>NC_000023.11:101212542-101837542 GCF_000001405.40 Homo sapiens | reverse complement strand
CCAGACCGTGAACACCTGCTTCCTCCCTCGGGCAGGCCCAGAGAGCCAGAGGTGGGTAGGAGGTTAAGGAGGATCCTGAGCACCTGAGCGCTTCCTTTTCAGGAAAGGATGCTCTGCTTTTCTGTCAACGGAGTGTTCAAGGAAGGTGAATGACTGCAGAGTCCCCTCCCCAGATCCCCCACTGCTCCCTCCCACTGGCTGGGCTCCTTCCCAGAATTCTCCCAGCTTCTCTGATTTCATTCCATCCCTTCCTCTTCTTCCCTCTGTGTTTTCCCACCCCCACTTTGCCCACAAACCACCCTGATCTGACCTAGGTCCATGCCTGTCTGCCCTGCACAGCTCAGGCGTGCATTAAGGACACAGACTGTGGAGTTTGACAGCTCTCATCCCAGGTCCTTACTCTGTGAACTTGTGCTGGTTACTTAACCTTTCTGTTTCCTCATTTGCAAAATGGGGCTAATAATAACCCATTTCTTGGGCTACTGTGAAATAGGAATCAAGTGAACCTGTGGTTTTCACAGGGCCCCATGCATGATAGGGGCCCTATCACTGGGAGCTGATTGTTCCTGTTGTTGCCTTCCCCATCCCTGCCACATCTGCCTGACTCCAAGTGAACAATTGTCCTGGTCTGTCCCCTCTTCTGTGTGAGTGTCAAGCAAGATTCTGACTGGGGATCACTGTGTGAGCATGTAAAGCCTGTGTAACTCTCAGGTGGTGGTGTTTGTTGTCTCTGAAGTGGAAGGATGGTCTCAGGGTTCTGATCTTGCCTTCATGTGGACCTTCATCACTACCTCTGGCCGCAATTCCAGGTTAGTGCTATGTTGTGGGTGGGAGCACCCATCCCAGCTTGGGGTCAGTGTTGTGGGAATGTGTTGGGTGCAGTCCTCAGGGTGTTCTCAATATTGTGGAAGGCCAACAGGTAGATCCAAGGAACAGTCCAGCCTAATATTTAAGAGTGTGGGCCCTGGAGTTGGAATACAGTTTTTATTCCTCACCCCAACACTCACAAACTATGTGACCTTGATCAACTTATTCGACCTCTCTGAGATTCAGTGCCTTTCTCTGAAAATTAGAATAAGAGTATCCACTTCCTTGCACTGTTGTACAGGGTAAACATGCTGGGGTTCTAAAAATCTAGTGAAGCTGGTAGACAATCTCTCCAAAGGCAGACTCTGTAGGAGGGTTAGAAGGTACCAGCCAAAATATCTGGGAGGCAGGCACAGTAGGGATATGGAAGCAATTTGGTTGTTGAGCGGCAGTAGTGGTTAAGAAGGATCCTGTTGTTGAGAGTGTGGAATTGTCTACCTGTCCAGTTTGAGGGTGCATTGTTCTTTCCTCCAGTCTGTGCATCATGAATGATAAGCTGTTTCTGAGGGATGCCAGCCCCCAAGAGACTCAGAGTGCCTTCTCCATCCCAGTGTCCACACTCTCCTCCAGCTCTGAGCCCTCCCTCTCCTAGGAGCACAGGAAATGGTGCAGGCTTTCTCTGCCCAGTCTGGGATGAAACTAGAGTGGTCTCAGAAGTGAGTACTAGGAGTACATGGGGATGGGGGAAGTTGGGACCTCAGAAGAGTGAGTAATGGAAACTCACATGCAATTTGGAAAAATAACTATCTGATATTGCAGGAAGTCAGGGACCCCAAATGGAGGGACCAGCTGGAGCCACGGCAGAGGAACATAAATTGTGAAGATTTCATGGACATTTATCAGTTCCCAAATAATACTTTTATAATTTCTTATGCCTGTCTTTACTTTAATCTCTTAATCCTGTTATCTTCGTAAGCTGAGGATGTATGTCACTTCAGGACCACTGTGATAATTGTGTTAACTGTACAAATTGATTGTAAAACATGTGTATTTGAACAATATGAAATCAGTGCACCTTGAAAAAGAACAGAATAACAGCGATTTTTAGGGAACAAGGGAAGACAACCATAAGGTCTGACTGCCTGCAGGGTTGGGCAGAATAGAGCCATATTTTTTTTCTTGCAGAGAGCCTATAAATGGACGTGCAAGTAGGGAAGATATTAATACCCTGGGGAAGGAATGCATTCCAAGGGGGAGGTCTATAAATGGCCGCTCTGGGAATGTCTGTCTTATGCAGTTGAGATAAGGACTGAAATACGCCCTGGTCTCCTGCAGTACCTTCAGGCTCACTAGGGTGGGGAAAAACTCTGCCCTGGTAAATTTGTGGTCAGACCAGTTCTCTGCTCTCGAACTCTGTTTTCTGTTGTTTAAGATGTTTATCAAGACAATATGTGCACTGCTGAGCATAGACCCTTATCAGTAGTTCTGCTTTTTCCCTTTGTCTTTTTCCCTCAGAAGAATGTGATCTTTGTTAGACCCTTATTAGTAGTTCTGCTTTTTGCCCTTTGAAGCATGTGATCTTTGTACCTACTCCCTGTTCTTACACCCCGTCCCCTTTTGAAACCCTTAATAAAAACTTGCTGGTCTGAGACTCAGGCGGGCATCATGGTCCTACTGATATGTGATGTCACCCCCGGTGGCCCAGCTGTAAAATTCCTCTCTTTATACTGTCTCTCTTTATTTCTCAGCTGGCCAACGCTTATGGAAAATAGAAAGAACCTACATTGAAATATTGGGGGTGGGTTCCCCCAGTAATCTGGATGTTTTGCTTCCAAAAAAAGTGGGCCCATCAAAAAGGTATCATACTTTTATACTGATATATTGTAGATAATTTTTATATGGTCATGTAAATGGCTCAAATGACATTGCCTTCCATATGTAAAATCTGAAAGAATCCACCACAAGAAACTACTAATAAACCAATTGAGCGTGGTTGCAAGATATAATGCACAAAAATCACTTGTACTTCTATGTAGTTGCAATGGACAATACAAAAAAATGAAATTAAGAAAACAAGTCCATTTACAGTAGCATCAAAACAAGTAAAATATGTAGAAACAAATTTAAGGGAATAAATGCAAATATTATACTCTGAAATCTTCAAAACATTGCTGAAAAAAATTAAAGAAGACCTAAATAAATGGAAAGACATCCCTTGTTCATAGATTGGAAGACTTAGTATCAATAAGATGGCAATATCACCCAGAACAATCTACAGATTCATTGCAGTCCCTGACAGAATCCCAACTGGCTTCTTTGCAGAAATTGACAAGATAATTTCAAAATTCATGTGGAAATACAGTGGACCCCAAACAACCAAAACCATCTTGAAAGAGAAGAACAATGTTAGAAGACTAACACTTCCTGATTTCAAAACTTGCTACAAAACTACATTAATCAAGACTGCGTGGTACCGATATAGGAAGAGACGTGGGCATCAGTGGAACAGAGTTCAGAATTCACAGATAATCTCACACATTTATATCCAGTTGACTATCATTCTGGGTGCTGAAAAAAAATCCAATAGAAAAAAATAGTCTTTTTAACAAATGATGCTGTAACAATTGGATATCAACTTGTAAAACAATGAATGTTGACACCTGCCTCACATGATGTGCAAACACTGACTGAAAAATGGGTCAAGGATCTAAAAGTAAGAGCTAGAACTGTAAAACTCTATAGGTGTACATCTTCATGACCTTGAATTAGGCAACCATTTCTTACATATGAAATGAAAAGCACAAGCAACCAAAGGAAAAATAGGTAAATCAGACTTCGTCTAAATTAAAAGCTTTTGTGCATCAACAGATACTATCAAGAAAGTTGAAAACTGACTGATGAAACAAGAGAAAATGTTTGCAAATTACATTGCTGACAAGAAGAACCCTTACAACTCAACAATAAACAGACAAACCACCCAATTAGAAAATGGGGAAAGGATTTGAATAGACTTTTCTCCAAAGAAGATATACAAATAACCAACAAGCACATGAAAAATTTCTCAACATCATTAGTCATTATGGAAATGCAAATCGAAACCGAAATGAGTCGCCACTTCACACCCACTAGGATGGCTTTAGTCAATAAAAAGAAACATTACAAATGTCAGTGAGAATACAAAGAAATTGGAAATCTTATGGATTGCAACTGGGAACATAAAATGGAGCAGTCGCTGAGGAAAAGATTTTGGCAATTCCTCAAAATCTTAAACATGCAGTTACCACATGACCCAGTAATCCCACTCCTAAGTGTACATCAATGGAAATGAAAATATATGCCTATTCAACAACTTGCACATGAATTTCCATAATGGTGTTATTCGAAATAGCCAAAAAATGGAAACACATCAAGTGACCTTTAACTGATGAATGGATAGATTAATGTGGTACATCCATATGGTGGAATATTATTGGAATATTATTCATAAAAAAGAATGTAGTTGTGATATATGCTATGACATGGATGAAACTTGAAAACATTATATGCTAAGTGAGAGCAGCCAGTCACAAAAAGCCACATAATTATATGATTCCATTCATATGAATTGTTCAGAATAGCCAGATCCATAGAGACCGAAAGCAGAGTAGTTGTTGCCAAGATCTGGGGAAGAGGGAGAAGAGGGAGTGATCTCTAACAGCTAAGGAGTTTCTTTTTGAGGTGATAAAAATAGTTTGGAATTAGATAGTTGTGGTGGTTGCACAATCTTGTGAATAGACTTAAAAAGCACTGAATTGTACACCTTAAAATGGTGACTGCTACAGTATGTACATTATATCTCAATAAAAAAGAAACGTATTATTGAATTTCCACTTGTTATTTCTTGAACATCTTTTTTACCCATATGGATTAAGCTCCCTTCTTCATTTGAATAACCCTATGTTTCTGATTTGAATTCTAGTGGGAATGAATGTCAGGGATAGGTGTTTTCATTTTCCCTAGGCCTTTTTTCATCCTTACAATAGTGCTCATATTGGTACATGTGTCCCAGCAAACAGGTAGCATAGACTAAGTGTGGCATTGCATAGTCAGCATGTCTGTCCTGGGGTAGTAATGGAGAGCACCTATTCTCCCACCCCAGGTGCCTTCAGGACAATAAGTGGAACTACATTAGAGCTGGTCAGGTCTTCACTATGCTCCAGGTGAGGTCTGGATATCAAGGGGGTAAAAGACAGCTGTCTCTGGGCCTTCAGGAGGGCCAAGAAGATGGAGGCGGGGTAGTGTGGGGATGGAACCCAGGGCACCTGGCTCTACTAACATCCCAACTCCTTTTCTTCACTTCATCTAGACTGAGGGCAAGATCCCAGTGGAGGCCTTCAAGCAAATCCCCTAAAAGGAGCCCTTTGATGTCATCTTTGTCTTCCTTCTCATCCTCTTTGTTTCCTCTTTTCACCAGCCTAAGACCACTCTAAGGACTGGGGTTGGAGGCCTGGCTGACCAAGAAGCCAAAGTTAACTTGCAGGCCACAGGACATAGCCACCTGAAGAGCCAGTTGTTCTGTGTATTTGCCCCACTCATGATCACCGTTTATTTTCATAATAAACAGTGACGTTACATGTTGTATGTTGTGTGCCCTGGATTGCTCTTCCCCTGCCCCAACCATGAGCCAGTGGGGCCAGGACAGAAAAGCCCTGCATCCCTGTTTATCGCTGGCTGGCCTTAGCAGATACAATGATCTGGCTTCCCTTCATAGGTAATTTTGTCAATAAATCCTGATGAGAAAGGACACACGCCCCTTCCAGATATTGGCCTTGAGAGACAATGGAACTCTGTCATATGCTCGACCTGGAGGCCCACAGAAGCAGGCATGTTACCTGGCACACCAGGGGCTTCCATCCACTATCCCAACCCCTCCCTTTCCCGAAGGTGCACTTTTCGAGGAGTCTCAGGTTAGCACCTGCAGTGGGAGGGAGACTCAGCCTGTCTGCCCAGGGAACTCTTCAGAGAGCTGACACCAGGTACTCCACATCCATGTTCTTGAAGGGGTTCAGCCATTTATTTTCATTTCTAAACAAACAGCAGTAGCACAGAATCTCACATTATGATCAGTTCTCAATGACCAGCATTTAGCAATTCCAAATTGCAGGCAAGAGTTGAACAGGACATTTGCACAATTTATTGTCCACATTTCTGTGATGCTTGCATGTTAGACAACCAGCAGGCATCCTTTTTGAAATTAAAATAATAGCAGTATGACATTTTCAAGTCATAATCCTATAAATGATGACATAGAAGAGGTACCACCAGTTTACAAATTATGCCTCCACTTTCGTTTGGCATACGTTATTTCCTACCACTTGCCACCTTCCTACCACTTGCCACTTTTCAGTTTTTTATGTACATGTACATTAGGGAGCCATATGTTGGAGTGTGAATTTCTTAAAACTAGGAACTAAGGGGATAGTTGCAATTACATAAAGAATAATGCCAACCTTGTTCTTCCCTGTAGTGCCTCAATAGTCAAAGACAAGCTCCTGTACCTCTCTAAGCCTTGGTCCTCTCACCCAGGGAGCAGAGACCACACTGTGTGCTTCTCAGCCTCATCGTGTAGCCTACAGATGGCCTCACATGTTACTTATCAACCACAGTGCCTGTTCAGCTCAGGCTCTCGGAGCTGCCAGGACTCCTTTGTGGGTAGGAACCATGGAACCCATCACATGGCCCCTCTACTTCCTCTCTGTACATCATCAGGCTTCCACAGCCTGGACCTTCTTCCCTAGCCAGCTCGGATGCCATGGTCTTCCAGTCACTCATCCTCTTGCCAATTCCCACGATTTCCTGTGGTCCTATGTTCCCAGCACATGCTAATTCTAAACACCTGAACTCGCTCTTTCTTTCATCTCTCGAGCTCTCTAGCTCTACACACACATACACACACACACACACGCACACACACGTCTCTCTGAAAATGGTCCATTAGGACACAATCTTGGAAGTCTAAATGGTGAGGCAAAGTGTATGCTTCCCAAGATTATTTCTGAAGTTGGAGGGAGGAGATATGAGTACTCACATACATTGTTTCCAAGCATGTAAATTGACATAGCCATTTTTTAGAATCATTGAGAACAATTCAGTCATAAATGATTGAATAAATATATATGTGCACATAAATATATATATGCACACATATTTATATAAAAGAAATAATGCAGATACAGTTTTATATCCATTTCATTTTAGTTAACAACGTCATTAACATAAAGCTCTTCATGGCATCATGCTATAATTTTATGTAGATCTGCAGTGATGACTTTCTTTTATTCTTGACATTGTTCATTTATGTGTTAATAGCGTGGAGCATGGAGTGGAAAGTTTGATTAGGACAGAAAGCAGCAAATGGCAGTCACAGCCAGGAGAGTCCAGCCACAGCTGCTCTGTTCATTTCCTTGGGCCTTGGCACACTCTCCTTAGGGACAGGGTGGCAGGGAGCCTGGGGCTATGGAATCCAAAGGGCTCATCCCTGAGAATCGGCATTATTTCCCATATGTCACTTGCTTTCCTGCCCATTGCATATGATGGCATCAAGTTTATGGACACCTCCAACAGGGTGTACTTTTTTTAGAGTTGGGGTCTCATTATGTTGCCCAGGCTGAACTCAAACTCCTGGGTGCAAACTCCTAGGCTCAAGCAGTCCTTCAGCATCAGCTTCCCAAGTAGCTGAGATTACAGTCACCCAGCAAAGTTGCACTTCTTACAAGGGTTGCTGGTGTGGGTGGGTGGTGGATCCCTCCCTGTCCTCATTGGAGCCTAGGAACCTCAGTGTGGAAGGAGTCCAGAAGCAACTGCAGGAACTCCAGGGTGAGTGGCCTCAAAGAGGCCCTTTTCTATCCCTCATCTCCAACTAACTTTTATGCCTTCCTTCAGAATATCTCTGGCACCTGTGTGTTACTCTGCCCTCCTAATAGTTCGTCCCGGAACTTGCCTCCAACTGATCCCCTTACCCCTGGGGTTCCTGCCTATATCTCCTGCCCTCAGCCTTAGTGCATAGCTGCTGCTGATCTTTGCAAATATGGATTCCATTCATCCTAGTTATCTGCTCATGAGTCTTTAATGGCATCATTCCATTAATGATCTCAGAATTCCCCTCTATGCGGGACTCCTTATGATCCCACCCTCCTGTCACCCCTGTGCTGGAGAAAGCCACTGGTTGGATGTGAACCCTTCTCCCCTTCAATGGCCACATCCAAGAGCAGAAACCTCAAACCTAGGTCATGCAAGGTTAGATACTGTCCCTCACCCCCACCAAAATAAAATAAAGTGGGGAGAAATGGCGTCTGGGTGTTCTTAGCACTCTAACCTGCATCAAAGAAAGGTGGTGATGTAATGACGGGAGGGCACAGTTTGTGGGGGCTTGGGGATGTGATTTTCTGTAGCATGGCCTCAAAATCTGCATTTGTAACAGGATCCCAGGTATGATGGTTAATTTTATATGCCAACTTAGGCCTACTTAGGTAGTTCACATACTTATCCATGTACCCAGATATTTGGTCCAACATTATTCCAAATGTTTCTGTGAAGGTATTTTTAGATTAGATTACCATTTAGATCTGTAGACTTTGAATAAAGCAGATTACCCTATAGAACGTCAGTTGACCTTATCCAATCAGTTGAAGGCCTTCAGGAATAAAAAGATTTACCTCCCTTGAGGAAGAGGGAATTCCGCCAGCAAACTGCCTTCAGATGTGAACTGCAGCTCTTCATTGGGTCTCCAGCCTGCCAGCCTTCTCTGCAGGCTTTCCAGGCTCCACATTCATGGCAGCTAATTTCTTTAAAAGTACACACACACACACACACACACACACACACACACACACACCCATTTCTTGGTAGATCCCTAATATACCAGGTAATGCTGAAGCTACTATTTCATGGATCACACTTTGAGTAGCAAGAAACTAGAGATTGTCTGGCATGTCCGTACATGGCCTCATCTGTAATCGTGGTAACTTCAGTATTGTTTGTGAGAGCAAAACTATAGGAAAAACAAAAATGTCCAGTACCATTAGTCCAAAAAATACACTGTTGTTCATTCTTACAGTAGAATATTCTATAGTCATGAAAATAAATGCCCTAGACCTATAAGAATCAGACCATATATTCATATATATGTGGAAATATACATCATGATCATATGGAAAATAAAGACACCTACAGTATGAAAATATATGCATATAACATATATATAATACTTTAAGAATGCTTTTATTCATGATAAAATTATGAAGCAATTTATGGAGAATATAAACACCACACTCTGGTTATGAGTTACATCTGAGGAATAGAGGAAGGACAAGTGAAATGAGGGGATGGGCTCAAACATTTGTCAAGTTTATTGCTTAACCTGGGTGGTGGATACACAAGTGTTCACTTCATAGCTCTCTATAACATTTTGTATATTTGATATGTTGGATAAGTAACACAAATTTTAGAAGCTGAAGGTTTATTATATCGTAAACATATACTCATTTTACCAATGACTCAAATGATTAAAATACAGTTAACTGTAGAGACGAAAATATCAATAACCAGGAAAAAACTGTTAACATATTCCTGCATTTCTTTCCCTTATTTTTTTTTGCTTGCAAACATGCAAATACATTGCATGTATATTGCATTGGCATTTCATAGAGCTTTGATAGATACACAGTTTTGTGCTTTATTGTTTTGTTGATGTTTTAATTAATATTAAATGATTTGCCATGGGAAAAGTATTGAACTTTGATTTTTATTGAACCATCTATAGATGCACCTGTCTCATTTCTTTTTATCATTATGTATTTATTCATTTATTTATTATTATATTTTAAGTTCTAGGGTACATGTGCACAACATGCATGTTTGTTACATATGTATGCATGTGCCATGTTGGTCATTAACTCGTCATTTACATTAGGTATATCTCCTAATGCTATCCCTCCCCTCTGTCCCCACGACAGGTCCCAGTGTGTGATGTTCCCCACCCTATGTCCAAGTGTTCTCATTGTTCAATTCCCACCTATGAGTGAGAACATGCGGTGTTTGGTTTTCTGTCCTTGCAATAGTTTGCTCAGAATGATGGTTTCCAGCTTCATCCATGTCCCTACAAAGGACATAAACTCATCCTTTTTTATGGCTGCATAATATTTCATGGTGTATATGTGCCACATTTTCTTAATCCAGTCTACCATTGATGGACATTTGGGTTGGTTCCAAGTCTTTGCTATTGTGAATAGTGTCACAATAAACATATGTGTGCATGTGTCTTTATAGCAGCATGATTTATAATCCTTTGGGTATATACCCAGTAATGGGATGGCTGGGTCAAGAGGCATTTTTAGTTCTAGATCCCCGAGGAATCGCCACACTGTCTTCCACAATGGTTGAACTAGTTTACAAGTCCCACCAACAGTGTAAAAGTGTTCCTATTTCTCCACATCCTCTCCAGCACCTGTTTCCTGACTTTTTAATGATCACCATTCTAACTGGTGTGAGATGGTATCTCATTGTGGTTTTGATTTGCATTTCTCTGATGGCCAGTGATTATGAGCATCTTTTCATGTGTCTGTTGGCTGCATATATGTCTTCTTTTGAGAAGTGCCTGTTCATATCCTTCACTCACTTTTTGATGGGGTGGTTTGATTTTTTCTTGTAAATTTGTTTAAGTTCTTTGTAGATTCTGGATATTAGCCCTTTGTCAGATGAGTAGATTGTAAAAATTTTCTCCCATTCTGTAGGTTGCCTGTTCACTCTGATGGTAGTTTCTTTTGCTGTGCAGAAGCTCTTTAGTTTGATTAGATCCCATTTGTCAATTTTGGCTTTTGTTGCCATTGCTTTTGGTGTTTTAGACATGAAGTCCTTGCCCATGCCTATGTCCTGAATGGTATTGCCTAGATTTTCTTCTAGGGTTTTTATGGTTTTAGGTCTAACATTTAAGTCTTCAATCCATCTTGAATTAATTTTTGTATAAGGTGTAAGGAAGGGATCCAGTTTCAGCTTTCTACATATGGCTAGCCAGTTTTCCCAGCACCATTTATTAAATAGGGAATCCTTTCCCCATTTCTTGTTTTTGTCAGGTTTGTCAAACATCAGATGGTTGTAGATGTGTAGTATTATTTCTGAGGGCTCTGTTCTGTTCCATTGGTCTATATCTCTGTTTTGGTACCAGTACCATGCTGTTTTGGTTACTGTAGCCTTGTAGTATAGTTTGAAGTCAGGTAGCATGATGCCTCCAGCTTTGTTCTTTTGGCTTAGGATTGTCTTGGCAATGCGGGCTCTTTTTTGGTTCCATATGAACTAAAAAGTAGTTTTTTTTTTCAATTCTGTGAAGAAAGTCATTGGTAGCTTGATGGGGATGGCATTGAATTTATAAATTACCTTGGGCAGTATGGCCATTTTCAGGATATTGATTCTTCCTATCGATGAGCATGGAATGTTCTTCCATTTGTTTGTGTCCTCTCATATATATATATATACTTTAAGTTCCAGGGTACATGTGCACAACGTTTTTTATTTCATTGAGCAGTGGTTTGTAGTTCTCCTTGAAGAAGTCCTTCACATCCCTCGTAAGTTGGATTCCTAGGTATTTTATTCTCTTTGAAGCAATTGTGAATGGGAGTTCACTCATGATTTGACTCTGTTTGTCTGTTATTGGTGTATAGGAATGCTTGTGAATTTTGCACATTGATATTGTGTCCTAACACTTTGCTGAAGTTGCTTATCAGCTTAAGGAGATTTTGGGCTGAGACGATGGGGTTTTCTAAATATACAATCATGTCATCTGCAAACAGCGCCTGTCTCATTTCTTGAACCATGCATCTGAATGCACGGATTGGAAATGCCAAATCTGTTTTATACTAAATAATGTTATATATCTGAGACTGCTCCTGAGCTTTTTATAGTCTTCCTTTAAACTATATGTCAACCAGTTTGTTCCCAACAAAGATGAAGGTGCAGCACTACAGAACAATTACATTGCCTGGCAATGCAAACCCCATTCACACGACTCTCTTTTAGATTGTTGGGAGGAGTAACAATAAATATAATGAATGATGCAAATGTGTATTCAGCACTAGAAGATGCTGTGCATTTGATATGGTTTGTCTCCGTGTCCCCAACCAAATCTCATGTTAAATTATAATCCCCACGTTTCAGGGGAGAGGACTCATGGGAGGTTATTGGATTAAGGTAGCAGATTTCCCCCTTGCTCTTCTCGTGATAGTGAGTAAGTTCTCATAATATCTGATGGTTTGAAAGTGTGGCACTTTCCCCTTCTTTCTCTCCCTCCTTCTCTCTGTCTCTCTCTCCCTCTCTCCCTCCTGCCATCATGTAAGATGTGCCTTGCTTCCCCTTTGCCTTCTGCCATGATTGTAAGTTTCCTGAGGCCTCCCTAGCCATGCGTCCTGTACAGCCTACAGAACTGTGAGTCAATTAAACTTCTTTTCTTCATAAATTGCCCAGTCTCAGGTAGTTCTTTACAGCAGTGTGAAAACGGACTAATATAGCATTGCCCTGAGTGCTTTCAATGCAATGATTCATTTAATCTTCATCTCAAATTTAAGGGGCAAGTATCATCCCAATTCCCATATAGCACACGAATAAAGGTGAAATTCAGATAAAAGAAATTGCTTATTCAGATTAACCGTCTCTCAACTAAAGAGCAAATCCACATGTATCTCACTCCACAAACCCCATGCCCACAACCACTGTTTCTGTATTGACTCTTCTCTGTTAGAGCTGAGGCCAGCACAGGAGGAGGGACTCACCCAAGGTCCTCTGGTTCAGCATAGGTGCCAATATTACTTTATTCTCATTTATGCTCTATTTTAAAGACTTGGTGGGAAATGCACCGCTGGTATCAAACTAGAAGGGAAATAAGATGATTGGAAATCACTTGAAATAAAAGCAAATTATTTTCTTGTCTTTCTTAAAATTTCTTGCTCTTCCCAAGACACAGAAATGACACCAAAAATTCATACATTAGGTGAATATCTGTATATTTCTCTTTTCTGCCCATATTTCCAGATGTTCTCTAAGATAAATATTATATGCCGTTTATTTAAAAGACATCTCTCTTATGGGAGGAAGTGAGCTGGGCAGTAGTAGTGTTTTTCCAAGTCTTACAATGTGCCAGACATTGCTGTACTTTTTCTTTTTTCCCACCAGAGCTTTCTGAGGAAGGTAACATTATTCCCATTTTACAGAGATCAAGGATAGACCCACAGAACACTATACTTTTTCAGGGTCACACATCAAGTCAGGAGCAGGAATGGGCTTCTCTTTCTTTCCCTCCCAATACACCCATTAGCCTCCGTTTTAGATGATAAGCTTCCAAAGCTTAAGGAGTGATTGTTTTAAGCTGTCCTAGAATTCTGTCCCCATGGATACTCCCTCAGCATGATATTCAGTATAGGAATAAAAACCTTGTTCCAGGAAACCTGGGTGTAGAAGTCACATGGTTGAGCTGGTCCCTGAGGTGTTAAGCAAGGCTTTTGTGAAAACAGAGTTGTTGCTCTCTCTGGAAAGTGGCCTGCAAAAAGGTTATTGACATTTACATAAAGACTTTAATCAATAGATACTTTATCTAATTTAATTCTTACAGCTATTCAAGTTGATATTATTACAGATATTCTTGTTGTGTTGCTTAGGATTTCTCTTTAACAATGAGCATTACTGCTCCTCTCTCTCTTTCTGTGTGTGTGTGTGTGTGTGTGTGTGTGTGTGTGTGTGTGTCTGTCTGTCTGTCTGTCTGTCTCTCCACACAATGTTTCAGTTAACGATGGACCACATATATGATGGTGGTTCTATCAGATTATAATAGAGCTGCCCTATACAGGTGACTACTTTTTATCTTTTATATGATAATTTTATTGTACCTGTTTTATGTTTAGATACACAAATACTTACCATTGTGTTACCATTGCTTAAAGTATTCAGTACAGCAGCATGCTGTACAGGTTTGTAGCCTAAGAGGAATAGGCTATAGCATATAGCCTAGGTGTTTAGTAGGCTATACCATCTAGTTTTGTGTAAGTACACTCTGTGATGTTCATACTGTTACAGGATCTTTGGGGTGTTGCTTTTCTGGCCGGAAACCTCTGTGACTGGTGGCACCCTTGCCTAAGTTTTGCTTGGGCCTGCTGCACTCATTCTGCTCACTTGATCTGGCAGGCTGTGCTCAGCTCACACTACTGGCCTGCATCCCATATCTGACAAGGGAGACTGCTCAGAGCAACAAGGGGTATGTGAGCAAGTGTGGGGTCTGGCCACTGTGCAGTCAGACATGCTGGCTGCTGCAGTGGAGTGGGCAACTCTGGGTGCCAGCACTGGTGCTGGCTCTCCACGAGGCTGCAGCTGGACCAGGCACACCACAGGCAGCTTCCACAACTGGCACCAGGGAACACAGTGGCACCCAGAAGCTTGGAGACACCAGGAACTACAGGGCCCTGAAGAGGGAGTCACAGCCCTGGCTTGGGGAGCATCCAGGTCTGGGCTCCCCGAAGGGTCACAGTTCTTCTTTCCTTCTTTTGGCCCACAACATGGTGAACAAGGGGCATAATATGGTTTGGCTGTGTTCCCACCCAAATCTCATTTTCAATACCCATGTGTTGTGGGAGGGATGCAGTGGGGTGTAATTGAATCATGGGGGCAAGTCTTTTCCCAGCTGTTCTCATGATAGTGAATAAGTTTCATGAGATCTGATGGTTTTAAAAATGAGAGTTTTGATGGGGAGGGGCCAAGATGTCCGAATAGGAACAGCTCCACTCTGGAGCTCCCAGCGAGACCAACACAGAAGGTGGGTAATTTCTGCATTTCCAACTGAGGCACCCAGTTCATCTCATTGGGACTTGTTAGGCAGTGGGTCCAACCCATGGAGGGCGAGCGGAAGCAGGGTGGGGTGTCGCTTCATCTGGGAAGTGCAAGGAGCAGGGGACCTCCCTCCCCCAGCCAAGGGAAGCAGTGAGGGACTGTGCTACCTGACCGGGTTATCACGCTTTTCCCACAGTTTTTGCAATCTGCAGATCAAGAGATTCCCTGGTGTGCCTACACCACCAGGGCCCTGGGTTTCAAACACAAAACTGGGAGGCTATTTGGGCAGACACTGAGCTAGCTGCAGGAGTATTTTTTCGTACCCCAGTGGCACCTGGAACCCCAGTGAGACAGAACCTTTCACTCCCCTGGAAAGGGGGCTGAAGCCAGGAGCCAAGTGGTCTCACTCAGCGGGTCCCACTCCCACAGAGCACAGCAAACTAAGAACCACTGGCTAGAAGCTCTTACTGCCAGCACATCAGTCTCAAGTCGACCTGGAATGACTGAGCTTGGTGGGGGAAGGGGCGTCCACCATTACCGAGGCTTCAGTAGGCAGTTTTCCCCTGACAGTTCTAAGGAGGCTAGGAGGTCTGGGCCAGGAGCAGCAAAGCGGCTGTGGCCAGACCGCTTCTCTAGATTCCTCCTCATTGGGCAGGGCATCTCTGAAGGAAAGGTAACAGCCCCAGTCAGGGGCTTACAGACAAAACTCCCATCTCTCTGGGACAGAGCACCTGGGGGAAGGGGCAGCTGTGGGCGCAGCTTCAGTGGATTTAATTGTTCCTGCCTGCCGGCTCTGAAGAGAGCAGCTGATCCTGACAAGAGGATTCTCCCAGCACAGTGCAACATCTCTGCTAAGGACAGAGTACCTCCTCAAGTGGGTCCCTGAACCTCGCGCCTCCTGACTGGGAGAAACCTCCCAACAGTGGTCGACAGACACCTCATACAGGAAAGCTCCAGCTGGCATCAGGCCAGTGTCACTCTTGGATGAAGTTTCCAGAGAAAGGAGCAGGCAGCAATCTTCGCTGTTCTGCAGCCTCCACTGGTGACACCAAGGCCAACAGGGTCTGGAGTGAACCTCCAGCAAACTGCAGCAGGCCTGCAGAAGAGGGGCCTGACTGTTAGAAGAAAAACTAACAGAAAGCAACAACATCAACATAAAGGACCCGCCCACAAAAACCCCACCCAAAGATCATCAATCTTAAAGATCAGAGGCAGACAAATCCATGAAGATAAGGAAAAACCAAGGCAAAAATGCTGAAAATTCAAAAAACCAGAATCCCTCTTCTCCTCCAAATGATTACAACTCCTCTCCAGCAAGGGCACAAAACTGGATGGAGAATGAGATTGACGAATTGACAGAAGTAGGCTTCAGAAGGTGGGTAATAACAAACTCTTCTGAGCTAAAGGAGTATGTTCTAACCCAATGAAAGGAAGCTAAAAACCTTGAGAAAATGTTATAGGAACTGCTACTAGAATAACAAGTTTGAAGAGGAACATAAATGACCTGATGGAGCTGAAAAACACATCACAAGAACTTCATAAAGCATACACTGAGTATCAATAGCTGGATCAATCAAGCAGAAGAAGGATATCACAGATTGAAGAATGAACAAAGCATCCAAGAAATATGGGACTATGTGAAAAGACCAAACATGATTGATTGGGGTCCCTGAAAGTGATGGGGAGAATGGAACCACCTTGGAAAACACACTTCAGGATATTATCCAGGAGAACTTCCCCAACCTAGCAAGATAGACCAACATTCAAATTCAGGAAAAACAGAGAACACCACAAAGATACTCCTTGAGAAGAGCAACCCCAAGACACACAATTGTCAGATTCTCCAAGGTTGAAACGAGGGAAAAAATGTTAAGGGCAGCCAGAGAGAAAGGTCAGGTTACCTACAAAGGAAAGCCCATCAGACTAACAGTGTATATCTCTGCAGAAACGCTAGAACTCAGAAGAGAGTGGGGGCCAATATTCAACATTCTTAAAGAAAAGAGTTTTCAACCCAGAATTTCATACCCAGTCAAACTAAGCCTCATAAACAAAGGAGAACTAAAATCCTTTTCAGACAAGCAAATGCTGAGGGATTTTGTCACTACCAGGCCTGCCTTACAAGAGCTCCTGAAGGAAGCACTAAATATGGAAAGGAAAAACTGGTACCAGCCACTGCAAAAACACATCAAAATATAAAGACCAATGACACTATGAAGAAACTGCATCAATTAATCTGCAAAATAACCAGCTAGCATCATGATGACAGGATCAAATTCACACATAATAATATTAACCTTAAATGTAAATGGGCTAAATGCCCCAATTAAAAGACACAGGCTGGCAAATTGGATAGAGTCAAGACCCATCAGTGTGCTCTATTCAGGAGACCCATGTCACGTGCAAAGACACACATAGGCTCAAAATAAAGATGTTGAAGAATATTTACCAAGCAAATAGAAAGCAAAAAAAGCAGGGGTTGCAATCCTAGTCTCTGATAAAACAGGCTTTAAACCAACAAAGATAAAAAAAAAAATGAAGAAGAGAATTGCATAATGGTAAAGGGATCAACATAAAAAGAAGAGTTAACTACCCAAAATATACATGCACCCAATACAGGAGCACCCAGATTCATAAAACAAGTTCTTGGAGACCTACAAAAAGACCTAAACTCCCACACACTAATAGTGAGAGACTTTAACACCCCACTATCAATATTAGACAGATCAATGAGACAGAAAATTAATAAGGATATTCAAGACTTGAACTCAGCTCTGGACCAAGTGGACCTAATAGACAGCTACAGAACTCTCCACCCTTAATCAACAGAATATACATTCTTCTCAGTGTCACATAGCATATATTCTAAAATCGACCATATAATTGGAAGTAAAACACTCCTCAGCAAATGGAAAAGAATGGAAACCATAACAGTCTCTCAGACCACAGCGCAATCAAATTAGAACTCAGGATTAACAAACTCACTCAAAGCCACACAATTACATGGAAATTGAACAACCTGCTCCTGAATGACTACTGGGTAAATAACTAAATTAAGGCAGAAATAAATAAGTTCTTTGAAACTAATGAGAACAAAAAGACAATGTACCAGAATCTCTGGGACACAGCTAAAGCTGTGTTAAGAGGGAAATTTACAGCATTAATGCCCACAACAGAAAGCAGGAAAGATCTAAAATCGACACCCTAACATCACAATTAAAAGAACTGGAGAAGCAAAAGCAAAAAATTCAAAAGCTAGCAAAAGACAAGAAATAAATAATATCAGAGCAGAATTGAAGGAGACAGAGACACGAAAAACCCTTCAAAAACTGAACAAATTCAGGAGCTGGTTTTTTGAAAAGACTAACAAAATAGATGGACCACTAGGTAGACTAATAAAGAAGAAAAGAGAGAAGAATCAAATAGACACAATAAAAAATGATATAGGGGATATCACAACTGATCCCATAGAAATACAAACTACCATCAGAGAATACTATAAACACCTCTGTGCAAATAAACTAGAAAATCTAGGAGAAGTGGATAAATTCCTGGACACATACACCCTCCCAAGACTAAACCAGGAAGAAATTGATTCCCTGAATAGGCCAATAACAAGTTCTGAAATTGAGGCAGTAATTAATAGCCTACCAACCAAAAAAAGCCTGGGACCAGATGAATTCACAGCTGAATTCTACCAGAGGTATAAAGAGGAGCTGGTACCATTCCTTCTGAAACTATTCCAAACAATAGAAAAAGGGGGACTCCTCCTTAACTCATTTTATGAGGCCAGCATCATCCTGACACCAAAACCTGGGAGGGACACAACAAAAAAAAGAAAATTTCAGGCCAGTATCCTTGATGAACATCAATACAAAAATCCTCAATAAAATACTGGCAAACCGAATCCAGCAGCACATCAAAAGCTTATCCACCACAATCAAGACGGCTTTATCCCTGAGATGCAAGCCTGGATCAACATATGCAAATCAATAAAAGTAATCCATCACATAAACAAAATCAATGACAAAAACCACATAATTATCTCAATAGATGCAGAAAAGGCTTTCAATAGAATTCAACATCCCTTCATGCTAAAAACTCTCAGTAAACTAGGTATTGATGGAACATATCTCAAAATAATAAGAGCTATTTATGACAAACCCATAGCCAATATCATACTGAAAGGGAAAAAGCTGGAAACATTCCCTTTGAAAGCCGGCACAAGACAAGAATGCCCTCTCACCACTCCTATTCAACATAGTATTGGAAGTTCTGGCCAGAGCAATCAGGCAAGAGAAAGAAATAAAGGTTATTCAAATAGGAAGACAGAAAATAAAATTGTCTCTGTTTGCAGATGACATGATTGTATATTTAGAAAACCCCATCATCTCAGCCCAAAAATTCCTTAAGCTGATAAGCAACTTTAGCAAAGTCTCCGGATATAAATCAATGTGCAAAAATCATAAGCATTCCTACACACCAACAATTGACAAGCGGAGAGCCAAATCATGAGTGAACTCCCATTCACAATTGCTACAAAGAGAATAAAATACCTAGGAATACAACTTTCAAGGGACGTGAAGGACCTTTTCAAGGAGAACTAAAAAACACTGCTCAAGGAAATAAGAGAGGACACAAACAAATGGAAAAAAAATCCATGCTTATGGATAGGAAGAATCAATATTGTGAAAATGGCCATACGGCCAAAAGTAATTTATAGATTCTATGCTATTCCTATCAAGCTACCAGTGACTTTCTTTGTAGAATTAGAAAAAAACTACATTAAACTTCATATGGAACCAAAAAAGAGCCTGTATAGCCAAGACAATCCTAAGCAAAAAATAAAAAATAAAAAAAATAAAAATAAAAGAGCTGAAGGTATCATGCTACCTGACTTCAAACTATACTACAAAGCTACAGTAACCAAAACAGCATGGTACAGGTAGCAAAACAGATATACAGACCAACACAACAGAACAGAGACTTCAGAAATAACACCACACATCTACAACCATCTGATCTTCAACAAATCTGACAAAAACAAGCAATAGGGAAAGAATTCCCTATTTAATAAATGGTGCTGGGAAACCTGGCTAGCCGTATACAGAAAACAGAAACTGGACCCCTTCCTTACACCTTATACAAAAATTAACTCAAGATGGATTAAATACTTAAATGTAAAACCCAAAAACCATAAAAATCTTAGAAGAAAACCTAGGCAGTACCATTCAGGACGTAGGCCTGAGCAAAGAATTCATGACTACAACACCAAAAGCAATTGCAACAAAAGCCAAAATTGACAAACGGGATCTAATCAAACTAAAGAGCTTCCGCACAAAAAATGAAACTATCATCAGAGTGAACAGGCAACCAAAAGAATGGGAGAAAATTTTTGCAATCTACCCATCTGACAGGTCTAATATCCAAAATCTGCAAGGAACTTAAACAAATTTACAAGAAAAAAACAACCCCTTCAAAAAGTGGGTGAGGGATATGAACAGACACTTCTCAAAAGAAGACATTTATGTGGCCAACAAACATGAAAAAAGCTCATCATCACTGGTCATTAGAGAAATGCAAATCAAAACCACAATGAGATACCATCTCATGCCAGTTAGAATGGTGATTATTAAAAAGTCAGGGAACAGTAGATGCTGGTGGGTCTGTGGAGAAACACAAATGCTTTTACACTGTTGGGAGTGTAAATTAGTTCAACCATTGTGTGAAGACAGTGTGGCAATTCCTCAAGGATCTAGAACCAGAAATGCCATTTGACCCAGCAATCCCATTACTGGGTATATACCCAAAGGATTATAAATCATTCTACTATAAAGACTCATGCACACGTATGTTTATTGTAGCACTGTTCACAATAGCAAAGACTTGGAACCAACCCAAATGCCCATCAATGATAGACTGGATAAAGAAAATGTGGCAGATGTACACCACGGAATACTATGCAGCCATTTAAAAAATGAGTTCATGTCCTTTGCAGGGACATGGATGAATCTGGAAGCCATCATTCTCAGCAAACTAACACAGGAACAGAAAAAACAAACACTGCATGTTCTCACTCATAAGTGGGAGTTGGAAAATGAGAATACATGGACACAGGGAGGGGAACATCATGCACCTGGGCCTGTCGGGGGATTAGGGACAAGCAGAAGGAGAGCATTAGGACAAATAGCTAATGCATGTGGGGCTTTGAACCTAGAAGATGAGTTGATAGATGCAGCAAACCACCATGGCACATGTACTCCTGTGTACCTATGTAACAAACCTGCAGGTTCTGCACACGTATCCCAGAACTTAAAGTAAAATTTTTTTAAAAATGAGAGTTTCCCTGAACAAACTCTCTCTTTGCTTGCTGCCATCCATGTAAGAAGTGACTTGCTTCTCCTTGCCTTCTGCCATGATTGTGAGGCCTCCCCAGCCATGTGGAACTGTAAGTCCATTAAACTCCTTTTTCTTCCCAGTCTTGGGTATGTCTTTATCAGCAGCATGAAAATGGACTAATACAGTAAATTGGTACCAGTAGAGTGGGGCATTGCTGAAAAGATACCCAGAAATGTGGAAGCAACTTTAGAACTGGGTAACAAGCAGAGATTGGAACTGTTTGGAGAGCTCAGAAGAAGACAGAAACATGTGGGAAAATTTGGAACTTCCTAGGGACTTGTTGAATGGCTTTGACAAAAATACTGATAATCATATGAACAATAAGGTCCAGGCTGAGGTGGTCTCAGACGGAGATGAGAAACTTGTTGGGAAATGGAATAAAGGTGACTCTTGTTATGTTTTAGCAAAGAAACTGGTGGCATTTTGCCTGTGCCCTAGAGATTTGTGGAACTTTGAACTTGAGAGAGATGATTTAGGGTATCTGGTGGAAGAAATTTCTAAGCAGCAAAGCGTTTAATAGGGGGCTTGGGTGCTGTTAAAAGCATTCAGTTTTAAAAGGGAAACAGAGCATAAAAATTCAGAAAATCTGCAGCCTGATGATGCAGTAGAAAAGAAAGTCCCATTTTCTGAGGAGAAATTCAAGCCAGCTGCAGAAATTTGCATAAGTAACAAGGAGCTGAATGATCATCCCCAGGACAATGGGGAAAATGTCTCCAGGGCATGTCAGAGATCTTCATGACAGCTCCTCCCATCACAGGCCTGGAAGTCTAGGAGGAGAAGATGGTTTCATGGGGCAGGCCCACAGCTCCCCTGCTCTGTGCAACCTAGGGACTTGGTACATTGCATTCCAGCCACTCCAGTCGTTGCTAAAGGGGCCAAGTTACAGCTTGGGCCACTGCTTTAGAGGGTGGAATCCCCAAGCCTTGGCACCTTCCATGTGGTGTTGAGCCTGCAGGTGCACAGAAGTCAAGAATTGAGGTTTGGGGACCTCTGCCTAGATTTCAGAAGATGTATGAAAATGCTTGGATGCCCAGGCAGAAATTTGCTGCAGGGGCAAGGCCTCATGGAGAATGTCTGCTAAGGCAGTGTGGAAGGGAAATGTAGGGGTGGAGCACAACCACAGAGTCCCTACTGGGGCAGCGCTACTGGAACTATGAGAAGAAGGCCATTGTCCTCCAGAACTCAGAATGGTAGATCCACCAACAGCTTGCACCATGTGCCTGGAAAAGCCATAGACACTCAATGCCAGCCCATGAAAGCAGCCAGGAGAGGGGCTATACCCTGCAAAGCCACAGTGGTGGAGCTGCCCAAGGCTGTGGGAGCCCACCTCTTGCATCAGTCTGGCCTGGATGTGAGACATGGAGTCAAAGAAAATCATTTTGGAGCTTTAAGATTTTACTGCCCTGCTGGATTTTGGACTTGCTTTGGGCCTGTAGTCCCTTTGTTTTGGCCAATTTCTCCCATTTGGAATGGCTGTATTTACCCAATGCCTATACCCCCATTGTATCTAGGAAGTAACTAACTTGCTTTTGATTTTACAAGCTCATAGGCAGAAGGGACTTGCCTTGTCTTGGATGAGACTTTGGACTATGGACTTTTGAGTTAATGCTGAAATGAGTTAAGACTTTGGGGGACTGTTGGGAAGGCACGATTCATTTTGTAATATGCGGACATGAAATTTGGGAGGGGCCAGGGGAGGAATGATATGGTTTGGCTGTGTCCCCACCCAAATCTCATCTTCAATTCCCATGTGTTGTCGGAGGGACCTGGTGTGAGGTAATTAAATAATGGGGGCAAGTCTATTCCATGTTGTTCTCATGATACTGAATAAGTATCACAAGATCTGATGGTTTTACAGAATGAGAGTTTCCCTACACAAGCTCTCTGTGTGCCACCACCCATGTAAGACATGACTTGCTCCTCCTTGCCTTCTGCCATGATTTTGAGGCCTCCCCAGCCATGTGGAACTGTAAAACCTCTTTTTCTTCCCAGTCTCTGGCATGTCTTTATCAGCAGCATGAAAACGGACTAATACAGAGCATGTCTGAGCCACGTTTGTGTTACAGCTCTTTTAGCCTCATTCAGCAGGTCCTGACTTCTTGTCCTGAGCCCAGGAAGAATGAGGTATGCAGACAAATGGAGGGCGAACAAGACAAAGGGGAGCTTTATTGAGCAATAGAACATCTCAGGTGAAATCTACAGGGGACAGCTCCTTTCCACAACCAGGGTGTTCCAATGAGTGTTCATCTCCTAGCATAGAGGTTAGCTCCTCTCTGCTAGGCAAGTTGTCTGGACAAGTGTTCAGCTATCAACAGAGAGTGTAGCTCCTCTCTGCAGCTGGTTGTCCCATTGTCTGTGCAGCTCTCAGCAGACAGGAGGCCCTAGAGTAGGTGGCTCATCTCTACAGGCAGGTCATCCCGTCATCTCTGCAGCTCTCAACAGACAGGAGGCCTTAGAATGGGGTGCTCCTCTCTGCAGCTCGTCATCCTGATGACTGCTCAGCTCTGGCTGAGCCCGAGGCTTTTACGGGACTCAGAGGGGAGAAAGTGTGAGCTGTTTGGTCCATGGGCAGCCATGGGCAGCCCCAGAAAAGGCACCACAAGTTCCCACTCTGGTCCACAGGGCTGGCAGCTCAACCCCCAGCCTTCAGGCCCTCCCTGGCCTGAAGGTGGAGCCTCACCAGGGACCTACACACTTCTGGCTTGGAACCTGTCTGTCTCCTGCTGCCATTCATAGTGCCCAGGCTGTAGGTGCCAAGGGGAGCCTGCAGGCCAGCCTCAGCTGCCCTCAGCCTCCCCTCAGCTTCCTGTCAGTGCTCAAAGAATGGAAAGGGCTGGGGTGGCAGGGGGCTTTCATGTCAGCACTGCACCAAGCACATGCACGCCTGGCTGGGATGCAACAGTGCCTGGGCTCAGCACCAACTATGCTCCGAAATTGGAGTGGGTGCCAACAGCAGGGAGAAGCCAGTCAGCAGGAGCAGGCACTTCCAAACCTGCAATGGCATGGAGGACCTTCCTGGGCCCCAAGAGTGCAGAGATGCCTGCGTCCACAGGTGCGTGGGGGGTGGTTGGGGCTCTTGCCTGCTCCCTGGAGTGGGAGGCCCAGGTCTGCAGCTGTTGTTTGTTTGGTTGCAGCTGTGCCCTGGAGGGCGGGGCTCCCGCCTGCTTCCATGCCCAAGAGCTCAGAGATGTCTAGGTCCACAGCCATGGCTTGGGTGGCTGCAGGGACACATAGGAAGTTCCCACGTCAACTTTGAAGGGGCCAGGCTTCCACTTGTCCCTGCTCCCACTGGCTCCATGGAGAGCACAACCAGCATGATGGCAGTGGCCACTCCAGACAACATGTCGCTGCCATCAATACAACAACAAAAATCACCTAACCATGCCTTTCTCAGAAGGTATCACCATCATTAAGTGACACATGATTGTATATATATAAACACCATCTGTTGGTGGTTCCAAGATGGCTGAAGAGGAACAGCTCCAGTCTACAGCTCCCAGTGTGAGCAACGCAGAAGATGGGTGATTTCTGCATTTCCAACTGAGGTACTGGATTCATCTCACTGGGGCTTGTCAGACAGTGGGTGCAGGACAGTGGGGGCAGCGCACCACGCATGAGCTGAAGCAGGGTGAAGCATTGCCTCACCCAGGAAGCACAAGGGGTCAGGGAATTCCCTTTCATAGCCAAGCAAATCTGTGAGAGACGGCACCTGGGAAATCGGGTCACCCCCACCCTAATACTGTGCTTTTCCAATGGTCTTAGCAAAAGGCACACCAGGAGATTATATCCCGTGCCTGGCTCAGAGGGTCCCACACCCGCAGAGCCTCGCTCATTTCTAGCACAGCAGTCTGAGATCCAACTGCAAGGCAGCAGCGAGGCTGGGGGAGGGGTGCCCGCCATTGCTGAGGGTTGAGTAGGTAAAAAAGGAGCCAGGAAGCTCAAAATGGGTGGAGCCCACCGCAACTCAAGGAGGCCTGCCTGCCTCTGTAGACTCCACCCCTGGGGACAGGGCATAGCTGAACAAAAGGTAGCAGAAACTTCTGCGTACTTAAATGTCCCTGTCTGACAGCTTCGAAGAGAGTAGCGGTTCTCCCAGCACGGAGTTTGAGATCTAAGAACGGACAGACTGCCTCCTCAATTGGGTCCCTGACCCCCGAGTAACCTATCTGGGAGGCACCCCCTAGTAGGGGCAGTAGGGGCAGACTGACACCTCACATAGCCAGGTACCCCTCTGAGACGAAACCTCCAGAGGAACGATCAGAGAGCAACTTTTGCTGTTCAGCAATATTCACTGTTCTGCAGCCTCTGCTGCTGATACTCAGGCAAACAGGGTCTGGAGTGGACCTCCAGCAAACTCCAACAGACCTGCAGCTGAGGGTCCTGACTGTTAAAAGGAAAATTAACAGAAAGGACATCCACACCAAAATCCCATCTGTACATCACCATCATCAAAGACGGGGAAAAAACAGAAGAGAAAAACTGAAACTTCTAAAAATCAGAGCACCTCTCCTCCTCCAAAGGAATGCAGCTCCTCACTAGCAATGGAACAAAGCTGGACGGAGAATGACAAGTTGAGAGAAGACTTCAGATGATCAAACTTCTACGAGCTAAAGAAGGAAGTTCAAACCCATAGCAAAGAAGTTAAAACCCTTGAAAAACGGAGGTGGAGCCAAGATGGCCGAATAGGAAGAGCTCCGGTCTACAGCTCCCAGTGTGAGTGACGCAGAAGACGGGTGATTTCTGCATTTCCATCTGAGGTACCAGGTTCATCTCACTAGGGAGTGCCAGACAGTGGGCGCAGGACAGTGGGTGCAGTGCACTATGCACGAGCTGAAGCAGGGCAAGGCATTGCCTCACTCTGGAAGTGCAAGGGGTCAGGGAGTTCCCTTTCCTAGCAAAGAAAGGGGTGACAGACAGCACCTGGAAAATCGGGTCACTCCCACCCCAATACTGCGCTTTTCCGAAGGGCTTAAAAAATGGCGCACCAGGAGAATATATATCGCATCTGGCTCGGAGGGTCCTACGCCCATGGAGTCTCACTGATTGCTAGCACAGCAGTCTGAGATCAAACTGCAAGGTGGCAGCGAGGATGGGGGAGGGTCGCCCACCATTGCCCAGGCTTGCTTAGGTAAACAAAGCAGCCGGGAAGCTCGAACTGGGTGGAGCCCACCACAGCTCAAGGAGGCCTGCCTGCCTCTGTAGGCTCCACCTCTGGGGGCAGGGCACACACAAACAAAAAGACAGCAGTACCCTCTGCAGACTTAA
This sequence comes from Homo sapiens, assembly GCF_000001405.40. Taxonomy (NCBI): domain Eukaryota; kingdom Metazoa; phylum Chordata; class Mammalia; order Primates; family Hominidae; genus Homo; species Homo sapiens. The sequence continues at coordinate 101,811,232 of NC_000023.11, read as the reverse complement.
ATGTCCCTGTCTGACAGCTTTGAAGAGAGCAGTGGTTCTCCCAGCATGCAGCTGGAGATCTGAGAACGGGCAGACTGCCTCCTCAAGTGGGTCCCTGACCCCTGACCCCCCGAGCAGACTAACTGGGAGGCCCCCCAAGTAGGGCCAGACTGATACCTCACACGGCCGGGTACTCCTCTGAGACAAAACTTGCAGAGGAATGATCAGACAGCAGCATTCGTGGTTCAAGAAAATCCACTGTTCTGCAGCCACCGCTGCTGGTACCCAGGCAAACAGCGTCTGGAGTGGACCTCTAGCAAACTCCAACAGACCTGCAGCTGAGGGTCCTGTCTGTTAGAAGGAAAACTAACAAACAGAAAGGACATCCACACCAAAAACCCATCTGTACATCACCATCATCAAAGATCAAAAGTAGATAAAACCGCAAAGATGGGGAAAAAACAGAGCAGAAAAACTGGAAACTCTAAAAAGCAGAGCGCCTCTCCTCTTCCAAAGGAATGCAGCTCCTCACCAGCAACAGAACAAAGCTGGACGGAGAATGACTTTGACGAGTTGAGAGAAGACTTCAGATGATAAAACTACTCTGAGCTACAGGAGGAAATTCAAACCAAAGGCAAAGAAGTCGAAAACTGAAAAAAAATTTAGACGAATGTATAACTAGAATAACCAATACAGAGAAGTGCTTAAAGGAGCTGATGGAGTTGAAAGCCAAGGCTCGAGAACTACGTGAAGAATGCAGCAGCCTCAGGAGCCGATGCGACCAACTGGAAGAAAGGGTATCAGTGACGGAAGATGAAATGAATGAAATGAAGCGAAAAGGGAAGTTTAGAGAAAAAAGAATGAAAAGAAACGAACAAAGCCTCCAAGAAATATGGGACTATGTGAAAAGACCAAATCTACATCTGATTGGTGTACCTGAAAGTGACAGGGAGAATGGAACCAAGCTGGAAAACATTCTGCAGGACATTATCCAGGAGAACTTCCCCAATCTAGCAAGGCAGGCCAACATTCAGATTCAGGAAATACAGAGAATGCCACAAAGATACTCCTCAAGAAGAGCAACTCCAAGACACATAATTGTCACATTCACCAACGTTGAAATGAAGGAAAAAATGTTAAGGCAGCCAGAGAGAAAGGTCAGGTTACCCACAAAGGGAAGCCCATCAGACTAACAGCAGATCTCTTGGCAGAAACTCTACAAGCCAGAAGACAGTGGGGGCCAATATTCAACATTCTTAAAGAAAAGAATTTTCAACCCAGAATTTCATATCCAGCCAAACTAAGCTTCAAAAGTGAAGGAGAAATAAAATACTTTACAGACAAGCAAATGCTGAGAGATTTTGTCACCACCAGGCCTGCCCTAACAGAGCTCCTGAAGGAAGCACTAAACATGGAAAGGAACAACCGGTACCAGCCACTATAAAATCATGCCAAATTGTAAAGACCATCGAGGCTAGGAAGAAACTGCATCAACTAACCATCAAAATAACCAGCTAACATCATAATGACAGGATCGAATTCACACATAACAATATTAACTTTAAATGTAAATGGACTAAATGGTCCAATTATATGCACCCAATACAGCAGCACCCAGATTCATAAAGCAAGTCCTGGGTGACCTACAAAGAGACTTAGACTCCCACACAATAATAATGGGAGACTTTAACACCCGACTGTCAACATTAGACAGATCAACGAGACAGAAAGTTCACAAGGATACCCAGGAATTGAACTCAGCTCTGCACCAAGTGGACCTAATAGACATCTACAGAACTCTCCACCCCAAATCAACAGAATATACATTTTTTTCAGCACCACACCATACCTATTCCTAAATTGACCACATACTTGGAAGTAAAGCTCTCCTCAGCAAATGTAAAAGATCAGAAATTATAACAAACTGTCTCTCAGACCACAGTGCAATCAAACTAGAACTCAGGATTAAGAAACTCACTCAAAACCGCTCAACTACATGGAAACTGAACAACCTGCTCCTGAATGACTACTGGGTACATAACGAAATGAAGGCAGAAATAAAGATGTTCTTTGAAACCAGTGAGAACAAAGACACAACACACCAGAATCTCTGGGACACATTTAAAGCAGTGCGTAGGGAGAAATTTAGAGCACTAAATGCCCACAAGATTAAGCAGGAAAGATCTAAAATTGACACCCTAACATCACAATTAAAAGAACCAGAGAAGCAAGAGCAAACACATTCAAAAGCTAGCAGAAGGCAAGAAATAAGTAAGATCAGACCAGAACTGAAAGAGATAGAGGCATAAAAACCCCCTCAAAAAATTAATGAATCCAGGAGCTGGTGTTTTTTGAAAAGTTCAACAAAATTGATAGACTGCTAGCAAGACTAATAAAGAAGAAAAGAGAGAAGAATCAAATAGATGCAATAAAAAATGATAAAGGGGATATCACCACCGAGCCCACAGAAATACAAACTACCATCAGAGAATACTACAAATACCTCTACGCAAATAAACTAGAAAATCTAGAAGAAATGGATAAATTCCTGGACACACACACCCTCCCAAGACTAAACCAGGAAGAAGCTGAATCTCTTAGTAGACCAATAACAGGCTCTGACATTGAGGCAATAATTAATAGCTTACCAACCAAAAAAACTCCAGGACCAGACGGATTCACAGCCGAATTCTACCAGAGGTACAAGGAGGAGCTGATACCATTCCTTCTGAAACTATTCCAATCAACAGAAAAAAAGGGAATCCTCCCTAACTCATTCTATGAGCCAGCATCCTCCTGATACCAAAGCCTGACAGAGACACAACAAAAAAAGAGAATTTTAGAACAATATCCCTGATGAACATTGATGCAAAAATCCTCAATAAAATACTGGCAAACCAAACCCAGCAGCACATCAAAAAGCTTATCCACCATGATCAAGTGGGCTTCATCCCTGGGATGCAAGGCTGGTTCAACATACGAAAATCAATAAACGTAATCCATCACATAAACAGAAGCAAAGACAAAAACCACATGATTATCTCAATAGATGCAGAAAAGGCCTTTGACAAAATTCAACAGCCCTTCATGCTAAAAACTCTCAATAAATTAGGTATTGATGGGACATATCTCAAAATAATAAGAGCTATTTATGACAAACCCGCAGCCAATATCATACTGAATGGGCAAAAACTGGAAGCATTCCCTTTGAAAACTGGCACAAGACAGGGATGCCCTCTCTCACCACTCCTATTCAACATAGTGTTGGAAGTTCTGGCCAGGGCAATTAGGCAGGAGAAGGAAATAAAGGGTATTCAATTAGGAAAAGAGGAAGTCAAATTGTCCCTGTTTGCAGATGACATGATTGTATATCTAGAAAACCCCATCGTCTCAGCCCAAAATCTCCTTAAGCTGCTAAGCAACTTCAGCAAAGTCTCAGGATACAAAATCAATGTGCAAATATCACAAGCATTCTTATACACCAATAAAAGACAAACAGAGAGCCAAATCATGAGTGAACTCCCATTCACAATTGCTTCAAAGAGAATAAAATACCTAGGAAACCAACTTACAAGGGATGTGAAGGACCTCGTAAAGGAGAACTACAAACCACTGCTCAACTAAATAAAATAGGACACAAACAAATGAAAGAACATTCCATGCTCATGGATAGGAAGAATCAATATCACGAAAATGGCCATACTGCCCAAGGTAATTCATAGATTCAGTGTCATCCCCATCAAGCTACCAATGACTTTCTTCACAGAATTGAAAAAAAAAACTACTTTTAAGTTCATATGGAACCAAAAAAGAGCCCGCATTGCCATGTCAATCCTAAGCCAAAAGAACAAAGCTGGAGGCATCACGCTACCTGACTTCAAACTATATTACAAGGCTACAGGAACCAAAACAGCATGGTACTGGTACCAAAACAGATATAGATCAATGGAACAGAACAGAGCCCTCAGAAATAATACCACACATCTACAACTCTCTGATCTTTGACAAATCTGACAAAAATAAGAAACGGGGAAAGGATTCCCTATTCAACAAATGGTGCTGGGAAAACTGGCTAGCCATATGTAGAGGGCTGAAACTGGATCCCTTCCTTACACCTTATACAAAAATTAATTCAAGATGGATTAAAGACTTAAATGTTAGACTTAAAACCATAAAAACCCTAGAAGAAAACCTAGGCAATACCATCAATACCATTCAGGACATAGGCATGGGCAAGGACTTCATGTCTAAAACACCAAAAGCAATGGCAACAAAAGCCAAAATTGACAAATGGGATCTAATTAAACTAAAGAGCTTCTGCACAGCAAAAGAAACTACCATGAGAGTGAACAGGCAACCTAGAGAATGGGAGAAAATTTTTGCAATCTACTCATCTGACAAAGGGCTAATATCCAGAATCTATAAAGAACTCAAACAAATTTACAAGAAAAAAACAAACAACCCATCAAAAAGTGGGTGAAGGATATGAACAGACACTTCTCAAAAGAAGACATTTATGCAGCCAAAAGACACATGAAAAAATGCTCATCATCACTGGCCATCAGAGAAATGAAAATCAAAACCACAATGAGATATCATCTCACACCAGTTAGAATGGCAATCATTAAAAAGTCAGGAAACAACAGGTGCTGGAGAGGATGTGGAGAAATAGGAACACTTTTACACTGTTGGTGGGACTGTAAACTAGTTCAACCATTGTGGAAGTCAGTGTGGCGATTCCTCAGGGATCTAGAACTAGAAATACCATTTGACCCAGCCATTCCATTATTGGGTATATACCCAAAGGAATATAAATCATGCTGCTATAAAGACACATGCACACGTATGTTTATTGCGGCACTATTCACAATAGGAAAGACTCGGAACCAACCCAAATGTCCAACAATGATAGACTGGATTAAGAAAATGTGGCACATATACACCATGGAATACTATGCAGCCATAAAGAAGGATGAGTTCATGTCCTTTGTAGGGACATGGATGAAGCTGGAAACCATCATTCTCAGCAAACTATCGCAAGGACAAAAAACCAAACACCGCATGTTCTCACTCATAGGTGGGAATTGAAGAATGAGAACACTTGGACACAGGAAGGGGAACATCACACACCGGGGCCTGTTGTGGGGTGGGGGGCTGGCGGATAGATAGCATTAGGAGATATACCTAATGTAAATGACGAATTAATGGGTGCAGCACACCAACATGGCACATGAATACATATGTAACAAACCTGCACGTTGTGCACAGGTACCCTAGAGCTTAAAGTATAATAAAAAATACATATATATTTAAAAAATAAAAATAAAAAAACAAAAACAAAATGGGATCACTTGGATAAGCAAGTAACAGCCTACAATATATTATTTTCATGTTTATAAAAATCATTATGCAAGCTTCCTCTTTGAAGTTAACTGGCACAAACTGGTTGAAACTGGTAAGGCCTTCTGGATTTGCTTTGAGCCATCAAAGACAACTAGAGTTCAGGTCAGTCTGTTCCATTTTATAAATAATATAATATCCTTGAGTTAAAAAAATAAAATAAAATGAACACCATCTGTATTGCAAAATTTAAGAGTACAAAGTATATAAAAAGCTGGAAGAAAATAGTTGCAATCTGTATTGCAGCTATGTGGTTAATATCCTTGATACTTTAACCAACAGAGAAACGGGCCGAAGATTACAATAGAGAATGTACATGAAAGTAACATCAATACCCAGTGAACATTTGAAAATATGCCCAATGATATAAATGATGAAATGTGAAACAAGCTCTCATACTACATGAAACAGATAAATATCAACACAGTATGCAGAGGACAATCACAGTTTGTAAAAGAGTACACTTTTACATTTGGAAAAATATCTGTGCATTTTATTAAGACACATAGAAAAGTCAACAGAATATATATCAAATTATTAATAATGAATATCTTCTGGTTGGGGTGGGAGTGCAGACTGGACAGTTAATATACTGATGTATTAATTTGGCAAAATGAATAAACCTCAAAAATGCTACTTTCAATGCTGGTTATGAAACCTTCTTTTCAATAAATAATAATTACCCTTATCTTGAAATAGCCATTTACTTCTTTCTTATTTTAAAATATATAATTCATATTAAGAGTTACTCTATTTAACTGGCTAAACTTTGTGCTGAGAGAGCTGATGGACAAAACTGCCTAGGGTCAGAGAAAAGAGGTCACAATATGCACAGATGTAATGCTCCTAGGGCAGTGACCAGGACTTCACAAATAAACCGTGGGTGCCAGTACTGTCACCTCCCTGAAGGCAGAAGAGACCATTCAGTTCGGCAGTGGTAAGTCCAGCATGGATGCCAGACCTCCCCTTCCCAGGAGAGCATCCATAAAGTGTCTGCTCATTATTAGGACACTGGAGGAAGGGCTCTGCATTGGACACATTTGCACTATAATTTACAGACATAATTAATATACCTGACATATAAGGAAAACTACTATCTAAAAGAGTTGTGTACATGTCTACCAACAGGTAATTTAAAGAAAAAAATGAAGGCAATGGCAATCAACATATGTAAAATTGCTTAAACACATCAAAAATTAAAGAAATCTAATAAAAAGCACTGAGATGCAGAAATATATAAGCAAGTTACAGAACATAACATACAACATGGCATGATTTTTGAATGACATATATTTCCATAAGGATATACATAGGTCATTTTTTTTTTTTGAGATGGAGTTTTGCTCTTTTTGCCCAGGCTGGAGCGCAATAGCGCAATCTTGGCTCACTGCAACTTCTGTCTCACAGGTTCAAGCAATTCTTCTGCCTCAGCCTCCCGAGTAGCTGGGATTACAGGCACACGCCACCACACCCGGCTAATTTTGTATTTTTAGTAGAGACAGGGCTTCTCCTTGTTGGTCAAGCTGGTCTTGAACTCCTGACCTCAGTTGTTCTGCCTGCCTTGGCCTCCCAAAGTGCTGGGATTTCAGGCGTGAGCCACTGCGCCCAGCCACATATGTCATATTTTAAAATATAAATGAACCCACAGAAACAAATCTAGAGAATATTTACAAATCAATTGAATTATTATCTTGAGAAAGGTCATAGTAATAGGGGAAACATAAGACAATGCCTCTTATAATTGTATATTTCTCCAGTGTTTTCAAGAGCTGGGGGAATACATACAGCTCACTGATTTTTAATTCGCAAAATAACCGAGATACAATTATGACAGCATAGAATAAACCTAGTTGTAGTTTGATTTACAAAACTAATGCTGAAAAAATATATAGTTCTGGACATTAAAAGATATTAAATGTCAGATAACATAAAAAGGAGGTTATACACCACATTATATTTATAACGACACATACACATTCACTCAACTGTGTTTAATTTGAGAGGGGGGTCAAAGGAAACATCCTGTCACATGAATTAATACCCATGGGCTCTGTCGCCATCTCTGCTTAGTGCTTTGTCTGCCGTATAACTTCCAGAAAGTTTATTCTGGTGGGCTTACACAGCCCTCCTTTCCCTCCTTCCCTCCTTCCTAGATCTCTTGCTAAAGTGATATCCAAGCTGCAGTTCTAGATTGGGTCAACAGATGGCATTGATTGACTTTCAATTTCAATTTTATTTTTCAATGAAAAAAATACTCATTTCACAAAATGAACAAATTGTACTTTGAATGGAGATTATGAAGAAGTATGGAAATAAAATAAAGATTCATTCCTTAACTCAGCAATTAACACATTTCATTTACTACATTAAATTTTGTAGAATATGGTTCTCAAACTTCAGCTTGCATCAGAATCACTTTGGACCTTGTGGCAAACTGGGGAGTACAGGTACCCCATAAATTTGTACAAACAACAAAGAAAGAAAAGACTGCTAGTACCAACCACAAGAGTTTCTGATTCAGTAGGTCTAGGATGGAGCCTAAGAATTAGCACTTTCTAGCAAGTTCCCAGGTGATACTGACACTGCTGGTCTGGGGACCAAACATTGAGATCCACCAATGCAGATCATAAAAACAAACACAAACAAAGCAAAATAGCACCTTATCCTTTACATAATACCTGGAGAATCACACTGTGCTGAGAATGCTGGGATCAAGGAAATGGGGTCATAGTGTGCAGTGGGACCACAGACTCAAGCAGTGGATACCACAATGTCACTCTCTGTAAAGCATGAAGGGACCAGTCACTAATCAATACAACGGCATAGAGCCCGTATGTGGACAATGTGGTGATTTCATCACATCTCCCACCCCAGGGGAGCCCTGTGGGTGAAGAATTAAGCTCCAGGCTCCCTGAGGCTCAGGGATCTAAAGTAACTGCCCAGATCTCACCTGGCCAAGCCCTGTTTCTTCCACTGCATCTCCAGACCGGGTGCTCTTTATTAGTTAAAGTACATTTTTTTAGGCTCTGCTTATTATTATTAAGGTAATCCACACTCATTTTGGACCATGTGGAAAATAGTGTCAAATACAGACAAGAAAATATATCCAGCACTCCTGCCCCTTCATGGTAAACACAATTAACATCTTGGTGTATTCTGTTATAGTATTTTTTCTCTACTTTAATATATGCCCACAAAGATAGATAGTAGCATTTCTGGAGAAGAGACATCTGTTTGGGGGGAAGTGACAGGACTGCTATCAGGACACAGTTCCTTTGACTGCAGCCTTCTGTACAGCAGATCTGTTATTAGGATTGGTTCCTCTGCACTGTTTCTTCATTCCAAGACTCAAAGGAAATCTCTTTATCTTGCACCTCTTAGAGTCTTTCTTCCCTTACAACATAAAAGACAAAGTACTAAGGACAGGAAAGCACATATGATGGTAGGAAATGGCATGAGGATTTTTCTGTTCCCTTCCAAAGCCCCTCAGGTAACTCATCCTACAATACTGGACAGTCACCATGGCTAATACATCACATTTCCCTCTGTACACTTAGGGTCCCAACTGTTCTCTCTTAGAGTTATGCATTTAGTTTCTATCACAGACATCTCTTCTGCAGAGAAGGCAAGGTGAGGCTAAGATAGTAAGCACTAAAGCCTCCCATGGGTTTCTCATTTCCCTAAAACAACTCTGAAAAGAAAGCATCATTATTTTCATTTTACTGATGATCAGCTCCAGGCTTGCCAAAGATAAACCACATATCCAGATAAGTGGCAACAATGAAATTCAGCCACCGAACATGCCCAGAGTATACCCAGCAGCTTCTATTGTAGATGTGGGCTTCTACAATGCAATGTGGGTAAGAAATGATAGTTGTAAACTTTTCTGGTATTGTGCTGAACTTTGGCATGCCCACATGGGAAAATACTTAGACAACTCCCCTTAGTGATGATGTTTGTGGAGAAGAAATCCTGTCCTAGGCTAGGAGGCATGTTGATTGGCAGTTCCTGAAGTAGCGAATAAATCAGATGAAAGTACAAGTTTTAGACATTGGGAAAGTGACATGGAGGAAGGAAATTCTTGTTTATCAAAGCTTGAGTTACATCTAAGGAATTTTATATTGTATCTCTTCTAAATATGATAATAAATTCAAGGTAGGTAATAAGGATCGCTTACGAGAAATGAGGAAAGCCAAGACTTAAGAGGCTAAGTAAGTTACCCTTAGTGCCAAGTCTGTAAAACACAGGCCAGGGACTCTAAAACCCAAGCCTTTCTCACTATGATGTCTTCCTGGGCTTTGAATGGTTTCTATCTAAAATCTTCTCATAAAGTGGCAATCTTTACACTCCTGTGAATCTTAAAAACTTTTACAATGAACTGTATTGATTTCTTCATCATTAAAATCCATGAGATTTTAACATTTAAAGTTGCATTAAAAATTGGAGGGGAAATTATCCACATATACCTCAGAAACCACTTTACATGCCAGGAACTCTCTTTAACCAGAAGAGAAACAAATGAAAATTTAAAATCTCATAGAAAATTAGAGGAATGCAATTAAACTTATGAGAAGATATCCAATAGCAATGAATACACAACTAAAAATTCAGGTACCCTTATTCTCAGCTAGGGAAGGTAAATTGCATGACAAAGTTTGCAGTCATCCCATTTTCATGAAGAATATGTGTATATACATGCTGTCTGTTCAGGCTGCTATAACAAAATGCCACAGTCTGGGTGACTTAAATGACAGACATTTATTTCTGATAGTTCTGGAGGCTGGAAAGTCCAAGACCAAGTGTCAGTAGAGTCAGCGTCTGGTGATGGCTCTTTTCATGGCTTGTAGACAGCCACTTTCTTGCTGTTTGCTCACATTACCCTTGGTGCATACTCGTGAAGAAAGAAAGAGATCTCTCTCTCTCTTCCTCTGCTTATAAGGGCGTCAATCCCATCATGAGGGTCCCACTCTCATGGTCTAATCTAAACTTAATTGTACCCCAAAGGCCCCACCTCCAAATACTATCACCTTGGAAGCTAGGGCTTCAATGCGTAAATTTGGGAGGATAGAAACATTCATCTCATAACACATGTTCACACATTGTACATCTTTATGTATTTTGTACATACATATTTCCATATATATTCTCAGGAACATTTCTTTCTATGGAGAAAAAAAATCATCTGTTGAATATGCTCTGCACCATTAACAAAGGATACCTCAGCAGAGTGAAGGAGGTAGATACAGGATTGTTTCATTTCCACATTAGCATGTCTTTTGCTCAGTTTCTTTCAATTACAAACATATATTAGTTTTGTGATTTAGGAAAGTAATTGTTATAAATTTGTGAAAAAATAAAAACTTATTATAATCTAATCTCAGGAATTTATTTTGTATAAGTCTACTGACCTGGAAAGCAATTTGCACTTAGTAATATAAATAATGTAGTATAAAAAACAAGGAGATCCTGCCATTTGCCACAACAAGGATGGACCTGGAGGTCATTATACTAAATGAAATAAGCCAGACACAGAAAGACAAATATTGCACAGTCCCACTTATGTGTCAAATGTTTTTTAAAGGTCAAATATAGAGAGAGACAAGAAAATAGCGGTTACAAGGGTTAGGGTGGGAGAAGGAAATGGGGAGATGTATACATCAAAGATACAAAGCGCAAACATGTAGGATGAACAAATCAAAAGATCTAACGTCCAATATGAGGAATATAGTAAATAATAGTGTATTGCATTCGGATTTTTGCTAAATGAGTAGATTACAGCTGTTCTTGCCAAAAGAAGGAAAATAGGAAACTCCGTGAGATGATGATGGATATGTTAATCTGTTCCACTACAGTAACCATTTTACTATATGTATCTTATAACATCATGTTGTACATCTTACAATTTATAATGAAATTAATTTTTAAAAAGGAATTCATAGTTAACGGTGAGATTTTTTTAAAAGAGCAAATTACACATTGTATTTACAATATGATTGGCCCCCCCTTATTGTTGATAATACTGCCGTGTGCATAAGTACATGTTATAAATCAACTGTGTTTAAAAGGATATAACCCAAAATACAAAATACAGACACATGCACAAACATGCGCTGATATAGTTTATCAGAGACACTCACACTGGTGGCTTTCTCTTTATTTGAGACAGGGGTGGAACTTCCTGCCAAGAACTCAGAGAGCCAGGCAGCAATAGATTAAGCAGGAAGGGCTGCCTGTGCCATTCAAGCCTCCAGCAAGCCCTGTTTGGCGGGTCAGGCCAGAGGCCCCTCCCTCTCCAGATCCTTACAGAGCCTCCTCCCAGATATTCAGAGATGTAGTTCTGGCTTTGACCAGCAGGTGGCAATTATCTCTATAGTCCACATCTGCTGCGATGGAAAAGTAACAATTTTTGCAAAGAGAGACAAAGACAATATGAAATGAATAATACAAAATATATTTGAAAAATTCATGTGGAGAGAAAAAACTTGAATGTGTATTGCTGTTTTAGTTTTTGATAATGACTTCCAAAGCTGGGTCTCTCACAATTATTCTTCCATTCTGTACGTATTTTTGGGGGGGCTGGGCACTGCCAACTCAAGTCCATTTGTCCATCCCACTCTTTTCTTTGAAGCCCAGACTCTCATTTTCAACTGCCTGCAGGACATACTCATTTGGAGAAAGACGACTGCAATTTGTTTCTACATGTGTGGAGTGAGTGTGTGTTTCTCTAATGTTAAACTGAAGAGTAAAGAATAGGCAGGATAACTCATTAAATAATAAAAAGAAATGGCACAAATAACTTTTCCTCTTCCAAACTCCAAAGGAAAGCATATGCTACAAAAAGTAACACCAAAGCTCACAAGTTACATAAATACGTGTATATTGCATGTTTTCTGTGTATATTTTCAAATAATCCTTAATATAGTTATTCCATTCATTTTACATCAAAATCCCCCGTTGATGGAATGAAGAATTCTGGAACTAACATTTCTAATATCACTTAAAGAAGTGGCATGTTTCGGATGCTTTCTTTTTATTGTTTTTACCTTTTATTTTCAGTTCAGGGTACATGTTTAGGTTTCTTATATAGGAAAATTGCATGCATGTCGCTGTGGTTTGGTGTACAGATTATTTCATCATCCAGGTAATAAGCAGTGTATCCTCTATTAGTCCATTTTCACATTGCTATAAAGAACTTCCCTGAGACTATAATTTATAAAGGAATGACGTTTAATTGACTCACAGTTACACATGGCTGGTCAGGGGGGCCTCAGGAAACTTAAAATCATGGTGGAAGATGAAGGAGATGCAAGTACCTTCTTCACCAGGTGGCAGGAAAAGAGAGAGTGTGAAGGAGAAACTTCCAAACACTTATAAAATCATCAGATCTCGTGAGAACTCACTCACGATCATGAGAACAGCATGGGGGAAACCACCCCCCATGATCCAATCACCTCCGACCAGTTCCTCCCTCAACACCTGGGGATTACAAATCAAGATGAGATTTGGGTTGGAACACAAAGCCAAACCATATCATAACCGATAGGTAGTTTTTTATCCTCACCCTCTCCACACCCTCCACCCCCCAGTAGGCCCTGGTATCTGTTGTTCCTTTCTTTATATCCATATGTACTCCATGTATAGCTCCCACTTATAAGTGAGAACATGTGATATCCGGTTTTCTATTCCTGCATTAGTTTGCTTAGGATAATGACCTCCAGCTCCACCCATGTTGCTGCAAAGGACATGATCTCATTCTTCTTTACGATTGTGTAGTATTCCATGGTGTATATATACCACATTTTCTTTATCCAATCTACCATTGATGGGCATTTAAGTTGATTCCATGTCTTTGCTACTTTGAATAGTGCTTTGCTATTGTGAATGTGTCTTTATGGTAAAACGATTTACATTCTTTTGGGTATATACCCAATAATGGAATTGCTGGGTCAAATGCTAATTCTGTTTTAAGTTCTCTGAGAAATCCACAGTATTTCTACAGTGGCTGAATTAATTTACATTACCACTAGAAGTGTATAAGTTCATTTTTCTCTACAACCTTGTCAGCACCTTTCATTTTTCGACTTTTTAATAGCCATTCTGACTGGTGTGAGATGGTATCTCACTGTGGTTTTGATTTGCATTTTTCTAATGATTCACGATGTTGAGCTTTTTTGCATATACTTGTTGGCTGTGTGTATGTCTTCTTTCGAAAAGTGTTTGTTCACTTTACTATATGTCCTTTGCCCATTTTTGAATGGGATTAGTTGGTTTTTGATTATTGGTTTAAGTTCTTTATAGATTCTGGATATTAGATATTTATGAGATGCATAGTTTGCAAGTATTTTCTCACATTCTGTGAGTTGTCTGTTTACTCTGTTGATAGTTTTTTTGCTATGCAGTAGCTCTTTAATCAGGTCCTATTTGTCAATTTTTGTTTTTGTTGAAATTGCTTCGGCATCTTCATCATGAAATATTTTCCAGGACCTATGTCCATAATGGTATTTCCTAGGTGATCTTTCAGCATCTTTACAGTTTTAAGTTTTACATTTAAGTCTTTAACCCATTTTGAGTTGATTTTTCTATATGGTGTAAGAAGGGGGTCCAGTTTCAGTCTTCTGTGTATGGCTAGCCAGTTATCTCAGCACCATTTATTCAATAGGAAGTTGTTTCCCCATTGCTTGTTTTTGTCGATTTTGTTGAATATCAGATGGTTGTAAGTGTGTGGCATTATTTCTGGGCTCTAGATTCTGTTCTCTTTTTCTATGTGCCTATTTTTGTATGCACACCATGCTGTTTTGGTTACTGTAGCCTCGTAGTATAGTTTGAAGTCAGGTAATGTGATGTCTCCAGCTTTGTTCTTTTTGCTTATGATTGCTTGGCTATTTGGCTTCTTTTATGGTTCCATATGAATTTTAAAACAGTTTTTTCTAATTCCGTGATGGGTGTCACTGGTAGCTTGAAAGGAATAGCATTGAATCTGTAAATTGCTTTGGGCAGCATGGACATTTTAACAATATTGAATCTTCCTATCCATGAGCATGGAATGTTTTTCCATTTGTTTGTGTCATCTCTGAATTCTTTTTTTTTTTTTTTTTTTAAGACGGAGTTTCGCTCTTGTTGCCCAGGCTGGAGTGCAATGGCACGATGGAGCAGTGTTTTATAATCTCTCATTGTAGAGATCTTTCACCTCTCTGGTTAGCTGTATCCCTAGGTTTTTTTTTTTTTTTTTTTTTTTTTTTTGGCTATTCTGAATGGGATTGTGTCCTCGATTTGGCTCTCAGCTTGGATGTTATTAGTACATTGAAATCTTACTGATTTTTGCATTGATTTTGTATCCTGAAACTTTGCTGAAGTTGTATATCAGATCAAGGAGCTTTTGGGCAGAGACTATGGCAGTATCACCAGACATTGTCTACAGTTCATCTGATAGTCTCCTTTTAAAAATCCTTTTAGGCATGTTTTTGCTACTTCGCAATAATTTATTTCTTTCCTTATTATTTTCCATTTATTTGTATGTATGATAATATACATGCATATATGATAATAAAGACTAATTTATTGACTATAAAAACACAGTGCTAATGAAAGGGCCGGGAACAAAGCCAAAAGGTCATGGCGAAGTTTCATCACATCTTAACAGTCACCAGTGCAGGGAACAACTTAGTGCCATAGGGACAAGCAAGCTACCACTGCCCCTTGCCTCTCCATCCCACAACCACCCATGTGCCCAAGACCTAATGATGGAAAATGGCTGGGCATAAGGCAAGGCCAACCTGAGAGATTGTGAGTATTCTCAAAAGGACAGACAGAAAGTGCAGGTGTAGACGGAGCCATGAGGATGATCAGACCAGTTATACAGAGAAACATTTGCACATCTGAGTGCATGGTGAACTTGGCAGTGCTTCAGTAGCACTGTGCTAAAAGGGAACCAAATCAGAATTCTCAGTTTACTGTTCAATGTTTAAGTTCATCTTGCCTTTCCATACAGACATTCACATCTTCACTTTAAAATAACACACAATTCTCATGTCTTCTGCTAAATCATTTCTTTTCCCAGAGCATAAAAATGGGTCATCTCAACAGCATAAGGATTTCTTTGTATTCAGCCATATTTATTTTGAGAATTTAATAGAGAGTATTTATACTGGACCAGGGGTTTGTTTTGGTCGAACACTTTTTGAATAGCTATCAAGACAACTTAATTTTGTTCTCAATTTGTATGGTTTCACTTTATATTACTCATAAGCAAATATATTGTCATTCAGTCATGTTGATGATTGCATTCAAATAAAAATGTTTAATTTCAAGAAAAAAATATTCAGTGGAAAAGTGTGTTTTCTTTATGCTCTCTGCCTACTTTTGACAATGAGATTTTTGCACAGGTGAATTTTTTAGAGTCAAATGACAAATATGTTTCTGTCTGTAAACACTGTCTATGTATTAGCAGATAAAACTTTTTAAATGAGGTTACAAGGAGTCCTCAGTCTTTCACATTAATAAGATTTTAAAAATAGTATTCAAGGCTCAGCAAAGACTAGTTCTTTCTGTATTCTAGACATCCGGTTGACATTTCTGCCTCCACTATGTGAACTTACAACTGAGATTTGCACGAATAAAAGATTATTTATTCCTAGTCTTTTCTCAGCAACATGTTTTATGCCCTTGATTTCCTGATCTATGAAATACAGATAATTACTCTGCTAAAAGGGGGAGTGTGGCCATCCAAAAAAGAGTCCATATAAACCGAAAATCCCTGTAAAAACAAGGCAGTGATATTGGAATGGCAGGCCAAAAATGAAAGCTGTTCTTATTTTAGAAAAGCTCTTGGGAACTGATCATAGTGTCCTCGTTTTTCTTATGAATATTATATTCATTCTTGATAGTTCCAACTTTTGGGTAAACATTTTCATTAACCTCCATAATAACCCCGGCAATAAAAAAAACTCTTCTCAACTCCTTATGTCTGGACAAAGCACGTAATGTAAGCTTCTTTGTAAGTCTGCTCCTAATTTCATTCCCTTTCTTTTTTTAATTCTTTAATTGGACTTTTTGTTTATATAAAGATAATTGTAAAATATTAATCATGTCTGTCTTTAATCTTTTGATTTTAGCTTATCTGGTTTTAGATGTCATATTCCTTCAGTTAATATTAACTTACTTTCACTCTATTAAATCTTGCAACTGCAAAAAAATATTAATTTACAACAGAGGGTAAAAATTGATGATTTGGGGAACACAATTTTGTCCACATAACATTTCATTTTTAAACAGTTGCCGACATCTAAAAATTGGAAGATTTCACATATAAATAAAGCTTCTTGGCTTATCTTGAAAAATGAGAAGGTTTTGCCACACAGGGCCTACATTCCTTCATGCCCTTAAGGAAATAACTGGCTGGAGCTGAGAAGCAGTTTCCTTATCCCCAGTCACTGTGGTTCCTGTCACTTCCTATCCCCACACATACACGGAATGTTAGTTTTTTATTGTACTATTATTGCTGTTACTTTTCTTACAGTAAAGAGAAAAGTGAAATATTTCTCGTTAAAAGAGATTTTAAACATTCTAACTACAAATGATAAATAGGTGAAGTGATGGATATGTTAACTCACTTGATTTAATCATTCCACAATCTGTGTGTGTATGTATACATATACATACACATATATATACACATACATATATATATATCAAAACATCACACTGTACCTCATAAATAATGCAATTATTACTTCACTATTAAAAATAAAATTTTATGTATTTATTGTTTTAGAGACAGGGTCTCGCTATGCTGCCCAGGGTAGTCTCAAACTCCTGAGCTCAAGGAATTCTCCCACTTCAGCCTCCTGAAGTAAGATGGGACTATAGGCACATGCCATCGTGCCCGGCTAAAAAATAAAAGTTGTGAAACGTGGGTGAAACAAAGAAACTAAGAATACTGTTCATTTCAGTAACAGTGGACAGTATTAACTTGTGGTAGCAAAAGTTCTTGTTATTTTTATTTACTCCTGCTTATATTATCTACATTATCAACTTGGCCCCATAGGCCTATGAATTTGGCTTTCCTGGAGTTAAAAGTTTTCCATGTCACATCACTGATGTGCCACATAGCCTTTCTGAGGTGAATATGATAAATGCGTACATTTTCCCATTTTTGGACAAATAAAGGAAATGTAAATTTGAAGAAACTTTTAAATACCACATTAGAAAAACATTTGATAGGATGTAATGAACTTTCATTTGCCATATTTAGTGCTGTCATATTTTCTTATGTGACCTCCAGCTGGCAGGTCGCAATGGAGTATTCAAAGATAATACATCCTGGATAAATTCAGTTCTATGCCAAGTTATCTCTGGCCATGATATTTTCTTCTGACCCAATAAGTGATGTGGGGACAGCATTTCAATTGAACCGTTTCACATTAGACGTAGATATTTGTCTGAATAGTCTTTGCCTACTTTCAGAATGGTATGCTTTATGCCTTTATAAGAGTTGTATCACTAATAGTCAACATAACTCTAAGTGCCTAAAAGCCTAGAGAATGAATTTAATGGATTTGGATTTCTGGCAACAGAAGCAACTCCTGCTGCCTTCTGCATTTGTAATATTTATTTGTGACCATAGAAAACCATTAACTGGTAAATACCCTCTCTGAAAGGTTCGAGTATTTTATTTGTCCATATTCTCTGATGGTCCTTGCTCATATGCAGCCATTTGGTAATACCATAAAAACAGGTTTGTTTATTTATTTGCCTATTTGTTTTGATCAATTTTGCACAGGTAATAGCAGCTTTGTTTAAAAATGAACACATGGCCTCCAATTCCACTCTTAGGTATATACATAAGAGAATTGAAAATGGGTGTTCAAGCAAAAACTTGTACATGAATGTTTACAGCAACATTATTAATAGTAGCCAAAAGATGGAAACAGTCCAATGCCCACCAATTGGTAAATGTACAAGTGAAATGTGGTACATCTATACAATGGAATATTATTCAGCCATAAAAAAGTACTGGCGGATGCTACAACATGGTTGAACCTTAAAAACATTATGCTAACTGAAATAAGTCAGATGCAAAAAGTCACATATTGTATGATTCCATTTATATGACATGTCCAGAATAAGCATAGCCATAAAGACAGAAAGGAGATTAGCTGTTGTTTAGGGTTGATGACACCTACTGATAAACGAAGTTAAAATTTAGAAACATTTTATTTCCTTATACACACACACACACACACACACACACGCATATATATATATATATATACACACACACAAAAAAAGTATATGTTCATTTATAATTTATATAACTGAATTAATACCATAGTATAGATAGAGGAAAAGAAAAATACAAAACAGTTACTTGTTTTTGGCAAAAAATTTATGTTAATTTTACAATCAGGGAAAGTAAACCAAATAATATTTTTGAAAACACAGGATAAGCCTGTTTGTGAAGTAAACCAAAAAAATCACATGTTAGAAATGTGTTCCATTACTTGGAAAATATGCTGTTATATGAAAAAGGCATGTTGTGAAGAGATGTTATGATAAGGTTACATTTTCCTTTGAAAATATATCGCTATATATTTATTATATGTTCATACCTCACACATACAAAGTTATTTCAGCTGAGAGTGTAGCTGAAGGGAACATGCTATGGTTTAAGACACTGTATGCTATGGAGGAAAGTCAATTCCAATAATTTGTTATAAGAGCTCACATATTTCGAATCAAGGCATTCTGGTAAGAATGTTATTTATTTAAATTAATGTTTCACTTTTCCAAATATATAGATCTACATATGAAACCTTTTTTGCCTATAGTAACTAAAGAATTCATCCCTGTTTGTATTCTCTATGTTGACTGAACTAGACAGCCCTCACTTTCACAATTAAATTGCATTCAACCTCTTCAGGCAAGAAAGTCAATGGCTCATTCTTTTCATAATTAAAGGCAGAGTACATGTTTTACTTTCAGCAATGGCAAAATAAGTCATATTGAACCAAACTTCCCATAGCTAGCAATTATAAACCCTGGGAAACAACGCAAATAACTATCTAAAAGCACTTGAGGACACTAGGAACGTATTCCTTCTATCTAACTGTATGTTTGTACCCATTAACCATCTCTCTTCATTCCCCCAGCCCTCCCCAGCCTTGACTAACTACCATTCTACTGTCTACCTCCATGAGATCAAAGTTTATAACTCCCACAAATAAGTGAGAACATGTGGTATTCGTCTTTCTGTGCCTGGCTTATTTCACTTAATATAATGACTTCCAGTTCCATCTATGTTGCTGAAAATGACAGGATTTTGTTATTTTGTACAGCTGAATGGTATTCCATTGTGTATATATACCACATTTTCTTTTTCCATTCATCTGTTGATGGGCACTTAAGTTGATTCCTTATCTTGGCTATTGTGAATGGCATGGAGATAAATATAGGACTGTAAGTATCCTTTTGATAGACCGATTTCCTTTCCTTTGGATAAATGCCCAGTAGTGTGATTGCTGGATCATCTGGTAGTTCTATGTTTTGCTTTTTGAGAAACCTCCATACTGTTTTGATAGCACAGTAGGCTGACTATAGTTAACAATTTATTGTATATTTCAAAATAGCTAGAAGAGAATATTTGAAATATTCCCAACACAAATAAATTATAAATTTTCAAGGCAATGGATATTTTAAATACCCCAATTAGATCATTACAAATTATACGTATGTACCAAAATATCACATGTACCCCATAAATGTATATAATCATTATGTGTCAATAAAACATCTTTTAAAAAACTTTCCCTTTAGTACCTATTTGTCTCCTTAGAATATTTATGAGATTATCATAGTACATATTTTCATATGATGGTTTTATTTTCTTAGAGTACTGTATGATGTATGCATTTCGGTACCTTAATAATGACATTTCTGCATTCTTGTTGCTTCACGCTAAGATTTAGTAGTGCTTATATTTTGAAACTGTGTCACAGAAAAATTAACATTTATTGTTCATTATTTTAAAGCACTTGAGTAAGACAGAAAGCAAGCAGAGATCGGAGAGAAGTAGAATTTGGAAGAGGAAATGTTTCTGGATGCCTGCTTTTATGGCTTTTTGCCCAATTACATGTGGAGTGGCTATCATGGCTTTTTGTCTGGTTACACGTGGAGTGGCTAAAACTCAGATAAATCTGTAGTCTTACTAGTTTAGGAATCAATGGCCACATTTTGGGGCAACCACAGCAGCTGAAAAATAAGTAAATAATACACTGAAAGGTGAAAGTCGCAAACAGAGTGCCACAAATTCTGTATATAACTTTGGCTCAAACATCTGGCTGACCCCTGAACTATACATGGTGGGGAGAACAGAGAGCTTCAGTTCTTTTAGCCTTAGCTAAAATATTTCATCTGATGCTAACTGCAGAAGAGACAGAGACTGAATTAATTTGTTGCTTCAACCAACAAACAAGTTAATTCTCTGCACAGCAGTGGTCCCCAACCTTTTTGGCACCAGGGGACCAAGACCGGTTTTCAGGAAGACAATTTTTCCACCGATGGGGTGTGGGGGTAGGTTTCAGGATGAAACTGTTCTACCTCAGATCATCAGGCATTAGATTCTCATAAGGAGCATGCAACCTAGATCCCTCGCATGTGCAGTTCACAATAGGGTTCACACTCCTATGAGAATCTAATGTCACCACCGACCTGACAGGAGGCGGAGCTCAGGTGGTAATGCTTGCTGGCCCACGGCTCACCTCCTGCTGTGAGGCCTGGTTCCTAACAGGCCAGGGACCAGTACTGGTCCATGACCTGGGGGTTGGAGACCCCTGCTGTAGAGGAACTAAATTTGGAATCTACAAGGTATCATTCACAAAGACAGTGTTACATAAACAAAGACAGCGATACATAAACAAAAAGTAAGTACAATGTTAGTATATCTGCAATACAAGATATGCTAAAGGAAGTTTTTTTAGGCTGAAGAGAAATGATACCAGACGTAAAATGAAATCTAAATAGAGAAATGAAAAGCATAAAAAATGGCCAATATGTGGGTAAATATAAACCACTATCTTTTATTTTCCTTTTAATTTCTTTTAAATATAAGTTGCTTTAAAGCAAAAATTATAGTGTATTATGAGATTTAATGTATGCGGGTATAATACATATGGCAGCTATAGTATAAAAGAGCAGTGGTAAGAGGAAATGCATAACACTAATGTTCTTTTATTTTATGTGAAGTGGTACAATATGAACTCTGAGAACACAGAAAGATTAGTGGTTTATATTGTAATCCCTAAAGCAATCACTTTAAAATACAATAAGGTATAGCTATAAAGTAAATAGAGAAAGCAGAATGAAGTTCTAAAACATATTTATTTCACCTAAAACAAGACAAACACATATGCATAAGATTGTGATTGGATCCCTTCCTTTCACTGTATACAAAAATCAACCCCAGATTGATTAAAGACATAAATGTAAAAACTAAAACTATAAAAACTCTAGGAGAAAATCTAGGAAATACCATTATGGACACAGGCTGACAAAGATTTTATGATGAAAACTCCAAAAGCAATTGCAGCAAAAACAAAAATTCACAAGTGGGACCTAATTAAACTAAAGAGCTTCTGCACAGCAAAAGAAACTATCAACAGAATAAACAGACAACATACAGAAAGGGAGAAAATATTTGTAAACTATGCATCTGACAAAGGTCTAATATCCAGAATCTATAAGAAACTTAAACAAATCAACAAGCAAAAACAAACAGCCTGATTAAAAAATGGGCAAAGGACATGAATAGTTTTCAAAAAAAGACATACATGCAGCCAACAGGCATATGAAAGAATGCTCAACATCACCAATCATTAGAGAAATGCAAATCAAAACTACAAAGAGATAGCATCTCACACCAGTCATAATGGCTATTATTAAAAAGTCAAAAAATAACAGATGCTGACAAGGTTGTGGAGAAAAGTTAACAATTATACACTGCTAGTGGGAATGTAAATTAGTTCAGCCACTGTGAAAAGCAGTTTGGCAATTTCTTAAAGAACTAAAACAGAACTACTATTATAACCAGCAATCCCATTACTGGGTACATACCCAAAGGAATGTAAATCGTTCTCCCATAAAGACACATGCACGTGTATGTTCTCTGAAGCACTATTCACAATAGCAAAGACATGGAGTCAACCTAGATGCCCACCAATGATGGATTGAATAAAGAAAATGTGATACATACATACCATAAAAAGAATGAGATTATGTCTTTTGCAGGGGTGTGGATGGAGCTGGAGGCCATTATCCTTAGCAAACTAGCACAGAGACAGAAAACCAAATACCTCACGTTCTCCCTTATAAGTGGTAGTTAAACACTGAGTACACATGAACATTATGATTGCAACAACAGATATCAGGGGCTACTGGGGGAAGGGTAGTTGGGAGGGGAGGGATGAAAAACTTACATACTATGCTCACTTTCTGGGTGATGGGATCAATTGTACCTCAAACCTCAGCATCACATAATATATCCATGTAAGAAACCTGCACATGTACCCCCTGAACCTAAAATAAAAGTTGAAATTGTAAAATAAAAAGTAAAATAAAATGTAGGTTTTTATTTTCATTATTCAGATATAGTAAAGCCAACAGATGCGGAGATAATTGCCACTGAATAGATAGATTATTACACTTCTCAAATGCAGGGGGCACACCAGGCCAAGCAACTGAGATGCTTGTTAAGAAAGTAAAAGATGGCCAAGAAAAGCCTAACATACAATAACCCCTGCTTTCAAGGGACTTAGAGTTTAGTTCAAAGAATGGTGATATGGGAGGCTCTTTACCATTCTCAGAGTCAGACAGCTTCAGAGATGCTAATGGTGAAATCAATCTTTCCTTTATTTAGAAATATGGGCTCAAATTAGATATACACATTGCTTTGCTTTCCTGTCACCTTTTTGTGCCAAGAGGCAGCAAGATTCCTTAGTTCACACTTTTTAGTCACCCCATATACCTACAATCTTGAAATACATCCACTACCCTATGGCAACTTACATTAAATGATGCCTTACAGTTTAAAATGCAATTTCACAGGTGTTTTAACAAAATAATCCTAAAATGTATGCCGAGCATGAACTATTATTCCTATTTTTTGGATACATAAACTGATTAAGGGAGATCTGCACAGTGGGTTTAAAAGTCAGGGGGTTATACACTCACAGATAATGGGTTGTTGACTTTGAGCAAAAATTCCCCAGAAATGTAATCCTTATTCGGTCCCAGTTGGAAATCAGAGGGGGTGATTGCGAAGGAGTAGAGGGCTTATATGGAAAGAAAGATGAGTATCCTAGGGTGTGCTGAGGATAACTCTTCTTGTGGAAAAAGAAAAGTCATAAGCTCAGAAGTCCTGGGCTTGCTGGGATGCCATTAAAAACGAGTCAGCCCCTCACTCAACTTCCCGCTTTTAAATGGGTGCCAACCCGTATGTTCATCGCAACACTATTCATGATAGCAAAGACATGGAATCAACCATAGGTGCTCATCTAGGTGGATTGAATAAAAAAATGTACTATGCCACCATAGAAAAAAAATGAAATCATGTCCTTTGCAGCAACATGGATGCAGCTGGAGGCAATAATCCTAAGCAAAATAATGCAAAATCAGAAAACCAAATACTGCATGTTCTCACTCATACGTGGGAACTAAACATTGAGTACACAAAGACAGGAACAATGGACACTGGGGCCTACTTGAGGGGAGAACAAGGAAGACGGTTTAGGATTGAAAAATCTACCTGTCAGGTAGTACGGTTAAGGATTAGTGCACTTCCAATTGAATGAAGGATAGCTGTATTATGTTAGGCTTAATTATGACCTTATGATTATCTTTACTTGGAGATTAAGTATGATTTCAGGAAATGAGTATGTGTTCAAGTTGACAAGGGGTGGGCTTGTGATGGTTAATATTAAGTGTTAACTTGATTGGATCAAAGGATACAAAATATTGTTTCTGGGTGTATCTGGGTATTTCTGGGTGTTGCCAGAAGAGATTAACATTGGAGTCAGTGGACTGGGAGAGGAAGACCCACCCTCAGGAAAACCCACCCACAATCTGGGTGGGCACCATCCAATCAGCTTCCAATGTGGCTAGAAAAAGCAGACAGAAGAAGGTGGAAGAAGCTGACTTGCTGAGCCTTTCAGCCTTCATCTTTCTCCCATGCTGGATGCTTCCTGCTCCCGAACATCAACTCCAAGTTCTTCAGCTTTTGGACTCTTGGACTTACACCAGTGGTTTGCCAGGGGCTCTTGGACCTTCAGCCACAGACTGAAGGCTGCACTGTTGGCTTCACTACTTTTGAGGTTTTGGGACTTGGACTGAGCCACTACTGTCTTCCTTGCTCCTCAACTTGCAGATGGCCTATCGTGGGACATCACCTTGTGATCATGTGAGTCAATTCTCCTTAATAAAATCCTTTTCACATATACATATATCGTATTAATTTTGTCCCTCTAGAGAACCCTGACTAATACACTATCTGGTTGATGAAATAATTTGTACAACAAACCCCAGCGACATGTAATTTATCCATGTAACAAACTGGCATATATATGTACCCTCTGAACCCAAAAGTTGGAAGAGGCAAAAAAGAAAGCAAACAAAGGATAGAGGAATTTTTTAAAGGAGATGCACTAAAATAGCAAAATATTGTAATTAAATCAAATTTTATTGATAGTACTTTAAATGCTAATAGACTAAACACCCCCAAGTAAAAGGCAAAGATTATGAGAATATATACAAAAACAAGATCTAAATATATGTTGTCTAAAGGAAATGCAGTTTAACTATAACAGCAAAATAGGCTGAAAATAAAGGGAAAGAAAAAGATCTACCACACAAACAGTAAGCATAAGAAAGCTGTAGTGGTGATATTAATATCAGATTTTGTACTTGGTGGCTACAGGACATTTTATGCCTCTGCCTCAGGATATAACCATGAATAAAATGAACAAAGTTCTCACCCTTTCAAAGTTAATGTTTTAGTGGGGTTGGTAAAAGATAATAAACAAATAAGTAAAATATGGAGTATGTGATATGGCCTAGCTAATTTGGACAAGCACAACATGATTGACAGTTAAGAGAAGGGAGTTAGGAGCCATGATGGTGGATTTCAGTCACAGCTCTGCCCACTTAAAAACTGTGTGACCTTAGGGACAATAATAATAGTATCTCCCTATTAAACTTGATGTGAGAAATAAATGTGTTAGTACATATGAAGCACTGAAAACAGTGCATGGCTAAGAGAGGGAACTACCAAAGTTTATGCTGTCATTTTTATTGTGGAACAATTAATGCAGGGAAAGGAGATGGGGAGTGCAGAAGGGATGTGAACTTTTAAAAGTAGTATAATCATTGAAGTTCTCACTGATGGAAATGACACTTGAGCAAAGACCTATTTCTATGTAAAGGATTATTGTGTGTTACAGCAGAAGCCAGCACAGGGGAAGTGACTCACTAAAAGTCCTATGACCCATGATAGACCTGGTATCTGAGGCCTAGGTATCAGATACCGTTTCTCCAGTGGACTTATGAATGTCATCTCTTTCTCAGACTTAATGGAAAATTGCTTCTTTGACATTCAACTAAAAGGTGAAATGACAAAGAAATAAAAACACATAGAATAAAAAGCTTTCAATGATAAATTCTGTTCCTCTAGGTTTTGTTTTTGTTTTGTTTTGTTTGGGATTGTTTTGGAGGGGGGACAGGGTCTTGCTTTGTCACCCAGACTGGAGTGCAGTGGTGCAATCACAGCTCATTGCAGCCTCAACCTCCCTCGCTCAAGCAATCTTCCCACCTCAGCATCCCAAGTAGCTGTGACTAGGCAGGCACATGCCACCATACCAGACTAATTTTTGTATTTTTGTGTGTGTGTGGAGACAGAGTTTCATTATTTTGCCCAAGCTAGTCTCAAACTGCTGGACTCAAGCAATCTTCCCGCCTCAGCCTCCCAAAGTGTTGGGATTACAGGCATGAGTCACTGCACCTGGCCCTTCAGAAGTTTTTAACATTTCATTCTTACTACGAAATGCTTTTTCTCACATTAACTTCTTTCTTCTTCTTACTACTCTCACAAACATTTTTGCTTTCCAAACTCGATTCTAAAATCCACCATTTCACACACTCTCCAGACAATATCCCCAAATCCCATAGAGTATCAGTAGGGTCACAAACTTTCTTTTTAACAATGATCATAAAGTCATAAATACACATTAACTGGTTCCAAATTCTTTACAGTGAATTATATTACTAATTTAATTATAAAAAGGAAGGGAAAGTTAAAAAAAGACTTTGCCTATCCAAAAACAGAAAAATAATTTTAAAGAAATATGAATTATGGGAAACAATTCCAGCATATTTTACAGGCAGATATTTAATATTCTTAATATATAAATAAGTCTGAATACCTAAAATAGTTTTATTCCAAGTCTGCAGTGAAATAATTCAAATAATAATTCTGCATTACAAACATATAAAGACTAAGGAAGAACAAAATTATAATGTATGTAAGCAAAAATACATATTAAACAACAGAATTTATTAACCATACTATACATATAGTGATTAAAATTTTCTAAAACAATATATAATGTCATCTGAACCTACCTATATAGTACTAGGAACATGGAAATATATCTAGAGAATAGAAACTACATTACCAAGGATGGACATCTTGTTACATAACAGGACAAGAGATTTAAAACTTTTCTCCAATGAATACTTATTTCTCCACTGCATTTATTTTTGGAACAAATACATTAATTTTGAAGTCAGAAAAATTAAAACGAGATAAAATTTTATAATATTATATATTTCTCATTAGAAATGTGACCACAATAATAATTCTGTCAAAATGTAGTTCTGTACATGAAAAAATATATATCAAATATACATACATATGCGCACATAATTTTTAAAAAGAAGTTACAAAACATTTTGCAATATACATCTGTATGCAGGCATTTATGTGTGTGTGTGTGTGTATATATATACATATATATATAAAAAAATCATCTGTCTCACACACACACAAACAAACACACATACACAGAGAGCTTTCTTTTTATCATGGAGGAGGCTGAAGAAAACTTCCTGGCACATGATTTAATATAATTTAATTACAGTAGGCTCTGTCTGGGCCACTTTATTTGCCATGTAAAATTCTAGAAAGTTCCTTCTGATGGGGCCTCTCCTTCCCAGGCTTCCTGCTTAATGATGTACAAGTAGCCATTTTGGAACTGGTCACTAGATGGTACTGATCTCTAATTTCTGATTTTTCCAATGAAAATCAATAATAATTTGGGAAAATGAAACAATCTTCTGCTAAAAGTCATTTTGCCTTGCGAGTGGTGCAAGAGTGTGTAAATCAAAATAATGATCAAATCCCTTTACTTAGTTTTCCTTTCTATGGTTCCACAAATATAAATATTTCTTCTTACTACTCTCACAAACATCTTTACTTTCCAAACTTGATTCTAAAACCCACCATTTCACACACTCTCCTGACAGTATCCCTAAATCCCATACAGTATGTAGCAATAGTGGTAACACTCTGCTGTGAGGGCTGGGGTCAGAGCAAAGAGAGGAGAATGGGTTCAGCCACTTTCTATAATTGTTTCATTAAGTTTCACACAGTTTTCTGGACATGCCCAACCGCTGAATAGTGGATTTCCATAATGGATTTCTCCAGGGATGAATCAGGTTATATAGCATTTCCCGTCTTTTATATCTGGCTAGAATCTCAGATTATCTCCTCCTTCTACTCTTTCCCTGGATAATGCCTCTTTTCCCCTCGGGTCTCAGTTTAAACATCACTTCCTGTGGGAAGCTTCCCCAACACATCCTAACGGTTTTATTAACTTTACCCACCTAGTAACTCCACCAGCTTCACCGTTTCCAGATACACTTTTTCATTTGAAAAGGGTCCAATGAGTGTGCACTCAAAATTTCTCATGGCTGTGGCTTCACACAATGGACTGATGACTCTGGAGCTTTCAAATGTCTTATCTAATGATTGGCCCAAGGATTTGCCTATTCCACTTTTGAGCGGGATGCCTGGGACATAGGTCAGATGAGTAACATAGGTCAGATAAGCCCAGATAGTGAAGACTACAGTGGATACTTAACTCTTCAATGCCCAGACACTGAAGAACATCTTGATTACGGTATATACTTTTATGGGCTTTGTTTCTGAATGTAACAGGAATTCACCCTCAATTTAAACAATAGAGAAACCACATTCATAAATGTAGGGGAAAATACAAATAACAAGCTCACTGCAACCTCTGCCTCCTGGGTTCAAGCGATTCTCCTGCCTCTGCCTCCCGAGTAGCTGGGATTACAGGTGCCTGCCACCACACCCAGCTAATTTTTGTATTTTTAGTAGAGACGCAGTTTTGCCATGTTGGCCAGGCTGGTTCTCGAACTCCTGACCTCAGGTGATCCACCTGTCTCGGCATCTCAAAGTCCTGGGATTACAGGTGTGAGCCACCACGCCTGACCAATTAGTGATATTTTAATCAGTTTCTACTATCTTCTAGGCCCCTTCCTTCTATTCTTATTAAATTCTCACAATAATAATAATGTCACTAGACTAGTGTTATGAGAATGTTGATAGATTATTCTGCTGCCACTACTAGTTTATATGATACTTAATAGCATTGCTTCCCTTCTATTTCTATTTAGGAGGTGAAGAATCTTTTTTTTTTTTTTTTTTTGAGACGGAGTCTCGCTCTGTCGCCCAGGCCGGACTGCGGACTGCAGTGGCGCAATCTCGGCTCACTGCAAGCTCCGCTTCCCGGGTTCACGCCATTCTCCTGCCTCAGCCTCCCGAGTAGCTGGGACTACAGGCGCCCGCCACCGCGCCCGGCTAATTTTTTGTATTTTTAGTAGAGACGGGGTTTCACCTTGTTAGCCAGGATGGTCTCGATCTCCTGACCTCATGATCCACCCGCCTCGGCCTCCCAAAGTGCTGGGATTACAGGCGTGAGCCACCGCGCCCGGCCAAGAATCTTTTAAGAAAGTGGAAAGCTGCTATATTTAAATTTGTATTGCAAAACATTTGTGATACAGTATTTGTAAAATTGAGGTAAAAAAATTTCTCAAAGTCTATTTTTTCATCTCGTTCTTTTAATAAAGGAACTATAGCTGAAAAAAAAAGGAATAAGATAAATTCCCTGAAGTGGAAATTGTGGGACAGAATAAATTTTTGTCCAGTTTTGTTTTGATGGAAGGTGCATTTGGAAACAGACTACATTCATTTTTTTAAGACAATACAAAAGGCTGACAAAGACTCAGAGCAACTTAACTGTCATACATTGCCCTGGCAGGGATTCAAATGGCAAAATGACCTTGGAAAACAATTTGGCAGTTTTTATAAACAACATAAAGATAGCACTTAACCCACAATCCCACTCCTAGGTATTTTACCTAAGAGATTTGAAGACTTCATAAGTTTGCATAAAAATGTGTACATGAATGTTCATAGTATCATTGTTCATAATAGACAAAAGTAGAAAAAGCCCAAATGTCTATCAATTGATGAATGGATAAATATATGGTATTGTAAGCCATACAATGAAATATTAATATTATTCAGCCTTAAGAAGGAATTAAGTGACTGATGTATGATACAATGCAGATGAACCTAAAAAATATTAAGCTAAGTGAAAGAAACCAGAAAAAAACAAAGGAATATTTCCTATGTAATTCCACTTTTATAACATTGTGGAAAATATAAAACTATAGAGATAAAAAATCAGATTAGAGGTTGCCAGAGACTGGCGGGAGGGAGAAGGGGATTGACTACAAGAGCACAACTGGGCTCTACCAGTGATAGAAATGTTTATGCCTCTGTGATGGTCATGGTTGCCAATTGTATTCATTTTTCAGTTATCGAACTGAACACCTAAAAACAATCAGACTGACAGTAGGTAAAGTATATCCCAGTAACCAAAGTTGAGGGGGCAGAAATGGACCACATTTAAGACCAGATCTGAGTTGAAGAGGCTGCTGAAACACTGAGAGAATACCATCAGAAACAACAGGAAACACTTAAAAATAGCTAAGAGAGCAACTGTTCACATTTGGCTATTTCCCTTGCCCTCTGTGCAAACTTTCTGGTTTTAAAAATAAAATAAGTAGGTTCAGCGGACGCGCGCGGCCTCGATCTCTGGACTCGTCACCTGCCCCTCCCCCTCCCGCCGCCGTCACCCAGGAAACCGGCCGCAATCGCCGGCCGACCTGAAGCTGGTTTCGTGGCAGCCTCAAAGAAGGCAGTTTTGGGGCCATTGGTGGGGGCGGTGGACCAGGGCACCAGTTCGACGAGCTTTTTGGTTTTCAATTCAAAAACAGCTGAACTACTTAGTCATCATCAAGTAGAAATAAAACAAGAGTCCCCAAGAGAAGGATGGGTGGAACAGGACCCTAAGGAAATTCTACATTCTGTCTATGAGTGTATAGAGAAAACATGTGAGAAACTTGGACAGCTCAATATTGATATTTCCAACATAAAAGCTATTGGTGTCAGCAACCAGAGGGAAACCACTGTAGTCTGGGACAAGATAACTGGAGAGCCTCTCTACAATGCTGTGGTGTGGCTTGATCTAAGAACCCAGTCTACCGTTGAGAGTCTTAGTAAAAGAATTCCAGGAAATAATAACTTTGTCAAGTCCAAGACAGGCCTTCCACTTAGCACTTACTTCAGTGCAGTGAAACTTCGTTGGCTCCTTGACAATGTGAGAAAAGTTCAAAAGGCCGTTGAAGAAAAATGAGCTCTTTTTGGGACTATTGATTCATGGCTTATTTGGAATTTGACAGGAGGAGTCAATGGAGGTGTCCACTGTACAGATGTAACAAATGCAAGTAGGACTATGCTTTTCAACATTCATTCTTTGGAATGGGATAAACAACTCTGCGAATTTTTTGGAATTCCAATGGAAATTCTTCCAAATGTCCGGAGTTCTTCTGAGATCTATGGCCTAATGAAAGCTGGGGCCTTGGAAGGTGTGCCAATATCTGGGTGTTTAGGGGACCAGTCTGCTGCATTGGTGGGACAAATGTGCTTCCAGATTGGACAAGCCAAAAATACGTATGGAACAGGATGTTTCTTACTGTGTAATACAGGCCATAAGTGTGTATTTTCTGATCATGGCCTTCTCACCACAGTGGCTTACAAACTTGGCAGAGACAAACCAGTATATTATGCTTTGGAAGGTTCTGTAGCTATAGCTGGTGCTGTTATTCGCTGGCTAAGAGACAATCTTGGAATTATAAAGACCTCAGAAGAAATTGAAAAACTTGCTAAAGAAGTAGGTACTTCTTATGGCTGCTACTTCGTCCCAGCATTTTCGGGGTTATATGCACCTTATTGGGAGCCCAGCACAAGAGGGATAATCTGTGGACTCACTCAGTTCACCAATAAATGCCATATTGCTTTTGCTGCATTAGAAGCTGTTTGTTTCCAAACTCGAGAGATTTTGGATGCCATGAATCGAGACTGTGGAATTCCACTCAGTCATTTGCAGGTAGATGGAGGAATGACCAGCAACAAAATTCTTATGCAGCTACAAGCAGACATTCTGTATATACCAGTAGTGAAGCCCTCAATGCCCGAAACCACTGCACTGGGTGCTGCTATGGAGGCAGGGGCTGCAGAAGGAGTCGGCGTATGGAGTCTCGAACCCGAGGATTTGTCTGCCGTCACGATGGAGCGGTTTGAACCTCAGATTAATGCTGAGGAAAGTGAAATTCGTTATTCTACATGGAAGAAAGCTGTGATGAAGTCAATGGGTTGGGTTACAACTCAATCTCCAGAAAGTGGTGACCCTAGTATCTTCTGTAGTCTGCCCTTGGGCTTTTTTATAGTGAGTAGCATGGTAATGTTAATCGGAGCAAGGTACATCTCAGGTATTCCATAAAACCTACCAAATCATGGATTCCCAAGATGTGAGCTTTTTACATAATGAAAGAACCCAGCAATTCTGTCTCTTAATGCAATGACACTATTCATAGACTTTGATTTTATTTATAAGCCACTTGCTGCATGACCCTCCAAGTAGACCTGTGGCTTAAAATAAAGAAAATGCAGCAAAAAGAATGCTATAGAAATATTTGGTGTTTTTTTTTTTTTAAACATCCACAGTTAAGGTTGGGCCAGCTACCTTTGGGGCTGACCCCCTCCATTGCCATAACATCCTGCTCCATTCCCTCTAAGATGTAGGAAGAATTCGGATCCTTACCATTGGAATCTTCCATCGAACATACTCAAACACTATTGGACCAGGATTTGAGTCTCTGCATGACATATACTTGATTAAAAGGTTATTACTAACCTGTTAAAAATCAGCAGCTCTTTGCTTTTAACAGACACCCTAAAAGTCTTCTTTTCTACATAGTTGAAGACAGCAACATCTTCACTGAATGTTTGAATAGAAACCTCTACTAAATTATTAAAATAGACATTTAGTGTTCTCACAGCTTGGATATTTTTCTGAAAAGTTATTTGCCAAAACTGAAATCCTTCAGATGTTTTCCATGGTCCCACTAATTATAATGACTTTCTGTCTGGATCTTATAGGAAAGGATACTTTCTTTTTTCTTCCATCTTTCCTTTTTATATTTTTTACTTTGTATGTATAACATACATGCCTATATATTTTATACACTGAGGGTAGCCCATTTATAAATTAAGAGCACATTATATTCAGAAGGTTCTAACAGGGCTGGTCTTAAGTGAACCACTGTGTATATAAATATGTTGGAAAACAGCTGTATACATTTTTGGGCAACGGTTATGCATAATATTTACCAGGAGAATTTTTTTCTTAACAAGCCAACATTTAAAATTTATGTTTTATGTCAATAAAAGGAAATATACTTTATTGTGACTTCAACTATATTTCTTATCCCTTACATTTTTATTTAATTGTCTTAGCTTAAAAAAAATAAGAAACTGTGGAATACTACAGTAAATATTGTTTTCAAACACAAGCAATAATTCAAATAGTTATTTTTCTTTTGAATTAATTGTAGACATATTTTGGATCCTATTGAGGGGATAAGAGGATGTCAAAAAAGTTAAATACCTAAGTAGAAAAAAATATAGAAATAAAGCCAAGAATCTCTTTCAGTTCAAATGTTATCAATTGTTAATAAGAAATTGCTATCTGGGATGACAGAATTATCTCTGCTTAGTGTCTTATTATAACTGAAAGAAGGTTTATCATTACAAATGCCTTCCAATGAAACCAAGAATTTCTCAAAATATTTAATGTCACATATTATAAGAAGTTACCTAATCCTGCTTCTTAACGTCAATTTTTAAAAATATCTTAAAATTACTTTGTTTTGCAGTAAACAGTGAAGAAAAGATTGCCTCCTAATTATTTTTTTCAACAAGTGCTGAATAGGAAAACATTTATATCTTACTATAAAAGGTTCTGTTTTGTTTGGAATTAATGGTAGCTTTATTGACTGTTCTGATTGTGCTGTTTCTGAATTATTGAATCTGCTAGGTTTTATTCATGCAGCCACCACTTAAGTGACATAAATATTATAGAAAGGTACTGTGAAATGATCACTTTGTGGCAGGGGTACTTTTAAACATAAATGTTTCTACAAAAGTAGGTTGAGTTCATTGTAAATAATTGTGAAAGCCACTGTTCAAATAATTTTAAGATTACATTAATTTTTCTATAAACTGCAAGATTTATAAATGTTTGAAATTGTACACATTGATATTTAATGACAAATTTACTTAAAATAAATTGACCCCTTGTTCTTAAAAAATAAATAAATAAAAATAAAAAAATAAAATAAAATAAAATAAGTATATTGTAAAAAAATCTTAATGATAATGACTAAAAGAATAGTAACTTAATGTATAATTTGCTGAAGAGTAGAATTAAACCAAGGATTTGAGAGGAGAAAAAAGCCTGAAAGAATTTGAAAACTGCCAGAAAAACAGAAAAAAAGTAGGGCATAGAAAAGGTAGAAAAATAGAAAGCACAAAATAAAATGGTAAAAGTAAATCCAAATGTATAGGAAATCATATTAAGTATAAACTAACTCAGTCAGTTTTTAAAAAGACAATATCTGATTGATTTTTTTAAGTTCAGTTATACGCAATTTACAAGAGACACCACTAAAATGAAATGACACAGAAGGGGAAAACAATTCTAGATACACTGAGTTAACAAGATTTATAGCTAAAATATGACAGCATAGAAATTTTGAAAGTAAAGGGACAGCAAAAGACATACCAGCAAAATACTGAACAAAAGAAACTTAGCGTAGCTATATTACTATCAGGAAAAAAACAGTCTTTAAGGCAAAAAGCATTATTAAGGGTAATGAAGGTCAGTACAGATGAAAGGTATAATTCTCCAGGAAAGTATCACAGTTATATGCTTTTATGCCTCCTACTAACACAGCTTCAAACCTACAGAGCAAAAATCAACGAATTACAAAGAGAAATTGACATATCTACCATTTCTGAGAGTTCTTAACATTCCTCTCTCAGTAATTGATAGATCAAGCAGGCAAAAAAAAAAATAAGTAAAGATATGGAAAACTTGAAAAACAAAATTAACAAGCTTGATCTAATGGACATATTATTCTGCACCAACTATTCAAAAACTCAATAGAAAGGAGGCAGAACAAGATGGCAGAATAGAAAAGCTCCACTGACTATTCCCAGAGCAAGGAACCAAGTTAAAATCTACACAGAAAAACACTTTCATAAGAACCAAAAATCAGATGAGCACTCATAATATGCAGTTTTAAATTCATATCACTGAAAGAGGCACTGAAGACATAGAAAATCACCAACTCCACCCTTCCGCAACCCTGGTCAGTAGTGGTGTGGTGCAGAGAGCATCTCTTGGCGCTGGGGGAGGGAGAATACAGTTGTGTGCAATTATGAGGCATTCAAATAAGTGCTGTCCTATTAGAGCAGCAAGGAAAACCAGGACAAACTTAGCTGACAGAGAGAGCATTTAAATCAACACTAGCTAGAGTGAGAATCACCCATCGCAGCAGTCTGAACTGGAGAGTCCACAAACCTCACCACCCAGGGCTACAGCGCTGTCTCCAAGTAAACTTGAAAGTCAGTCTAGGTTATAAGGACTACAACTCTTAGACAAGTCCTAGTGCTGAACTAGGCCCAGAGACAGTGGACTGTGGGGGTGGGGGGTGGGGCATGCAACCAACTGAGAAACCAGCTGGGTCAGCCTAGGGAGTGCTGGCATCACCTCTCCCCTAACCCCAGGCTTCACAGTTCATGGCTTCAAAAGAGACTCCTTCCTTCTGCTTTAGAAGAGGAGAAGGAAGAGTGGTGAGGACTCTGTCTTCCATCTAAGATACCAGCTCAGTCACAGCAGGATAGGGCACTGCTCAGAGTTACAAAGCCCCCATTCCAAGCCCTAGGTCCTGGATGACATTTCTAGACACACACTGGGCCAGAAGAGAACCCACTGCCTTGAAGGAAAGGACCAAGTCCTTGCAGCATTCATCACCTGCTAACTGAAGAGCCCTTGGGCCCTGAATAACCAGCAGCAATACCCAGGTACTAAATTGAGGACCTTGGGTGAGCCTCTGAGACTAGCTGGCTTCAGGTGAGACTCAGCACATTACCAGCTGTGGTGTCTATGGGGCAAAACTCTTTCTGCTTGAGAAAAGCAGAGGGAAAAGTAAAGGGAGCTTTGTCTTGTACCTTAGGTACCAGCATGACTACAGGGGAGTGAAGCACCAAGAGGGCTCTTGGTGTCCCCAGTTCTAAGAATTTACTCTGGGAAGGTATTTTGGACCTTTCCTGGGAGAGAGGGGAGCCCACTGCCCTGAAGGGTGAGTCCCAGGCCAGGCAGCATTCTCCACAAGCGGACTTAAGAGCTTTGGGGTCTTAAGGGAACATCACTGGTAGTCTGGCAGTACTCCTCATGACCAGAAGAAGCAGCGGCTATGGGGTGAGGTTTCTCTGCCTTTGGAAAAGGAAGAGAAGAGTGACAAGGACTGCATCTTGTGGTTTGACTGCCAGCTCAGCCACAATAAAATAGAACACCAGATAGACTTCTAAGGTTTTTCATCCTACTCCCTGACTCCCTGATGGCACCTGCAGACCCACCCAGGGCCTGGGGGCCTTTGCTACCCTGAAGAGAAGAATATTGGCTTGACTGGCCTTGCCACCTGCTAACTGTGGAGCCCCAGGGCCTTGAGTGAGCATAAGCAGTAGTCAGAGAAGGGTTACAGTAGGCATTGGGTGAAACTCAGCACTATGCTGGTTTCAGGTCTGACCGAGCACAGTCATAGCAGTGGTGGTCACATGGGTGTTGTGTCACTCCACCCCCAGCTTTAGGTGGCTCAAAATAGAGAGAGAGAGAGAGAGAGAGAGAGAGAGAGACTTTATAGGTTTGGGAAAAATAAGGGAAGAAAACAAGACTCTCTGCCTGGTAATCCAGAGAATTCTCCTGGATCTTGTCCAAGACCATCGCGGTGGTACCATGAAGAGTCTGCAAGAACCACAGCGTTACTGGGCTTGGGGTGCCCCCTAAAGCAGATATAGCTTAGCTAACAACACTCAAGTCTTTTCAAATATCTGGAAATGCTTCCCAAGAAAGACAGCTAAAAATAAGCCCAGACAGTGAAGACTACAATGAATGCCTAACTCTTCAGTGCCTAGACACTGAAGAACACCTACTAGCATCAGCACCATCCAGGAAAACATGACCTCATCAAGCAAACTAAATGAGGCCCAGGAACCAAACCTGGAGAAACACAGGTATGTGACCTTTCAGAGAATTCAAAATAGCTATGTTGAAGAAACTTAAAGAAATTCCAGATAACACAGAGATTGAATCAAAATTCTATTAGATAAATTTAACAAAGAGATTGAAATAATTAAAAGGAATCAAGCAGAAATTCTGAAGCTGAAAAATGCAATTGGCATACTGAAGAATGCATCAGAATCCTTTAATAGCAGAATGGATCAAACAGAAGTAAGAACTAGTGGGCTTGAAGACAACCTATTTGAAAATACAAAGTCAGAGGAGACAAAAGAGAAAAGAATAAAAAACAATAAAGCACACCTACATGATCTAGAAAATATACTCAAAAGGGCAAATCTCAGAGTTAGTGGCCTTAAAGAGGAGGCAAAGAAAGAGATAGAGGTAGAAAATTTATTCAAAAGGAATAATAACAGAGCACTTCACAAACCTAGATAAAAATATCAACATTCAAGTACAAGAAGGTTGTAGAACACCAAGCAGATTTAACCCAAAGAAGACTACCTCAAGGCATTTAATAATCAAGCTCCCAAAGATCAAGGATAAAGAAAGGATCCTAAAAGCACCAAGAGAAAAGAAACAAATAACATACAATGGAGTCCAATACATCTAGCAACAGACTTTTCAGTGGAAACCTTACAGGACAGGAGAGTGGCATGACATATTTATAGTGCTGAAGGAAAAAAACTTTTATCCTAGAATAATATGTCCAGCAAAAATATCCTTTAAACATGAAAGAGAAATAAAGACTTTTCCAGACAAACTAAAGCTGAAGAGTTTCATTAACACCAGACTTGTCCTACAAGAAATGCTAAAGAAAGTACTTCAATCAGAAAGAAACGGACATTAATGAGTAATAATCACCTGAAGGTATAAAACTCACTGGTAATAGTAAGTACACAGAAAAACACAGAATATTATAATACTGTAATTGTGGTGTGTAAACTACTTTTATCCTAAGTAGAAAGAGTAAATGATGAACCAATCCAAAATAATAACTACAATAACTTTTCAACACATAGTCAGTAAAATAAGATATAAATAGATACAAAGAGATTAAAAGCAGGAGGAGAAAGTTAAAGTGTGGAATTTTTATTAGTTTCCTTTTTGCTTGTTTCTTTATGCAAATAGTGTTAAGTTGTTACCAGGTTAAAACAATGGGCTATAAGAAGGTATTTGCAAGCCTCATGGGAACCTCAAATCAAAAACCACACAATGAATACAGAAAAAAATAAAAAGCAAGAAACAAAATCACATCACCAGAGAAAATTACCTTCACTAGAGGAAGACATGAAGGAAAGAAAGTGTAGGAAGAGAAGACCATAAGAAGCCAGAAAACCAGTAACAAAATGGCAGGAGTAAGTCCTTACTTATCAATAATAACATTGAATGTAAATGGCCTAAACTCTTCAATCAAAAGACATAGTCTGGCTGAAAGGATGAAAATGCAAGACCCATTGATCTGTTGCACATAAGAAACACATTTCACTTACAAAGACACACATAGACTGAAAATAAAGAGATGGAAAAATATATTCTATGCCAATGGAAAGAAAAAAAGAGCAGGAGTCACTATACTTACATCAGACGAAATAGATTTCCAGAAAAAAAAACTATAAGAAGAGACAAAGAAGGTTACTATATAATGATAAAATGTTCAATTCAGCAAGAGGATATAACAGTTTTAAATGTATATGCACCCAACACTGGATCACCCAGATATATAAAGCAAATATTATTAGAGCTAAAGAAAAAGAAAGGCCCTGATACAATATAGCTGAAGACTTCAACACCCCACTTTCAGCATTGGACAGATCTTCCAGACAATCAACAAAGAAACATCAAACTTAATCTGCACTATAGACCAAATAGATGTAATAGATATTTAAAGAACATTTCATCCAATGGCTACAGAATACACATTCTTTTACTCAGCACATGGATCATTCTCAAGGATAGACCATATGTTGGGTCACAACACAAGTCTTAAAACATTCCAGAAACCTGAAATTGTATCAAGCATGTTCTCTGACCACAATAGAATAAAACTAGAAATTCAAAACAAGGAATTTGGAAAACTATACAAATACATGGAAATTAAACAATATTCTCTTGAATGACAGTAATTGGGTCAGGGAAGAAATAAAGAAGGAAATTGAAAAACTTCTTGAAACAAATGATAATGGAAATACAACATACCATATCCTATGGGATAAAGCAAAAGTGATACTAAGACGGAAATTTATAGCTATAAGTGCCTACATCAAAAAAGAGAAAAAAACTTCAAATAAACAATCTAATGATGCATCTTAAAGAAATAGAAAAGCAAGAGCAAACCAAACCCAAAATTAGTAGAAAAAAGAAATAATAAAGATCAGAGCAAAAATAAATGGATTTGAAATGAAAAAAAAACACAAAACATCAATGAAACAAAAAGTCAGTTTTTTGAAAAGTTAAAATTGACAAACCATTAGCCAGATTAACTAACAAAAAGAGAGAGAAGATCCAAATAAATAAAATCAGAGATGAAAAAGGAGACATTACAACTGATACCACAGAAATTTAAAGGATCATTAGTGGCTACTATGAGCAAAAATATACCAATAAATTGGAAAATCTAGAAGAAATGAACAAATTCCTGGACATACACAATCTACCAAAATTGAAACAGGAAGAAATCCAAACCCTGAACATACCAATAGCAAGTAACGAGATCAAAGCTGTAATAAAAAAATCTCCCAGTGGAGAAAAGTGTGGGATCTGACAGCTTCACCGCTGAATTTTTACAAACATTTAAAGAACAACTAATACCAATCTGAATCAAGCTATTCCGAGAAATAGAGGAGGAAGGAATACTTTGAAATTAATTCTATGAGGCCAGTATTACCCTGATTCCAAAGCCAGAAAAAGACACACAAAAAAGAAAACTACAGGCCAATATCTCTGATGGATATGGGTGAAAAAATGCTCAACAAAATACTAGCAAACCGAATTCAACAATACATTAGAAAGATCATTCATCATGACCAAGTAGGATTTATCCCTGGGATGCAGAGATGGTTCAAGATACACAAATCAATCAGTGTGAGACATCATATTAAGAGAATGAAGGATAAAAGCCATATGATCATTTCTATTGATGCTGAAAAAGCATTTGACAAAATTCAACATCCCTTCATAATAGAAAAAAAAACCCTCAAAAACTGGGGATAGAAGGAACATACCCCAAAATAATAAAAGCCATATGTGACAGACTTACAGCTGGTATCATACCAAATGGGGAAAACATGACAGCCTTTCCTCTAAGATCTGGAACATGACAAGGATGCCCACTGACACCACTGTTATTCAACATAGTGCTGGAAGTCCTAGCTAGAGCAATCAGACAAGTGAAAGATATAAAGGGCATCCAAATTGGAAAGGAAGAAAACAAATTATGCTTGTTCGCTGATATGATCTTATATTTGGAAAAACCTAAAGATTACACAAGGAAACTATTAAAACTGATAAACAAACTCACTAAAGTTGCAGGATACAAAATCAACATACAAAAATCAGTAGCATTTCTATATACCAACATTGACAAATCTGAAAAAGAAATTTAAAAAGTAATCCTACCTACAGTAGCCACCCATAAAATTAAATACCTAGGAATTAACCAAAGAAGTGAAAGATCTCTATAATTAACTCTAAAACACTAATGACAGAAATTGAAAAGGACCCCCTAAAATGGGAATATATTTCACATTTATGGACTGAAAGAATTCATATGGTTAAAATGTCCATACTACCTGCATTAGTCTGTTCTCACCTTGCTATAAAGAAATACCTGAGACTGGGTAATTTATAAAGAAAAGAGTCTTAATTGGTTCATGGTTCCACAGGCTGTACAGGAAGCATGATGCTGGTATCTGCTCAACTTCTAGTGAGGCCTCAGGAAACATTACTGCAGAAGGTAAAGTGGGAGCAGGCACTTCACTTGGCCAAAGCAGGGGAAAGAGAGAGAGTGGGGAGGTGCCAAACACTTTTAAATGACCAGATCTCATGAGAACATCAGAAGAACAGTACCAAGAGGATAGTGCTAAACCATTCATGAGACACCACCCTATGATCCGATCACCTCCCACCAGGCACCACCTCCAACATTAGGGATCACAATTTAACATGATATTTGGGTGGGGACAAATATTCAAACCATGACACTACCCAAGCAATCTATAGATTCAATGCAATCTCTATCAAAATACCAATGACATTCTTCTCAGACACTGAAAAAAAATCCCAAAATCTATATAGAATCACAATAAAACCAGAATAGCCAAAGCTATCCTAAGCAAAAAGAACAAATCTGGGGGAATCACATTACCTAACTTCAAATTATAGTACAGAGCTATAGTAACCAAAACAGCATAGTACTGGCATAAAAACAGACACATAGACCAAGGAACCAGAATAGAGAACCCAGAAACAAATCCATACACCTACAGTGAATTCATTTTCGACAAAAAGTGCCAAGAACTTACGCTGGGGAAAAGAACATCTCTTCAATAAATAGTGCTGGGAAAACTGGATATCCACATGCAGAAAAATAAAACTGGACCTTTATCTCTTGCCATATACAAAAATCAAACCAAAATGGATTAAAAACTTAAATCTAAGTCTTTAATCAAACTATCAAACTACTGCAAAAAATGGGGAAAATCTTCAGGACATTGTTCGGGCAAAACTTTCTTGAGCAATACCCTTCAAGCACAGGCAACTAAAGCAAAAATGGACAAATGGGATCACATCAAGTTAAAAAGCTTCTGCACAGCAACAGATCCAATCAACAAAGTGAAGAAACAACCCACAGAATGGGAGAAAACACGTGCAAGTTACCCATCTGACAAGGGATTAATTACCATAATATATAAGGAACTCAAACAACTCTATAGGAAAAAATCTAATAATCCTATAAAAAACCAAGCAAAAACTTTGAATAGACAGTACTCAACAGAAGACATACAAATGGCAGACATGCATATGAAAAGGTGCTCAACATCATTGATCATCAGAGAAATGCAAATCAAAACTAGAATGAGATAACATCTCACCCCAGTTAAAATGGCTTATATCCAAAGGACAGGCAGTGACAAATGCTGGTGAGGATGTGGAGCAAAAGGAACCCTCGTACACTGTTGTTGGGAATGTAAATTAGCAAAACTACTATGGAAAACAGTCTGGAGGTTCCTCAAAAAACTAAAAATTGAGCTACCATATGATCCCGCAATCCCGCTGCTGGGTATATATCCAAAAGGAAAGAAATCAGTATTATCAAAGAGATATCTGCGGTCTTATGTTTGTTACAGCACTGTTTATAATAGCTAAGATTTGGAAGCAACCTAATGTCCATCAACAGATGAATAGATTTAAAAAAAAAAAAAAAAGGTGTTGGCCGGGCACAGTGGCTCAAGCCTGTAATACCAGCACTTTAAGAGGCCGAGGTGGGTGGATCACCTGAGGTCAGGAGTTTGAGACCAGCCTGGCCAACATGGTGAAACCCTGACTCTACTAAAAAAAATAAAAAATAAAAAAATAAAGAAATTAGCAGGGCATGGTGGCAGGCGCCTGTAATTCGAGCTATTCAGGAGGCTGAGGCAGGGAGAATTGCTTGAACCTGGGAAGCCGAGGTTGCAGTGAGCTGAGATCATGCCACTGTACTCCAGCCTGGGCGACAGAGCGAGACTCTGTCTCAAAAAAAAAAAAAAAAAAAAGGTGGTACATAGTACTATTCAGCCATAAAATGAATGCGAGTCAGTCATTTTCAACAACATGACTGGAGATCATTATGTTAAGTGAAGTAAGCCAGGCACAGAAAGACAAACATCTATTCAGTTGAACTCATGGACATAGAGAATAGAAGGATGGTTACCAGAGTCTGGGAAGGGTAGTGGGGGCCTGGAGGGGAATGGGGATAGTTAATAGGTAGAAAAAAATAGTTAGAAAGCATGAATAAGACCTACTATTTGATAGCACAACAGGGTGACTATAGTAAATAACGTAATTGTGCATTTTAAAATCATTAAAAGCGTCTAATTGGATTGTTTGTAACACAAAGGATAAATGCTTGAGGGGATGGTTACCCCATTCTCCA
The DNA here is from genome assembly GCF_000001405.40 of Homo sapiens. Lineage (NCBI taxonomy): Eukaryota > Metazoa > Chordata > Mammalia > Primates > Hominidae > Homo > Homo sapiens. The sequence continues at coordinate 101,767,885 of NC_000023.11, read as the reverse complement.
TGGTGTGCTTACTTCACATTGCATGCCTGTGTCAAAACATCTCATGTACCACATAAATATATACACCTACTATGTACCCACCAAAAATAAAAATAAAAATTTTAACATAGAAAATTAGAGAAATCAAATTATTCTTAAGCATTCTATATAAATGGCTCATTTATAAAAATTGACATTGTACTGGTCCATAAAAGAAGTCTTAAAAAATTTACAAGTTGATTCTAAAGTATATTTGGAACAGCAAAAACGCCAAGAATAGCCAAGATAATTCTGAAGTCCAAAACAGAGTAGGGAGACTTGCTTTATTGGACATAAAGACCTATTCAAAGCTATAGTAATCAAGACAGTCTGAAATATGCCCAGGGACGAATAGATTTACCAGGTAAAATACAGGCAGCCCAGTTAAATTGGAATTTCAGATAAACAATGGGCATGTATTTTATGTGCCAAGCTTGGCAATCTTATAAATAAACAAACCAATAGAACCAAAGAGAGAGCCTAGAAACAGAACCATAAACATGTGGAACCTCAACATATGACAGAGGTAGCAGATCAGGTCAGTGGGAAAAAATACAGGTTATTCAATATGTGGTATTGGGATAATTGTTTATATGTATATTATATGTAAAAATGAAATAAAATTGCATCTGTATCTCATACCTATCAAAATTTGGTCCCAGGTGGATTAAAAATTTAAATGTGAAAAACAAACTCAAATAGAAGTAAATATAAGAATTAAGTTTTTGACTTTAGGATAAGAAAACTTTTTAAATCAGGACACAAAGAAATACAAACCATAAAGAAAATGTCTGATACTTAAACTACAACAAAATATAAAACTTTGAGCCAGGCATGGTGGCTTGTGCCTATTGTCCAAGCTAGTCTGGAGGCTGAGGCAGGAGGATCACTTGAACCCAGGAGCTTGAGGCCAGCCTGGGAAACATAGTGAGACCCCATTTCATATATATGTATATATACAAAAAAAGCCTTGTGTATCCAAACATTACATTTAAAAGGCATGGAAAGACAAACCTCGAACTGGAAAAACATATTTGCAACAAATACAGTGAACAAAGGATTAATTTCCAGAAATCACAACTAATCTATAATATATTAATAAGAAAGAAACATCACACAGTCTATGGAAGGTTCTAGAAGATTCAAATATCTTAACCGTTTCCAACGTTGGGGTGTTCTTTATATAAGTCTCGTCAGGAATGGAATTCTAGAAGCCCCTTAGACTACAGAGGGGTGGACTATAAAGCAATGTGAAGCTTCTTTCTCTGAATGGTTGCTATGAGTGGTAGAAATGCTTTCATATGGATCAGAGGCAATATGATCCACCACTTAACCTTCATAAGCAAGAAATAGTTTTGCATTTGGAGTTCTTGTAAAAACAGTCTGACTCAGCCCAGTGCTTTTACCTGTAGGCCTGCAGAAGCAGATATGTATCATCTCACAAGGTCTTGACAAGCAATAGATATTTCTAGATTTTCTTTACACTCTTATTTCACGTATTGTTAGAGGCACATACAGCAAACATTGTTATTATTCTATAATTAACACAATACAAACATAGAAACAGCCTTACATGTATCTCAAAGCATTCCTATTTGTCTTTCCCCATAACGTTCTTTCTAAGAAGTTGCATTTTGTGAGGTAACTAATTTTAGCCATTTAGCCACTCAATACTCACATTTTCAGAAGAGAAACGTGGTGCTCCATGTCCATGCACGTCAGGAAATTTAGATTTTATTTAAAAACCAATAATGACAATATTATATGCGGGTCAATTCCACAGGGTGGTACTTAGCAGTCCAGAGAGATTAGGAACATACAGACAGGGAAACTTTTACATTTTACTTTACACATGTCTGTACTGTTGGCATTTAACAGGACACATAATATTTTTATTATTAAAATAATAGTATGAAAATCAAAATTCTGAGATTCAAGTTTTAGCCTTTCTGAATTTGGCCTTGCTTGCATCCTCCTTCAGCATTTTTTTTTTTTTTTTGCAACTAGAATTTTAAAGCCCAACCAAAACCATTTATTTTCTACTTTTTAGTAAACCTTCCATATATTTTGTAGGCATGCCCTTTACAAGGTGCTGTTTGAATTATTTCCAACATCCGGACGCTTCCCATTTATTTTGGTATGTATGCGTTCTGCATTAAGAGAATTCCTTATGGCAATGTGGATTCTATTAAGATGAAAAATGAAGGGGTATGTCCCATTACTTAGCAATGCTACTGCAGGCATCTTTCAAAGAGAACACCCTCCACCATCCCACTTGACCCCAATCAACCCCCGACAGGAAGGACGCACAGCGACAGAAGGCTAAATGTCAGGCAAGTGGAAATTTTAAATTACAAAATGTGAATGGCTTAAAGTGATCCTAATGTTGGAGTCCATCCTAATAAAGCTGGAGATAATGTGGCACATAGATATGCAGTGACTTGCCCAAGGTCACACAACCACTACACAGGAGGGAAAAACTAACACCTGGCTATCAGAAATGAATATAAATATTTGTGTATATACATTATATTTGTATGTATACATTATTTTTGTTTGTATATAAATAAATATAAAACACACAATAAATATAAAAAACCCAATAGGACAATAAGAGAAGAGGGCATTACCTGATTGGTACAAGTCTAATTTACCACTGTGGTCCTAAATTATGGCAACAGCATAACATCTGATACCAGAAGGAAATAGACTCCAACCTCAATTTTTTCATGTAATAGATGCAAGCTACACAAGCTATAACATTTCCCCGTGTCTCAGAGGCATATATTTTTTCACTTTTAACACCTAAATTAGTGCTGTCTTACCATTATAATAGCCAGAATTTTGCTTTTCCTAGTAGTCCCTAAAATAGTGTGGCGTCTTAGATTCGATGAATACCTGTCAGAGCCTCAGTTTTCTCATCTAGAGAATGGAGCTGAAAATGTTGTGAGGATTAAGGGAGGTAAAACTGTGTATAGCAGCAATCCCAGGGCCTGACACAGAGGAGTGCGCAGAGTTCCAGTGGGAGGAGACGAGAACAGGGGAGGAAAGAACCATGGAACCCAACCCCTGAGCCTTTCAGTGTATCAGGCCCCTAAAATGTGCACGCTCCTTCCCGATCCAGCCTAGAGTGCATGACTCATCACTTGAACTATTTCACTTCAGTGATCTTCAACACTTTTTTTCCTTGGTCCCTGTGCTTCAACCACAGGGTAAACTCCAAGCCTTGCAATATATAGCTCTGTACAGACTGTCCTGCAGGACAAATTTCTGCAACAGGAATTGCAGTGTCAAAGTGCCTAAGCCCCTTTTTAACTGATGAGATGAATTCAGGGAAAGGAAATACCACCACTGTGCATGGGATTAGAAATTGGTATTGAACATTTTAAATCTGCATTTGGCAATGCCATATGTTTTGGTTAAAATTTTTTACTTTCAGGAATTTATCCTATGGAAAATCTTACAAAAGTTCCAAAAATATATGCACAATCACCATGGTTGTACCATGGTTTCAAATAGGAAATTCTTGAAACATGTTTTGTTGTAAGATAAATTCCTCAGAACAGAATGGCTGGATCAAGGCTCCTCAGGATATAAAATACTTAATTAAATGGAAAAAATAAGATTATTTGAAGAAAATAAGAATTACCACCAATTCTTAGGCCCCCAGTCATAAAAAAAAATCACCTCTTTCTTTTATATTACTAGGATATATAATGTTCTTGGAAATAGTTACCTGGAATAGGGGGAGTTGTGCCTATTATGGCACTGTGTTGGACAGCTAATATACATACTATTTCAAGATCAATGTTATAACCAATTCCAAGATAAGGAAACTGAAGTTCAGAGGGTGAAGAAACTTGTAGGGGTAAGAGCTGGGATGGAATCTCCAGTACAGTTTAATATAAAGCACAGCATATTTATCTATATTTTGATAATTCCATCAGATTACTTCAAGAACTCTGCAATGAAAGGATTACTTTCCTCCTCTTTAGAACAAGAAAATGGGAAATCAGAAGAGTTAAGTACCTTACCTTTTGGTCACCCCCTAGCAATGGGCAAAGCCAGAGGAGAACACAAGGTATGTATAGCCCCAAAACATTTTCTCTTTCCAACCTATCACACTCCCTTGTGTTCCCTAGCTACTAAAAGCTTTTACAGGCTTTGTTTCTGTTTGTAAAAATAATCCATGCCCATTTAGGATATTATCAAAAGTACAGACAGGTATAAAAAGATACAAGTAACTTCCAATCATACTCTCATTGATAAACAGTGTTCATAGTTTCTTGAATCTCATTGAAACTAGAAATATACACATACATGCAAATATGTGTACAGCTGCATACCCATTTTATGGAACTGCAATCATACTGGATAGATAGGTGGTGGTGTGTACTAATGCTTCACATTATATCATATGGCATGAGAATAAGATTTCCCATTCTTTTGTTAGTGAACAGTTTAAAATGACCCAACATCAATTCTTAGCGTCTATGAATTATTAAGTAACAGCAAATGCCACATTTATGAAATTCTCAATGTCTCTGTACACTTGGTTCTGCTTCTTATTTTTCTATTCTGTCCCATTAATATGTATGTCAGTTCTTGCACCACCACTGAACCCTTTTAATGCTGCAGCGTAATAGAACCTGTCATCTAAGGTGAAACACTACATTCTTCCCAGCCCCAAACCCTTTATTATTCTTCTGATGGTCTTGAAAAAGCCAATAATAAAGGAACATGATGATAACATTTATTGATTACTTAGTGCCAGACACTTTACTAAATGCTGTACATGCATGTTCTCACTTAATTTTCAGTACAGCCTAATGATGTTGTTGCCATTATAACAGCCATTTGAAATATTTTTAAATGGGTCTCAGAGAGGTTAAAAAATTTGCTAAAGGTCATGCAACCAGAAAACAATAGCACCCAAAGCCCAAACCCCCTAACCAGTTATATTGCATGTGACTTGGTGTTAGAGATGAGGCCAGCACAGAGGAAGTGACTCATCTAAGATCCAATGGTCCTTATTATATTTGGTTCCCCTGTACTGTCTCCTTTTTCCAGAACTTACTGGAAAACTATTTCTTCAGATGTTCAAGTAGAAAGTGAAGTAACAGGGACAGAAATTCAATAGAATACAAGGAAATAGTACAATATTGTCTTCCCTTTCTCCAAATTCTTCTGATAACATTCTACAACTGAGATGGCACCCAAATTCATACATTATGTAAATGCCTATACATTTCCTTTCTTGTTGCTACATTTCCAAATGCTCTGACAGTTCTGCTCTTTCTTTTATGTCGAAGTCTCTTTTATCGTGGTGAGGAGTCATGGTGAGCAGAACAAACATTTGCTGAAGTTATATTATGCACCAAACATTTCCTTAAGTTCCCTCATTTTCCCTACACAATTCTGTGGGGACAGTATCAATTGTTTCCCATTTTGCAGTGGAGAAGTTCAGGCTCACAGAGTATAAATCGATTTTCCAGAGTCACACATCTGGTAAGAGGCAGGAATGCAGTTGCATCCCTCACCCTCCCTAGAAAACCCTGAGCAGCCTCCTTCTTAGAAGATGGGCTTCCAGGGCTTGAGAAATGGTCAGATTCCACTCCCCTGCTATTGTGGACCCACAAATCTGCACTCCACAATCCCTTTGGGTGATGAAGAAGATAGAGGAGTTGAAATCCTGCCCTTTGCGCAAAGAGACCTGGGTGTAGGGCCACATGAGTTGGCAGATCCCTGAAGTGGTGAGTGGGCTCAGGCAGAAGCTCAGGCTTTAAAAGACTGGAGAGGTGATCTGCTGGATGGAAATGAACAAGAAAATCATTCTACATCGTGGTAACTTTATATCTCATCTCCTTTAATCCCAAAAACAAACATTCAAAGTAAAGATTACTATCTTCATTCTTACCTAGAGCTCAAACCACCTAGGTCATTAATATCCTAAATTACAGACCAGGTAGTCTAAGCCTGAAATTTTTCTAAAACCCAAGCTTTTCTCACTGCATCTTGTGGCCTTATGGGCTTTGAATGCTCTCTGTGTCTATCTCACATTAGACTGGCAAATTACTCCACTCTAGTGTATTCTTCAAACATTTATAATTAACCACATTGTCTTTTAATAATAAAATGAAAATTTGAAACATTTGCATTGCAAAAGCTGATAAAAAGAAATATAAAATGGGAAAAAATGATGCACGTGTATTACAGACATTGAGTTAATGTTCATAATATATAAGAAGATGAGCATATGGCTTGATGTGGTTTCAATTTATGTCTGTTGTTTCACAGACCACCTTTTACTCTCAAAAGTGTCAATTCACAAAAAAATGGAAAAATATCCCATGTTCACAGAAAAGAATAATTAATATCATTAAAGTGGCCATACTGACCAAAGCAATCTACAGATTTAACACTATTCTTAATTTTTCACAGAACTAAAAAAAAAAAAATCTGTTCTAAAACTCATATAGAACAAAGTGCCCAAATAGCCAAAGCAATCCTAAGCAAAAGGAACAATGCTGGAGTCATCACACTACCCGACTTCAAACTATACTATAAGGCTGCAGTAACCAAAATAGCATGGTACTGCTACAAAAACAGACACATAGACCATGAACCGGAATACAGAACCCAGAAATAAGACCACATACCCACAGTCATCTGATCTTTGACAAAGTTGCAATGGGGAGAGGGCTCCCTATTCAATAAATTGTGCTGGGATGCCTGGCTAGCCATATGCAGAAGAAACTGGACCCCCTACCTCTCAACATATATTAGTACAAAAATTAACTAAAAATAGATTAAAGATTTAAAAGTAAGACCTCAAATATAAGAATCTTAGGAAGACAACCTAGGAAATGCCATTCTGGACATCAGCCTTGGGAAAGTGTTTATGACTGAGTCCTCAAAAGCAATTACAACAAAAACAAAAATTGACAAATGGGACCTGATTAAATTAAAGAGCTTCTGCACCGCAAAAGAAGCTATCAGCAGAGTAAATAGACAACCTACAGAATGGGAGAAAATATTTGCAAACTATGAATCTAACAAGGCCTAATATCCAGTATCTATAAAGAACTTAAATCAACAAGCAAAAAGTAAAGGACATGAACAGACATTTCTAAAAAGAAGATATGCATGTGGCCAACAAGCATATGAAAAAATGCTCAACATTACTTATTAGAGAAATGCAAATCAAAAGCACAATGAGATACCATCTCACACCAGTTAGAGGGGCTATTATTAAAAAGTCACAAAATAGCAGATGCTGGTGAGGTTGTGAAGAAAGGGGAATGCTTATACACTGCTGGTGGAAATGTACGTTAGTTCAGCCACTGTGGAAAGCAGTTTGGAGGTTTCTCTATGAACTTAAAACAGAGCTGCCATTCAACCCAGCAATTCCATTACTGGGTATACATCCAAAGGAAAATAAATCCTTCTGCCAAAAAGACACATGCACTCATATGTTGATCACAGCACTGTTCACAATACCAAAGACATGGAACCAACCTAAATTGGGACTACTAAAGGCGGAAGTTAGGGAGGGACACAAGGGGTGAAAAACTAACTGCTGGGTACTATGCTCAGTACCTGGGTGACAGGATCCATCACACCCCAAACCTCAGCATCACACAATATACTCAGGTAACAAACTTACACATATACTCCCCGAATCTAAAATAACAGTTGAAATTATTCTTTAAGTGTCAGTTTGAACAATTAATTGTACAGTCATCTTTCATATAAAAAATTCTTTTTGACTACTAGAGGATGGATACAGAGTAACTTCTAATTTTCATAAAAAGCAATATAAATCCCCAACAAACCGATGAAAAACAACCCAAACACAATAACAAAGAAATACAAACAAAAATTTTAAGATTTCGTAAGTGGAAAAAGGAAAGGGACAGATTAACATGTTGTCTCATTGTCTTTGTTGAAGAATAGGTATAGAGTGGTGTACATCTATATCGTGTATATACATATTTAGGGCTTTTATATAAAAGTACTTACATATGCTAGTACATTATATTGGGATAGAAACATTTGTAGAATATATTAGCACACCATTAAAAATGTTTATCTTGAGAGGGTAAACAAAGCACAATTTCATTTTCCACTTACACATTTCTGCATGATTTGATATCATTAAAAGACAAATATGTATTCGTTTTGCAATTCAGAAAAGTAATCAAAATAAAAATTTTCAAAGCACAGGAAAAATTTTGTTACGATCTGATTCACACAACTGATGTTATAGAAACACTCGCTTCGAAAGGTATTCCCTATTAAGCATAAAAACCAGATTGCATACTTTATGTATAATATAATCTGTCCCATTTGTCGTTGATAATACTCTTATATGTATGAGTAAGTGTAAGTATAAAGCAAACGTGTCTAAAAGGCTATGACCCAAAATACAAAATATCCGCACAAACGCACTCACACAAAACTGATACACACTCCCTCAAGAGACACTCACACTGGCAGCTTTCTCTTGATCTGAGATAAGGGTGAAACTTCCTGCCAGAAGCTCAGAAAGCCAAGCAGCAATAGATTCTGCAGGAAGGGCTGCCTGTGCCATTCAAGCCTCCAGCAAGCCCTGTTTGGTGGGTCAAGCCAGAGGCCCCTCCCTCCTCAAATCTTTACGGAGCCTCCTCCAAGACAGTCAGAGATGTAGCTCTGCATTTGACCAACAGGTGGCAATTATCTCAATATTGTATCTTTGCTGCAATAGAAAAGTATCTATTTCTACAAGCAGAAACACTAGTAATCATTGTGACTTATTAATAGATTATGAAACAGTATGTATAATATGATCCAAAATATATTTGAAAAATGTTCATGTCTGGAAAAATATAGAAAGGGTACATTCTCTTTTATTTGCTGGTGATGACTCCCAAGTCTGCATCTCCCTTGTTCATTCATTCGTTCAATAAATAATTATTCTGAGGAACAGACACTTTCCTCTGAGCTGTGTTACTTTTTTCTACAAGACTTCCTCAGGGATGAAGTAGTGACATGGTGAAATATCTGGCTCATCTGTATGTTGAGCTCCTCTCTCTGTTTTTTGTCTGTCTCCTCTTGCCAAGCTCAGTTCTCTGATTCATGGTTTTGCTAATCTTTGTAGTCAACTTTATCAAAACAACTGTCATTGGATATAGCTGATCAGGACCCATAAGACCTTACTGAAGATTCTGTTCAATGCAAATAAAATTAACCAATATTTATTGAGATCTAATTGTGATCCAGACGTAATGAATGCTCATAAAAAATAAGCTTTCCATTGAACCCTTTCTGCCAGAACAAAGTGATAGATTTCTGGGACAGTTTTGAGCTTACAGTAGAATCCCTGTGGCCCTTTATGATCAATGCCCTCTCTGAAAAGGGAACCATTTTTATGCTTCGAGTCAGAGTTTTCCTAAGAGCACAGGAACTTCTAGGCAGGTGGAGGCAGATTTTTAAAAATAATAATATTATGCATGCACTTCTTATGTTTCATGTGCTTTCCTGTCCTCTTATTTTACTTTCTACATGTCAATGTCAGAGAATCCTTGTTCCTTTGTTCCCTTAAAAAGCAAGGTATTCATAGGAACAATGCCAGTACTTTGGTTTCTGGAGAGACCACTTAAGTCAGGAGGTCTGTCTGCCTCCCAGTAAAAGACCTAACCCAGTAATTCCGTGACAACTTTAGTTAAATCCCTTCACATCTTTCTGATCTCACCTACCTAAATTTTACCTGTCCTGCCCCTCAACCACCCAGGATTGTGCAAGAGAAAAAAATGAGCTATATATTATAATTGAGTGTTTGAGAAATCAAGTATTATATTATTATTAGGTATAATAATATATAATGTATATTAATTAATATTAATTATATTATATATTATATAATTAATATAATATAATTATATATTATATTATATTATCTTTGAGTGTAGGAAATTAATGTATGGTGAAATCACAAGGCAACTTGGAGCTAATTACTGCCAATGGCACAGGCCACGGACTCATAAGCCCCGGGGTACCAGTGCCAGTTTTATGAGAAAGATGTGAAAGTGCTTTAAAGCTCCATGAATTAAAGTTTTTAGTTATCATTTTGCCACAAAATAAACCCACAGAAGCATCATATTCAACCAGAGTTCACTCAAGTCCCCATGAAAACAAAGTATGTCCATTGCCTTAAGAGACACTATCAAGCTGCCCTCCCAATCTTATCTATGATGTCCTCCTACTCTCCAATGACAATTTTTTCTATACTCAAATGACAATGGAATCATAAGAATTACTTTATTTTGTAAAAGAGATGGGGTCTCGCTATGTTGCCCAGGCTGGCCCCAAACTCTGGGCTCAAGTGATCCTCACATCACAGCCTCCTGAGTAGCTGGGATAACAGGCACCCACCACTGCACCTGGCTATAGGGTATATTTATATCCTTCCTCACCAACATCAGACTTTTAAACAAAGACCAGGATTGCTTTTCAAAAGAGACACCCATTCCCATAAAGTCACATACCTGTGCAAAGAGATTGTTATTGATCAAGATAGTAGCAACTGGCTTCGCAACCAGTTTATGAACCCTCACAAGAACACCAAGATTATTATTTTATAGTCACAGCTAATACACTCAGGTTTTGTTTGATTCTCTCCTTAACTTTGTGTCAGGCATAATCTTAAACAATATTTCCTGTTTCTTGAACATTTCTTAATAAATATGCCCTGTATTACTTTATCTCCATATATAACATTCTGTTATATAGAATAGATGGCTTATCGTCTTATTTTTATGAATTCTTTTATTTTTAGAGGTTCCTTTCAAAAAGAGTTCCACCTCGAAGTATTTAAGGGCATCTTTGCACATTTCTGTCCACTTAACAAGAGGAAAGAGACAAAAAAGTAAAAGGCAGAATTAAATTATGAATTATAGGATGTGAAATATTTAGAGAATTCTTGACAATGACATTCAACTCACTTTTTTTACAGGTGACAAAATGGAGTCCAGAGAGGTTCGATTACTTACTCAAGATCAGACAGCTAATGAATAAGAGAGGAAAGACTAGAATCTTCCTAGAAATAAATGCATGCATTTGAGTTTTTTCACACATCAACGCAGTAAGAAAACATTACCTGGTTTAGAAATACAGGATTTACAGTTGAGGTTTTGTGATATCCTGAAAGAAACATGGCAGTCAAAAGGACACTTCTTCCTACCTCTTAACCATTTAGTGAATGTGTGGCCCAAAACAAGATACTTATCTCTCTGTGCCTTAGTCTCCTAATCTATGAAATGGAGGTGACAATTCCCCACACCAGAGTTACAAGTGATGAATAGATGTGGTAAAATATATAATAAAGGAATTACAGTGCCAAGCACACTGCAGATGCTCAGAGTTCCTTGAGTTCTCTAGTGAGCAAAACCAAAACACCAAGCTGAAATCCTGTTACAGACTAAGATGAGGCAAGTGTAAAAGAGGCACTTTCTCTCATGGAGGTACTCAAGACTGTACAGGTGCAGCATTAGCATTTGCATAATCCCAAAAGTGAATGTCTCCTTAAACTGTTTGCTCTATGTACTTTATTCGCTTCACTCTGGTTTTGGCCCTGGTTGAGAGGACTAATAATACTAACAATAGCTAAAATTTACTGAACCCTCACTGTGTGCTAGTCATCCTGCTAAGAATGTTTCATATGTTAGCTCTTTGATTCTTCCTTACCACCATGTAGAATAGGTAGTATTATTATCCCTTGGTTAGATGTAAAAAAGAAGAAAGAAGGAAAGAAAGAGAAGAAAGGAAAGAGAGAGAGAGAAGGCAGGCAGGAAGGCAGGAAGGAAAAGAAAGAAAGAAAGAAGGAAAGAAAGAGAGAGAAAGAGGAAGGAAGGAAGGAAGGAAGGAAGGAAGGAGGGAAGGAAGGAGAAAGAAGGAAAGGAAGGAAGAAAACAGAGGCTTAGAAGATTAAGTAACGTGCAAGATCACACAGTTATTGGCAAAGTTGTAATAATGGACTGTGTGTCTCCAAAATCCATGTTATTAAACACTTACAGACAGCATTATTCCATTATAGAAATGAGGTTGAAAGAACAGAAGTCACTTACCTAAGATAAGCTCAACAATTACCCAGTTGCCGGATCCTGAATCATCTGAATCTCAATGCAAATATCCCCTCAAACAGATTCATTGTTATGCTGTGTTCTTTTGTGGCATCTTGTCTTTTCAGACTCAATGGGAAACTTCTCTAGAATTAACCTAGAAAGTGAAATAAAGGGGCAGGGCGCGGTGGCTCACACCTGTAATCCCAGCACTTTGGGAGGTGGAGGCGGGCTGATCATGAGGTCATGAGATCGAGACCATCCTGGCCAACATGGTGAAACCCCCTCTCTCCTAAAAATACAAAAATTAGCTGGGCTTGGTGGCACGTGCCTGTAGTCCCAGCTACTCGGAGGCTGAGGCAGGAGAATTGCTTGAACCTGGGAGGTGGAGGTTGCAGTGAGCCGAGATCACGCCACTGCACTCCAGACTGGCAACAGAGCGAGGCTAAGTCTCAAAAAAAAAAAAAAAAAAAAAAAAAAAAAAGGAAAGGAAGTGAAATAAAGGGGGTTTGATAATTTTCGTAGTGTGTCACCTGTATCATGCACATATGATACCTATTGCATTAGTTTGTATTAACAATTGTAGTACTGAAATATGCCCCTTATGCTAAGACACAGATTGACTGGTACCTCAGATGGTGCAGGGTCCAGGCAGAAACGTTGGTGTGGCAGTTTGGGAAGGTAAGATCGGGAGAATGAACATAACATTCGTATGATTTATCCTGTGTAGGGTAAACATTACACTTTACCTCCTTTATTCTTAGTAACCACCATTCAAAGTAACTAGTATGATCTCCATTAAACAGATGAAGAATATAAGACTCATAAGTAACTTGCCTCAAGTCTAAAGGCTCGAAAGTGGCAGAGAGAGGACTCAAAACCTGCACTCTCTAAGGTCCTAGCTCTCTCCCAATTGACCTGCAGCCTCCTGGGCTTTGAATCTAATCATTCGGGAGGCTGGAATTTCCCTAGAGATGGTCCGGACAGTGGAGAATGCATTCCAGTGGCATTTTAAAATATCTTCTGTATTGTCTTCTAAATCAGAAAATCTAAATGGAGATTTATAAATACTTATTAAAAGGCAGAAATCTCAGAGTAATACCCCGGCAATAAAATGTGGAAAAAATTTCAACAAATAATAATTATAGAAATGAAAATAAAACAAAGAGATATAATATTAGGTTTAAAAATTCATAACATTGTGAATATATGATCTCATTTCTGCAAAGGAATATAAAATTATATGTGTATTTGTATAGTCTGTTGGTATGTCTAAGTTAATATCTAATTGGCAAGAGAAAACATCTGGAAGGACACATAGCCTACTAGCACCAGTGATATCATTGGAGTAAAGAGTTGTGAGGTAAGAGAGGTTAAATTTTACCTTCTAATAATGTACTACTACTATATTGTTCCACTTTGTTTAAATAACCACATATCTATTTTATAGCCAGAAAAAATAACTGTACTGATACCTTCAAAACACAGAAAATAGCTGGTTTGAAACTGAATTATAAAACTAATAATGTATACATATGGACATGAAAAGGTCTTCAAACTACACTCTTAAATGGAGAAAAATCTGATTAGAAAATATACGGTAAGTTATTATTTCAAAATAAATCAATGTATGTGTAAAGTATGTTAAAATATATAACCCAAAATATTCACACACAAATTCACACACACACACACACACACACACACACACACACACATCTCTGATCAGGCTAGGGATGTCTGTTTCTCTTCTCTCAAGTCTGAGGCAGTTGCTGAGTTTTCTAGCAATATTTTTGCTCCAGGAGACCTCCAAAAAGCTGACTGGCAAGATGGAACATGAACAGCTCCCTCATTCCTAAGCTTCCTGCTCTATAATATTCAAACTGCAACTCTCATTAATATCAATGGGTATTTTTTAAGTTTTATTGAAATAAAAAAACTTAATGATAAAGATCCACAATATTTTAAAAATCAGCTTAGAAAGCAGACATATAATACAATCTCAATTATTTTCTTTTTTTAACTTTTGTTTTAAGTTCAGGGGTACAAGTGCAGGTTTGTTACACAGGTAAATTTGTGTCATGGGGGTTTGTTGTACAGATTACTTCATCACCCAGGTATTAAGCCTAGTACCCATTAGTTGTTTCCTAATCCTCTTCCTCTTCCCACCTTCTGCCTGCCAAAAGTTCCCAGTGTGTGTTGTTCCCCTCTGTGTATCCATGTGTTCTCATCATTTAGCTCCCACTTATAAGTGAGAACATGGGGTATTTGGTTTTCTGTTCCTGCATTAGTTTACTAAGGATAATAGCCTCCAGCTCCATCCATGTCCTTGCAAAAGATATGGCCTTTTTCTTTTTTATGGCTGCATAGTATTCCATGGTGTATAGGTACAACATTTTCTTTATCCAGTCTACCATTGATGGGCATTTAGGTTGATTCCATGTCTTTATTATTGTGAATGGTGCTGCAATGAACATATGCATGCATGTGTCTTTATAATAGAATGATTTATATTCCTTTGCGTATATACCAAGTAACGGGATTGCTGCTATTTCTGTCTTCAGGTCTTTGAGGAACCGCCACACTGTCTTCCACGATGGCTAAACTAATTTACACTCCCACCAACAGGGTATAAACTTTCCCTTTTCTCCACAACCTTTCCAGCATCTGTTATTTTTTGACTTTTAAATAACAGCCATTCTGACTGGTGTTAGATGGTATCTCATTGTGGTTTTGATTTGTATTTCTCTAATGATCAGTGATGTTGAGCTTTTTTTCATATGATTGTTGGCCACATGTATGTCTTCTTTTGAGAAACATCTGTTCATGTCCTTTGCCCAGTTTTTAATGGGGTTGTTTGGGTTTTTTCTTATAAATTTGTTTAGGTTCCTTATAGGTGCTGGATATTAGATCTTTGTCAGATGCATAGTTTGCAAAAATTTTCTCCCATTCTGTAGGTTGTCTGTTTACTCTGTTGATAGTCTCTTTCCCTGTGCAGAAGCTCTTTAGTTTAATTAGATCCCATTTGTCAATTTTTTGACAATTATTTTCAAAAGACAAATATGGATAGAAACATCCTGAAGAGGTAAATACTCAGTTTTATTTTCTCCTGTCTTCAAAAATCTGTCATTCTTTCATTCATTCACTCCATTTGATATGGTTTGGCTGTGTCCTCACCCAAATCTCACCTTGAATTGTAATAATCCCCACATGTCAAGGGTGGGGCCAGGTGGAGATAATAAGTCTCACAAGATCTGACGGTTTTATAAATGGGAGTTCCCCTGCACAAGCTCTCTTGCCTTCTGCCATGTAAGACGTGACTTTGCTCCTTATTCACCTTCTGCCATGATTGTGAGACCTCCCCAGCCCTGTGGAACTGTGAGTCAATTAAACCTCTTTCCTTTATAAATTACCCAGTCTCAAGTATGTCTTTATTAGCAGCATGAGAACAAACTAATATACCATTCATTCATTCATTCATTCATCCATTCATCCTTCCATTCACCATATAGTGTTTGAGTATCTTCTGTGTGTTAGCCACTGCCAGCCTGAATCTATCACTGCCACCTGGCCTCCTCTTTCGTGAGTTCTAGAACTACATGGTTTATGCTCTACTAGACATGCCCAGTGTTAGTGTTCGCCTGTACACGCATAACCAGGCTCAGACATCATAGACAGCCAACATAAACCAGAGGAGTATAGGAGTCCTGAAGGACCACTCTCTAAAGGAAAGGGAAAAGGGGTGCAGTAGAGACATCCTGATATGCAAAGTATCAGCATTTCAGCTATATCACTTAAACACTGATTTTTTTTTAACATACTATTGATTTTTTTTCTTCTCCTGATTGAAGCTCACTGTCAAGATGCTATAGAAAGAGTTAAGGATGAGACAACTCTTAGGAGCTCTCAACCTTGGATTCTGTCATGGGCATGAACTACAGAGTTCAGGCACTTTCTACAATTGTCCTGTTATGTTTCATGCAGTTTCCGGACATGCCCAACTACCGGGTAGTGGATTTCCACACAGGATATCCCCAGGGATGAACCAGGTCATAGAGTATTTCCTGCCTGTTATATTTGGCTAGGCTCTCACGTTAGCTCCACTCTCTCCTCTTTACTTGGGTAATGCCTCCTTATCCCTCAGGTCTCAGTTTAAACATCACTTCCTATGGGAAGCCTCCCCAAAACACCTAAGACCAGGTGGGTGTTTGTGCTATCTGCTTTGCTCCATAGCACTCTGAGTTCTCCTATCATAGCACCTATGAAACTTTATTATTGCTGGCTTCACTATCTTTCCCTTAAGTTTGCAAGCTCCAGAAGGACAGGGACCATGTCTGTGTTTTGTTTACCACTGTGATGTGTTACACCTCTAAGACTTCTCATCTATGTTTTTATTGAAGTCGAAAAGTGGTGTCAATCCTTAATGATAATTTTTGGTATGCTAAAGAGTGGCTTTGCCCTTTTACAATTTCATTATCATTTAACTTGATTTAGGTAATACCAAATGAGTTTCCACAGGCTATTAAAATTACAGGGACTTACACTCTTATATGGATGATAACCTTACAATTTTTGATTGACAGACCTTCTTTCTTCTTTAATTTTATGTATCTCATAAGTAACACCTATTTGTGAAAGAAAAAATTAATACAAAAGATCAAAAAAGACATAAAACTTTCGTAATCCTACCTTGGAACTAAGAATTTTTCTATAATAAACAGTGGTGAGATGAATGACATTGAATCATTTTTTTATTGCTAAAGGACGTATTTCACGTTTGCATTTAAAATAGATTTAATTCATTTACTATTAGGTTGGTGCAAAAGTAATTGCGGTTTTTGCCATTACTTTTAATAATGTTTAATAATAGTTTGTCCTCTTTGTGTCTCTGAATCACATTTGCATGCTTTTTAGGCTTTTATAAGTAGACCTTGATGACCAGTTTGATGTGTGCACATGAGGGCTTGTAAGTGTGTGTGTTTGTGTGTCCTTAAACACTTATCTGTTTTCATATCCCATATTCCCTGATAGATATTCTTTGTGTTCTCTTACCCTTAAATAAATTTATGTTTGTGGCAAAGACCAAAGCCAGGAATTTAGGTCGATGAATTTTATTGTTTCCATACACTTGTGCACATCCTTAACTATTTCCTTAGGGTACATTTCAAGGCATGGAATTGCTGCCTCAAATGGTATACACATGCTTAATTTAATTCCCCGCCTGCCAACAAGAAAAGTTGTACCAGTTTAAAGTCCATAAACTGGAATTAAGTGAAACAAGCCTCAGGGAAGTGAGGAGCGTGGATGTAGTGATGTCCTGTTAAAAAGTGCAGGCCTTAGATTCCACTGAGCGAAGCTTTGAAGCCCCAATAACAGTAAATACACCTCAGAGTGGTCAGTAGTAAATGGTAACATTAAACATAAGCACATAGTGAAGCAGCTTGTGGGCAATTAATGGCAAGCACATAGGACTTGGAGTCAGTATCCCTGGATGAAGAATATCTAAAATTGTTTTAGGAACCTTCTATAATCTTTATTATGAGACAAATTGTACCTCCAGACCAGCACCACATTTAGCCAAAATTTAACTTATGTGCGGATCTTATCCTAAGAGATACCAACTTCTCTCTTTCCTATCTCCTGAGTAGACGGCTATTCTGTCCACTGATCACAAGTGTTTTCTGAAAGAAGGATCTCTACTCTCCTCATTACCAGAACATTCAAGGATTTTTTGATAAACAGAAAGATATTTCAACTTTGCAAAATGTTACAGATGCCTTCATTGTTCTGAATGCTTTGCACCTCTCTGGAACCCTTAAAGTTGTTACTGTCATGTTTTGGTGTCCAAGAGAAAGGAAGGTTCAAACAAATGACTAGGCAAAAATTGCTGGTTTTGGTGCTGGACTTTGGCCTGGCTTGATCCCTGAGAGAAACTTCTTAATAGTAAAAGTTTTATATCAGGGTCGGGTGACTAATGCAGAAAGCAATTAAATGATTCCAAATATTCTGTCTGCCTTAGACCCTGGAAAGAGAGAGCCATTTATTTTCCCACTTAAAGGTAAGCTCTTCTTTCTTTTTTTCAGCAGATGTAGTTTGGCACAGCAGAGTCCCTCTGAAAACAGTATGACTCATCCAGATGCCACAGAAAGAGGTCTGAAAAAGCAGGTTTGTTCCATTAAATTACATGAGAATTTGCAATAGATAGACACAGGCATTACATAATGCTGTTTGGTCTTGAGGGCTAGACTTTCACGTTTTACTTCAGATACTCCTAGAGTAATTGAAATTTTTTACAGTGACGATCAACATTTTCTTATACTTTACCACATATTACTTTTTATAGCTTGGAATTTAAAATAAAGTTGTAAAATGATCATGAGATAAAATAAGAAGAAAAAGCACCATGATCAGGTCTCTCTAGCCTTTTTATATTATATCAGGTTTCTCTAACCTTTTTTCAGGTAAAATTTCAGTGCTCAAGAAAATGCCATTTTCTATGCTCTCATTTTCTCTTTTTCCAGATAGCTTCACTTACAGCATATGGATAAGTGAATTATGGCCTGGTTATCCTTATTACTTAAAGATCTTAACAGCAATGATTCCTTTTAAAGAGAGTCAAACACCTAATGTTTAAACTACTGTTCAAAGTCATTGCCCATTATCCTAATATGAAAAAGGTAGAGACAAAAACATAAAGTTATATGAGAGTTCACTGAACTATACATCAGAGGACATAAAAAAGAATAAAGTCACCATGATGGTCCATGCAGTTCCCTTATTTTTGTGGTTGAGGAAACAGGAGCTGGGAGAGGTTCACTGACTGGCTGGTAAGTGTTGATTTGTGGATAAGAAAGGACCAGGTATCAGAAATGCACAATAGCACATCTAATGATTCTCAACAATAGACAAATATTTTTCCTTGTCCTTGTGATAGATATCCAAGTTGCCTTCAACTTCTCACCACCACAAATATACCCTTATACATATTCTTTTATTTAGCTATATAAAAATGACTCTGAGGTATTCACCCTGGAGCAGACATGTTGGGTCATTGAGAATGTGTACCTTTTATATGACTAAACACTTCTATGTTGCTCTCCAGAATGTATTTCTACCAGCAGTGCATGGAGGGCTCCATAGACTCCAACAACACTTGACATCCACCATCTACCATTTTAATTTTTGCCTGCCAATAAGGTGATGTTTCACTGTTGTTTAATTGGAAACTACTAATAACCTAGAGTGGTAAATACTGAAAATGCATATTGTGTAATTTGGTTATATTTCTAGTCTTTTTGTTATTTACCAATAAACTGTGAATTCATTTTTTATACCAGTGCCATGGTGGATTTTTTCCTTCATAGTTTATGAAGAAAAGGATCAAAATTTATATTTTTAAGTGAAAAAGTTTGCCAACTGTTCCCAACACCATTTCCAGAATAATCCATGTTACTTACTGATTAGAAATATCAAGTTTATCACATTTAAAACCTGGGGACTGAGCTTTTATTCTGTTCCATTAAACTATATCTCAGATTTTCTGCCAGTCTTACTTTGTTTTAATGTCGTTGCTTCATAAAACATCTTAATAACTAAAAATATAACATTTTCTTCCATTATTTGCTCTTAAAAGGTCAAGAATAGCAATAACAACAACAATAAAGGTAACTAACATTTATTGAGCATTTGGTATGTATCTATCAATAATGCTTTACTTGTAGTATCACATTAAATCTTCAATTACATATAATGGTGCAGATACTATTCTGTTCTGTATTGAAAAGACAAGAAACTACAGGTAAAGAAAGCATAACTGGTTTGATGTGGAATCTAATTTCAAACCCAAGTCTTATCATAGTAAGCTCATACTCTTAACCACTGTTATATTAAAATGAACTGCATAAAATAGTCACAACTGGAGCATTTTGACAAAGAAAAATGTCAGTTTCTTACTATTCAGTCTATTATATAGTACTTTGTATTTTAGAAATGAGGCAATCTCAGAGAAAGACAGACACACCCATGGTCCAGTAATTGGTAATGGATCTGGCATATGGATTCTAGATCTTCTATCTTCAGTCTTCTAACAAGCAGGACTACTACTGTTATTTATTTCTAGGGCTCAGTAGAAAAACTATTTCTCTAATGATCCACTAAAGGGTAATACCAGAGACAGGAAAGGGGACATGAACATAAAGAAAATGGCATAATGATTATTTTTCCCTTGTCCCATATTCACCAGGTAATTCATCCTATAACACAGAAATGACACTGAAGCTCACAGATTACTAAAATATATTTACATTTTACTTGTTGCTGTTACATTTCTAATATTTTCTGTAATAATTTTACTATTTAAATTACATTAAAATCATATATTTAATGGGAGAGAGAAGGCAGGGAGACAGGAGTAATACTTGTTCAGTCTACTATATCCTAGACAATACTAAAAATATTGCCATTTTCACCCTATAGTAGTTCTATAATGTACATTCTATCGTATCTGCTAAAAATATGATTTAACAAGATAAAAGAAATATGCTTTGCTTTATTTACAAAAAGCATTTTATGAAACAGCCTGTACAGAATTATCCCCATTCTGTTTTCAATCACATGAATAAAAAAGGAAGAGATATGTATCCAGTTTTACTTGCTGATTTAATGATGACTAACAGATATTCATTTTTTTCTTTCTCTCTTTCTTTTATTTATTCAACAAATAGTTATGGTATACCAAATAAGTGCAAAGAACTGTTAGACCAAATTATATCTCCACCACAGGGCTTTTCTTTCTTTTCTTTTTTTTTTTTTTTTTTTGAGATGGAGTTTCACTCTTGTCACCCAGACTGGAGTGCAATGGCACAATCTTGGCTCACTGCAACCTCCACCTCCTGAGTTCAAGCAATTCTCCAGCCTCAGCCTCCTGAGTAACTGGAATTACAGGCATGTGCCACCATGCCTGGCTAATTTTGTGTTTTTAATAGAGACGGGGTCTCACCATGTTGGCCAGGCTGGTCTTGAACACCTGACCTCATGTGATCCACCCACCTCAGCCTCCCAAACTGCTGGGATTACAGGCATGAGCCACCACAGGCCTTTTCTTCTGAGCTCCAGACTCTGTTATACAATTACAGCATAATGAATATTAACATTTATGACCAGGCATGGACACTTTATCAAGGCAATTCAAATTATACAGTCCTTGAGCTCTAAAAGCTTACCATCTAAGTAGAAGGCAGTGTAGTAGGGGCAGAGAGAGAACATTGAGTTCAGAATCAGACAAACATGGGTTAAAATTTATGTTCTGCCATTTATTTAAGGTGTTAAGCTTGGAAAGTTTGCTTAAATTCTCTAAGACTTAATTTCCTCATCTGTACAGGGAGACTGTTATCTGTGTTTCAAAAGAAAATACGAAATGTAGTGCACTCAACCATTCAGTCTGAAAATTCAACACATATTCACTTTTTCTCACTCCATCTCTTCCCTTTCTTAGCAGAAATGACTTACCCATGAACTCAATAGCACAACTATATCATAGAGAACATCCAGAAATGTAAGAGCAAAAAGAAAATTAAATATATGTTTATTTACATTATGAATGTAATCCAATACAATTTCTGTATAATAGAACAATTCAGTCATTGTACTTTTCCCAATTCATTTGGACCTTCTAGATTAATATGATGCATGTGTATGACTTGGAAGTTTCTAGTATTCTTTAAGTCTCAGAGTGTTAAGATACATAATAGAAACCTAGCCCATAATGATGGGTCTGCAGGAGGGACACAAGAGCAAGAGTCCGGAGCTCTGTCTGGGTCCCAATTTCTAAGTAATCCCTGGCGATAGGATAAAGCAATCCCAAACATTCAAAATATTTGAAAGATAAATGACACCCCCATTTCTGTAAGCATTCTGAGTTCTCAGAAGGAAAGGAAGAAGCTGTTATGTGTAAGGAAATCAATTTAGTGTAAATTATCTGTAAGAAAATTAGCCTTCTAGAGAGTAATTGCCCAATAAATGTCTGCTATTAATTTTCTATTTTAACTGCTCATGGTGCAGTTGGGGAAGGTGTCTGGTAGAATTCAGAGACCATCCAAAAACACATGGCACCTGCGCAAAAGGAACAAGCTAAGGGAACTCTCACTGTGACAACTTCTTTACATTGTCAACTAATTTAATTATGTCAGCAAGTCTCTGAGACACTGTTCTGAAAGAGAGATTGTTGTAAGACAGCAGTGTTCTATAAATATATAGACACAATCATACATGTGTTGTTTGTATCTCTGCTTCTGTCTACTAAAAGTTTCTGTATGTCTTTCTGTTGTTTTATTACTGTTCTCTTACTGGGGATTCTCTTTTGATCTATGAATTTGGGTCCTTATCCAAGGATTTAAGATCGGCTTTTAGGTGAATGTGTAAAATCATACCTGACTGAGTTTTCCAGCAGTTCTGACTGTGCTGACCCTGATGCCAAGGTCTTTGCTAACAGAGGAGTAGATCCGCTGAATGTTAATGGATGTTATTGTGACTGTCTGGAACAACTGTACATTCCATTCCAGAGATGTAATCATGTCAACAAGGTGCCCAGACAACCGATATTCAGAATCTTTACACTTTATTAAAATGATATGGCATATTTTTCTTATCCCAAGATTTTTTTCCTTTCCTCCTCCCTTCCTCCTGTCCTATAAAAAATTGAATTGTGGAAGTAGCTCATGTGTAGCTTTTTTCATTGGATTTGGTAGTGGGGTCTATTGGTGATTGTGAAACACTGCAGCACCCCTTGAATGTTGATCAAATTTTCCCCTCTAAAATGAAAGAAGTCAGTCCAGGTTATGAAATATCTAGAGAGAAAGAGGCCATTTCATAACTTGCTTTCTGTTTTAAAACCCAAGGGACCATTCTCCTCCTTAAAAAAAAGCAAACACCAAAAAAAAAACTTAGAAGCATCATATGCAGACTTTAAACTCTAACCTCATTAACTACATAGTAGCATCTCCAGGCAAACCCCTCCTTTTTTAGAATTTTGAAATGCAATCCACAGCTAGTGACTCCGTTTTCTCAGAGACCCCTGTGTAGGAGAGACCGGCCAGAGAGTCATGCTAGTCTTGTTTCATCAGATCTTGAGAGCCTTCACAAACAGTCTTTCCCATATTCTACCAATCCAAACATAGGCAGTGTTTGGTTATCTTCTGCTGCATAAAAAACCACCCCGAACATAGAGACTTAAAACATGAATGATTTTTTATTACCGCTTGTCATAATTCTATGGGCTTACTGGGTGTTTCTTTTGCTTCAGGTGCTGTCAGCTGGGGTGCTGGGATGGTCAAAAAATTGAAAACAGCCTCAATCACATTACTGAAGGTTGATGCAGGCTACTGACAGGAGCTCAGCTGGATCTGGCAGCAGAGAGACTCATTTCTCCACACGCTTCTCCACATGACTGCTTGGGCTCCTTACAGCATGGTGGCTAGATTCCAAGAAAGAGCACTCCACAAGACAAAAGTAAAAGCTGAAGACTCCTTAAGGCATAGCCACGGAAATGCCAGACATTATTTCTGCTGCATTTTATTGGTCAAAAACGAACACAAGGCCAACCCAGATTCCAGGGAAGGGGAAACAGACTTCTCTTCTTGATGGGATGGGGATAAAGTCACATTCCAAAACAGTATGTGAAATGAGAGATATTAATGTAGCCATCTTTGGGAACATGATCTACTATAGGCACCAATCAGAAGCACCATGTCTCCCTAGGAAGTCATCCAGAGGAAGTCAAGCTTTCCCCTCTCCTAGACATCTGTATTCCACACCTGTGAATTTGGTGCTACTTGACACAATGACAGAAAGTTCAGAGTCAATTTACTGGAAATTCAGTACTCATCTAAGTTGGGAGGAGTTGTTTGATCATTTGACTATTATACTATTTAGTTTATGTAAAAGTCATTTCTATAATGGAAGGAAGGAAGACATGTGAGGTTAAATAATAACATTCTGGAAGCCTTAAGACATGCCAAACACTTTCCATAGATTGTCTCATTTTCTCTTTGAAAAAAATAATTTAAAGAAGGCAGGATAACTCATATTTTTCAGATGATCAATCTCAGATTTATAGATGGTAACTTTTCTAGGAATGAGCACCTAATAAATGGCAGTAAGAGGATTCTAGCTCTTGTTCTTTCAGTCTGCCTTTCTGTTCAATATGTTTCCAGGATTCAGGGACTGTTTTTTTTTTTAGACTTGCTAGCAGCCATGACGTGCACATGGCATGATGAAGATAATGATGATAATGATGATGATGATTATGATGATGTCAACAGAGGACGTGAATATGAAATTATGCCACTTGGCCTAAAAAGCTAGCATAGGAGAACTACAAAGAGGTAACTTTATTTTATAGCCTTTAATAATAGCAAAACCATTAGATGCTTAGATAAGTTAAATATTTATCCCAGATCACCAAACATGTAAATATGAAAGCAGGGACTAAAAACTAGGATTGACACTGAGTCCTGGAAGTCCTGCATTTCCCATGTTTTTAATCTTGTCAATTTTTAATCACCAACTCAGCTGACTTTCAGGTTTATATAATCAGGAGAGTGATGAATACACTGGTATTTCCAAATGTGTTCACGTTGAACTTTGTTTATAAGCAAATTTTTAACACATTGTATATGAAAAAAGTCACCATAAGATTAAAAGTAATCAAAAGATGAGAAAATATTTGCAAGATGTATTATAAAAATGGTTAGTATTCTTAATATATAAAGACCCCTTACAAATCAACAATGGAATAGGCTAAGGATCTGAACACTTTATGTGTGTATATATACACATAGGTATTAGTATAATAAATGCAAGGAAATTATCAAAGGATTTTTAAATCAAAGGATTTTTTGGAGGAAGGAGGAAATATAGACAGATTTACCTTCCAGATTATACATGTCTACACTACTTACATGTTTTTACAGCAAGCATGTGTTTCTTTCACATGTTTTAGAGTTCTGAAAATAACTAGGGGTTCTAGGAATACTTTCTTTACTAAACAGACTTCCAGATAGCTCTCTACTAGGTTAAGTCGATAATCTTTTCCTCACTGCCTTTTCTCTCTTTTGTCTAAGATATTTAAGTTTTATTTCTGATCAAAAGCTTGAACTCTGCTATGTTTTTTAATTTTCCCAAATGAATAAATATAATATTTACAAACAAGAAAAACTATTGTAGGCATAAATTTTCAAGCCAGAGTCAAGCACTCAAGTGTACAAGAAGTGTTACTTTTTGTGTACTTTTCTATATTGTATCTGAACCTAATTTCCATTTTGAGCCCTGGTGAGCTGTAAATAGGAGGTATAATGTATCCAATTCCAGATAAATTCCGTTCCTTCTTGGATTGCTTAGTCAATTTATGATCAATTCAATCAGTTTATGTCTCTCCTCCACCCTCTGCTTTTCCCCATATGACATCTAGATTCTCAGGGCTTATATAGTGTCTTGATCTTTTCCTTTCCTGTATTTGATGATACCCTCCAAAATATTTGAGTTCCCATCTAAACCTCAAACATGTGGTTCATGTTGTCATGCTGCAACCTCCCATCCTGACCATAAGACTGGTTCAGGACTATACGCAGTCTTGCTGAGCTAACTCTTGTGTCCTGTTGGAAACCAAGAAAAACCGGACTGTTTTCTCACAACTCGGAGTAATTTGGAAAGTTGAGTGGGGTTACCTCAGGCTTTCTCCGGCCATCATATGAAATGAAGCCATCTCTGTTCTACTCTACCCATATTATGATGACACATAGAATTCTTGTGAAGCTATGGTGTCCCAGGTATTAAGACAAAAAGAGGATAAAACCCATATGTGAGGGGGCAGGGAATGTATCAAGTAATATTTCATCTAGTCACATTTCCTACCCCTAGAAAAGCCTCGTTCCCTCACAAAGAAAATGTACTTCTCATCTTAGGTATCACCCCCTCCAAGAAAGTAAGACTAATTATTTTCCAAAATTTGTCTAGAAGAGTAATGTCCATACTCAAATCAGCAAATAGGTGCTATCTTCCCCAGGATCTTCTTTTGTCAGGTGAATAAGGCTAGTTACTGGGTAGATTTTTCACTTCTCTCATTTAAGGGTAGTTACTTGTTCTCCCTGGCCTAACGGCTATAAGACAAATCATTCTTATTTACTCCTCCCACCTAGGATTATATGATACAATATAAGTCCCTCACTCCTGAGGCTTAGATTCAGGCATAAATTGATTTAGCTCATGTTGGATTTGTTGAGCAAACCCTAAGGTGACTTAATTTACCCTTGATTAGCAAGATTAGGTTTTCCTCAAGAGGAAGAATGGGGCCCATAATGTATACTAAGATCAGTTATATAATAACGAAAAGATACATTTGTTTACCCACTGAATTTTATATCCTGAAAATTTATACCCACTACAAAACCAATAAAAGTTACTTTTAAAAGATTATAAAACAGTTTGTACTGTATGATTTCAAACACTTTGAAAAATGTATATACATAGAAAATGATTTGGAGGGTATAATCTCAATTTTACTTGCTGGTGACTCTCAAAAACTAATTCATCTAATAATTCATTACTTCAAGAAATATTTATCATGCTTTATTAGGTATCAGACACTGGAAATCCAATTCCATAGCTTCATCCCACAACATATTTCTCTTAAATTCCAGATTCACATAGAAAACTGCCTACTTACACATGCTTATTTGAGGAAGATAAATATAACTAACCAAATGAATGTCTATGATCTCATTCAGACTATACTCAACAAGTTTAGACCACCCTGGCCTTGAATCCTCGCAGCTTACCATGTAAAAGGGGAGCCATGTGGCAATTGGCAAGAGCTTGGGCTTTTAAGTCAGACACAACTATGTTAGAACTCCTGCTCTGCCTCTTATTAACTGTAATCTTGGAAAATGTAATTAACTCCACTGAGCCTCACAGAGCACACTTAGTGAAAATATGAGTAATAAAAGAGACCTCACAGAGCATACCTAGTGAAAATATGAGTAATAAAAGAGACCCTGATATATACTTGCAGGATTTTTAAGCATTTAAAGTAAAAACGTTGGTTACATGCCTAACAGAGTTTCTGGCCTGTACTAGGCACTCAGCAAAAATTTTATTCCCATCCTGTCCCCTCCCTTCTGTAGCAGAGGTGGTATTACCATAATGAAACTGTGAAATTATGTGATAAAAAGCATTTGGAACTGCTACAGAGAAGAAAAAACAATATGCATTTACATTATGTCAGAAATACAGTGCATTCTTTATTATATTTAGCCAAACCAAATGAAATTGCTGACATTTAATCATTTTTTACTTACAAAAACAAGAATTTGATATGTTTCAATCTAATAGAACGATTTGCATGTTGAGTTCAAAGAGGAAGACAGACTTCATCTTTATTCTACTGACTTTTTTCCCTTCTCCTCCTTTTGAATCTCAAGGTAAGCATCAGGCAAACACATAATGTGGGTGTCTATGCTACCCTGTTAGCCCCAGAAAGACTATGGAAGCACAAAGCTACAAAGCAAATCACTCCACGATGCTGGAGCGAAAGTCAGGGTTACTTTCTGGGTCCCAAGAATGTAGACATCACTGATGACAGGACCTTGAACAAGTCATTTCCCTTTTGTTTGCCAATTGATCACTGGGATTAAATTAGGGAGCCTGCCCACCATTCCTGGAATGTTGTAAAGACCCATGAGACTCCCCATAGAGCAAACATTCTGGGTTCTTGGCTGGGGAGATCTGTTAAAGCCAATGAATTATTTTAACATAAATTAATTTGCAGGAATAACAGAACACTACATATTAGGCACACAAGTGTCAATTATTTATGAAATATCAAAAAGCACTTGTGAAACACAAATGACACCAAGATAGACAGGGATCCTTCCCTCTACAGAACTACGGAAACTCATGTGAACTGTGCCTGCCAGTGTTCTATGAGCTTTCTACATGCTTTCTCCTTTAATACTTAAAGTAAGCCTATGAGGCAACATTTTTATTTCAATTTTTCAGGTGAAAAATCTTTTTTTTTTTTAAATAAAAAATTCTCTGCGGACTTCCGCAGTGTTTGTGTCCCTGGGTACTTGAGATTAGGGAGTGGTGATGACTCTTAACGACCATGCTACCTTCAAACATCTATTTAACAAAGCACATCTTGCACCGCCCTTAATCCATTTAACCCTGAGCTGACACAGCACATGTTTCAGAGAGCACGGGATTGGGGGTAAGGTTATAGATTAACAGCATCCCAAAGCAGAAGAATTTTTCTTAGTACAGAACAAAATGGAGTCTCCTATGTCTACTTCTTTCTACACAGACACAGTAACAATCTGATCTCTCTTTCTTTTCCCCACATTTCCCCCTTTTCTTTTCGACAAAACCGCCATTGTCATCATGGCCCGTTCTCCATGGTCGCTGTCTCTTCAGAGGTGTTGGGTACATCTGCAGAAAGGCTGTCACTTCACACTTGGAAGATTGCACAGCAGCCAGTCAGAGGCGCTCCTCACCTCCCAGACGGGGCGGCTGGGCAGAGGCACTCCTCACCTCCCAGATGGGGCGGCCGGGCAGAGGCGCTCCTCACTTCCCAGACGGGGTGGCAGCCAGGCAAAGACGCTCCTCACCTCCCAGATGGGGTGGCGGCCAGGCAGAGGTGCTCCTCACCTCCCAGACGGGGCGGCCGGGCACAGGCACGCCTCACTTCCCAGATGGGGCGGCCGGGCAGAGGCGCTCATCACTTCCCAGACGGGGCGGCCAGGCAGAGGTGCTCCTCACTTCCTAGACGGGGCGGCCGGGCAGAGGGGCTCCTCACATCCTAGACAATGGGCGGCCAGGCAGAGACGCTCCTCACTTCCTAGATGGGGTGGCGGCCGGGCAGAGGCTGTAATCTTAGCACTTTGGGAGGCCAAGGCAGGTGGCTGGGAGGTGGAGGTTGTAGCGAGCCGAGATCATGCCACTGCACTCCAGCCTGGGCAACATTGAGCATTGAGTGAGCGAGACTCCGTCTGCAATCCCAGCACCTTGGGAGGCCGAGGCGGGCAGATCACTCGAGGTCAGGAGCTGGAGACCAGCCCAGTCAACACGGCAAAACCCCGTCTCCACCAAAAATAGAAAAACCAGTCAGGTGTGGCAGCGCGTGCCTGCAATCCCAGGCACTCGGCAGGCCGAGGCAGGAGAATCACAGGAGCCCAAGGCAGGGAGGTTGCAGCGAGCTGAGATCACGGCAGTACAGTCCAGCCTCGGCAACAGAGGGAGACCGAAGAAGAGAGAGGGAGAGGGAGGGGGAGGGGGAGGGGGAGGGGGAGGGGGAGGGGAGGGGAGGGGAGAGGGAGGGGAGGGGAGGGGAGGGGAGGGGGAGGGGGAGGAGGAGGGAGAATTCTTATACTTTATTAGTTGACTCTCACAGGATGTAAGTTGAAAAGCCCAGAATTCACATCCATCCTTGTTATTTCCCCAATCTGTGCTCTTTCTTTTCCAGGGCTTTGCCATGTACCTAGTCAAGTTCCTGGAGTGTCCAGTCCTAGAAGCATGGCATGTCTGTTATCACCACCACCAAGAAACCAAGAAACATTGAGTGAGTGCTTGTGGGTGTATGACAAAGCATGGTCAGAGGGAACAATCTGAGCAAAGACATAGAATTCAAGAGGATGCTTGGCCTGCTTGAGAACTGAAACAGGGCTGCTGGGGCTGAACACAATGCAGAAATAACTTCCTTGGTCCAGGGTGATCCCACCACTCAAAAACCCAACTCTATCACAGGCAACAATATAGCACAACCAGAAGCCAAATGAGTTGTAAAAAATATTTGATGCTTGGTGTTCTTCACTATCAGTTACACGCTCATAATTAGTTCAAATTGAAAAAGGACATTTTAATAGAAATATAACTAAGTATGGGTCAGATGCTCCATTGGGTGCTTATCTTTGTTGCTGTCCTCTAGCTCAAATTGCAGACTGAATT
Source organism: Homo sapiens (assembly GCF_000001405.40). NCBI lineage: Eukaryota > Metazoa > Chordata > Mammalia > Primates > Hominidae > Homo > Homo sapiens. The sequence goes on along the minus strand of NC_000023.11, from coordinate 101,737,775 downwards.
TTCTCATAGAATTGTAGAACACATCCTTGTTCTTCATCAAGCTCCCCTGCATTAATAATGAGCTATGAGATGAAAGCCTCATTATTGCGGGGGTGCATATTGCTTCAGCTGTCCAGAACAAGTCCTGCTGCTTATTTGTCTGTATGTGTGCACTTGGGAATGTTTGTGTGTGTGTGTTTCTGCCTAAAGCAGTTCCGTGTCTATTTCTTTGTTGTTGCCATGCTCTACAGGTTTCTCTCTTGTTCTTTAATTCAGGTCTTTGTCAAAGAAATTAAGACAACAATTGAAGTGGATGTGGAAAATCATGCTTGGCCTGGCTTCCTTGGCAGTTCTATATAATATGGCCATGATGTCAATCTTTACTGACTGAGTAGCGGACCCATGGAATGTTAATGGCTGTTATAGCGACAAGCTAAGGACATTTGGCAGATGGCACATAAAATTCTAGAGATAAAATTTCAGGAACAAAAGGGAGAGCTTTAAAGCTAAGATAGTGGAGTTTCCAAGCAGCCAATATTTTTGAATTCTGACTCTCCGTTTAAAAAGAATGGGGTGTTTCTTTATTACTTTTTCATTATCCATTATCCAGGGTATTCCCTGTGATTCATTCATTTATCTCTTTATTCATTCTCATATTATTCCTATTCCTAGTAGTATCTAGTGTTCAGTACTTTTCATCGAAGGTCCTGCTGAAATTTTGCTGAACAGTTTAAGTTGCTACAACATCCCTTGTATACTGCTATCATTTGTCCTTACCAAATGGAAGAAAAGAGTCCAAAGTATAAAATGGTCACTGAAAGAAAGAGGCCTTTTCATTCCCTTATTTCCTTTTCAAACTCACTCTTACAAACAACTCCTCAGAGCAATCTTGGCAGTCAGAGACATTGTATGCAGACGTTAAGGCCTAGACCCATCACCTGTCCCTGCTGTGACTCATAATATAAACATAGACCCTCTGTGTAGCTTGTTTCCTAGAATTTTAAAACATAACCCACAGCTGATGTCTTCCCTTCTGAGAGGCCCTTTCATGAGGTGGGCCAAAGAGCCCATGGTCCAGCCAAGCCTTGCATGGTTTTTAATCTTGAGAGCCTTCACAAACTTATCTTTCTCCAAATGTATTAGTACAATCTGAACCACCATCTTTCCTGGATCCCTACAGAGTCACTTACCCCATCATCGATTTCGTTTCTGCCACAAAGATCCCACCTCTTCTCCTAACCCTCATCTAGTAAAGCTTTCCTGTCTCCTGGACGTATGGATTCTGTTGAGTAGTTCTCAGGGCTCAGTCATCCATATCTGTGAATTAGGTGCTGCTTGACAAAATGACAAAATGTTCAGATTCAGTGGCCTCTTTCCCAGATTTGCTACTGTGTGTTTTTGTTTGCTTGCTTTTAAAATATTCTTCAGAGGCCAGGCACGGTGGCTCACGCCTGTAATCCCAGCACTTTGCGGGGCCGAGGCAGGCAGATCATGAGGTCAAGAGATCAAGACCATCCTGGCCAACTTGGTGAAACCCCATCTCTACTAAAAATACAAAAATTAGCCTGGCATGGTGGCAGGCGCCTGTAATGCCAGCTACTCAGGAGGCTGAGGGAGGAGAATCGCTGGAACCCGGGAGGCAGAGGTTGCAGTGAGCCGAGATCGCACCACTGCACCCCAACCTGGCGACAGAGTGAGACTCTGTCTCAATAAATAAATAAATACAAATAAAATAATAAAATAAAATATTATTTAGAAAGAGGCTGGGCATGGTGGCTCACGCCTGTAATCCCAGCTCTTGGGGAAGCTGAGGACCAGTGGATCACCTGAGGTCAGGCGTTCGAGACCAGCCTGGCCAAGATGATGAAACCCTACCTCTACTAAAAATACAAAAACTAGCCAGGTGTGCTGGTGTGTGCCTGTAATCCCAGCTACTCGGGAGGCTGGGACAGGCGGATTGCTTGAACCTGGGAAGTGGAGGTTGCAGTGAGCTGAGATCGCACCACTGCACTCCAGCCTGGACAACAGAGTGAGCCTCCATCTCAAAAAAAAAAAAAGGAGGATTGTATAAATCTATTAAACTATTGTCCCTAAGAAAACTGTAGCTCATTGCGAATGAAAACCCCACCCAGTTCTCAGCTTTGTGTAAACAGTTCCAGAAAAATATAGAGTGGACAAAAAGAACAGAAGACCTAACAAAGAATTTAATAATTTGGCAGGCTGGCCAGGGAGTGGGCCTTCTGAAAGAATTACACTGGTTGTTCCATATCCATTTTGACCATCTAGCCCAGGAGTTGTCAAACTTTTTTCAGTCAAGAAACAGACAGTAAATATTTTGGTCTTTTGGGGTCATGTAGTCTTTGTCTCAACTATTCAACTCTGTTGTTGTAGTCCAAGAACAGCCAGAGACCAAATATAAATGAGTGGGTGTGGGTATATTCCAATAAAGCTTTATGTACAAAATCAGAGGATAGATTGGATTTGGCTCAGAGGCCATATTACAAATCCCTGATCTAGTAGATGGTATAGTCCGTACAAAAATTGAACCGTGAGTAAAGGAAGGACTTGAAAGCACATGTACTTGTATATCAAAGCAATCAATATTCAAATCCTAAGTGTTGATTGAACTATGAGATGTTATTCCTTAATTCAGCACCTCTCACTCGTTGATTCATGTTATACATGGACCCTTACCACTGGTTAGCGCTCAGCATTTTTTATTGGATTTGATGCTGAGGTTTTATGGGTACCTCTAAATCACTACAACATCTCTTGGAAGCTGGAATCATTATCTCTTCACAAGTGGAAAGGGCTCAGGACCCTAAAAGGTAACAGGGAAAAAAAGAGCTTTTATTTATTAACTCTTGGCACCACTATTACAAATAACTAGCATAGTAAACAGCATTCAGAAGTAATATTCCAGACCAGCCACCTATTTCTACTGCTACTGCAAAATACAAACATAAATAACCCCAGGATTCATTTTCTAGTTGGGAGTATTCTTGACTTTTTTAACCTATAAAGGTGGCTAATATTATGTTAGTGTTAGAATAAAACCTCAAATTTTGAATGTCATATAAAGAATGAAATAAGAGATAATAATGATAAAATTTTATTTTGCTTCCTTCCTAAATTAATTCCAAGATTTACCTAATCATAATACTATAATTTTTGCTTTTAAGGAATCCTACCTTCTACATTTAAACACACTGGCCACTACTTACATACATATTGTGTAGATTTTACTTGTTTGCCTTTTTACTTCAAAGTTAAAGTTAAAAGAAGAGGGTTTGCTTTATCATGAGAGAATGTTATCAGCTTACATTTTCTGCTTATGTAGATCTTATTTTATTCTTGAGTATCCACTGATTAATTTTCAGCCTGATACATTGCCTGTGATGGGACAGTTGGATACATAGTTCTCTTAGATATTTTGCCCTCATTTTCTGGAGTTGGACATAAGGTCTGGAGTGCAGTGTCTTATATAGTATGAGAATGTTGTTAGGGGAAGCATTCTGGTATCCAAATCTCTTGTCCAAGAAGGAATCTGCTGAGATATCCCATATGTTGCTTGATCATCTGTTTATACCAGTGCATGGTATTCCATGGGTATTGGAATTAATCATCAGTAATACACAGTCCTTTGCAACAAAGTTGGACCTACTGTCTCTGTACCAGGCTTTTTCTGATTACCTAGTCATCTTTCTCATTACCAGTCCTCACTTATCTACAAGAATGCTGTGTAGTCTGGTGCCTCATGATAGCCATCTTCCTTTGCAGATACCCTTTCCTTAGAGGCCAGAGATCCAGCTTATCTAGAAGTGTTTGGGTGATTTTACAACTCATTTCATTCTTCTTGTGTCTTTCCTAAGTTCTTCCACCTCGAGTCATACTTATGCCATCTATTCCTCAGTTTTCTTCCAAAAATATCTTTCCACATTTTCCCTAGGACTTCTAACATCTGCTTTTATCCCAGGCCTCCTAATGTGTCTCCTGGACACAGTTTAGATTTCGCTCAATAAATGCAAGTGCCTTTCATCCCTGACACTATAGAATTGCCTTAGTTGGAGGAATGGTACAAATTCTTCAGTAATACATGTAGTGATTATCTTCTTTTTCTTTTTTTCCGACAGAGTCTTACTCTGTCACCAGGATGGAGTGCAGTGGCGCAATCTCGGCTCACTGCAACCTTCGCCTCCCGGGTTCAAGCGATTCTCCTACCTCAGCCTCCTGAATACCTGGGATTACAGACACATGCCACCACACCCAGCTAATTTTTCTATTTTTAGTAGAGAGAGGGCTTCACCATGTTGGCCAGGATGGTCTCCATCTCCTGACCTCGTGATCTGCCCATCCTGGCCTCCCAAAGTGCTGGGATTACAGGCGTGAGCCACCGCACCCAGCCAGTTATCTTCATCTTTAGACCCAGAGTTGCCATCCTGCATGCTATTTTCTCTTGCAGAGGCCCTTTCTCTCAGAGAAAAGCAGGACATTTTGACCAGGCTGATTTAATGCAGCTGTTATGCAAAGGCTACTTCAAAATGTCAGTGATGAATGTCAAAAGACTGTTTTTTATTACCAAGCTATGCATGCAACAGCCATCCCTGACCCTCACCCTATCCTTGACCCTTTTTTCCAGAGAACAGACTGGTTTTTCTCTTAACACTTTCCACTTTCAGTGTCTGTGGTAAGTCTCTGTGGGAGCTGGGGCTATTTTGCAAGCACTCTATCCAGTCAGCTTCTCAGTGGAAAGTCTTACATGAGATTTCCCCCACTATTCGCATCTTGATGAGACCACTGGCATTGTTCCTGCATCTGATTTACATAGTCTGGGGATTTACACTTTCCCATTTTTTGTTTTCTTTTTTGAAGTAATGCCAATTCATGAAAATGGCTGTAGGTACACCTTTCATGTCATCAATATGTGTCCTCACTCTTTTAACATTTTACGTATAGTATCTCTGAAATTATATCTTCATCTATATTGCATGGGGCCAAAAAGGAATTTACAGCATGTTAAATTTATTGGCTATTATATCTTCTAGGCTTATATTAATATACCCTGGTAATTTCTGATGAAAATACATCCTTATTCTTTAATTATTATTACACAAATAGTGCATATTCATTATGGAATGTTTAGAAAACATGAAAGCAAAAAGGGAAAAATCATTCATTTGCACTTCCCCTAATTGTTGGTCTTCTTTTTAAAGAACTAATGATATTAATATTTGTTAATATTTTATGTATATATTTTATTAATTTGAAGGTGCGTATATGGATTTGAAAATATATTTTTTACAAAACAATTATAACTTTGTTGCAAGATTTTCCCCATTTAATATATCTTGGACATATTACTGTCAATGCAACTTTCAAATGAAACTTTCCAATGAAGAATGCTTCTTCATTTCTCTTTAGATCTGTGGAGTATTTTATTGTTTGAAAGTACCATACTGAAATATACCTATCATTTCTCTCATTCATAGAGATTTAGTCATTTTTGATTTTTCAATATTTTTTCTGTTGATTCACTGTTATAATTTTCAATGTTAGAAATACTACTGCAATTAATTTTTGTACATTCATTTTTGTTTGTTTGTTTGTTTAGAGACAGGGTCTCATTCTGTCACCCAGGATGGAGGGCAGTGGTGTAATCATAGCTCATTGTAACCTCAAACTTCTGGGCTCAAGCAATCCTCTTGCCTCAACCTTCCAAGAAGCTGGGACTACAGGCACACACCACCAGCTGGGCTATTTTTTTTTTATTTTTTGTAAAGATAGGCCTTGCTATGGTGCCTGGGCTGGTCTCAAACTCCTAGCCTCAAGTGATCCTCCCACCCCAGCCCCACAAAGTGCTGGGATTATAGCAGTGAGCCACCAACCTGGCTGGCATGTTTGTATATTTAAAAGAGGAATTTTGTAGGAATATACAAAAGTGGAATTTTTGAATCAAATGGTATGAATACATTTTATTGTAGTAGATAATTCCAAATTCTCTTCCAGAAAAATGCAGCAATTTACATGCCTTCTACACAGTATGAAAATACCTCTTTTGCCACATCTTACATAGTGCTGACTCTCAATTACATTTTTCATCTTTGTCAGCCTGATAGGCATGAAAAGTAATTTTATTTTACTATAATTTTTGAATTATTAATGCTACTGAGCATCTCTTTATATTAGTTGCTTTTCTAAATCTCTTGTTCATATCCTCTGACCATCTCTCTGGTGGAAGATGTAAAAGATCTTTACATATCAAATATATTAATCCTCTGTCTATAACATGTGATGGAAATGTTTTATTATTGTTTTTCATATGTCTTTAAATGGTGGTTTAGGCAATACAGAAAGCATTTTTAATTTATTTTCTAGCTAAAAAATACATCTCATTGAAAAATATTAACCAATACACTGAGATGTATTAAAAAACAATGTTATCCATCTAGAGACTTTGTAGTACCTTAACAATTCCTATATAAAAGTGCAACGGGATTCAAACCTAGTAGTGACCAGAATGAAGACTGTACTAACTTTCTGAGTCTGTGGGTGAATATCACCCATTGGACTTCAGAATACTATTTGATACTGATTTCTTGCTCAGTCACCTCCTAGCTGGGTGGCCTAGATCAAGTTACTCAACTTTTCTAAGCCTGAGTGTCCTCATCTACATAGTGGGAATAATACCTACCTCAAAAAGTTGTGAGTAGAAGAGAGAAAATTTAGATGCCTCATACATGTGTGGAACTTGATAAATACTAACTTCTTTTCCTCCATGACATCTTCTCTCCTTCCTAAGGCAATTTACATATATGAAGACTGACTTGGAAACCATATAATCCATGTGGCCCACAGATCCGGTTTTCTTAGCCCAAGGGGCAGACCATCATTGATATCAGGAGATATTTATTTGTTTAACATATATTTACGGAGCATCTTCTATTTTCCAGGCACCATCCCAGGTGCTGGAGATACAGCACTGAAAAAAAAAAAAGGAAGGCTATCTGCCCTTTTAGAGCCTACATTCTAATCGGGTAAAACATACAATAAACAAGTAGCTATTTAATAATATGTTAGAAAGCAAGGTGCATTAATATAGTAGTTAAGAGAGCAAATTATGGTCTAGGCATTCGAACTTTTCAGAGAGATAAGCATTGCCCCCCAAAAAACATGATTCAATAAGCAAACAGAGAGTTGTGTGGTAACAGTGCCTGAACAACTAAACTTACTAAAGAATTATCTGTAAACTTCTCTTACTTCTAGCACGGTTCTAGAAATATTCATCCATTGATGAGACTCAAAAGCATTTACTGAGTGCCTACCATGTACCAAGTTTTAGACACAGAAGATATACAGAAGGGATCAAGTTACGCATAGTTCTTACCTTGCTGTATGTCATTGTATAGCTTCTGGGGTAGGGATAAAGTGAAACAAAAACTTCAAAATAAAAAACAAAAAGTACTATGCAGAATATGAAACAGAGTAAGAGCTAGAAGTAACTTTGGGCTACTTTAGGTTAGATGGTCAGCAAAGCACTCTCTGAGAGGGTAATATTTAGACTAAGCCCTGAATGACAAACAACCAGCCAAGTGAATATCTGGAAGAAGAGGCCAAACAGGAAGAGCAAGTATGCGAAGTCCTTAAGGCACCAAATGAAAGAAGGCCTGAAGGTCCATAGAAAATAATGGAAGGAAATACACCAGAAGAATAGTTATTAGTAGGGGGCTGGGACTATTTGGTATGTACATTTTATTCTCTAAGTTTGAACATGGTTTCTACAGTTTCATAGATGTGCATTACTTTCATAATTGTAAAATATCATAAAAATATTTATAGTAAGAAGAGGTAGAAAATGTGATCTAGAGGAAAAAGAAAAGGCTTTGAAGTCAGACCCAGGTTGGAAACTTAACTTTGTCAATTACTCACTGTTGACCCAGAGCAAAACATCTAACCTCTCTCTTAGCCTCAGTTTCCTGATATAAAGAATAGAGATAATAGTTCCATGTTTTGCACATGTAGAGATGCTAGCACAGCACTTTGGCCAGAATGCTAACTCCATTACCTATCAGTTATGCAATCATTAATAAGTTTCTTCATTCCCTCCAAGAGTTAGTTTCTTCACCTATAAAATTGGGTATAATAATGTTGACCCTTCAGGACTGTCACAGGGGTTAAGTGAGTTAATGTATATAAAATGATAGCACAATACTACTGTAGACACACACTAAATGACAAACACAATTGGTTATCTATGAATGGGAAATTGGTGGTGACTTTTATTTTCTTTAAACCTTGATGTATTATCCAAACTTCTAAATAACCACATATTTGTACTAAAATAAAACCACAATGAGATACCATCTTACGCCACTTAGAATGGCAATCATTAAAAAGTCAGGAAACAACAGGTGCTGGAGAGGATGTGGAGAAATAGGAACACTTTTACACTGTTGGTGGGACTGTAAACTAGTTCAACCATTGTGGAAGTCAGTGTGATGATTCCTCAGGGATCTAGAACTTAAGAAATACCATTTGACCCAGCCATCCCATTACTGGGTATATACCCAAAGGATTATAAATCATGCTGCTATAAAGACACATGCACACGTATGTTTATTGAGGCACTATTCACAATAGCAAAGACTTGGAACCAACCCAAAAGTCCAACAATGATAGACTGGATTAAGAAAATGTGGCACATATACACCATGGAATACTATGCAGCCATAAAAAATGATGAGTTCATGTCCTTTGTAGGGACATGGATGAAGCTGGAAACCATCATTCTCAGCAAACTATCACAAGGACAAAAAACCAAACACCGCATGTTCTCACTCATAGGTGGGAATTGAGCAATGAGAACACATGGACACAGGAAGTGGAACATCACACACTGGGGCCTGTTGTGGGGTGGGGGGAGGGGGAGGGATAGCATTAGGAGATATACCTAATGTTAAATGACGAGTTAATGGGTGCAGCACACCAACATGGCACATGTATACATATGTAACAAACCTGTACGTTGTGCACATGTACCTCAAAACTTAAAGTATAATTTTTTTAAAAGTATTCTCTTACAGTATTAACATATCTTAATTCTAGCTCTACAAATTTGTCCCAAGGAAGCACTTGCACAAGTTACAAGAATGTTTACGGCAGCATTGTTTGTAATGGTGAACATTGGTAAACATCTATCAACACAGGAGAGTTCCATGAATTACAGTAAATCTTTGCCATGGAAGAAAGATGAATCACTTAAAAGAAATGAGGTAGAGCTATATGGACTGCCATGGAAAGCAGTCCAAGATACATTAAGTAAAAAGGAGGCTCTTGTTCGGTGTGGTGGCTTACGCCTCTAATTCTAGGACTTTAGGGGGACAAAGTAGGCGTATCGCTTGAGTTCAGGAGTTGGAAACAACTTGGGCAACATGGCGAAACCCGGTCTGTAAAACAATACCAAAAAAATTAGCGAGGTGTGGTGTTGCATACCTGTAATACCAGCTATTAATACCCAGGAGGTCTAGGCTGCAGTGAGCCGAGATTGGGCCACTGCACTCCAGCCCGGGTGACAAAATGAGACTCTGTCTCAAAAAAGAAAAAAAAAAGTCTGCAAAAAACTGTAAGTTATTTTTAACCAAAAATTATTGTTATATACAGTACATTAGTTTTGGCATAGAGAAAAAGTCTGGAAGAATAAACACTGATCTGTTAACAGTCCTGGTGACTGGGGGATGAGATTACAGGGCTCTTTCATCTCTATATTATACATTTCCAAAATGTTTAGACTTTTAAACAAGGGTCATAGGAAAAAAATTAAAAAAGGAAAAAAACAAGGATCATGGATTTTCCTTGTATACAGGAAAAAAAATATTTTAGAATGGAGAAAGTGACTGAATGCTAGTAAGAGATAACTTAAATGTAAAGACTGAGAATTATCCCTTTAACAACGATGGTATTATTTATGACCTTGGCAAGAGCAATTTCATAGGAGAGGTCACTACCTCTCCAGTAAAGAGTGGATGGTGAGAAAGTGGGAATAAAGAATGTACACAGTTATTTCTAGTAGTTTGGATGGGAAGTGCAGGAGAGAGAGAGGGCAATAACTGGTGAGAGGTATGGGGTAAGGAAAGGTTTGTTTGTTGGGTTGTGTTTTTTTTTGCCTTTTTATGAGAGGAATTTGAGTATATTTGAAATCTGTTGGAAAAGGAGCTGGAAGAGAAGTTGAAACTACAGAAGAAATTGAGAATAGCTGATGGAATAAGGCCACAGAGGATGCAAGAGGGAAAGGGATCCAAAACAAAGATGAAGGGCTTAGCACTAAATAGGAAAAAATGATGAGATGGTGAAGGTTCAGAGGTTTGAAAACAATGGAAAAAGTGTGATGTGGTCACTGTGAAAATTGTCTAAGAGATGATTGTAGAGAAATACTGAAGAAATATTGGGCACACCTGGACCTTGAGACCAAATCTTGAGGCTATGTTATTTTTCTCAGCAGCACACAGAAACAATATTAGGAACAAAAAGGAAGAAATTGGACTGATTCTTTCATGGATAGGGTTTTCACATGTAATTTTGAATTAGAACAAAGAGGCAATGGAGTTGAAGAAACTGGCTTGTCCAAGGAAAGGGATAGCATGATATAGAGCTTGTGGCAGGAGAGAGTATGGTCCATGTGGCTACCATGCAGAGTAAGAAAAGTTGTATGAAGATAGGAGGAATAAGTTCAAGAGATCTACTGTGACTATAGTAAATGGCAACGTACAGTCAGCCCTCCATATCCACGGGTTCTGCATCAGTGGATTCAACCAACTGCAGATTCAAAATATTCAGAAAAAAAAAACAATTAACCATGGCAATACAATAAAAATAATCTCTTTTCAAAAAAACTATACAGTGTAACAAATATTACATAGCATTTACATTGTATTGGGTATTATGAGTAATCTAGAGATAATTTAAAATATACAGGAGGATGTGCCTAGGTTATATGTAAACACTACACCATTTTAGTTCAGGGACTTGAGCATCCAGATTTTAGTAGCCACGGGATCCTAGGACCAAGCCCACAATGATACCAAGAGACAACTATATTATATTCCTAAAAATTGCTAAGAGAGTAAATTTTAAGTGTTCTCACTACAAAAAAAAAAAGATATGTATGTGAGGTAATACATATGCTAATTTAGCTCAGTTTAGCCATTCCACAATGTATACATATTTCAAACATCAAGTCATACATAATAAATGTGTAAACTTTTATTGTCAATTTAAAAATAAATTAACTTTTAAAAAAGAAAAGCAATATGAGATAAAGTTGGGGAAGAAGGGCATGGAGGGCCTTATAAGCCAAGAGGGGCAATTTGGGTTTCAAACAGGATAGAAATTCACTGGTGTGTTTAGGATGAGTAGTGACTTGGTGTAATTTAATGTTTTAAATAATCTCTCTAGATGGAGAATAAATCAAGAGCAATATCGATTAGATGAAGACACTAAGAGTAGGAACATGACAAGGATACTTGCTTTCACCACTTCCATTCAATATTGTATTGATATTCTAGCCAGGGAACTTAGGAAAGGAAAGGAAATAAAAGGCATGCAAATTGTAAAAGAAGAAGTAAAACCCTCTATTTCAAAAATGACACGACCTCGTATATAGGAAATCCTAAGGAGTCCACAAATAAACTATTAGAGTTAAACTAGTTTAGCAAAGTTGCAGGCTAAAAGATCAATATACAAAAATCATTTACATTTTAATACACAAGCAATAAAAAACTCAAAAGTAAAATTCAGAAAACAATTTTATTTACAATGGCATCAAAAAAATACTTAGAGCCAGGTGCAGTGGTTCATGCTTGTAATCCCAGCACTTTGGCAGGCAGAGGCAAGGGTATATAGATTGCACCTAGGAGTTTGAGACTAGCCTTGGCAACATACCAAGACCCCATCTCTATAAAAAAAATTTTAAAATATATTATCCAGGCATGGTGGTGGCACCTGTAGTTCCAGGTACTTGGGTAGCTGAAATTGGAGGATCACTTGAGCCTAGGAGGTTGAGACAACAGTGAGCTGTGTTTGGACCACTGCACTCCAGCCTGGGTGAAAAAGTAAGACCCTGTCTCAAAATAAAAAAAAACAAAAATACTTGGGAATAAATTTAACCAAGGAAGGCAAGAATTGCAAACTGAAAAACTACAAAACATTGTTGTAAAAAAATTTTTTAAAGACAAATAAATGGAAAGGCATTGGCGTTCATGGATTGGAAAGCTTAATATTCTTAAGATAACAGTACTCCTCAAATTGATCAACACTTTCAATACAATCCCTATCAAAATCTCAGCTGAGTTTTTACAGAAATACACAAGCTGATTCTAAAATTAATATGGAAATGCAGGGTACACCCAATAGCTAAAAAAAAATTTTGAAAAAGAAAAAAACAAAGTTAGAGGACTCACACATTTCAATTTCAAACTTACTACAAAGCTACTATAATCAAGACTGTGTGGCAATGATATAAAAGGATAGACATATAGATGAACAGATCAGAAATGAGAATCCAGAAATAAACCCTAACGTTAATGGACAATTAACTTTTAACAAAGGTTTCAAGGCCATTCAATGGGGAAAGAATAGTCTTTGCAACAAATGGTACTGGGATAAATAGATATTCTCATGCAAAAGAATTAATGTGCACCCCTACTTCACATCATTTTCTTTCTTTTTTTTTTTAACTTTTCTTAAACTTTAATATTATTAGTCTATATCACATCCTGGGTAACCCAAAGTGTATCAAAGACTTATAAGAACTAAAACTGTAAAACTCTTAGAAGAAAACTTAGAGAGAAATCTTTATGAACTTGATCTAGGCAGTGATTTCTTAAATATGACACCAAAATCTCAGGCAACGAAAGAGAAAATAAATACATTTTACTTCAGAAAACTTTAAATTTTTTGTGCTTCAAAACTTAGGAAAAAATCTTTCATCAAGAAAAGACAACCCATAGGATGGGTTGAAAATATTTTCAAATAATACCTGATAAGAGTTTAGTATCTAGGATATACAAAGAACTATTACAACTCAACAATAATAAAAGACAACACAATCTAAACTAGGTAAAGTGTTTGAATAGATATTTCTTCAAAGATATGCAAATGGTCAATAAGTACATGAAAAGATGCTCAACATAATTAGTCATTAGGGAAATGCATATCAAAACCACAATGCAATACCACTCAACACCCAGTAGGATGGCTATAATAAAAAAGATGAGCAATAACAAATATTAACAAAAATGTGGATAAATTGGAAGCCTCATATATTGCTGATGGGAATATAAAACACTGCAACCACTTCGGATAACAGTTTGGCAGTCCTTCAAAAAATTAAACAAAGAGTTAGCATGGGACCCATCAATTCTATTCCTAGGTATATATATACTAGAAAATTGAAAACATATGTCCACCACTCAAAAATTTGCACGTGAATGTCCGTAACAACATTATTCATAATAGCTCAAAAGTGGAAACCACACAAATGCCTATCAATTGATGTATGAGTAAACATAATATCATATATCCATACAATGAAATATCAGCCTTAAAAAGGAATGAAGTGCATGCTGATACATACTACAATGTGAATGACCCTCAAAAACAGTATGCTAAGTGAAAGAAACCAGACTCACAAGATTTCATACTGTATGATTCCATTAATATTAAATATTCAGAATAAGAAAATTCAGAGGGGCAGAAAATATATTAATGGTTGCCAGGAGATGGGGAGAGAGAACAGTGGGGAGTGACTGCTAATGGATATGGGGTTTCATTTAGGGGTTATGAAATTATTCTCAAATTAGGTAGTGATGATGGTTGCAAAACTTTGTGGATGTATAAAAACCACTCCATTGTGCAATTTAACAGGGTGCATTTTATGGTATATGAATTATATCTTAATACAAAGAAAAAAGATTAAAAGGAACAGAAGGAATGGAAGGTGAGAGGGAGGGAGGACAGAAAGAAAAAGGGAGAAAGGACGGAAAGAAGGAAAGAAAAAAGAAAGCAAGATAAAGAACTTGATTAAAACTAGGGTAAACATAAACTCTGTTTCTCCTATACTCTCACCGAACAATCAATACAGAAGACTTCAGTAACCAAACATGTAATCAAAGCAAGTAATGAATTCTGCAGGGGACACCAGCTACATATCCTCTAATTCAATTGTGACACTATCCACCTGGAGACAGGGTCAGATCCCACAGGTTGAAGGTTCAGTCCCAAAGACTGCTCCCCAACATCTGATGCCAATCACAAGCCCCAGGCTGTTTTTCTTCTTCTGTTCTTCTGACCAACTGAATATAAATTGGAGTTCTCACAATCCCCTCCTTGGGTTCAACTAATTTTCTAGAGCGGCTCACAAAACTTAGGGAAACACTTACATTTACCAGTTTATTATTAAAGAATATTACAAAAGATACAGATGAAGAGATTCATAGGGTGAGGTATGAGAAGGAGCGTGGAGTTTCTGTGCCCTCCCTGGGCACACCATCCTTCAGGAACTTCCACGTGTTCAGTGACCTGAAAGCTCTTCAAACCCAGTTCTTTTTGGTTTTTATGGAGGCTTCATTAGATAGGCATAACTGATTGCATCATTGGCCATTGGTGATCAACTTAACGTTCAGCCCCTCTCCTTTCCCTGGAGGTTGGGGGTTGGAGCTGAAAGCTCCAACCTAATCCTGCCTTGATCTTTCCCATGACCAGCCCCCATCCTGAAATACCTAGGGGCCCCAGCCTCCAGTCATCTCATTAGCATACAAAAAAACAAAACTTTGGAGATTCCAAGGGTTTTAGGAATTGTATACAAGGAAATGGAAATGATGACCCAATATATATTTCACAATATCACACAGGAGTGGAGAAAAGTGAGCATTTGCTCTCTGAAATTTCTCGATTAAAAGAAAAATTTCATCTATATACATTTTTCCATTCATCTTAGACATTTTAGAAAGATAAATTACTACTTGTTTGTTTCCAAAACTAGAAAAAAGACATTACATAGGCATTCTGAATTCCAGACTCCCCTCCATGTCCATAGCATTATCAGAATAGTTAAGATTTGCAAGTGACCAAGTGTCTCCCAATATTTCTAAAACTCAAAGATAATTTCAAATTGTTTTATCAGTTATTTTGTAACTGCAAAATTTTTCTTTCAAAAATGTAGATATTACAACTTTCGGTGTCCCTCATTCACTCTAACACTTTGCTTATTAGTGGCATCTAGTTTCAAAAAGTGAAAGTCAGTGTCTTAGCTCCAACTGCTGTAACAAAATGCCATAGACTGGGTGGCTTAAACAACAGACATTCATTTCTCACAGTTCTGGGGGCTGAAAATCTGAGATTAGGATGCTAGCATGGTCAGGTTATGGTGAGGGTCCTCTTCTAGGTTGCAGACTTCCGACTTCTCATTGTATTCTCACGTGGTGGAGAGCAGAAAAGGGAAGCAATCTCTCTCATGACACTTTGAAGTGCACTAATCCCATTCATGAGGGCTCCATTTTCATGACCTCATTTAATCCTAATCATCTCCCAAAGGCCCCACCTTCTAATAGTATCAAAGGTAGGGGTAGAGTTTCAACATATGACTTTAGGGAGTTCGCAAACATTAGTCCATAGCAGTCAGTGTCTTTCACATTTTGATATGCAAAAAATTAAAACAAGGCTAAATGTTACAAATAATGTGAAATGGAGAAATTCAGTGTTTCTATGTGAAAATATGGATGGTGATATAATTTGCCTGGCTTTTCCTATTCCTGGAATTTCAAGTAATACATGCCATTTACTCTAAAAAAATAAATGAATAAGAAAGCCAGTTAGGAGATCTTTGTAGCAGCTTGGCTAAGAAAAGATGTTAGCTTGCTCTAGTGTGGTAACAATGAAGTGGGAGAGAAGCAGACAGGTTCAAGATACACCTGGGAGACACAATCAGTACGACTTGGGATAAACTGGATGAAAAGGTGACAGAGAGATAGGAGTCACACTTTCTAGCTGGTAAAAAATAGGTAACGCTGGTCTCTAATGCTCCATTTCCCATTCTCCAGGAGGCTCCAGGTTTCCCTATCGCAGCCTTTGTCTCCCTGTGAACTGCAGGTACTGGAAGATTTGTAGAGGGGACTCTGGGACACTCTGGAAGCTGGAAAATGGTCTCACTGCCTATAAGCTGGACCTGGTCACCTATCTGGAGCAGAAGAAAGAGTGCTGGGATGTGAAGAAACATGAGACAGCCACACACTCAGATCTGTCATGTCATTACAACCAAGGCCTTTCACCAAAGCGGGGCATAGATGTTTCATTTCAAAAAGTAATATTGGGAAGATATGAAAGCTGTGGCCTTGAGAATTTACACTTCAGGAAAAACTGTGAAAGTGGGGTGGAGGTGAAGGGCAAAAAGAATGTTATAATGTGCATAACCAATGGGCAACAACTACTCATAACAGAAATTTAACTGCCACAGGAGATCAAGAACATAGAACATCTCAGAAGAAACCTCAACTTACATCAGCTACTTCTATATAGAAACATATGTTTCTATAAGTAAATATCAACATTGATTTTTGAAATAAACCTTATGTAATGAAACTCAGAAAAACTTTAACCATAGCTCAAATTTCAGTAAACATCAGAATAATTATTTTCCAGATGATCATTACAAATGTAACAAATATAAGAAAGTGTTTTAACAACCCTCAAAACTTACTATCCATCAGAGTATCCATATTCAAGAGAAGCCTTACACATGTAAGAAATGTGGGAAAATTTTAACGAGTTCTCACCACTTACTCAGCATCAGAGAATTCTTACTGGAAAAAAATCACACAGATGTAATAAGGGTAGAAAAGTCTTTAGTCAATCATCACATCTAAATAGACATAAGAAGATTTATATTGGAGAGAAGTCATTAAAATGTAAAGAATTGCAAACCCATTAACTGCTGCTACTCAATCCTCACACAACATCAGGGAATCCATACTGTAGAAAAAACTTTCAAATCGAAAGAATATGGCAAAGCCTTTAACAGGTGTTCACATCTTACTAAAAATTAAAGAATCGGTACTGGATAGAAACCCTACAAATGTAATAATTTTGGAAAGACTTTTGTCCAAAATATACACCTCAGAGAACACCACAGTATTTATCCTGGAGAGAAATTTTACAAATGTAAATCAGGTAACAAAGCCTTTAACTGATGCTTAAATTTTGATCAACAGAGAATTTCTATAGGAGAGAACATCTACAAATGTAATAAATGTGGAAGGACCTTTGTCTAAAATATACACCTTAGAAAGAAAAAAAAAGTGACACTGCCTGCCATTAACTGAGATAAGGAAGGTGGAGGAGGGCCATGTTGGAGGATGGAAGAGAGCAGAGATGACGAATTTAGTTTTTGGACATCTTGAGTTTGAGATGTTGAAACAAAAGTAGGTTTGTCAAAATAAACCTACTACCTTTATTTGACAAAGACATCAGTGGGCAAAACAACTCTTAAGATACTAAAACCATGAATGAAACTTCAGGAGCCTGTAAAGCCAAATGGATGGCATTCAAAAATTTCTAGAAGATTCCGGAATTATAATTCTCACACTGTCAGCAGTGGTGATTCCTCAAGGTTAGGATTGATCTAGGGAACCGTATTTGCCATGTTGCACATTCCTACACTGTCTGAAATTTTATGACATGTACATTTTTGTAGTAAGAAAATTTTAGTTATTTTAAAAAAGAAAACGGAAATGTTTTGCCATAACATAGATAGTTCACAAAATAAGAAACCCAAACAACCAATAAACAAACCAAAAGTACTCAGCCTCCCTAGTAACTAGCCAAATGGAAATTTAAATAAGATAGCATGTTTACATTTCGAATTAGCAATTTCATTTTTTCTTTTTATTTGTATAAAAATATTTTTTAATTTTCAATTTTTGTGGGCACATAGTAGGTATATATATTTATATATATATCAAAACATAAGATGTTTTGATACATACGTGTAATGTGAAATAAGCACATCATGGAGGATGGGGTACCCATCCCCTCAAGCATTTATCCTTTGAGTTGCAAACAACCCAATTATACTCTTTAAGTTTTTTTTTTTTAGTTGAGATAAGGTCTCACTCTGTCCTCCAGGCTGGGGTGTAGAGGCAGGATCATGGCTCACTGCAGCCTTGACCTCCTGGACTCAAGCGATCCTCCCACCTCAGCCTCCCTAGTAGCTGAGACTACAGGCATGCACCACTAAGCCCAGACAATTTTTCTATTTTCTGTAGAGACCGGATTTTGCCATGTTGCCCAGGCTGGTCTTAAACTCCTGGGCTCAAGCTCTCCTCCCACCTTAGCCTTCCAAAGTGCTAGCATTACAGATGTGAGCCACCACTTAAGTTATTTTAAAACAGATAATTAAGTTATTATTGACTATAGTCACCCTCTTGAGTTATCAAATACTAGGTCTTATTCATTCTAAGTAGTTTTGTACCCATTAACCATCCCCACCTCCTCAATAAGCTCCCCCACTACTCTTCCCATCCTCTGGTAACCATCCTTCTAATGTCTATGTCCATGAGTTCAATTCTTTCGATTTTTAGATCCCACAAATAAGTGAGAACATTGTGATGTTTGTCTTTCTGTGCCTGGCTTATTTCACTTAACATAAAGAAAGTAAGTTGTTTAATATCAGGTCTGAAACTAAGAAGAGAGTTAGACAGGAGATAAACTTGGGAGTTACAAGCGCATATTATAAAGCATTTGGCTTTAAAATATATGTGTCCTTTCATCCCAGCAGTCCCACTTCTAGGAATTTGTCCTAAGATACAGTTTCAGGATGTACATAAGTATAATGTTGCAAGAATGCTTTTCTCTGTAAATCCCTAATTTTGGCCTGGACCTGAAGTTAGAGAAGGAATAATTATCACATGTGAAAAGCAGCCAGGAAGGTGCAAAAGGAAAGAGGGAGGAGTTGTAGGCAGCTGCAAACATTAACAGAAACACAAACATACCACCACGCAACACTACAAATAATAATGGTCAAGTGTTATTTCTTGCAATCCTAGGATTTACAGGGGTAATTTTGATGAAGGGGTCTATGGCATAGAGGAAAAATCAAAGTGTGTTTATTCCTACTCTTAATCATTCAGTATAATATAACACGGAATACTTCTGTGACTTCTGGTCCCCAAAATGTATGGGGATTTCTCCCCACCAGCAAGCAGTGCTGCAGAATCCTCTGCAGCAGACACCAGCTGGACGTCCTCTAAATTTAAAAATTCAATTATGACACTATCTACCTAAAGAGAGGATCAGATCCCACAGGTTGAGGGTTCAGTCCCCAAGACTGCTCCTCACTTTAAATCCCAGACACAAGCACAGATTGTGGTCTGAGCTTCTGGCTGATCGGCTACAAACTGGGGGTTCCCATGACCTCTTCCCCGGGTTCAATTAATTTGGTAGAGAAGCTCCCAGAGCTCAGGGAAACACTTACTTACACTTACTGGTTTATAATAACTGATAGTACAAAGCATACAGATGAACAGCCAGAAGAAAGCAATGCATAGGGTGAGGTATGGGAGAAAGAACGCAGAGCTTCCAGGCCCTCTCTGGGAATGCAGCTCTTGAAGAACTCCCACACATTCTGCTATTCAGAAACTCAACAAACCCTATACTTTTGGGTTTTTAGGAGGCTTCATTAAGTACGCATGATTGATTACATAATTGGCCACTGGTGATCAACTCAACTTTCCACCCCTTTCTACTCCCTAGAGGTTAAGGGGTGGGGCTGAAAGTCCCAACCTTTTAATCCTGCTTTGGTCTTTCCCATTTTCAGTACCCCATTCTGAAGTTACCTAAGGGCCCCCAGCCACCAGTCATTTCATTATCATATAAAAGACACTCATCGATGGGGAGAGTCCAAGGATTTTAGCTGTGTGTCAGGAAATGGAAATGAAGACTAAATAAATATTTCATGATATAACAGGGGACAAAATTTTTTTTGATGTGTTGAAGGTACATGGTGTTGCAGAAAGCTGACTTTTACTTACACTCTTGATTGGACTATAAATTGTCCCAATCTTTTGGAGGCAAATTTGATGGGCCTTATGATGATAGAAAATGTGCATGTTCTTTTAAGACAGCAATTTCACTTCTAAAAATGTATACAAAAATAATGGTACACATAAGTAAATATGTATGTAAAAATGTCCACTTTTAGCATGATTTGTAATAATGAACACTTTTTAAAGTCTAAAGGGCATTTAGAGCTCATTGGTTGCATTTTAAAGTATACATTTATGCAAAGGAACCCTCTGAATGGTTTAAAGGAAATGAAGTGGATCTATATGTACTATCATGAAAAGATAGCTATGTTTTTTTAAAGCAAGTTGCTAAACAATATACCCCATATGATCCAATCTTTTTGCAAAATAAATGGGTGTGTATGTGTGTCTGTGTGTGTGTGTTTGTGTGTGTGTGTTTGTGTGTGTGTGTGTGAGAGAGAGAGAGAGAAAGAGAGAAAGACAGACACGGGGGCGGGGGGTATTTGCGAAGAAATTAATGGAAGAATAGACACCATTAGCTACCTTCACAGGGGAATGGAGAGAAACAGGGAAATTTCACTTCCTAATTTATATAATTTTATATCATTTAAAATTTTGTGGGGGAGAGGAGCCAAGATGGCCGAATAGGAACAGCTCCGGTCTACAGCTCCCAGCATGAGCGACGCAGAAGAGGGGTGATTTCTGCATTTCCATCTGAGGTACCGGGTTCATCTCACTAGGGAGTGCCAGACAGTGGGCGCAGGTGAGTGGGTGCGTGCGGAATATGCGAGCCAAAGCAGGGCGAGGCATTGCCTCACTCGGGAAGCGCAAGGGGTCAGGGAGTTCCTCTTCCTAGTGAAAGAAAGGGGTGACAGACAGCACCTGGAAAATCGGGTCGCTCCCACCCCAATACTGCGCTTTTCCGAAGGGCTTAAAAAATGGCACACCAGGAGATTATATTCCGCACCTGGCTCGGAGGGTCCTACACCCACGGAGTCTCACTGATTACTAGCACAGCAGTCTGAGATCAAACTGCAAGGCAGCAGCGAGGCTGGGGGAGGGGCGCCCACCATTGCCCAGGCTTGCTTAGGTAAACAAAGCAACCTGGAAGCTCCAACTGGGTGGAGCCCACCACAGCTCAAGGAGGCCTGCCTGCCTCTGTAGGCTCCACCTCTGGGGGCAGGGCACAGACAAACAAAAAGACAGCAGTAACCTCTGCAGACTTAAATGTCCCTGTCTGACAGCTTTGAAGAGAGCAGTGGTTCTCCCAGCATGCAGCTGGAGATCTGAGAACGGGCAGACTGCCTCCTCAAGTGGGTCCCTGACCCCTGACCCCCGAGCAGCCTAAGTGGGAGGCACCCCCCAGCAGCGGCAGACTGACACCTCACACGGCCGGGTACTCCAACAGACCTGCAGCTGAGGGTCCTGTCTGTTAGAAGGAAAACTAACAAACAGAAAGGACATCCACACCAAAAACCCATCTGTACATCACCAACATCAAAGACAAAAAGTATATAAAACCACAAAGATGGGGAAAAAACAGAACAGAAAAACTGGAAACTCTAAAAAGCAGAGCGCCTCCCCTCCTCCAAAGGAACACAGTTCCTCACCAGCAATGGAACAAAGCTGGACGGAGAATGACTTTGACAAGCTGAGAGAAGAAGTCTTCAGACGATCAAATTACTCCGAGCTATGGGAGGACATTCAAACCAAAGGCAAAGAAGTTGAAAACTTGGAAAAAATTTAGAAGAATGTATAACTAGAATAACCAATACAGAGAAGTGCTTAAAGGAGCTGATGGAGCTGAAAACCAAGGCACAAGAACTACGTGAAGAATGCAGAAGCCTCAGGAGCCGATGCAATCAACTGGAAGAAAGGGTATCAGTGATGGAAGATGAAATGAATGAAATGAAGCGAGAAGGGAAGTTTGGAGAAAAAAGAATAAAAAGAAACGAGCAAAGCCTCCAAGAAATATGGCACTTTGTGAAAAGACCGAATCTACGTCTGATTGGTGTACCTGAAAGTGATGGGGAGAATGGAACCAAGTTGGAAAACATTCTGCAGGATATTATCCAGGAGAACTTCCCCAATCTAGCAAGGCAGGCCAACATTCAGATTCAGGAAATACAGAGAACGCCACAAAGATACTCCTCGAGAAGAGCAACACCAAGACACATAATTATCAGATTCACCAAAGTTGAAATGAAGGAAAAAATGTTAAGGGCAGCCAGAGAGAAAGGTCGGGTTATCCTCAAAGGGAAGCCCATCAGACTAACAGCAGATCTCTCGGCAGAAACTCTACAAGCCAGAAGAGAGGGGGGGCCAATATTCAACATTCTTAAAGAAAAGAATTTTCAACCCAGAATTTCATATCCAGCCAAACTGAGCTTCATAAGTGAAGGAGAAATGAAATACTTTACAGACAAGCAAATGCTGAGAGATTTTGTCACCACCAGGCCTGCCCTACAAGAGCTCCTGAAGGAAGCGCTAAACATGGAAAGGAACAACCAGTACCAGCCTCTGCAAAATCATGCCAAAACGTAAAGACCATGAAGACTAGGAAGAAACTGCCTCAACTAACGAGCAAAATAACCAGCTAACATCATAATGACAGGATCAAATTCACACATAACAATATTAACTTTAAATGTAAATGGACTAAATGCTCCAATTAAAAGACACAGACTGGCAAATTAGATAAAGAGTCAAGACCCATCAGTGTGCTGTATTCAGGAAACCCATCTCATGGGCAGAGACACACATAGGCTCAAAATAAAAGGATGGAGGAAGATCTACCCAGCAAATGGAAAACAAAAAAAGGCAGGGGTTGCAATCCTAGTCTCTGATAAAACAGACTTTAAACCAACAAAGATAAAAAGAGACAAAGAAGGCCATTACTTAATGGTAAAGGGATCAATTCAACAAGAAGAGCTAACTATCCTAAATATATATGCACCCATCACAGGAGCACCCATATTCACAAAGCAAGTCCGGAGTGACCTTCAAAGAGACTTAGACTCACACACAATAATAATGGGAGACTTTAACACCCCACTGTCAACATTAGACAGATCAACGAGACAGAAAGTCAGCAAGGATACCCAGGAATTGAACTCAGCTCTGCACCAAGTGGACCTAATAGACATCTACAGAACTCTCCACCCCAAATCAACAGAATATACATTCTTTTCAGCACCACACCACACCTATTCAAAAATTGACCACATACTTGGAAGTAAAGCTCTCCTCAGCAAATGTAAAAGAACAGAAATTATAACAAACTATCTCTCAGACCACAGTGCAATCAAACTAGAACTCAGGATTAAGAATCTCACTCAAAACTGCTCAACTACATGGAAACTGAACAATCTGCTCCTGAATGACTACTGGGTACATAACGAAATGAAGGCAGAAATAAAGATGTTCTTTGAAACCAACGAGAACAAAGACACAACATAGCAGAACCTCTGGGACACATTCAAAGCAGTGTGTAGAGGCAAATTTATAGCACTAAATGCCCACAAGAGAAAGCAGGAAAGATCCAAAATTGACACCCTAACATCACAATTAAAAGAACTAGAAAAGCAAGAGCAAACCCATTCAAAAGCTAGCAGAAGGCAAGAAATAACTAAAATCAGAGCAGAACTGAAGGAAATAGAGACACAAAAAACCCTTCAAAAAATTAACGAATCCAGGAGCTGATTTTTTGAAAGGATCAACAAAATTGATAGACCGCTAGCAAGACTAATAAAGAAAAAAAGAGAGAAGAATCAAATAGATGCAATAAAAAATGATAAAGGGGATATCACCACCGATCCCACAGAAATACAAACTACCATCAGAGAATACTGCGAACAACTCTACGCAAATAAACTAGAAAATCTAGAAGAAATGGATAAATTCCTCGACACATACACCCTCCCAAGACTAAACCAGGAAGAAGTTGAATCTCTGAATAGACCAATAACAGGAGCTGAAATTGTGGCAATAATCAATGGCTTACCAACGAAAAAGAGTCCAGGACCAGATGGATTCACAGCCGAATTCTACCAGAGGTACGAGGAGGAACTGGTACCATTCCTTCTGAAACTATTCCAATCAATAGAAAAAGAGGGAAACCTCCCTAACTCATTTTATGATGCCAGCATCATCCTGATACCAAAGCCTGGCAGAGACACAACCAAAAAAGAGAATTTTAGACCAATATCCTTGATGAACATCCATGCAAAAATCCTCAGTAAAGTACTGGCAAAACGAATCCAGCAGCACATCAAAAAGCTTATCCACCATGATCAAGTGGGCTTCACCCCTGGGATGCAAGGCTGGTTCGGTATACACAAATCAATAAATGTAATCCAGCATATAAACAGAGCCAAAGACAAAAACCACATGATTATCTCAATAGATGCAGAAAAGGCCTTTGACAAAATTCAACAACCCTTCAAGCTAAAAACTCTCAATAAATTAGGTATTGATGGGACGTATCTCAAAATAATAAGAGCTATTTACGACAAACCCACAGCCAATATCATACTGAATGGACAAAAACTGGAAGCATTCCCTTTGAAAACTGGCACAAGACAGGGATGCCCTCTCTCACCACTCCTATTCAACATAGTGTTGGAAGTTCTGGCCAGGGCAATTAGGCAGGAGAAGGAAATAAAGGGTATTCAATTAGGAAAAGAGGAAGTCAAATTGTCCCTGTTCGCAGACGACATGATTGTATATCTAGAAAACCC
This sequence comes from Homo sapiens, assembly GCF_000001405.40. NCBI lineage: Eukaryota > Metazoa > Chordata > Mammalia > Primates > Hominidae > Homo > Homo sapiens. The sequence continues at coordinate 101,712,988 of NC_000023.11, read as the reverse complement.
CATTGTCTCAGCCCAAAATCTCCTTAAGCTGATAAGCAACTTCAGCAAAGTCTCAGGATACAAAATCAATGTACAAAAATCACAAGCATTCTTATACACCAATAACAGACAAACAGAGACCCAAATCATGAGTGAACTCCCATTCACAATTGCTTCAAAGAGAATAAAATACCTGGGAATCCAACTTACAAGGGATGTGAAGGACCTCTTCAAGGAGAACTACAAACCACTGCTCAATGAAATAAAAGAGGATACAAACAAATGGAAGAACATTCCATGCTCATGTGTAGGAAGAATCGATATCGTGAAAATGGCCATACTGCCCAAGTTAATTTACAGATTCAATGCCATCCCCATCAAGCTACCAAGGACTTTCTTCACAGAATTGGAAAAAACTACTTTAAAGTTCATATGGAACCAAAAAAGAGCCCGCATTGCCAAGTCAGTACTGAGCCAAAAGAACAAAGCTGGAGGCATCACACTACCTGACTTCAAACTATACTACAAGGCTACAGTAACCAAAACAGCATGGTACTGGTACCAAAACAGAGATATAGATCAATGGAACAGAACAGAGCCTTCAGAAATAACACCGCATATCTACAACTATCTGATCTTTGACAAACCTGAGAAAAACAAGCAATGGGGAAAGGATTCCCTATTTAATAAATGGTGCTGGGAAAACTGGCTAGCCATATGTAGAAAGCTGAAACTGGATCCCTTCCTTACACCTTATACAAAAATCAATTCAAGATGGATTAAAGACTTAAACGTTAGACCTAAAACCATAAAAACCCTAGAAGAAAACCTAGGCATTACCATTCAGGACATAGGCATGGGCAAGGACTTCATGTCTAAAACACCAAAAGCAATGGCAACAAAAGCCAAAATTGACAAATGGGATCTAATTCAACTAAAGAGCTTCTGCACAGCAAAAGAAACTACCATCAGAGTGAACAGGCAACCTACAAGATGGGAGAAAATTTTTGCAACCTACTCATCTGACGGAGGGCTAATATCCAGAATCTACAATGAACACAAATAAATTTACAAGAAAAAAACAAACAGCCCCATCAAAAAGTGGGCAAAGGACATGAACGGGCACTTCTCAAAAGAAGACATTTATGCAGCCAAAAAACACATGAAAAAATGCTCACCATCACTGGCCATCAGAGAAATGCAAATCAAAACCACAATGAGATACCATTTCACACCAGTTAGAATGGCAATCATTAAAAAGTCAGGAAACAATAGGTGCTGGAGAGAATGTGGAGAAATAGGAACACTTTTACACTGTTGGTGGGACTGTAAACTAGTTCAACCATTGTCGAAGTCAGTGTGGCGATTCCTCAGGGATCTAGAACTAGAAATACCATTTGACCCAGCCATCCTATTACTGGGTATATACCCAAAGGACTATAAATCATGCTGCTATAAAGACACATGCACACGTATGTTTATTGCGGCATTATTCACAATAGCAAAGACTTGGAACCAACCCAAATGTCCAACAATGATAGACTGGATTAAGAAAATGTGGCACATATACACCATGGAATACTAGGCAGCCATAAAAAATGATGAGTTCATGTCCTTTGTAGGGACATGGATGAAATTGGAAATCATCATTCTCACTAAACTATTGCAAGAACAAAAAACCAAACACCGCATATTCTCACTCATAGGTGGGAATTGAACAATGAGATCACAGGGACACAGGAAGGGGAACATCACACTCTGGGGACTGTTGTGGGGTGAGGGGAGGGGGGAGGGATAGCATTGGGAGATATACCTAATGCTAGATGACGAGTTAATGGGTGCAGCACACCAGCATGGCACATGTATACATATGTAACTAACCTGCACATTGTGCACATGTACCCTAAAACTTAAAAGTATAATAATAATAAATAAATAAATAAATAAAATTTTGCAACAAGCATATATACTTTATGATCAGAAAAATAGCTTAGTTAAAATTTCAAAAATTGGAGGAAATCTTACTGAATAGTGAGTGATTCATAAAATTAAATAGGAATATATTTATTGACCTGAAATATGTTCATGATTTATTGCTAGGTGAACAAAAGCAGCTTGCAAACATTGTAAACGTAAGAATGAATTGGAAAGATATATGCAGAGTAATATGCTTTTAGTATGGCCCCACTTTTATGAAAGAATATATGTATATATCCCAAGAAAAACGTTTCTAAAATAATGTATTATTGTTACCGGAAAGGGGTTCCAATCCAGACCCAAAGAGAGGGTTCTTGGATCTAGCACAAGAAAGAATTCAAGGAGAATCCATATAGTAAAGTGAAACCAAGTTTATTAGAAAAGTAAAGTAATAAAGAATGGCTACTCCATAGGCAGAGCACCCTCGAGGGTTGCTGGTTGCCCAGTTTTATGGTTATTTCTTGATTATGTGCTAAACAAGAGGTGAATTATTCATGCTTCTCCTTTTTAGATCATACAGGATAACTTCCTGATGTTGCCACGGCATTTATAAACTGTCATGGCCCTGGTGGGAGTGTAGCAGTGAGGACAACCAGAGGTCACTCATTGCCATCTTGGTTTTGGTGGGTCTTGTCTGGCTTTTTTACTGCAAGCTGTTTTATCAGCAAGGTCTTTATAACCTGTATCTTGTGCTGACCTCCTATCTCAGCCTGTGACTTAGAATGCCTAATCTTCTGGGAATGCAGCCCAGTAGGTCTCAGCCTTATTTTACCCAGCCCTATTTAAGATGGAGTTGCTCTGTTTCAAATGCATCTGACATTATTAACAGAGGATATTTCTACAGGTTTGGCAGGTGAAAGAAATACAGGAAAATTTCATTATCTATGTTATATGTTTGCATATTATTTGATTTTTACAAGGATTTTATTAGCTTTAAAATCAGAAAAATAGAGATTAAAGTTTGAAACATAAAAAATATTGTTTTAAAGTAATTCAGAAAGTAAGATATAAATTGTTATTGACATTGAAAGATCCACAACACATGGCTAAATTTAAAATGGTGGTTACAAATTGCATGTACATATACGTTTGTGCACAGAAAAATTCTAAGCTCTACAAACAAAAGTACCAAAACATAACTGAACATCTGAATTATAAGATTCTAGGTAATTTCTATTTTCTTTACACTTTTCTGAATTTCACTGTTTTTTCTCAGTAAACAAGCACAACTTTTATAATCAGAAAAAACTGCAAACGACATAATCCTATCTTAATTTTAAACCCATGCATACGTGTGCACACACATGTGTGCATGCACACCCAGAGCTTCTCTTTATCTGAGGGTGGAAGATTCCCTAGGACTGAGACAGCTCCCTGCCTACTCTGGACAGACTTTGGCAGTTCCCAGCCTGATTTGTGCATGTTGTAGGACAAGTAGGCTGGAAGTAGTAGGAGGGAGATAAGGGAGAGGGAGGGATATAGTGGGAGAAGGGGGAAGAAGAGCATAGACTAGAGGCCTAGCTGACTTGTCTGGAGGAAATCTCAACAGATTAAAAAAAAAAAAAAAGAAGAATCTTAGCAGAGGCTGCCTGCCACTGATGTGCTTACTATGCCAGGCAAACTTCTGGAAAGCTCAGTCTGGCGGTTACAGCAGCAGCCCCTTCCCACTTCTTTATTCCCTCCTTCTTACCTTCCCTTCTAACATTCCTGCTCTGTGATGTTCAGGTTGCATTTCTGACTCTGGACTCCTAAGTGTCACTCATCTGTATTTTCTAATTGCTTCCCAGTGCATATGTTCATTAGTACAAGAAAAAAAATGAAGCAATGAAAGTTATTTTCTAAGCAGGCAATGAACCAATATGTACAGAGATATTCAAATTTTCTTTAAACAGATATAGATAGAAGAGGATTAGAAATATAAACACTGCTCATTTAATTGGTAGGAGTTGAAAAGAAAACCAATGAAAAATACCCAATTCAGTGTCTGACACATAGTAGGCACTTTGCTAAAGTCAGTACCCTTCACTATTATCCTGAACACTTCCCATTTATAAACAGCCATTTTTTTCTGTCAAATAGCTAAACCATGGTATAAAGAGCATTCGAAGTAAAAGAACCTTCCTCATCTATATTATGTACGATAGTCAGTGCCTTTTCTATAATTTACAGTGTGGTGTCTAATGAAGTTGTGTTGGGGCAAAATCTTCATCCCTCTCCTATTGAATCATGGTGACTTGCTGTGCTTTTTAGGAGATAAACATCAACTAGGTGTCTGTGTTGTCTTTGGATTCCAAAATATGAAAATACTACAGGGCCAGAAAGCACAAAGATTCTCTGATGGACAAGATGTTGGAATGAAAGCCAGGTAATATTAGTAGGTCCTTGAGCCCTTGGGAATATAACTACCACCTTCCTGTGAAAATTATCTCCTGTTGAAATTGTTTCCTATTATTCATTTTACTCTATGCTCTCTATAAGGCTTCTTCCTATTATTAAAAGACATATTTCTGGTGTCTGAAAAAATAAAATAAGTTACAGAAAATCAATTGCATCTATAAAGCCATTCATGTGACAAGGATTCCCAAGACTTAGGCAATGGCCTGTTTCTCATGCATACTTAGCCATGTTAATAACTAGGTAACCATGACAACCATCAGGACTGTGACGCCAAACCTACGCTCTTCAGCAATGAATTAAGCTGCCTCATATGTACATGTTTAAGAAGTCCCCACTGGCAAGCTCTGGCAGACAGAACTACACAAATAGTCTGGAAGAGGGAGGAAGAAAAGGAAAAGGAAACTACCTTCCTCAAAAGCAGACAAATACCAAGAGCTCTCGAAGGCCTAAAAAAATACAAAGGTAGTAAAAGAATGACAACCCCTAGGCTGCCCCACCTGCAGAAACACAAACACACAGTTAGCAAGAAACCACCATAGTAAGGAAATAAATAAGATTGCCTCTGGGGGATTGCAAAAGTCCTCCATCTTTTCCACAACATATGAGAAGCTTTAGGCATCAGCTGTCTGTGCCTTACAGTTTTCTCTGTTTCTCATTTCTTTTCCCCATTTTCATGGTTGGATTTCCTCTAGCCAGCTGATCTTCCCTCGGGGTTCTGAAGGCTGATGACACCCACAGCTTCTCCCAGTGCAGGCCTCACACCTGAACTCCAGATCCATATGATCAACTAGTCACTGAAGAGCTCCCTTTGGGTAACTCACAACCTCCCACAACTCAACTTTTCTCAACCTGAACTCCTCCACTTTCTCCTCAAATACCTGTTTCTCCTCCCCTTCCTCCTCTTCTTCCTGCTCCTCCTCAAGGGGTCCTCACTCTCCATGACGGACACCATCAATGCGCCTCACTGCCCAAGCCAGACTCTCTTCTCTGCCTCACCCCGACATCCCATCTGCTATTGTTTGAAGGTTGGTGCCTCCCCAAAATTCATATGTTGGAACCTAATAACCAGTGTGATAGTATTAAGAGATGAGGCCTTTAAGAAGTGGTTAAGTCAGATGAAGGCTCTACCCTCATGAATAGGATGAGTGCCCTTAGAAGAGAGGCTGGAGCAAGCTCCCTTAGCCCATTCTGTCATGCGAGGACACAGTAACAAGGCACCATCTATGAAGCAGGGGAACCCTCACCAGATACCACATTTGCTGGCACCTTGGTCTCGGACTTCCCAGCTTCTAGAACTGTAAGAAATATGTTTCTGTTGTTTATAAATTACCCAGTGTAAGGTATTTTGTTATAGCAGCCCCAGTGGACTAAGACACCATCCATGTACCTCTGAGATGTCTCTCATCAGTCCACTCCTACCAGATGCCACTCCTGCCTACCTTGCCCAGGCCATCTCCCTTCTGGTTATCTGCAGCAGCCTCCTCTGCTGTGGAGTGGGTGTGGGGACAACTCCAATACACTGCAGTCAAAGACACCTTCCTAAAATCTGAATGCTTCCATGTCTGAATGAGAACATCTCAATGTCTGGCTTCCCACTGTACTGGAGACAAGGTCCAATCAACCTTGATGTGGCAGACAAGACCTTTCAGGGCCCCGCCCCTGGCTACTACTCTATCTTCAATGCTTTGGCCATACTGAACTTTTCTAAGATCTCTGAATACATATTGCTCTCTCTCTCTCACCTCCTAGTTTTTGCACATGCCATACTTCTGCCTGGACATGACCTGTCTTCCCTTTCATTGGACTGGTCCCAACTCAACCTTGACTGGTGTGTTGGGTGTGTGCATATTTTGTTGTCATACCTGGACAGGCAGTCTTTTGATTGTGTCCTCCAATCCAATCATCACATCCATTGTGGCTGGCTTTTACTGGTTTAGCTTTTAGAGGAAAATCATATTTCTAAATTCTTGAAGTGTGTGTGTGTGTGTGTGTGTGTGTGTGTACCTCACTGAAACTCCTCTCTACCAAAGTTATACATCTACTTTCAGTTTTTAAAAAAATGGACTACAGGTGCATGGTCTCTGTCCCATCAAACTTGGACATATGTATGAATATGTGTGTATTTCCCTCTTTAAAAAAAAAACCTTGGTGCTAGGTGCGGTGGCTCAGGCCTGTAATGCTAGCACTTTGAGAGCCTGAGGCTGGTGGATAACGAGGTCAGGAGTTCAAGACAGCCTGGCCAACACAGGGAAACCCCATCTCTATGAAAAATACAAAAATTAGCCAGGTGTGGTGGCATGCGCCTGTAGTCCCAGCTACTTGGGAGGCTGAGGCAGGAGAATCACTTGAACCCGGGAGGCAGAGGTTGCAGTGAGCTGAGATCCCGCCATTGCGTTCCAGTCTGGGTGACAGAGTGAGACCCCATCTCAAAAAAAGGAAAAAAAAAAACTTGGTTAAAGGATAATTTAATAATTTTATGCCAGAGACTGGGTTAAGCCCTTCATCTCTAGCTATGTATTCCTTTAATAATCTACTGTGCTTTTTCATTACTGGTCTTTTTTGATGCTTAAGAATATTTGTGATCTCATCTTTCTTCGAAGAACTGCATAATAATTATGAGTTTGGTCTTTCTAGTTAGACCGTATAGCTACAAATCCTGCTACTGTTGCTATTTTTATGACTGAGCAAGCTACTTAATCTCTTTATGTATGTTAGGATACATATGTACATACATACCTTCCACTGCCCTGCCAAAGGGTTGTTTGTTATCCTCTTTTTGTATGTACATATACATACATTTAACATACATATAACATGTATGTTAGGATACATACATATAACATTATGTATGTTAGGATGCATACATAAAGAGGATAACAAACAACCTTTTCCATAGGGCAGTTATGAGGTATATATGATATGATGAGTATAAAATGCTTAGAGCAGTGCCTAATACATAATAAATGCTGGGTAAATTTTAACCAAAGTTGTCAACCTAGATGTTGCTTTCCTTTGCTTATGCCTTTTCTTCCAGAGAATAGAACAGCTACTTTCTCTGCATTTTAGAATCTGCAGCCACTGGCCCTCTTCCAGTGCTATTTTCTCAAATGTACCTTTTTCTCTCAACTTTCCATCTTTCTTAATTGAGAATTAAGTACATCCAAAGATTATTACAGGTTCAGAGTCCACAAAGTAATTAAAGAGAACTGGTCAGTGTTTAATTATAAAAATACTAATTTGGGAATTAATTATTTCTATGATTTTGGACATTATGATTATAATATCTGGCTAGGATGAGAGTGATAGAAATTTATTTTTCAAATAAAATTTGCTGTACCATATGTTTGGGTTTATTTGTTGAAATATAATATTAATAATTACAGAAAAATCTGATAATATGGTCTAAGTGCTCATTAAAATCTCTCTCTCCCGCCATCTGCTAATTAGCTGACATTTTAAGGTAGGATGTCTTTCAATGACCAGCGAACTGCAAAATCAGTTTCCTTTGTTCCTTTCATTCTCTGCTAATTGAGTTAGAATAATCACATCATTAAGAAGCTTCTATGGGCAACTAGCCCTCAGAGAAGTTGAATGAAGGTGAGGCACAGAAGAGGCATTTGGAAGCATGGACATTTAAGCTACTCCCCTTATCCTGTGACTCAGTGCATCAAGGTATCAGGATTCTCTGGAAACCAGGAAGCCCTGGTTTCAGAATGCACCTTAATTAATCAATGACACTACTTTTAGGTTTAAGGATGGCTCAAGGCCATATTCATCAAGAAGAAACTCTTGAGATTAAGAGGAGGAAAGAAAAAGAGTGAGAAAAAGAGAGAGCATGACAGGGACAGACAGACAGAAGTTGAGAGAGGGTGGAGAAAAACATAGTTTATAGTTAAGTTCATGCTGTATACTTTCTTTAACCTAAAATTTGGGTCTGTGCCTTCTTGACTCCTAGTAAAATACCCTGATTACCTTCCAAAAACTTTTAAACTGAAATATTTTTAAAAATTTCTAGAATTTAGTAGAATTTTTTTTAAAAAAGTTCTCTGGAAGTGGCTTCTAGCAGAGGAGCCCGGAGTGAGTGTTGGGGGTACATTGGGTCAATCCTAAAGTAGGAAATATTTTACAAGCATGGTCCTAAATCAGAAAAGATTGATATTAAGACTTGTGTCCTGGGGCTAGTTGAGTACTTGGATACTTATTTAGTACCCAGTGTGTATGTGGAATGGGGATGGCTGAAACGAGCTGGGATACTGAAGCAACCACTGCTTCTTCCGGGTTACTCATCCCATCCTATGTCTTCTGAAGTACCTCTGCAATCCCTAATGCCTAATCTCTGTTTGTCTGGCTGCCTAGGGAATGAGGACAAGCTGAAAGTCTGGCCTCTCAGTTTTGTCTCCCACTGCCTGACTACTTTTCTATTCTCAACCCAGTCCACCTTCACATACCCCCAGTTGTGAGTCGGTCAGGTGGATGTTTCTGGTCAATGAGATGTACGAAGGGGGACAGTATTAGTGGAGCCATGGAAGAAATGGAATTTCAAGTGTGAAAATTTTGACAAGCATGGCCATGAATAAAGAACTGCAAGTATTTTTCTGTCCCCCAAGCTGTTAATATTTGTCCAGTTATCTTTTCTAAAAAAAAAAAAAAAAAAGTTGCTGTGTACATAATAGGTGTATGTATTTAAAGAGTACATGAGATATTTTGATACAGGCATACAATGAATAATAATCACATCAGGGTAAATGGAGATATCCATCACCTCGAGCATTTATTCTTTGTCTTACAAATAATCCGATTGTACCTTTTTATTTAATTAAAAGTGTACAATTAAATTACTTTTGACTATAGTCACCCTATCGTGCTAGCAAATACTAGTTATTATTCATTCTTTCTAACTAGTTTTTGTACCCCTTAATGATCCCCACTCCCCTCCCCCAAACCTCTCACTTCTCTTTCCAGCCTCTGGTAACTATCTTTCTAAACTCTCTATCTCCATGAGTTCAATTATTTTAATTTTTACCTCCGACAAATAAGTGAGAACATGGGAAGTTTGCATTTCTGTGCTGGGCTTATTTCACTTAACATAATGATCTCCAGAATCATCCATGTTGTTGCAGATGACAGGACTTCATTCTTACGGCTGAATAATGCTCCATTGTGTACATGTACCACATTTTTTTTATCCATTCATCCGTTGATGACACTTAGGTTGCATTCAAATCTTAGCTATTATAAACAGTGCTGCAACAAACAAGAGTGCAGATATCTCTTTGATATACCGATTTCCTTTCTCTTGGGTATATACCTAGGAGTGAAATTGCTGCACCATACAATAGCTTTATTTTAATTTTTTGAGGAACCTTCAAATGGTTCTCCAGAGTGGTTGTGCTAATTTACATTCCCACCAACAACATAAAAGGTTCCCCTTTTTTCCACATTCTTGCCAGTATTCGTTATTGCCTGACTTTTGTTTTTATATAAGTTTTAGTTTTAATTTTTGTGAGTTCATAGTAGGTGTATATATTTACAGGGTACATGAGATGTTTTGATATAGGGATGCAATGCGAAATAAGCACATCATGGAGAATGGGGTATCCATGCCCTCAAACACTTATCCTTTGAGTTACAAATCATCCTATTACACTCTTTCAGTTATTTTAAAATGTAAAATTATTATTGACTACAGTCACCCTGTTATGCTATCAAATAGTAGATCTTATTCATTCTTTCTAACTATGTTTTTTGTACCCATTAAGCATCCCACCTCCCCCCTAGTTCCCAACTACCTTTCCCAGCCTCTGGTAACCATCCTTCTACTCTCTATGTCCATTAGTTCAATTCTTTTGATTTTTAGATCCCACAAATAAATGAGAACAGAATGGGAGAAAATGTGATTTTTTTTTTTTTGAGATGAAGTCTTGCTTTGTTGCCCAGGCTGGAGTGCAGTGGCACGACCTTGGCTCACTGCAACCTCTGCCTCCACCGTTCAAGTGATTCTCCTCTCTCAGCCTCCCGAGTATCTGGGATTACAGGTACCCACCACCATGCCTGGCTAATTTTTTGTATTTTTTAGTAGGTACGAGGTTTCACCATCTTGGCCAGGCTGTTCTCAAACTCCTGACCTCAAGCAATCTGCCCGCCTTGGCCTCCCAAAGTGTTGGGATTACAAGCATGAGCCACCATGCCCAGCGTCATTTACTTGGATTTTAAAAAATAATAATAAATGATTGGTTTAGCCACTGTGCCCGGCCATGATGTTTGTCTTTCTGTGCCTGGTTTATTTTGCTTAACATAATGATTTCTAGTTCCACTCATGTTGTTGCAAATGACAGGATCTCATTAATTTTAATGGCTGAATAGTACTCCATTGTGTATATGTACCACACTTTCTTTATCCATTCATTTGTTGATGGATACTTAGGTTGCTTCCAAAATGTTAGCTATTGTAAACAGTGCTGCAACAAACACAGGAGTGCAGATATCTCTTCAATATACTAACTTCCTTTCTTTTGGATATGTACCCAGCAATGGGATTACTGGATCATATGGGAGCTCTATTTTTAGATTTTTGAGGAACCTCCAAACTGTTCTCCCTATTGGTTATACTAATTTACATCCCCACCAACAGTGTATGAGGATTCCCTTTCCTCCACATCCTTGTCAGCATTTGTTATTGTCTGTCTTTTGTATATAAGCCTTTTAGCCATTTAACTGAGGTGTGATGTTATCTCATTGTAGTTTTGATTTGCATTTCTCTGATGATCACTGACATTGAGCACCTTTTCATATGCCTGTTTGCCATTCATATGTTTCTTTTGAGAAGTGTCTATTTAAGTCTTTTACCCATTTTTTGATCAGATTATTAGATTTTTTTCCTATAGAGTTGTTTGAGCTCCTTATGTATTCTGGTTATTAATCCTTTGTCAGATGGGTAGTTTGCAAATATTTTCTCTCATTCTGTGGCTTGTCTCATTACTTTGTTGGCTGGTTCCTCTGGTGTATAGAAGCTTTTTAATTTGATATGATCCCATTTGTTCATTTTTGCTTTGGTTGCCAGTGCTTGTGTGATATTACTCAAGACGTTTTTGCCCATACTAATGTCCTGGAGAGTTTCCCTGTTTTCTTGTAGTAGTTTCATATTTTGAGGTCTTAGATTTAAGTCTTCAATCCATTTTGATTTGATTTTGTATATAGCAAGAGACAGAGGTCCAGTTTCATTCTTCTGCATATGGATATCCAGTTTTCCCAGTACTATTTATTGAAGAGACTGCCTTTTCCCCCAGTGTATGTTCTTGGCACTTTTTGTCAAAAATGAGTTCAATGTAGGTGTGTGGATTTGTTCTGGGTTCTCTATTCTGTTCCATTGGTCTATGTGTATCTTTCAATGCCAGTACCATGTTGTTTTGGTTACCGTAGCTCTACAGTATAGTTTGAAGGCAGGTAATGTAATTCCTCCAGTTTTGTTCTTTTTGCTTAGGAAAGCTTTGACTATTTGGGACCTTCTGTGGCTCTATATAAATTTTAGGATTTTTTTTCTATTTCTGTGAAGAGTACCATTGATATTTTGATACAAATTGCATTGAATTTGGAGATTGGTTTGGGTAGTATGGACATTTTAACAATATTGATTCTTCCAATCCATGAACATGGAATATCTTTCATTTTTTTGTGTTCTCTTCAATTTCTTTCATCAGTGTTTTATAGTTTTCATTGTAGAGATCTTTCACTTCTTTAGTCATGTTAATTCCTAGGTATTTATCTGTATGTGTGGCTATTATAAATGGAATTAATTTTATTTCTTTTGCAGATTATTTGCTATTGGCATATAGAAATACTACTGATTTTCATATGTTGATTTTGTATCCTGCAACTTCACTGAATTTATCAGTTCTAATAGTTTTTGGTGGCACCTTTAGGTTTTCCTAAATATAATATCATATCATCTGCAAACAAGGATAATTTCATTTCATTTCCAATTTGAATGCCCTTGATTTCTTTCTCTTCTCTGATTGCCCTAGCAAGGACTTTCTGCACTATGTTGAGTAACAGTGGAGAAAGTGGGCATCCTTGCCTTGTTCCAGATCTCAGAGAAAAGGCTTTCAATTTTTTCCCATTCAGTATGATACTAGCTATGGGTCTGTTATATATGGCTTTTATTATGTTGAGGTATGTTTCTTCTATCCCCAGTTTTTTTTTTTATTCAGGAAGGGATGTTGAAATTTATCAAATGCTTTTTCATCATCAATAGAAATGAACATATGGTTTTTACCCTTCATCCTGTGGATATGATGTATCACACTGATTGATTTGCATATATTTAACCATGCTTGCATCCCAGGGATAAATCCCACTTGGTTATAATGAATGATATTTCTAATGTATTGCTAAATTTAGTTTGCTAGTATTTTGTTGAGGATTTTTTTGCATCAGTATTCATCAGAGATATTGGCCTAAAGTTTTCTTTTTTTTTCTTTTTTTGATGTGTCTTTTTCTGCTTTTGGTATCACCATAATACTGGCCTCATAGAATGAGTTTGGAGGTATTCCCTCCTTTTCTACTTTTTGAAACAGTTTGAATAGGATTGGTATTAGTTCTTCTTTAAATGTTTGGTAGAAATTCACTGTGAAGCCACTGGGTCCTGGGCTTTTCTTTACTACGAGACTTTTTATTGTGACTTCAATCTCATTACTTGTTAAAATTGGTCTGTTCAAGTTTTGAATTTCTTTCTCTTTCAATCTTGGTAGATTGTGTATGTCTAGGAATGTGTCCATTTCTTCTAGATTTTCCAATTTATTGGCATATTGTTGCTCATAGTAGCCACTAATGATCCTTTGAATTTCTGCAGTATCCAGTTGTAATGTCTCCTTTTTCATCTCTGACTTTATTTATTTGGATTTTATCTATTTTTTTCTTAGTTAATCTGGCTAAAGGTCTGTCAATTTTAACTTTTCAAAAAACCAACTTTTTGTTTCATTGATGTTTTGTGTTGTTTTCCTCATTTCAAATTCATTTATTTGTGTTCTGATCTTTATTATTTCTTTTTTTCTACTAATTTTGGGTTTGGTTTGCTGTTGCTTTTCTATTTCTTTAAGACGCATCTTTAGGTTGTTTATTTGAAGTTTTGCTTCTTTTTTGATGTAGGCACTTATAGCTATAAGCTTCCCTCTTGGTACTGCTTTTGCTCTATCCCAGAGGTATGGTGTGTTGTGTTGCCATTATCATTTGTTTCAAAAAAAAATGTTCAATTTCCTTCTTAGCTTCTCCATTGACCCACTGGTCATTCAGAAGCATATTGTTTAATTTTCATGTGTTTTTATAGTTTCCAAAATTCTTCCTGTTATTAATTTCTAGTTTTATTTCATTGTGGTCAAAGAAGATGCTTCATTATTACAATATTCTGTTTTTTTCCAGTGTACTTACTATTTCCAGTGAGTTTTGTACCTTCAGATAATTTCTTATTGCTCATTAACATCCTTTTCTTTCAGATTGAAGAATTCTCTTTAGTATTTCTTGTAAGACAGGTCTGGTATTGATTAAATCCTTCAGCTTTTGCTTGTCTGGGAAAGTATTTATTTCTTCTTATGTTTGAAGGGTATTTTCACTGGATATACTATTCTAGGGTAAACTTTTTTTTCCTTCAGCATTTTAAATATGTCATGCCACTCTCTCCTAGCCTGTTAAGTTTCCACTAAAAGTCTGCTGCCAGACATATTGGTGCTCCATTGTATGTTTTTTGTTTTGTTTTGTTTTGTTGTTTTATTTTGTTTTGTTTCTGAGATAGAGTCTTGCTCTTTTTGCCCAGGCTGGAGTGCAATGGTGCCATCTCAGCTCACTGCAACCTCCACCTCCTGGGCTCAAGCAATTCTCCTGCCTCAGCCTCCCAAGTAGCTGGGATTGCAGGCACCCGCCACCACGCCCGACTAATTTTTGTATTTTTAGTAGAGATAGGGTTTCGACACCTTGGCCAGGCTGGTCTCAAACTCTTGACCTCAGGTGATCTGCCGACCTTGGCCTCCCAATGTGCTGGGATTACAGACGTGAGTCACCGTGCCCATCCTGTTGTTTATCTTCTCTTGCTGTTTTTAGGATATTTTCTTTATTCTTGACCTTTGGGAATTTGATTATTAAATGCCATGAAGTAGTCTTCTTTGAGCTAAATCTGCTTTGTGCTCTATAACCTACTTATACTTGGATATTGATATCTTTCTCTAGGTTTGGGAAATTCTTTGTTATTAGCCTTTTGAATAAACTTTCTACTCCTCTTTCTGTATTTCTTCTTTAAGGCCACCAACTCTTAGATTTGCCCTTTTGAGGCTATTTTCCAGATCCTGTAGGCATGCTTCATTGTTTTTATTCTTTTTTCTTTCATCTCCTCTGTTTATTTTCAAATAGCTTATCTTCAAGCTCACTAATTCTTTGTTTTACTTGATCAATTCTTCTATTAAAATATTCGGATGCATTCTTCAGGATGCATATTACGTCATTCTTGCATTGCTATAACGAAATACCTGAGTCTGGGGAATTTATAAGGAAAAGAGGTTTAATTGGCTCATGGTTCTCCAGGCTTTACAGGAAGCATGGTACTGGCATATGCTTCTGGGGAGGCCTCAGGAAGCAAGCTTACAATCATGGCAGAAGGTAAAGTGGGAGCAAGCACTTCACATGGTGAAAGCAGGGGTGAGAGAGAGAGAGAGTGGGCTAGGAGGTGCCACACACTTTTAAACCAACAGACCTTGTGTGAACTCAGAGGGAGAGCTC
Source organism: Homo sapiens (assembly GCF_000001405.40). Lineage (NCBI taxonomy): Eukaryota > Metazoa > Chordata > Mammalia > Primates > Hominidae > Homo > Homo sapiens. The sequence goes on along the minus strand of NC_000023.11, from coordinate 101,697,874 downwards.
ACTTATCACCAAGGGGATGGCCCAAGCCATTCATGAGGGATTCATCCCCATGATCCAAACACCTCCCACCAGATCCCACCTCCAATATAGGGGATTACAATTCAGCATGAGATTTGGGTAGTGACAAATATCCAAACTATATCAGTATGTCAGTTGCAGTTTTCAACCCTAGAATTCCTGCTTAATGCTTTTTAATGATTTCAATCTGTTTGTTAAGTTGATCTGATAGAATTCTGAATTCCTTCTGTGTTATCTTGAATTTTATTGCGTTTCCTCAAAACAGCTATTTTGAATTCTCTGTCTGAAAGGTCACATATCTCTGTTTCTCCAGGATTGGTCCGTGGTGCCTTATTTAGTTCATTTGGTACAGTCCTGTTTTCCTGAATGGCCTTGATGTTTGTAGATGTTTATGTTTGAGCATTGAAGAGTTAGGTATTTATTGTAGTCTTTGCAGTCTGGGCTTGTTTGTACCCATCCTTCTTGATAAGGTTTTCTAGAAATTTGAAATGACTTGGGTGTTGTGATCTAAGCCACAACTGCATTAGGGGGCACCCCAATCCTAGGAACACTGTGGTTCATGCAGACTCATAGAGGTACCGCCTTGATGGTTTTGGATAAGATCCAGAAGAATTCTCTCAATGTCTCAATGTCCAGGCAGAGACTCTTTTTCTTTTCCCTTACTTTCTCCCAAACAAATGGAGTCTCTCTTTCTCTCTATTCTGAGCTGCCTGGAGCTGGGGGTGAAGTGACATGAGCACCTTTGTGGCCACCATCACTGGGACTGTGCTGGGTAAGACCTAAATCCAGCACAGCACTGGGTCTTGCCCAAAGCCCACTGTAACCATTACCTGGCTACTGCCTATGTTCACTCAAGGCCCTGAGACTGTATAATCAGCAGGTGGTGGAGCCAGCCAGGATTGTGTCCTTCCCTTCAGGGTGTCAATTTATCCCAGGCCCTGGGCAGATCCAGAGGTACCATCCAAGAATAGGAACTGAAGTCAAAAACCTTAGAGATCTACCTGGTGTTCTATTGTACTGCAGCTGAGCTAGCACTCAAACCATGAGACATAGTTCTTCTCCCTCTTCCCTCCCCTTTCCACATGCAGAGGAGCCTCACTTCATGGCCACCTCCACCATAGGCCCATGGTGGGTACTGCCAGGCTACTGTCAATGTTCCCTTAAGGCCCAAGGGCTCTTCAAGTCAACTTGTGGTGAATGCTACCTGGCCTGGGGCGCACCCTTCAGGAAAGTGGGCTCCCCTTTGGCCCAGGGCAGGTCCAGAAATGGTGTCAAAGAGCCAAGGCCTGGAATTGGGGACCCCAAGCACCTGCTTGGTGCTCCACACCCTGTGGCCGAGCGTGTACCTAAGGTGCAAGGGAAACTCTCCTTTACTTTTTCCTCCACTTTTCTCAAGAAGAAGCTGTCTTTCCCCATAGCCACCACAGCTGGTAATGTGCTGAGTCTCACTTGAAGCCAGGAAGTCTCAGAGGCTCACCCAAGGCCCATAGCATACTACCAGGGTATTGCCGCTGGTTATTCAGAGCCCAGTGGCTCTTCAAACAGCAAGTGATAGGTCCTGCCAGGACAGGGTCCTTCCCTTCAAGGAAGCAGGTTCCTTTCTGGCCCATGGTGTTTCTAAAAATGTCATCTGGGAGCTAGGGCCTCAGGACTCTGCCTGGTACCCTATCCTGCTGCGGCTGAGATGATATCCAAGATGCAAAACAAAGTCCTCTTTACTCTTTCCTCTCCTCTCCTAAAGTGGAATGAAGGGGTCTTTTTTGGAGTCGTGAGCTGTGCAGCCTGGGGTTGAGGGAGGGGTCACACAAGCACTCCCTTAGTTGCCCTGGCTGATGTCTCAGTGGGTCACGTGTACCCCAAGTCTTCTGGCTCTGAGCCCAGTTCAGCACTATGACTTGCCTAGGAATAGCAGTCCTTGTGGCATAGACTGCCTTTCAACTTCATTTAGGGCCCCAGAACACTTTAGCCTGCAGTGACAGGGCTTGCCAGAACTGAAGTTCCAACTACTGGGAAGGGCAATTCCCTTCTGGCTAGGGCTGGTTTAAATGCTCCCTCATAGGTGGGCATCGGCTGAGTTTAGCCTGGTTTTGCTTTCTGCTGTGACAATGCAGCACTGAGTTCAACACAATGTGTCACAGTTCCTGTGCTCTCCCTCTCCCAAGTGCACAGATTCTCTCTCTGTGCCACACAGCTGCTGCCATGGGATGAAGGAAGTGTGGTGTCCATAATCTAAAACTATCTTTCCTACCCTTTTCTGTGCTTCTTTCAACAATGTAAAGTAAAAACCAGGTATTGTGAGTGCTCACATGATTTGGTTATTATGAAAGGGCTTTTTTGTGTAGACAGTTTTTAAATTGGTATCCTTGCAGAAAAGATGATTGGTGGAGCCTTCTGTTTGGCCATCTTGTTCCACCCTATCTGTCTAGTTATATCTTCAGGGATGAGCTACCTCAACCTCTCCCATTCTTTCTTTCCCCATCCCTTCATACTGTTATAATTGCTGACTGTATGTTGATTTGTGACAGAAGAATAATGTAGATAGAAACAGGTGTCATGGAATCCTCTAAGAGCAAAATCACACAGTAGGAAACTGGAAAACTAGGGCCCTGAGTCACAAATGACATTGGAGCCAATAGCAATCTGCAGCGTCTTTTACTGTCTGTATGTCTGTAGATAAAGAACAATCTGGACATCTCTGCATAGTTTCAGCAAGTGTTTGAAACACAGTCACCCTGTACATAAGAAAATAGGGCCATGATCCCAGCTGGCAGCCAGTCCCACTAGGGCTCTAAATTAGGACTGAACCCAGGGTAGCAAACTAGGGAGGAAAGGGATAAGGACAGAGATTCAAGAAAAAGAGAATACAGTCAGCCCTCCATATCCACCAGTTCTGTGTCTATGGATTCAACCAACTGAAGATTGAAAATATTCAGAAGAAAACAATAAAAAATAACAATACAACAATAAAAATAATACAAATTAAAAACCAATACAGTATAACAACTATTTACATAGCATTTGCATTGTATTAGGCATTACAAATAGTCTAGAGATAATATAAACTATATAGGAGGATGTGCCTAGGTTATATGCAAATGCCACACCATTTTACTTTTTTACTAAATTTTTTTATTTGTATATGTTAATGGAATATGAATGTAGTTTTGTTACATAGCTATATTGCATAATGGTGAGGTCTTGGTTTTTAGTGTACCCATCAGCAGAATAACATACATTGTATCCATTAAGTAATTTCTCATCATCTACCTCCCTCAACTTTCCATCTTTCTGAGTTTCCATTGTCTATTATCACATTCTAGGTCCGTGTGTACACATTATTTAGTTCCCACTTATAAGTGAGAACATTCGGTATTTGTCTTTTTGTACACCATTTTATATTGGAGACCCGAGCATCCATGGATTTTGGTATCCACAGGGGCGGGAATGGAGGAATAGGGTGAGGGTGCCCTGGAATTAATTCTCCACAGATACTGAGGGACAATTGTACAAATGCATTGGGTTTTGTCTGGGTGCCATGTCCTCTGCTAGTCCTATCCCATGAGGACACTGAAAATCTTCACAAACTTCAAGAGGATTCCTGGTTCTTAGTCCCGGATAGCAGAGTCCAGCCATATCCTTAACAGCTTCCTCTCCATCCAGGAGCACTGGGTTTGCTTCTCCATCTTCAGCTCCCCTACCCTTCCCTCCTGCTTCAAAGAAAGCCTCACTGATATGCTCCTGGACTTGCTTTTGCTTTTCTTTTTACCTACAACTTTGAACTTGAGTATTTAGATCTATTCTGGTTCCCATTTTCTTAGAGAATAGCCTCAATTACTCAACCCAGTGACAAAGCAAGTTTAGTATACCAAGGCAGTTTAGGATACCAAGGCAGTTTAGTAGGTGCAACTAAGTATAAAGAAGAAGAAATTAATTCCACATTACTTAGTTATAACCTACACACTTTTTTATATAGTAGAAAAAACTCTGTATAAACAGTCTCAGTTTCTCTTTAACTGGAAACTTCCAGGACGTATGGCTAAGAAGAGTGTAGACCAGCTGTTACGCCTTCAGCCATCTATAACTTGATCAGTGTGTACGTGTGTCGGGGGGTGGAACAATATAAGAAGGGAAGTCACAAGAGGAGTAATAGTAAGGTGATAAACATTTAAAGACCACTAACCAGAATCAGGAACTAGAGTATTTAGATCACTGTTCTGGGCTGATCCTTTCAGTTTCTGGTCTGGGCTTGGAGACAGCCACTTCACTTTCAGGGACTGTTGTCAGTGAGTTATTAAGGAGGTGCAGATCTAAGGAGTCCCAACACCAGCCATGCTCTTACCAGTTCATTCATCCACAGGCATCAAGAAAGGCTTCTGTTCCATCAGAGACCTACTGCAGATCATATTGGGGCCTTAGCTGAGATTTGAACTACAATTTAGGAGAGTGGAAGGTGAAGTCAGAGCTTCCAAAAGGAAGGAAATAACTTTTATTGAGCTTCAAGTGGATGTCAGTTCATCACATCAGGATACATTATTGTTTCTTAACCCTCAAGAAAATGATTGCTTTTCACATATTTGGACAACAGAGACTTAGTGAGCTCCTTAGGAAATGCAGTAATAAAGCAAAACCTCCTTGCTCTTTTACCTGGTTTTTAGTCACAGGAAAGCTATTGATTTTTATATATTAATCCTATAGCTGGCCACTTACTGAACTCGTTTGCTGTGTCTAGTGCTTTCTTTCTCACATTTAATTGCATCTGGCTAGTACTTCCAGAACTACTTTAAAATATAGTGGCAATAGCATTATTACGTTGTTCCTGATTTTGCTGAAAATGCTTCTATAGTATGTCCCCATAAATTATTCTAGCTTTGGACTTGAGATATATTTATCAATTTTATAAAGGCTTTTAAAAAGCCAGGCTTCAGTGATAAACATTGGCACATTCCTTTTCTGCATTTATAAAGATGATCATACGGTTTTCCTCCTTTAACTATTTTTTTATTAATTATAGCAATATATTTCTTAATATCACATGTTTATATTACTGAAATAAACCAAACAAGAAGTATTATTTTTAATGTAACATTGGATACTTTTTGCTAATATTTTTATTTGAGATGTTTGCATTGTTATTTCTAAAAAGGCCAAGTGTCCAGTTTTGGAAGATTTACTGGGAAACCATATTTATAACTTCTTCTTTAGTTATTGCTAGCTTTATAAAAAGGAATCTGGAAGCTTTATAAATTTGTGGTCTTGAATAGTTTAAATAACAGGAATTATCTGTTTCTTACAGAACTGTTAAGAGTTTTAATCTGCGAAGTGGCATGATAAAAAGCTATTCTGGCGGCAGGGGCATGCAGAGGAAAGAGACTGGAGACAGGAAAACAATCTGAAAGTTATTGTGGGACATGCATGAAATGAATAAGGCCTGATGTAAGGACGAAGCTGTGTGAATGCTGAGATTAGAGGAGTGGTTATGGAAGTGAATAACACTTCAATAAAAGAAGGAAGAAAATCTGTTAGCTGATAGGATTGCCAGATAAACTACAGAGTTCCAAATATTGCATGAGACGTACACTAAAAAATTATTTGTTTTTTACTTGAAATTCAAATTTAACTGGTGTTCTGTATCTTTATTTGCTAAATCTGGTACCATATATGAGTGACAGAGAAGGAAGATTGTATGATCCTATGCATATTTTGATAGGTCAATGTCCTTTTTCTTGGGCAATTCCAGTGATTGAGTAACTGAAAAAATTACCATTTTGAATAATGAGAAATAAGCAGTGATGGAAAGAATGACCTTTAGTGTTCATGCATGATTTGTTTTATGAGGTTAGAAGTTTACGTCTGTTTTCTTTTAGAACAGGGACAATGGTAAGGCCTTTTATGACATCATTGTGTTTATTTAAAAAAAAAAGTTCCTTCCTTTATTCCTGTCTTTATCTACTGAGGCAATGAAAGAATGGAAGTAAGTAAAACATACTAACATAATTTAAAGAAGTTGAGGTAATTTTTTGAGTGGTTTTGGTTACACAGAGGAAGGATTTCTTCATGGAAGGGATATTTAATACTAAAATGTTTAAGTCACTTGTCCTCCTAACTTTGTGGCTCTTTGAAGAATGATAGAAATGTGAATGAATGATACACTCTATATTCTTTTTTAAAAAATATAATATGGAATGCTTCACAAATTTGTATGTCATTCCTGCACAGGGTCCTGCTAATATTCTCTGCATCATTACAATTTTAGTATGTGTGCTGCCAAAGTGAACACCACTCTATATTCTTGACTGGAGTCATAACATATTTTTTCAAAGATTAAAGATATGTTCTGAACCACAGCTTATTTTTATAATGCTGATTAACTTTTAAAATAATTTATTTTATATTGAAAGGGAAAAATTATGAAATACTCTATATAGTACAACTGTAAATTTCTGAAATAAGGATGCGTGTTTGTAAAAGAAATATTTTATACTTATTAGTAGCAGCATTTCATTGGTGAACTTCTAATTGATCTTTTATTTACTTGTAACTTCTTTGTTACTCCTATCCAAGATAGAAATGTAGAGACTGCAATAGGTTTTTGATATTCAGTCTAAGTGTGTTAAATATTTAGTCCAGCTGGGCATGGTGGCTCACTCCTGTAATCCCAACACTTTGGGAGGCTAAGCGGGCAGATTGCCTGAGCCCAGGAGTTCAAGACCAGCCTGGGCAACATGGCAAAACCCTGTCTCTACAAACAATAAAAAAATTAGCCAAGCATGATGGTGGCATTCCTGTAGGCCCAGCTACCTGGGAGGCTGAGGTGGGAAGACGGCTTCAGCCCGGGAGGTCGCGGCTGCAGTGAGCCATGATGGCGCCACTACACTCCAGCCTGGGCAACAGAGTGAGACCTCTCTCTCTCTCTCCTCTCTCTCTCTCTCTCTCTCCGTGTATATATACATATGTATGTATAATATTTATGTATATATACATATATATAATATTTATGTATATATACATATATATAATATTTATGTATATATATATAAAATATTTAGTCCTTTCAGAATTTCATACCTAACTGAGTCACTGAAATCACTGAGCTCAAATAATTTCCACATACTTTTCATTAACCTTTCAAGTTTCATCCAGAGAAGACTAAAAGAAGTGTTATCCATTTAATCTGGAAATCAATTAAATTTCCAAACCATTTAGAAAATAAAGTCCTACACAACAAATAGATGTCTAGAGACCCTAACTTGTCAAGAAAAGAGAGAGAGCAACAGAGACCAGAGATGACACTACTCTTCATTAAAACACATGAATTTTGCACTAAGGGACACAAACTGCCCTCCTAGATTACCTCTAGTGTCGTATGATCATTTCCAATTTGTTCTGGCCACTAATGGTCAGCAGAGCATTCTGAATGGAATCCCCTACCTCCTTCCTAGAAGCTTCCTAACTCTCCTCTTTACCACAAGAGTCAGTACCAAGGACCAAGGATTTCATAAAGTAAACGAAGTCTTTGGAATCATCCAAGATGCAGCAGCTACCTGCTGTATGTGCTGAATCCACCCCTTAATAGCAAACCAAAACTAGATGCTCTCAGACTATTGGGTACATGAGAAGGAAGGGTACAGATCCACAATCTGGGTAGAAACTGCTTCTTTTCCAGCAGTTATTCTTCTGTCTAGGGGGCTCCTTCAACAGCCCAGAGCCCAGAGAGTTCCCCTTGGTAAAGTTCTGAAAAGTCTCAAGAAGGAAGGAAGAAATACCCAGTATGCTAGCATTGTATTAGAGAAGTGAAGGATGATGAAGAAAACTATTATTCATTCTCAAGCACTCTTCCTTGAACCCTGGAACGAGAAAGCCATTTCCTGTCCTGTTAGAGGTTGGAGTGTCATTTAATTTTGAAATGGAAATGATTATTGCAATGGAAATAATAGACTCAACCAGCAAAGAATATTCTAGTTAGCCCAACTGAAATGTTACTTATTCACAGTTTTGCCCTTGCATTTTAAGGAACAGATTTATTAATCCTGTTTTATCAGAACTATATTGACAGTGAAAATGTGACATGTGACCCTGGAGCCAAGAGACTGACTTTCTTCTTTAGCAACATGAGAACTTAAAATGCAACCAAGTGCTGACCTTCAAAATAATTCCCTCTAAAAGAAGCCATGCACTTCTGTTGTCATTGCTTTAAAAACACCGGGAATTGCTTTCAGAACTGGTTCCGAAGTTGTACAAGCAAAATAAAACAACAACCAAAACAAATTAGTATCCTGCCTATATAGATCTATCTCACAGAACAACTATAAAAATTTTTTATCTGAATCTTCCATTTAAAGAGAATGTTACAATAATACTCACATTAAACAGATAAAAGGGAAAGTACTTTGGAGAAAGCTGTGCTGGTTGATGTCCAGACTCCTACCAACCTGCTTTCCCCTCAAGCTCTACGAAGGTCCATTAGAAATTTTCTTGGAAGCCAATCTGAAAGGCACCGCTTTGTGTGACTATTGCTGTTGATTTTAAAATGTTACTTAAGAGAGAGAAGGTTCTACCAAAATGCAATGTTCACAAACTTGTGTGTACAAGCTTTTCTCATACTCAGGTGTGCAAAAGTATCATTTCTTTCTTTTAGGAATCTACTTTAATGAGCAAGAAATGTAACTTTTGAACTAATTCAACCTAATTTCTATTTTGAGCCTATCACTCCCCTGGGGCAGCAAAAATCTAGTTCCCATAAAGTTTGGGTTTTTCCTTTCAGCAGGTTTGTGTTTAAAGTCCAGTGCAAAAAGGGGAGGGGAGCAAAGATATTGGGTGGTGGTGGACATGTAGTCCTAGAGTAATAAGTCACACAGGTGTAGGTCATTGGCCCTTGGAGATGGCTGCTGAAAGTCCCTCATTCCTGTCTGGTGGCCCCTTCAACTCCAAAACCTCTCTCAACTATTTCCTCTGTAGGTTTAGGCACAGGACCTAATCCACCTTGACACAACCTGCATTCACTTCCTCTCTGGACTCTTGGCTGTCATCATTTCCTCTCCTTCTCTCCTCTCACCACTGAGGTTGGGGAGAGTTTTTCTCTAATCAGGGGGAAATCGTTCTCTTTGTTATTCTTGTTTGCTTCAGAGGCTTCTAGAATAATGGGCTCAGGTTTTTATAAAAACACAAAGACCAGGAAACCTTGCTACAAACCTTCACTGAAGCACAGATATCTGTTTGAATAACAGGAAGGCAGAAGAGTGATATACCGAGAAAAGCAACAAGAACAACAAGTTAATATCTCAAAAATACTATTTCACATACAGCTAAGGTAGAAGAAAGGATGCAAAATTATGTATGTGTCATTAACATCAGTGAGGGGGCATCTAATTCAGTAGCACAGCCCTTGGATCAGGCCTGGCAAATAATCACTGTGACATCATAAAAGGAAAGGGTTTTTCATTTGTGAAACCTCAAGAGCCCTGTTCTTACATACACCACAGTGCAAGGAGATTACTAGGACAAGTAAAGAGGTTGCAGAGTAGGATGGAGAGCCTAGTTGAGCCTGGCGCTCATTAATGTGGAAATAAAGCCTCTGAGCACCCTGTCACCAGGATTTCTCCAGTGGCCGCAAGAGCAGGCACAGCAGCAGCAGGGGCTGGGAGCTCCTTGAAGCAGCAGAGAAAATTGATCCAGGGCTGCAGAGTGACAAATGGATGTGAATTAAAATGACAAGTCCAGGAAATTGAAGGGGCTATTGAGAGGGACATTATCCACAAGTCCAGACTGAGTCAAGATTAAAGCAAGATAGGAAGTACCTGATAGTCTGGGAGAATAGGCCGGCTTGTTAGTTTAATGAGAGAATATATTGGGGAAAGGTGTTTAGATATAAAGAGATAAGTTGAAGTATTTTTCCTTATAGAGTAACTGTGGCATCTAGGGCCTTTGGGTAATATAAATTAAGAGAGAGACTGTTGGCAAGTAAATTCTTTTTACTGTTAGCATAACATCCTTCCCTGCTACAGGAGTGAGGTCAACTCCCAATCCCGGCTGCCTCAGAAAGGGGTTATCATAAATACCCTATTAAACCTATCCTTGTCAGTTCCACTGCCAAGAATTCTGTCCCCACTATAGCCACACAAATGATCGAGTGAGGTGAGAATGGGAAGAGTGAACAGAATATTATCAGGAAACACTAAATAATTTAGTTATTGCTACAACCTTTACCCTTTATCCTTGGTGTGTAGGAATTAGGGTCTCTGATCCTTTCTTTTTTAGGGAATAGCTATCTTACATTTTATCTTCTGTATAACCCTGACAATGTAGAGACTCTGGTCGCTTGGCCGTATATAAGTTACTGGATATTTTCTATGTAGTCACTATAATAGCTAATATTTATATGGGACTAACTGTATGGCAGGGTCTGTTCTAAGTGTTTTCCACACATTAACATATGTAATCCTCACACCAACCCCCTGAGGTACATTCTGCCATAATCTCACCATCACTGATGAAAAAGCTGATACACTTTGAGGTTAGCTAACTTATCTAACATTGCATAGGCAGTAAATGGTAGTTGTGGGATTTGAAAAATAAGGAGGCAGACAGATGGGCAGGCAAACAGACACTCAGGCGAGAAGTATGGCTCCAGAATCCACACGCTGAACCACTTCACCCTTGCTACCTATGTACTTGACTATCAGAAGGGATATAACTAACTCCAAAGCCCGAGGCATGTTTATATAACAGAAATATCCAACTCCTTTAACTGGGAAGTAAAGAAACAAAGGAATGTCTTAAGCAGATGATTGGCCAATCAAAACTATCCAGCTTTAAATGCCAGCCAATAAGACAGGGAGCAAAGTTAGAAAAGCTTTCCCCCTCAGAGTTCACTGCCAAAACCATTTTAATAGCAGTCTCCCACACAATAATATTCCACCCCAAATTATAACTCAAAAGTGCTAAAAACATATTCTTTAACCAAGATGTTAGAGATTTAGCCAGAAATAGTTTTATGTGGCTAGGTTAGTGTGAAATGGTTTGGCTAAGCCAGATGCTGTTAAGTAGATATCTGTAGAGCTGGGCAGAGCCATTTGCATGGGAAGAGGGTAGGTGCTACAAGGCAGGGCATGTAGTAAGTGCTTAGTAGCCAGTGCTTTATGCAAACACAAGTAGCCTTGGTTTTTTAAAGGAAGGCTTGGCTTCCCTTAAAAATCGTTTAGAACTCTTACAGAAAGAGACGAGGAAGAAGAGTAAGAAAAAGAAAATGTGGGCAAGTTCAGCACCAAGTTGGAACCTGAGAAGGACTTAAAAAAATAAGAGAAAGGGCAGAAAAAGAGGGGAAAGTCACTTTTTATATTATATACTTCTGCATTGTTGAATTTTTACCACACAGATTACTTTTGTAATCGGAAACAGTAACAGAGGAAAAAAATGTTTTTTTAAAGGGAGACTTTTAAAAAAGCAATAGAGAAAGATTGCCAGTATAAATTGAGTTTCTCTTGAAGTTTTTTCCAACTATAATACCAATGCCAAACCAAACACTATGTTTTACATTCTGAATACAGCTTGGTAAGGGCAGGAGGAAGATTTAACATTCCCAGTTTGGTTCCCTGCACCACTCCTTCTTTCCTGCCCCCTCTCTGCCTCCTATTTCCAAGTTTCAGATTGATTGCCTTTTCTGCAGTGCCTGTTTCTCAGTGTGAGCTAGCTTGGGAGAGGGAATTCAAGCAGCCACAGGATATGGAGCTAAGTGAATACATGAGCTCCTATAACATTCCAGAGAGACTACCAGCTTTGTCTGCCCCTGTGGATCCTATCACAGGGCATGCCATTGTGTATACAAGTTCCCCAAGAGTTCTGAGAGGAAAGTGCTAGACTGACAGCCCCACTAACTAAAACACCTTAAGTTTTGGAGAGGATGTAAAACTTCAATGAAACACCCATTTTAAGAATAGGAAAAAATGGAAGACGGGTTCTCAGTGACAGAAACTTAAGCAAAAATCATTAAAAATAAAACTGGGCTAAATCACACTAATTTGTCCAAATGAGTTTCATAAGTAAATTATGTTGAACAACCTTTAAAGAAGAATTAATACCAATTCTAGAAAATAGAAAAGGAGGGAACACTTTCATTTTATAAAGCTAGTAGTACCCTGGTACCAAAGCCAGTACAAAGACAGTACCAAAAAAAAATAAAACCTACAGATCAACAACCCCCATAAATATAAGCACAAAAATACTTCAAAAATTGTAGCAAATAGAATTAAGCAATATATAAAAAGAATTATATACCCTGATTAAGTTTGGTTATGTTCCATGAATGCAAGGCTGTTTCAACATTTAAAAACCAACCAATGTAATCCATCCAGCATATAAATAGTCCAAAAAAAATATTATCATATCAACCGACAAAGATAAAGAATTTTATCAAATCCAACACCCATTCATGATTAAAAACTCTCATCAAGCTAGGAATATAGATGGAATGTCCTCAACTTGATAAAAGAGCATCTGCAAAAGATCTACAACTAACATTGTACGCAAAGGTGAAAGACTAAATTTTTTCCCCCGGGATCAGGAGCAAGGCAAGGATTTTTGCTCCCACTACTCATATTCAACATAGTGCTGGAACTTTTAGCCATTGCAATGAAGCAAAAAGAGGAAATAAAAGGTATTTAGATCAGAAAGGAAGAAATAAAATTGTCACTACTTACAGATGACTTTATTGCCTACATAAAAAATTCCAAAGAAATTACATTGTGTTCTCTTTCACCCTCACACAAATTTTCCAAGTATATTTCAAGGAATAACATGTGAAAAAAAAGCAAAAACATTGTTTGCTAACATGTAAAGAATTTACAAAAGTGTATCATTGTGCTACTTACAAAATGTGAAAAGGGTTGTTTCTCTTGACTCTGGCATCAGGCTACAGCCTCAAAGGAGTTCATGCTAGGATAAGAAGAAATTGAGGTAATAAGAAGCCATCCTGTCTCACCAAATTGTACACTGAGAATTATAGAAGACTGTGACGCTCTCTGTTCATCAGGGAACATCCTAGGGATTGAGAGCATGTATCTGGAGGGGACGTATAGTCTGAGTTTCAGTTCCGGCCTTGCCACTTATAATAAGCTCATGCTGCAGACAAACCCCTTCAGCCTCCATTACCTCTTTGGTAAAATGAGCATAATAGGGGTACCTACCCCATAAGCTTGTGGTGATAATTAATTTACACATGTAACGTACTTACAATTCCTGTCACATTATAAAGAGTATGTACAGTAAAGGTTATTTACCAAAACTATACAAAATGAGAAGTTTTAGGTAGACAATGACAAAAATATGCAGAGGCAGAGGCAAGGAAATCTGCTGTATCTTTATGTTGTCTGCTTTTATGCCTGATGGTGTGGAGATCATTGGTTCTGTGAATGAAACCAGAGCCAGCTATTAAATGCCAAGAGGCAATAATGAAGTACATGTCCTTTTCCCTTTTAGTCCATTATTTGTTCTCTTCTTCTGAAAGTTGCAGATGTCCACTAAGTTTGAAAATCTTTCATCTCCTGAGGTTAAGTTGTCCAACGTTGTTTCCAAATTTGGAAGACCATGCGTGACACTAATGTGATGAGGAGCAGAAGAGAGAAGATTAGCTGCAACATTAAACGGTAATAGAGAATCACATCTGACCAACCAACCATTGTGATGGATAGGTTTTTCACGCAAAGAAGGCCCTCTCTTCACTCTACCAACAGCAGGGTCTTCATCATTTTTAAGCGTTGTAAGAGGAGGCTTCCCACAGCCACAAATTCTCCGGGTTGTCGTCTCCTCTTTCACTCAGTCTAAGTTCACAGTGATGGATGATTTGAGCCTGAGGTTGAAAGGGAATCTGAACAGAGAAGCTCCATGTCTGTTGACCTGGCAACAGAGTTACTTCATTATTACCCACATCTCCGTGTTCTCTTTAAAGTCTATATTATTACCCTAGCATTTGGAACTGTCTTTCAGACTCTTGGCTTCCAGTTCAGCCTTGGGTGGAGGAGCTCCTGCTAGTTTTCCTAGGATCCTTATTCACTGGCTGATTTATTTGGTATTTCCTATTCCATACTGAAAAATTACTTGTGATGAGTTTTTGCCAGCACATCAGGAGAGAAGACAAATGCTGAAGCATTCATCAAAAGTGTCAAACCACTGCTTTGCTGCATGAAATTATTGCCCAGGCTTCACCATGACCACGAATCATTATACTTGCTTTAGGTAGGTTATGCTGGACATGGGGTTCAGCTTCCTTTACAGCTCTCAATAACAGACCTCATCCAAGGGCTCTCCTTCTGTCCTCCTTTCTGAATCACTCCTGAGGAGCTGCAGTGACTTCTCAGAAGCCTTTTGCCTGGCCCTCAATAAATACAGCTTTTCTCACTTTGCCAAGCGGGGTTACATTAATTCTTTTAAAAGAATCTACTCCACCAACCACATTACTCTACAACTAAATATCTCCCTGTCTATCACTGCTGGATCTGATCAGAACCTGTGAGTTCCCGCTCCTGCCCAGACACAGCCCTCTCCCAAAGAGGATCCAGCTACCTTCGTGCTCCCTTGAACAAATCCACTGGACTCAGAAAGTTGGTCAGCAGGAGCCATACATTTCTCTGGGAATGCAACTGTCTCACCTAGGGTCTGGAGTCTCAATAGGCCTGAGAAGACATAGGCAGAACAGTACATTTGAAGGGGAAAAAAGGAGACTCACACTTTTTGAGGACGAACCTGCTGTGAGTCAGGAGTCTGCTGGAGCTTTACCTGGCTACTAGTGGAAGAGGCAGGAAAGGGTTAACTACAAATGTGAATACATTTGAGGGGGCAGCATGATCTAGAGAGCATGTGGAGAGAAGAAAAAAAACACTCCCACGTTTCTAATTGCACCATGAGTCAGTCCCATTTCTATGTGGTGGAATGAGCGCCCTGATGGGGCTGGGGGAAGGGAAGAAGGCAGTTCTACCATCTCCATCCAACTGACTCATGGACCCCTGAGTCTGGGGTAGGGGAATGAAGTCATCATCTACCTCATTTCTTCCTGTTTCCTGGGTTTTCCTATCCCCTTATTTTACCCCCTGTTTGCATAAGGGAAGTGTGTTTCCTTTGCACTACTGAAGGGCAATATCAAATCCCACACAATGAAACAGCCACTGCAAAAAATGCAATCTATCCCAAACTTAGAAACATAAGACTGGGTAGAGGGGGTGGTGCATAGAACCAAATCCAGGAATGTAAAATTTCCACAAGGACAGCTTCCTCCCGCCCTTACCAAGCTGCCCAGTATCTCCCAAATAGGACAAGCAGTATGCAAGACATTTTTGTGTGCTTGGTTTCAACAACAATCCTCACTACATCCACCCTGTCACATTTTGAGGCTGAATGTGTATAATATGGTCCAATTGAAATTCAAAGAACTCCATAAGAAATAGTATAAAGGATAAACAGCAATTTGTTAACTTTGGAGAATAACAACAGGGAGTTCAGAGAGAGATTTGATTCTGTTATAAAAATGTTCCAAAGTATTTATTATAATAGCAGAAAATTTGCTGAATTTCTTTTATGCCATTTCTGCATTGTATGACATATTAGAATTTGAGCTACAAAAAGGTTTTTCTCCCAGAAAGGGAATAAAAGACCCAGAATTACAAAATTCAAGACATGTATTATCAGCTAAATATATAACAAATTTCATGCTTTATACTTTTATCTCTTTTTTTTTTTTTTTTTTTTTTTTTTGACAGACTCTCACTCTGTTGCCCAGTCTGGAGTGTAGTGGCTTAATCTTGGCTCACTGCAATCTCCACCTCCTGGGTTCAAGTGATTCTCATGCCTCAGCCTCCCGGGTAGGTGGAATTACAGGTATGTGCCACCATGCCCAGCTAATTTTTATATTTTTAGTAGAGACAGGATTTTGCTATATTGGCCATGCTGGTTTCAAACTCCTGGCCTTAAGTGATGCTCCCGCCTCGGCCTCATAAAGCGCTGGGATTACAGGCGTGAGCCACTACACTGGGCCTTATATTTGTATCTTCTATAATTACATTCCATTTTAACCAGATTTCATCACTACCTGCTTAAAACAGTTTTATTTTATGCATTTTGTTTAAATAAAAAATATATCGATAGCACGCATTATAAGACAAAGTCATCTGAAATTTTTTTTCTTTTTTGAGACGGAGTCTCACTCCGTTGCCCAGGCTTGAGTGCAGTGGCGCGATCTCGGCTCACTGCAAGCTCCGCCTCCCGGGTTCATGCCATTCTCCTGCCTCAGCCTCCCGAGTAGCTGGGACTACAGGCGCCTGCCACCACGCCCGGCTAATTTTTTGTATTTTTAGTAGAGACAGGGTTTCACCGTGTTAGCCAGGATGGTCTTGATCTCCTGACCTCGTGATCCACCCGCCTCGGCCTCCCAAAGTGCTGGGATTACAGGAGTGAGCCACCGTGCCTGGCCCATTTGAAATATTTTTTAAAGACATTATACTAAATACGTCAGCGAAAATATGCTCAAATTTACCATTAATCAGAAATATAAATTAAAACAGAGGATACTCGTTCTCTATATGATAAGCAAAAAATAAACAAAGAAAATACTTGCAACAAATGCATCAGAGAAAGAGTTGATATCTTTAGTATTAAAAAAGAAACCTTACAAGAAGAAAAGATAAATAACACCCCACAGGCAATGGGAAAGCAATTCACAGAAGTAGAAATACAAATAACCAACAAACATAGGAAAAGGTGTTCAACTTCACTAATAATCAACAAATAAAATAATCTTTTTTTGCCCATAGATTAGCTAAGATGAAAAAGAATAATATTCCATGTTAATAAGAGTTAATAAGAGTATGTGATATTTGCTTTTCTGTTCCTGCATTAATTTGTTTAGGATAATGGCCTTCAGTGCATCCATGTTGCTGCAAAATACATGATTTCATTCTTTTTCATGGCTACATATTATTCCATGGTGTATATATATGACATTTTCTTTATCCAGTCAACTGTTAATGGACACTTAGGTTGGTTCCATGTCTTTACTACTGTGAATAGTGCATCAGGATTTATAATGAAAGTATGATTAAACACAACCTAGAAGACAAATAAGAATAGATCAAACATTCTGTTTGATTCGAGTGTCAAAGTGCACACCTTTTCTGGCAGTAACTTGGCATTATGCATCAGAATCATAAATCTATTTACATTTTGACCAAGGGATTCCATTCCTAAGAAACAATCAAATGTGCACCCAAATGTATGTATAGCATGTTTATTGAAGAGTTGTTTGTAAGAGGGAAAAATGGCAAAAATCTAAATTATGGTAAATGCTGGTTAGAAATATGGTATATTCATACAAGAGATACAATGAAGTCATGTAAAAGGATGATCTAACCTATACTTAAACACATGCAAGCTGCTCACAATATTACATTATGTGAGAAAAAGCAGATTACAAAACTAAGAATAATACATAGTAATTTTCTTTCAATTAAAAATTCAAATATTATTAGTATTGCTAAATATGCATAGGAAATAACTTAAAACTTATACACCAAACTGTTTATCTCTGGCTGTAGGGAATATGAGGCTCTTTCACTAGATAAGTCTATATTTTAAAATTTTTATTAGTTTAAACCATTTCTAAACAAAAAAGCATAAATCTATTACCAATGTGTAAAACATAGATTAGGTAAATGTGAAATGGTAAGTTACAAGGTTCTTTAATGCAGCAGAATTTATCTATTTATTTATATAATTTCAACTTTTATTTTAGATTCAGGGATGCATGTGCAGGTTTGTTACATGGGTATATTTCATGATGCTGAGGTTTGGGGTACGATTGAACCCATCACCCCGGAAGTGAGTGTAATACCCAACAGTTAGTTTTTCAGCCCTTGCCCCTCTCTCTCCCTTACCCATTTGGTAGTCCCCAGTGTCTATTGTTGCCATCTTTATGTCCCTGAATACCCAATGTTTAGCTCTCACTTATAATTGAGAACATGTAATATTTGCTTTTCTGTTCCTGCATTATTTTGTTTAGGATAATGGCCTTCAGTGCATCCATGTTGCTGCAAAATACATGATTTCATTCTTTTTCATGGCTACATATTATTCCATGGTGTATATGTATGACATTTTCTTTACCCAGTCAACTGTTAATGGACACTTAGGAAGGTTCCATGTCTTTACTACTGTGAATAGTGCAGCAGAATTTATAATGAAAATATGATCAAACACAACCTAGAAGACAAATAAGAATAGATTGGATTATTACAAATAGGGGGATACTGCTGACAATATTTTTTATTTTAAATTTATTTTTAATTGACAATAATTGTCTATGATTATAAGTACAATGTGATGTTTTGGTCTATGTATACATTGTAGAAAGATTCGATCAAGCTAATGAACATATGCATCACCTCACCAACTTATCATTTTTGTGTGGTGCAAACATTAAAAATCTATTTTTTTAACAATTTTGAAATATACAATGCATTGTTATTAACTGTAGTCACCATGTAGTACAATAGATTACTAAAACTTTTATTCCCCCAGTCCAACCAAAACTTCATACCCTTTCATCAACATTTTCTCTTTCCTCATCTCTTCCCCTTCCCCAAGCCTATGGTAACTACTTTTCTACTTTCTGTTCCTATGAGGTAGACTTTCTTAGATACCACATGTAAGTGATATCATGTGGTGTTTGTCTTTCTATGCCTGGCTTATTTCAGTTAACATAATGCCCTCCAGTTCCATCCATGTTGTCATGAATGATAGAATTTCCTTCTTTTCTAAGGCCAAATAGTATTCCATTGCCTATGTATGCCACATTTTCTTTATTCATTCATCTGTTGATAGAAACTTAGGTTGCTTCCATAGTTTCACTATTGTGAATAATGCTGAAATGAACATGGGAGTGCAGATATCTCTTTGACATATTGATTTTAATTCCTTTGGATATATACTCAGCAGTGGGATTGCTGGATCATATGGTAATTATATTTTTAGTTTTTTGAGGAACCTCCTTATTATTTTTCAAAATGTCTGTACTAATTTACATTTCCACCAGCAGTGTACAAGGGTGTCCTTTTTTCCACATCCTCGCCAACAAAGGTTGTCTTTCATCTTTTGGATAATAGCCAACCCTAACAGGTGGGAGGTGATATCTCATTTTGTGGTTTTAATTTGTGTTTCACTGATAATTAAAGATGTTGAGCATTTTTTCACATATCTTTTGGCCATTTGTATGTCTTCTTCTGAAAAATGTCTTTTCAGATTCTTTGCCCATTTTTAATCAGGTTATTTGTTTTCTGACTATGGGGTTGTTTGAGTTCCTTATATATTTTCTATATTAGCCCCTTATCAGATGCATGGTTTGATAATATTTTCTCCCATTTTGTGGATTGACTCTTCATTTTGTTAATTGTTTTCTTTGCTGTGTAGAAGTTTTTTTTAGCAATCCCATTTGTCTAAAGAATATTTTTTCAAGTATATTATTGACACAGTATATTGTTTTTAAAAAATCAAGCAAAAATACAGTATTTTCAACATAATTTCAATGTCATGAAAATATGTGTGGCAGGTAAATGTATTGAGGGATCAATTTATTATTTTGTGTTGTGTTCACTGTATTTTTCTTCTCTTTCCACTCTCCACCCCCAGTTTCAACAAAATAATCATGCTCATTGTACTTCTTTACCCCTGGGGAAGTTGATGCTATAGGGCTGAAAATAGATGTTGTCTGCCAACAACCTCCCTTCCTGGCTTTTGTTTTATAAAAGCTTGAGTTCCTAGGGAGAATTGTGCTTCAGGGAAAGGGAAAGAGATGATCGAGAGAAAGAGGGAAAGTAGCCAGACAGGGAGAGTTTCCCAAGATTAGGGAAAAGGATAGAATTCTGCAGATCCTTTGTTAAGTGAAAATTCTACTCCCAACTAGTGCCCAAGGGAGATAGCAGGAGCTCAGAAGAGAAAAACTCTGTGATACAGTTAAAAGGGTTGGACCCCAAACCTCAAAACTTCCAGTCTCAGCAGAATCCTGGGACCAATCTTCACACAAAAGCAGTACAACTCCCTGCTTTCTAGGCTTGGACAATGAACATAGCAGCAGTGACCACAGGACCCCATTTTCTGGGCACTCTTCAAAACAGTGACACAAAATAACCAACTAAGATTGAATTTTCCACCAGTCAAGTGGGATGGAAGCTTGAAGTCAGATTTAATTTTGATATTTTAAAAATAATAATGTTACGTTTCTTACACACCCAAGTTTGTGAAGTAGTATTCATATCAGCTACAATATATATATAAACTGAAATGATTCTGAAAAGTTAAACACCAAAATAATAATAATGGCTATCTCTGGGTAATGAGGTGTTTGCATTTTTTTCATTTTGCTTATTTATATCTCCTAGCTTTTCTGTAATGAATAGATAATTAAGCACTTCTATAGTTTTATATTCTAATTATACAGAAAATCATGTTTACCAAAATCATACTTATACTTTTCTTTACATTTTATATTTATATTTATTCTCTACATGTGTATTCATATGAGTCTTGTTCCCTAAATGGCTCAGAGCAGAAAACCAGACAAACTAGCTAAGATCATGTACCTAAAACTGAAACAACCCCAAGTTTCACATACAACCCCACAACTTACTACCTGTCTCAGATCATGTTTCCTAGAAGAAAACCTGACAGAAAAATTCATGTGCAAGTAATTTTTTAAGGAAGTGCTACCAAGGGAAATCAGAAAGAGGGTGGGTAAAGCAGGACACGGAAAAGTAAGAAGCCAAGCAAGGGTAAGATTTCAGACAAAGTGGAAGCCTCAGCCTGATTTCCAAGGGCACTTTGAAGCGTAAATTATGCCTCAGAGTTTTTGCTTACCTTGAAGCAAGGGAGCTAGGCTCTCTTAAAATGTCCAAACCAGTCAGTCACTCCCTATGGGGCCACCTTGGGGGACATAAACTCCCAGGATTTCTGGCTTTCTACACAGGCGAGTGAAACAGCTCCAGTAGCCAAAGGGCAGAAGAGTTATAGGCATCAGCCATTAGAAGCAAAAATGCAAAGTCTGGGGACAGCTGCACCGAACCAGTAGGCATGAAAGGAGATCTGGGCGTAGCAATGACCACTTCCCCTCCACTACCTGAGGGCCTTTGCCCTGTCTGTTGCTTCTACCTGGAATCTTTCTTTACCTACATATCTACATAGCTCAATCACTCTCCTTTTTCAAATCTTTGAGTAAATGTCTACTTCTCAATGAAGTCTATCTACTCTTTCCTTTTAAATTTGCAATCCCTTCCTAACCTTCCAATCCCTCTAAGATATTCCATTTTTATTTCACAGTTCTTATCACCTTCTAATATATTCTATAATGTTCTTATTCATTATATTTACTGTTTAATGTCTGTCTTCCCCCACTGCAATGTAAAGCTCCATGAGGGCACAGATTTTTGTGTTTTGCTCCCTATGCATCTTCAGCACCTACAATGATGCCTAGGACATGGCAGGCACTCAAAAAAATTTTGTTTAATGAATTTGTGGATGAATCTAATAATTTATCCTTAAAAATAATTAACAATTTAAAAAAACTAAAGTGCACAATGAATACCTGCAAGTGTGTCACTGGATGAATGTGGTTTGGTTGACATCTATCAATATTGATATACCTATTATTAACTTCCTATTCATGAAGAATAGGCAGTGATTTAAAAAAATAATAATCGCACAAAATAAGGTGGTGTTCAAGCTTTTATAGCCTTACCGATCTTTTTTTGTAAGCAGGGAGAGGGTCTGCCTGTACTATCAATTACTGAGAAGCATATTAAAACCTCTCACTATTATTGTGGATTTGTGTATTTTTCATTATGCGTCTGTCAAGTTTTGCTTATACTTTTTGAGGTTACGTTATTAAGTGCAAAAAAATTTGAAATTGTCATTTAAACCTGATGAGTTGAATCTGTTATTCTTACGAATGTTCCTCTGTATCTCCAGTAATTTTTGTTTTAAAGTCTACTTTGCTGATAGTAATATGAAGTTTTTCAACTACTGGTTGTTAGACATTTGGGTTGCAAATTTCATGAGAGCAACATCCTAAAGTCTGCAACATCCTAAGCGCCTCCCCATCTGTTCAGTGCCAAGGCAACCAAGCTGGAATGGGGAAGATCACCCTAATACTTTTAGTATCACCACTTTATTGGAAGATGTCTCCTTTTAGACTATTAGACTGTTCATTGTAAGCAGATTCTGGTCTTTGTCTTCTCTCCCTCAACCTTCACTAGCCCATAAAAATTTGAGTTCCAGTTCACTAGTTTGGCAAATACCCTCACAGAAAAAGAGTTTTTGTGCTTTCCTTACCTACTGGGTTTTTGCTTTCACTTAGATTTTGGCCTGGCAATTTCTTAAAATCTTATCAACTCTTTAATACATTCTTAAATAGTTTAAAAATATTTTATCCAGCATTTTTCATTGTTTTTGGCCAAGAGTAGTCTGAATAATTAGAAACTAAACTCCACCATTTATCTTTCTTTGGCATGAACTCAAATTTATAGACTACCAGAGAAACCCCAAGTGCAGCAATGAAATGGCAGAAAAAAACAACAGGAACCTGTCTAAGCAGTAAATTTTTTCCTGTCAGTTATATAGCACCTCCCCAGGAATTACAATAAAATTTGATTTGGAAATATGTGCAAATGTATGTTAAGAACTTTGCACTTGGTGTTGGAGGCTTTGAAGAGCAAGAAGACAGTATATAGTGTCTTAGAGATTAGAAAAGTGAATTCACTAGGGAACTGCAGTAGGATTGCCACACAGTGTTCATTGACCACTTGCCAAAAAAAGAGGGAACAGTTGGCAGAATTGTGTGATTTTAGCTGGTCAGAAACAGAAAAAGAGTAAGAAGAGAGTTAAGTTTAACCAAGGTCCAGATTTTCCCAGATATGTAAAGATGGAGGTAAAGAGAGACAATGGAATATGCAAAAGAGTGATTATGGAATCAGACCATAGATATAAACTGGCTATGGAGGGAAGTATGAGTGGGAGGAAGGTGATGAACAGTGAAACACAGTACTGGGGTCAATGGATTGAAGTTGGGGTAAGGATAGGAGAGCAAGTAACATGGAAAGATAGAACTGATGATTGGAGAAGGGATTCTTGAAATCAGTATTTCAAAGACAGTGCCATTATTGGTTGTGATAAGGTCTACAGTATGACAAACGGGAGTAGTTAGGTGATGTGGAGTGGAGGATAAGACCCATGGAGATGAGTCGTGTTTGATGGACTGTTTACAAGAAGTTGAAGTCACTAAGAATGAAAACAAAATTAATATTGTAGAGAAAAGCAGACAGTGGGCCAGTTGCTAAAGTCATCAGTGAATGAGAAGTAAAAACCAGGAGAATTATAGATAAGTACAATGAAAAGGGGTAGTGGGTGGTTTGCTCAAATGGCTTAGGATTCAAAAAGAACTAGGATGTGTAAAATATGAGAAGAGATATTATCTGAAAATGTCAAGAAATAGCAAATAAGGAAAAATAGTTTGCCTCCAGCCCCAGTAGTGCCATGGGGGTAGGAGGTAAAAAACTGAGAAAAAATTGCTGTAATTCTTTCACTGATTTATTTATTCATTTAACAACGTACTTAGTAGCTTCTGTATGATAAGTGATTTGCCAGACCACAGGGGGTTGATGAGACAAAGACACAGTGATAATCTGCCAACGACTATGTCTAATAGAAGCTAGAATTCATTCTCCTTTTGTGAACAAATAATTTGGCCTAGCCCACATGCTATCATGCCTGGTTGACTTGTCCCTGGATTTAAAATATTGCTGCCTAAGGATAAAAATAAGAATGGATTTGGCAACTGTCTAGTAATAAAGGAAAGCAAGTAAGTTATCTTCATTAAGCACAGCTGAATCTGATTTTAAAATTTAACTAATCAGATACAGTAATCAAAATAATGTGGGATTGGTATAAGCATGGAACATATTAGAGAATCCAGAAACAGAAACAAATTTACATGGTCAATTGATTTTGCAAAAAATTGTTAAAATAATTCCATGAGGGACAAGATGTCTTTTCAAAAAACGATGCTAGAACAATTGAAAATCCATATGCGTAAAAGCAGCACCTTGACCTTCATTTTACACCATAATTAAAAAATCAACTCAAAATGGATCACAGATCTAAATGTAAAATACAGATTCTAAAATCCATAGAAGAAAAGAAAACATAGAAAAAAGTATTGACTTTGGGTTATATAAAACATTCTTAGACATGACACCAAAATTATGCAATTCATTTAAAATTGATAAATTTTACTTTCTCAAAATTTAAAATTAAATGACTATAATTACAAGACTAACAATACTAAATATTGGAAAGGAAAGGGAGCAACTTGAACCCTTATACATTGCTGGTGGGAATATACAATGCTGCAACCACTGTGGAATACAATTTTGCAGTCCCTTAAAATGTTAAACATAGAGTTACTATATGACTTAGCAGTTCTACTCCTAAATATATACCCAAGATAAATAAAAACATATGTCCACAACAGAAAAACCTGTCCACAAATATTTATAGCAGCATTATTTACAATAGGGAAAAAGTAGAAACAACTCAAATGTTCATCAGTTGAATGGATAAATAAAAATATGGCATATTCATACAATTGAATATTATTTGGCAATAAAAAGAAAGTACTAGTTCAGGGTAAACACAGATGAACTTTGAAAACATTATGCTAAGTGAAAGAAGTCAGGCACAAAAGGCATTGTATTGTATGATTCATTTATATTAAATATGCAGAATAAGCCAACCAATACAGAAAGAAATTAGATTGGTGGTCGTCTAGAGTTGGAGGGTGGAGGTGGGAGAGAAATGCGGAGTGACTGCTAATGGGTTCCTTTTGGGGTAATGGGAGTATTTTATATCTTGATTGTGGTAGTTTTTACATTACTGGATACAATTTTCAAAATCTGTCAAATTGAACATTTAAAGATAGCTAACTTCATTGTACAGGTAAATTATAACTTAATAAAACTGATTACTTTTTTAAATGATTCAAAAGTAACCCATGTTGACTAATAAACAATGATCCATCATTTTGTATGACAGCTTTTGACTACACACATCACAAACCACCTTAGAGAATAAACTGAATTAGGCTATGACATTTTTTCACATCTACTGGAATATTCTCCAAAGGACTACCACCTTTTTCATCATTTGGCCCTCTTTCTAAGAAACAAAATATTTGTCACTCAAGAGGCAGTAATTGGAGAATTTGAACTATTTGCACTCTCCCAATGGGAAAAACTATGAATGCTGCTGAGGCATATTTTGAATGAATAAAGACATCTTTTCACAAGTGTGGTATTATCATTTCTACCTATATAACTAGTGGTTACATATGGTTAAATCTAGTAGTTTTGAAATGTTAATGTAATTGGAAATATACCATTCAAGTTAGAATTCAGAGAAATTAGAACTCAAATTTAGTAAAATGTGGCCTTGGAATTTTAATAACTACTGGTGGTACTACTACTTGCTAGATTTGTTTGGAGGGCAAATAACTGTAAACCCATCAACCTGAGAGCAAACCTATCAGCTGGAAGCTGATAGGATAGATAAAGCCTTCTATTTGAGTAAGTCTAACAGTCATTAGCTTGAGTACATCTAGCCTCTGTTAGTTTTATTTTCAAAATTAACTTATTATTAAGAACTTTTCGATATGCTGAGGGTTTTATTATCTTGTAAATTAGAATAATTATTTGTCATGGGCAATGAAAATTTCTAATTGCAAGTTTTAGTATTAGGCCCAAAAGTCAATGTTAATGAAACAGTTTTACTATGAATTTAATTAATAATGTAGGGTTGTGTACTAATCATGTACTGCTGAATTAATTATATGTGCAGTTTATCATGCAAGATTTGATATGGTGTGCTTTGGGCTATGAAAACTCTAGAATTTACAAAAGGTGGATGGGAACATTCAGTGAATACATTGCACACTTTACTCAGAGAGTCTTCAATTCCTTCTAGCCTGTAGTGTCTGACAATACTGCAAATTGTTGTGTCTTAGCATATGCAAGTCTGCTGGCTAATATTCTAATTCAGTGGTTTCCAAAAGTTTTTTATTATGGGCCCCTACTGGCAAAAAAAATTAGCACTCACATCAATGTATGTATACAGTATTTATCTCTTCATAAATAATAAAAATATAACTGTACTAATGTGTTATGTACATTATAAAACATAAAACTTAATCATCTGAAAGAGTGAGATAAAAAACAAAAACATACATCTATTAGGGACTATGCACCTCACTTGGAAGACCACTGCTTCTAAATAAGAGAAGTACATAGAGTTATCCTTGCTTGGGAGCAAGAGACAGGCATTAGTTCATGTGGAGAGACAACATAGAATTTAATGTCAAATCTGGAAAATGGGGAAAACAAATATTAGATGTGAATTAAGCAATCACTAAAGAAATAATACACCTTAATCAGAAATAACAGCCAATATATATATTCATGAGAACATTGTTTTACTAGCTTGTGAAGACAAAACATTCTGTTTAGCACCATCTAAAACAGATGAGGATATAATTGCAGAAAAAGAATGAATTAACTGGGACTTGACCTGAAAATAAATATTTAAGAGGTGGAATTTAACTGGTAGCCAGCCTAAGATGGCACCAAACTTGCTTTTCAAAGGTTAAAAACTAAAGAAACATAAAGATGAATTTGTGCCTAATAGCATTTCCAACACAAAGAAAATCAGATTCATAAACAATGCCATGTATTTAGCAAGATATTTAAGGCAGGAGACTCTTCTGCTCCAGTACCTATTGGAAAGCAAAAAAGAAGAGGGTTCAGACATAAAAATAAAAAGCTACTCAAAGATGCAATGGTCAAATTTTCTAAAGATAAATTTGCAGGAAAAGAAAAACAGTTTAGTATGAGTTCTTTAAAAGTCACATCAGCTGGAGAAAGTGGCACCCAGGCTGACAATGTTGATACAACGCAGGCATGAGTTATTAGATCATAATATACCCCTGAGTATCAATAATGACCAGCAATGAGAAAGCATACTGGATAATTAAAGGAATGCTTGCACGAAGAAAAAGAACTAAAATCTACTTCTGGTAATAAATTACAAAATCATTTTGTCACCTAGTTTCATGGGACAAATCATGCACCTGTAGTCAATTTTTTAAGAACTGAAAGTAGATGTATAACTTTGGTAGATAGGAGTTTCAGTGAGATGCACACACACACACACACACACACACACAATTCAAGAATTTAGAAATAAGATTTTCCTCCGAAAGCTAAACCAGTAAAAGCCAGCCACAATGGATGTGATGATTGGATTGGAGGACACAATCAAAGGACTGCCTGTTCAGGTATGATAGCAAAATACACAGACACCCAACACACCAGTCAAGGTTGAGTGGGGACATGACCTTACTTTCCCTTGAGGCAAAAGTACAACATGTGTAAAAGCTAGGAGGTGAGAGAGAGCAGTATGCATTCAGAGATCTTAGAAAAGTTCAGTATGGCCAAAGTAGTGAAGATAGAGAAGTAAGCAGGGGCAAGGCAGTGGAAGGTCTTGTCTGCCACGTTAAGGTTGATTGGACCTTGTCCCCAGTACATTGGGAAGCCAGACATTGAGATGTTCTCAGTCAGACATGGAAGCACTCAGATTTTAGGAAGGTGTCTTTGGCTACAGTGTATTGGAGTTGTCCCCACCCCCACCCCACAGCAGAGGAGGCTGCTGCAGATATCCAGAAGAGAGATGGCCTGGGCAAGGTAGGCAGGAGTGGCATCTGGTAGGAGTGGACTGATGAGAGACATCTCAGAGGTACATGGGTGGTGTCTTAGTCCACTGGGGCTGCTACAACAAAATACCTTACACTGGGTAATTTATAAACAACAGAAATACATCACTCACAATTCTAGAGGCTGGGAAGTCCAAGACCAAGGTGTCAGCAAATGTGGTATCTGATGAGGGTTCCCCTGCTTCATAGATGGTGCCTTGTTACTGTGTCCTCGCATGACAGAATGGGCTAAGAGAGCTTGCTCCAGCCTCTCTTCTAAGGGGACTCATCCCATTCATGAGGGTAGAGCCTTCCTCTGACTTAACTACTTCTCAAAGGCCTCATCTCTTAATACTATCACACTGGTTATTAGGTTCCAACATGTGAATTTTGGGGAGGCACCAACCTTCAGACAATAGCAGATGGGATGTGGGGGTGAGGCAGAGAAGAGAGACTAGCTTGGCCAGTGAGGTGCGTTGATGGTGTCCGTCATGGAGAGTGAGAACCCTTTGAGGAGAAGCAGGAAGAAGAGGAGGAAGGGAAGGAGAAACAGGTATTTGAAGAGAAAGTGGAGGAGTTCAGGTTGAGAAATTTGAGGTGTGGGAGGCAGTGAGTTACCCAAAAGGAGCTCTTCAGTGACCAGTTGATCATATGGATCTGGAACTCAGGTGTGAGGCCTGCACTGGGAGATGAAGATGTGAGTGTCATCAGCTTTCAGAAACCAGAGGGAGGATCAGCTGGCTAGAGGACACCCAACCATGAAAATGGAGAAGAGAAATGAGAAACAGGGAAAACCATGAGGCAGACAGCTGATGCCTAAATTTTCTCACATGGTGTGGAAAAGGACTTTTGTAATCCCCCAGAGGCAATATCATTTATTTCCTTACCATGGTGGGGTCCTGCTAACAGTGTGTCTTTGTTTCTGGGGGTAGAGCAGCCTAGGGGTTGCCATTCTTTACTACCTTTCTATTCTTTAGGCTTTTGAGGGCTCTTGGCCTTAACAGGCAGCATAATCCAGTGGTGAAGAGCACAGTTCAGACTACCTTCACTAATTTCTAGCTGTATGCACACTGGCAAAGTTGTTTAACCTCTCTGCATCTCCATTTCCTCATCTCTAAACTCATACCATTTCCAGTGACATTTTGTGAAGATTGAAATAGCTCATGGAAAGCTTCATCACATTAGTTATTATTATTATTATTCATGCTCCAAAAGAATCTGGAGGCTGCAACCCTAGAGTTTTATGCCAGGCATTAGGAGGAAAGAAGAGTGCCTAAGGAAGCATACTGTCTCCCTGATTTATAATAAATGTTGTATTTTCTAGAGGAGTGGGAAGCCACAGGGTTAGTGTGAGATTGATGAGGCATTTCTGGGTGTTGATTCAGGTGCTTGAGTTCCTTTTCCCAAGATACCATCTGATCTACTGCAACATATAATATGGGAAGTGCACATATTACAGGAGATTGGTTTGGAGTCCCCAAATTCTTCTTGATTTGATTTTTATTGTATGGTCAGCCAGTGAACCAATTCTAGACTCACCCTTTAAAGTAAAACTAAAATAGGTGAAAAACATGTTTATGGAGTCTCAAATTCCTTGGGGGCCGTAGATCTAGATAACAGAAAGGCACTTCTCCACTTAGTAGTCAGGATTGTCATGGTTACTTAATGGTTCACATGATTCACAAGTACACCCTGCTCTCCTCTAAGGCAGTATTTGCATTTCAAAGAAACCGACATTTTTCAAAATTCCCATCTAAAAACATTTGTTTCAGTTGAGAAAGTGAAATTAAGGTCCAGAGAAGTTGCAACTTGCAATAACAAAGTTATGTTTTCTACAGAAATTTCAATAATAAAGGTTTTATTAGACCTGTAAGTGTGTAACTATAAAACAGACTTCAGTGAACAAATTCAGAAATATTTGCTCGAGTGATGTCTTTTATTTTCCTTATCACCCTGAGCTCTATAACTAACATAAAACTTCTTACACATTCTTATCAATTTTTATCACATTTATCACCTACTGTTACGATAAACAAAACTGAAAGGCATCTTGTGGTGTGTCTCAAGGTTTTTTGCTTTAAACGCGACTGATAATGGCTTCTGGTTTTGATGACATTATTACCAACTACTCTGCACAATGCAAATTAGGTCTTATTGATCAATTACATTGTATCCAGTTTGAATTATGAAAACATAGTTGTGAAAGAAATGCTTATATTGAATAAAGTCGGCAATTAGCTGAGAACTGGGAACCTTTGTTATGGAGACATTTTCTGTAGACTCTCACATCTTATCCTATAATGTTCTATAATATTTAGTTATATTACAGTGTTAGAAGGTATAACTTTTAATTACAAATGAAACTGGTTGGGGACAGGAGAGGGGAGTAAATTGAATAATAGTACTGTTTCTCAGTATTTAATTATTTTAACTGGATACATACTTTTAAAATGAGAAAAAACGTATTTAATGACCCACCAATGTCTATAGAGTCTTGGTTAATTTACTTATTCTCTTCCGGCCTTATCTGTGAAGTTGAGCGAGATAACTTGTGTTTTAAAAGACAGGAATTTTTCCCCTGTTAAAAAACAAACAACAACAGCAGCAACAACAACAAAAAACCCTCCTCTGCTCTGGGACAGGGTTAGTGAGGATGAAGCAACGGAGGGCTCCTAAATAAGGAGATAAGGAGATACCTGTGCCCTACTCCAACAGTGTCTCAAAGATGTTGCAAGCCCCAGACAGGACAGCCATGAAATGCACCAGGGAAACTGGATCCTAAGCCTAGCAACTCCAGCTTTGACAAAGATTGCTGTTCCTCTAGCACAGCACAGAAGCACCAGAGCCATTAAGCCCTAAATGAGTTTGCAATCTGGGACAATATGTGTCTCAGCAATAACGTTTGTGGAAGGGCTTGCTTTTCTGATATCTTGGCTCCCAAATTTTGACAACACTCAATGAGTGAGGGAACCACAAAAATAAATAAGGCTAATTTTTCTTCCATATTAGCAATATGGAAGCTCAAAGTTTATATTCCTCCAAGGCACCTTCTATCCCCAAGAGCCCAAGGCTACTATATGGATGTTAGATTAATGGGCAGTCCATTTGTCAGTGTGGCAAGCTCCCTTTGCCATGATACCCTTCCATCTTTGCTTGGCTCACCTTGGATTGAATTAAGTGAATGATGTCTGCCTTTCCTTTAGCAACTTCTTCACTAATTTAAAGAAATTCAGAGACAAGTTGTATGGTGGTCATTTTAACACTTGCCAAAATCTGTTTTAAATTATCCAGAGCCAATCATCCTACGTCTAAATTTCCCTCAAACTTTGTACTGGCCTTTAATGTCATTACAAGCAGAACACGTTTTCACTAAGTGCTAAATTACATGTTATGTAGTCCTTTTCTGAAATGTATACATTGAAGGAGAAGATTTGATTCTAGGTTAAAGAGACAAAACTAGCCTCTGAGGGTGGTATTTCTGAGACAACCACTAGAAGATTAGAGAAGCACAAGCATTCTCTTCTTTTTCTTTTGTTAATGGAGAAGTTGGTCATTTCCTAGTAGACTGAACACATGAAGAGATTCTACAGCTAGTAACACTGAAATTAAGGCCTCCTGGTGGGGGTGGGACACATAGATAGGAAGTACATTTTCACTGCTAGAATGCAGATTGGCTAGTTATAGTGGACGCTATTGATGCCCTGTCCAGATTCCACTTATTGGGCCAGTGCATCCATCCCCTAGCTGCTGTGAGTGTTGGCTGCTGAAGATTTGTACTCTTGCCCTTGTCAGATCCACTATGTCTAGAAAACCTGAGGAATTAAAACCTCTCTCTTCTCACCCCACACCGCGCCCTGTTCCCCCCCGCCCCCGCCCCACCGCCCGCCACCCACTCACGCATCCTGTCTTGCAATCAGTGGGTATAAAAGCCTGGCTCCCTTGTCTCAAGGTGTGTTCTTTCCCTGGTGCCCTTCACGTTCCACAGTCCCCCTGGGCTCAGGCTGAGGCTAGATTTCAGCTGGATTATATCTATGCTTAGTTTCTTCCCCTGTCCTATGCTGCTCCCTTTACTTCCATATAGGTTTCATCTAAGGATACTCCCTCAATAAACCACTTTCACAAGAATCCCCATTCTTGGTTCTGCTTCTAGGGAACCCCACTTAAGACACCAGGGTACTAATTTATATTTCATCTCTGTGTCTGTTTACATTTTCCACTTTCCCTTTCTCAGTCAAGCTAACTCTGCACTTCCTTGCCTCAGAGAAAGTTTACGTCAGGACTTCCCAGAGTTCATTTCCCAGAAATCCAAGTCCATTGTGAAGAACAGAGTTCGAGGAGTGAAAGATTTCCCTCACACTAAAAAGAAAATGCCTCACCACCACTACTGAAGGGGAAAAGAAAGGGGCCTTTGAATTCCTTCAGCAGATGGGACCTCTGGCCTGCTCCCCAGCAACCTAGAGAACAGAGTAGAAATTCAATGCTGATGGCCATGTGATATACCTTGGAGGCTGAGTCCTATCCAGGATGCCCAGTCTCACCAAATTCCTGTCCCCTCTATGCCAAGCATGTCGCACAAGCTGCTTAACTGGCCCATTGAAAGGCTCATGGAAACTCATGGAAACATGGATGATCCGTTTCACAGCTATAACAAGTATAGAAAGACACTCCCCAATACCTTGGTAATGGGTAACCCCAGGGACCTGGCACCACCTCCAAATCCATGTGATAGGATGTTTTGCCATCCTGGAATCTACAGAGGACTGGGTTTTTTTACAAAAATAAAGATGTTTAATAATTCTTTCACACATGAGTTAAGTTTCATACCTGCTTCATGAAAGGCAGCAAAAGGGTAAGGTTATGATTATTATGCTTTGTTATTATGAAACATTAATTAATAGGATGTTTATGAAGCATTTTCATTAACTAATAAAAGTAATACCCTGCAATGCTTCTGAAAAAATAATAATTTCAGGGCAACATATAGTATGACTGCAATAATGTTAAATACACACAACCACATTCTTAGAGAGGAAAGACAAGGAGTGGTAATTATTGGTGGCTTATTTTTATTTTATTTCTTATAGTTTTCTGTATTTTCTAAACTTTTGTAGATGTGATTATTGTTTTTCAAATCAGCTGGTCTCTTCTTTTTTTGCTGTCTACCACAGGCCAGTCAGTATATGTAGTACGAGGCACCAGCCCAAATCACCAGTCCCACTGCCATCAAGTCTGAGTTCTAAGCTCGGACCATTCTACAGCACTGTGAATGTCTCAGGGGTGCTCCCTTAGGCTAGTGAGAACACATTGAGGGCAGGAGTTTGAAGCTTCAATCAAGTTGGATGTAGGGACTGAGTGTTTAGGGGGAGGGGAAGGAGGAAGGAAATGAAGCTTTTAGCTTCTCCTCCTTTTGCGTGGAAACCCCACCACTGACAGACAGAGCAGCAGACACAGACAGACGGAAGCGAAAACCAGACAGGAACAAAGAAAAGACAATTCGGACTTAGTGCTCAGTGGATGCACCAACATCTGAATGTAGGTCCAGACCCAGACCTTTCCCTGTTCAGAATCCAGGTTGTCAAGCCTGTCTCTTATTTCACAGTCCTCCGTCACTCTGCTACATGATAACCACTTTCTCCCCTCCACCTCCTCTAGTCACCAATGTCAACCATTTCTGCTGCTGACACTGCCCTGCCTTTGACAAGTCACAAAATGAGAACAAGCCTGGGTTCGGGTTGTCCCCTTGGGGAAACAGAGAAGTGCCTCCTAACTTGAAAATTGTGCTGCTCCCTTCCACCTGGACTTCAGGAGTCTCCAATCAACACCCACCTTCACAGCAACCTACAAGGATCTGGATGGGTTTCCTCCCTGTCCTCCTCCACCTTCTTTGGCCACAGTCACACCACCTTTAAGGAAACAGGGAGCTGGTAGCTGAGGAGGAACCGCTATTTGGACCAACACACCAGCATGTCAGCTCCTGGTCACGTGAAGCCACGTCACTGGTGAGTCTGGGTCCCAAATTTCCCCTCCCATTATTTGCAAGGCCCCTCACTCCCCCGCCTTCCCTCCCACCACCTCCACCATGCAGGGCACTGTCACTCGTTTTCTTTTTAGTCTTCGTGCACACAACAAAAGTGTCATCTTTCTCTGATTACCAGAAGAAACAGCATCTTCTCCTGAGCTACTGGTCATTTCTGCTTCTCTGGGAAACGGGCCCATCCTCTTCTCTGCTCCCTTCACCACTTCCATTTGGGCTCACTAATGTTCATCTCTGCAGTCCTGAAAATACCTGGAAATGAAGATGAGGGAGGGAGTGTCAGGAAAGGAAACAGTAGGAATGGATTCTGTTACTTTCTTGTTAACACCATTCTGTTCTTTGTTATACAAACATGCATTTTTATTATTGAAAAATGTTAAAGAACTATTTCCATTCAAGAAAAATGATTCACTTTTATTAAATGGCATATATCATAAACAATAATTCTCACTGCATAATGAGTTCTGCACATGTCACTCAAAGCAATCTTAAGTTTTCTACATCTTGTCCCATGACAACATCCTGATTAGGTAATCACTCATTTGAGAGTTTACAAATCTGATGATATGCCAGAACCAACTAGGCTTTTTTCTGGAGTGTAAAGGTGGTTGAGTGTTGGAAAGCCATTCATTCATTTATTCATTTATTCAACATGTGTACTGAGCAGGTACTACATGCCATGCATTGTTCTTGATGCTGTGGTTACAGCGGTGAATAGAGATGACCTAAATTTCTAACCTCATAGTTCTTACTTTCTAGTGAAAGAGACAACCAACCAACAAGATAAAACATATAGTATATTGTTATTAATAAGTACTAAAGAAAAAATAAATGGCAGGAAAGAAGATATGAAAAGTCAAGATGGGATGAACTTTTAGAAAGGGTGACCAAGGAAGGACTCACTAAAAAGGTGACCTTTGAGTAAAGATCTGAAGTCTGTGAGGGATCTAACTAAGTGTGGTGATGTGGGATGGAAATACATCCCAGGTAAGGAGACGAGCAACTGAAAAGGCTCTGTAAAGGGAACATGTCCAGTATATTCCAGGAACATCAAGAAAGCCAAGATGACTGAGTAGGGTGAGTTAGATAGAGAGAGAGAAGTAGATTAGGCAGAAAAGTAGTAAGATTGAACAGGGTAGGGCCTTGTCAGTTATAATAAGGACATTTATATTTCCTCTAAACAACACAGTAAGTGGGTGGGGAGTTTGAACAAGGGACATGTGTCTGGATATGTTGAGAATAAACTATAGGAAGAGAAGAGTGACAGGGAGACTGGCCTGTCTACATCATTCCTGACAACAGCAAACCAAAGAAGAAAAGAAACCTCATAATGAAAGCATTTGATAAAATAAGTAACCATTCCTAATTTAAAAAAAAAGTAAAATAGGAATAAGAGGGAACTTCATTTATGTAGTAAAGA
This sequence comes from Homo sapiens, assembly GCF_000001405.40. Taxonomy (NCBI): domain Eukaryota; kingdom Metazoa; phylum Chordata; class Mammalia; order Primates; family Hominidae; genus Homo; species Homo sapiens. The sequence goes on along the minus strand of NC_000023.11, from coordinate 101,662,582 downwards.
ATTATACGTAATTTAATGAGTCGTTCTTAGATGAATTAAATTAGATATAAAAGAAAATATCCTTAACCTGATGAAGAAGATATCAGGAGCTCTTCTGATCTGGCAGATTCATCCCTTTCTCTGGACTATCAAGATTACAGAACTTAATGACTTGCCTCCATTCACTGATAGTATTTCTTTGTACTACGTGTGTGTGTGCACGTGCGACAGAGAGAAAGAGAGGGACTAGTAAACATAAGTGAAATTAGCCTTGAAAAAAAAATACATCAATCACAAACAACAAAAGTTATACTAAATAATGAAACAAAAGAGGCATTCCCACTGTCTTCAAGAACAAGATCAGGAGGCTCGTAAGGAAGTTCTAGTCAATGCCAGTCATTAAGTTCTGTGATCTTGGTAGACCACAGGGAGGGACGAATCTGCCAGATCAGAAGAACTTCTGATATATTCTTCATCAGGTTAAGGATATTTTCGTTTATGTCTAATTTAACCAAGAATGACTCATGCAGAAGAAGAAAGAAAAGGGGGCATAAATGTTGGAAAGGAAGAAATGAAAAATCATCATTTACAAATGATTATATATAATACCAAGATAAACCAAAGGTATCACTTTAAATTAGAATTAATAAAACAGATCACAAAAATTTGGAACTTGATTAATAAGCACAAACGCACTACTAATGTGTCTAAAAAGAAAGTTGGAAACTGTTGACAGTGGCTGGGAGTGGAAAAGATAACAAAAGTTTCTTTCCCTGTATACTTTATATATTTCCTTATTGTTTTGAATATTTTTAACCACTAATATATAATACTTGTATTACCAGAACAAAATACAAGATTCCTAATCTGGACTATTATATATATATAACACAGACCCTCTTGGCCATTGTATTAGCTCTTAATTTTTTGCAGGGCGGGGGTTACAGACCCCTTGAGAAACTGATGAGGTCAGTGATCTCTGTTCCTGAAAAAAATGCATTTAACCACACATATAATCCCAAACAAAGCTTTGCAGGTGAATGCAATTTCAGGTGGTCTACAGAGTTGACCGGGTGAGAACACCTACTCTGGGTTCATCAGTGGGGATTGTTCCCTGGGCATACATTTGGTTGAGAGGGCACCAAGGTGGATGTGTACTGGCAGGCAGTAACCTTGCAGGAAGGCTAGACTCTTCCTAGGTCCCCTGGAGCTAAGGAGGCAGAAGTGAGAGGCCCAGGAGGATGCATCTCTTAGGCCAAGTGGTAGTAGCAGACAGTGTTTGGAGCAAGGTTCACTGGTAACCACGAATAAGGACAGACAGCAGTCAGGCCTGGGAACTTCCCCCAACAATCACTTTTTGTGTGATCACAAAAACCTTTTTGTGAAATCACAGGTTTCACAAATCGTCAGCTGCAGGGTCAGGTAAGAACAGCAATCCTTTCTATGCATCAATGGGTTTCCTCTGGGAACTTGGGGGAGGGACGGAAAGAGCCAAAGACATTTAACCAGGTCTGCATCTTGGTCACTTGTCTGGATATATTTTGGGTGTGAGCAACTGAGCCAGGTACCTGAATGCAGGAGATGAGCGGCTCTGGCATATGGGAGGGAGTAGAGAGACAGCATCTCCCTCCTCCTCCTGACAGGGCAGGGAGGATTTGACCACTCTGCACCCACCACACTCAGTTTCCTTGGCCTCACAGCTCTTCCTTTTGCCCAGAGTTGAATCATTAACTGGAACCTAATCCGAAGACAGGTGTTTAAAACTGTCATGGTTACAGCCATCAAATTACAGGAGGTTCACACACAGCAGTCAGCAATGGTTTGGGAATATTAAATAAATGTGTTTCTCTAACAGGACAAGACAGGATCATTTATTTATGCAACTTAAAAGCTGTCCCAGAAGGAGAAAAAAGTAGCGTATTATTTGTCCAAAATAAACAAGATTGAAGAACTGAACATCTCTCTGTGGATCAATTTACAGATCACATGGAAATATGCTTATCTTATTGAGAAATATTCCATTTTAGATGTTCAAATACCTTAGCATATTTTAAAAACTATTTCCTATGTGACCAAAAGAATTCATGTTCTATTCGGTAAAAATTAACCAAAATTAATGGTGCTTTCCAATGGACGCAGGAAACCTTTTTTCTTTACAAAACATGCCCACCCTTTTTTTGTTGCTACTTCCCACATTGAATTCTTGTTTTACTGAATTTTCTTACTATAAAAATAAAGCATGATGATAGTTTTGAAAACAAAACAGAAGTATTTGAGAAGTACAGACCCCACTCCCACTCCTTGTCTCCTTTCTGACACTCTGCCCCTTAACTATACTGGAACAGGGAGTCAACTGCAAGGAAAATCCTGGGGACTAGGGGCTGAGGAACTAGAGGTGGAGAGATGGAAGAGTGTCCAGTAGCCCAGGAAAGGATGAAACAATTCCCCAACAAAAAAGTAAAAATTTTCAGTAGCCCTCCGAGAAGATGCAGCCCCTCCCAGGTAACCAGAGAAAGGCAAATTGTGAAAGCAGGGAGAAGGGGCTACTTTAGGCCTCCAGGACTACAAAGACAAAAAAATGAGTGACAGGACCTGATGTGGTGGGGTGAGATGGGAATGGAAGTAAAGGAGGGGGCTCGTACTCTTGGTGGGAGTGGAAATTGGGGACCCAAGCTTACTGGCGATGCAGCCCTCACGTGACCAGGAGCTGACGTGGGCAAAGGTACTTAAAGCCCTGACCGTCGTTCTCCGTCCTCCTCTGGGTACCAACTCTATTGCGCAGCTCGCTGCCGTGCGTTTAACCCAGGCGAGGAGGAGGAGGAGAAAATTCCCCCAGATTCGGGCAGGTGGGTGTGAGGGTGGGCACAGTCTGGGACCCCTGAATAGGGGTAATCTAGGGATGCGGGAGTCGGAGGCCGCGGGTGCCTCGGTCTCCCCCACTCCTGGCCGGCTTTCCAGACCTGAGGTGCTCAAACGCGGCTCATTTTGGTGGGCGGTGGGGAAAGGGGGAGGGGGAAACGAAAAGACTTTTGATAGACTTTACGAAGAATCCGCTTACTTCCTTTCCAGCCAGTGTTTTTTGGTTTTGTTTATAATATTCAGGCCCGCACCCCACATTCCGTCCTGTTTTGAGAGGAGGAGGGAAGAGAAATAAACGTGGCAGCGCATAGAAGGCCAGCAGGGAGGTTGGGAAAGGGTAACCAGGAGGCGGGGGTGGGGCATGCAATTTGGTAACAATCTGGGCGGCACACTCCCACCCTGACTTTCCCCACCACCGCCCCGGCACCCTCCCATCCCCCAGCCGACCCTCTGTGATTTGGGAGTGCTGGGAAATGGGTGTACCAGCTGCTGTTGGAGAGGTGGCGGGTTTGGCGCTGTCTGGGCTTCACGGGAGGTGGGGGGGAGGGGGCGGACCCTGAGAGAATCTGGTATTAAACCGCCTTGTTAACTCGCAGACTGCTTTCCAGACACCTCCGGCCCACACAGCCGTTCACCCCCCGTCTTTTCAGTCCTGGAAAAGGAATTCGGGTATGCAGGCGGGAGAAATGGCGGTTGTTGGGGGGATTTGTGGGAAGTGGGAGGTAGAGCCCATAGCAGAGAAATCGTGGAAAATCTCGACCCTGAACCCGAAAAGGCAGACGTTGAGGCCCCTCTTCTGCAGGCTAACGCTAGGCCTAGGGGCTGGGGAGCGAAAGATGGGTGATCCTGGGAGGGGAACACTGAATTGTTTGGCAGGAGTCCCCCATACCGCGTCCCATCCAGCTTTTGCTGCACCCTCGCCCCGCTCCCCTCCCGCTTCGTTGCAGGAGAAGGGGTGTGGCGGTGTGTCCTGGAGAAATGGCGGACGGGGGCGGGGCAAAGCGGAAGGAGGGATTGAGTGCCTGGGGAGCCTGCGCAGGAGGAGGATTGAGGTGGGAGGGGTGGGGTGAGAAGAGTTGAAGGAATTGAGAGGTAGAATCATTTGACATTCTGATGTGCAAACACGAAAAGGCAGTTACTGAGACCCTTGTCCTGGATGCTGATCCATCCACCAGGCTTTCATTGTCTAACGTCGACAGTCTATATTTCTGCTCTTCAGTCTGTCCTTAGGATGAAGCTCTAACTGAACTGAAGTAAGGAGAAACAGCCTTGAATCTTTGGAGGGTCAGTGCTGGGGTTGGAATTGTCTGGGGCCCCCTGGTGTGGGTGTGGCAGAGACAAGAGTAGAGTATGGGACCAGAGGCTCCTCCTGCATCTTCTCTCTTTTAATTTCAAAGACACCCTTGCCCCAGGCCCTTTCTTTTTGGTGCAGAGAAAGGGGCGTGGCATCTGCCTTAGTTAATATTTGGGGGAGGAGAGGCTGAAGAGGAAAAGAGGATCCCTGAGGGGGGAAAACCTTTGACCCACAGGGGCCCAAATCAGGAAAAGAACCAGAATTCGTCCACCAATGGCTCAAAAACGCCCTTTCTGATCTGTCCTCAGGTCTGTCTTCCTTTTGGGCTCTGTGCAACTGCAGCTACAGTGGAAAAAAGCAAACTGCTCTTGATCCCAGGTTGGTATGTGCATGAGCACCATGTAGGGGCCTTGGGGGTAGGGGGTGGGGCATCATAGCAGAATCTGAGATCTCTACTGTTTTTCCAGCTCTCTACCAGCTTTACCCATGTCTGTACTGCCTCTCGTCCTTCCATTTAGATGCTGGAAGTTGTAGGCATTGGCAGAGCAGGCTAAGGTTGAAGATGTAGAAAACGTTAAACTAGGTCTGTGAATCAGCAAACACAGGCCTTGACACCTGTGTCTGGGTGCTAGCCCGCCAACGAAGCATTGTGTCCCTAAACTCTTCTCTAAGTAGAACTGGTTAGACACGAAGTGAGCCAGAGCCCTAAGCCTCATTTTTATCCTTTACCCCTAGGCCCTGCCTAAGCCTCAGCAGAACTTGTAAGCCTAAACTGAAGAGCCTCACCCGGACGAGCAGGCATCCCTTAACCTTAAGCAATCCAGTTCCACGCCCTGGATCAGTGAATAACCCCAGCTGCACCATGAGCCGCGTTCGGGATGCTGGCTGTGTAGCGGCGGGGATAGTGATAGGGGCTGGTGCCTGGTACTGTGTCTACAAATACACCAGGGGGAGAGACCAGACCAAGAAGAGAATGGCCAAGCCCAAAAACCGGGCTGTGGCTGGGACTGGAGCCAGGGCTAGAGCTGGGCTAAGAGCCGGATTCACAATCGACCTTGGGTCAGGATTCAGTCCCCCAACCCCAGTCCGTGCTGAAGCAGAGGACAGGGCCCAGGATGAAGCCTCTGCTCTGGACACAGTTGGAGCTGAGGCAGTGGCCCCAGCTGCATCCAGCGCTGAGGCTCAGAGTGGGGCAGGCAGTCAGGCCCAAGAGGCAGATGGAGCCGGGGTTGGGCCTAAGGCCGAATCAGTAGTTGGGGCTGCAATGGCTTCTGCAATAGCACCACCTCCCGGGGTGACAGAGGCCCTTGGGGCTGCAGAAGCCCCTGCAATGGCAGGGGCTCCCAAAGTGGCAGAAGCTCCCAGAGAAGCGGAGACTTCCAGGGCAGCGGTGCCTCCTGGGACAGTGGTGCCTACCGAAGCGGCAGCACCCACTGAGGTGACCGAGGGTCCTGGGGTAGCAGCACCTACCAAGGTAGCTGAAGCTCCCGGGGTGGCATCGCCTACCGAGGCAGCTGAGGCTCCTGTGCCGGCAACGCCTACTGGGGCTGCAGCACCTACTGGGGCTGCAGAGTCTCCTGGAACTTCTGGTTCCCCTAGAACAGCGGTGGTTCCTGGAACATCAGCTGCCAAGAAAGCAACCCCTGGGGCTCACACTGGGGCTATACCGAAAGCCACATCAGCGACTGGAGCGGTACCCAAAGGTGGAGGCAAGGGTGTAACCAGGTCCCGGAATGGGGGCAAGGGCAAGGGCAAGAAAAGCAAAGTTGAAGTAGACGAACTGGGGATGGGCTTCCGTCCTGGAGATGGGGCTGCAGCAGCTGCTGCAGCCTCTGCTAATGGCGGACAGGCTTTCCTGGCAGAGGTCCCTGATTCTGAGGAAGGGGAGTCCGGGTGGACTGACACAGAGTCAGATTCAGACTCTGAGCCCGAGACCCAGCGCAGAGGGAGGGGAAGAAGACCCGTTGCCATGCAGAAGCGCCCCTTTCCTTATGAAATTGATGAGATTCTGGGTGTCCGCGATCTCAGGAAGGTCCTTGCCTTGCTTCAGAAATCTGATGATCCTTTCATCCAACAGGTAGCTTTGCTCACTCTGAGCAACAATGCCAATTATTCATGCAATCAAGAGACAATCCGCAAATTGGGAGGCCTCCCAATTATTGCAAACATGATCAACAAAACTGATCCACACATTAAGGAAAAAGCCTTAATGGCCATGAATAACCTGAGTGAGAATTATGAAAATCAGGGCCGGCTTCAGGTGTACATGAATAAAGTGATGGATGATATCATGGCCTCTAACCTGAACTCAGCAGTTCAAGTAGTTGGACTAAAATTTCTAACAAACATGACTATTACTAATGACTACCAACACCTGCTTGTCAATTCCATTGCAAACTTTTTCCGTTTGCTATCTCAGGGAGGTGGAAAAATCAAGGTTGAGATTTTGAAAATCCTTTCGAATTTTGCTGAAAATCCAGATATGTTGAAGAAACTTCTCAGTACCCAAGTGCCAGCATCATTTAGTTCCCTCTATAATTCTTACGTGGAATCAGAAATCCTTATTAATGCCCTTACTCTATTTGAGATTATCTATGACAATCTCAGAGCAGAAGTGTTTAACTATAGAGAATTCAATAAAGGTTCCCTTTTTTACTTATGCACTACATCTGGAGTGTGTGTTAAGAAAATTAGAGCCTTAGCAAATCACCATGACCTCTTAGTGAAAGTGAAAGTTATAAAACTAGTGAACAAATTCTGATTGGTTATGTACCGTCAAAAGACTTGAAGAAATTTCATGATTTTGCAGTGTGGAAGCGTTGAAAATTGAAAGTTACTGCTTTTCCACTTGCTCATATAGTAAAGGGATCCTTTCAGCTGCCAGTGTTGAATAATGTATCATCCAGAGTGATGTTATCTGTGACAGTCACCAGCTTTAAGCTGAACCATTTTATGAATACCAAATAAATAGACCTCTTGTACTGAAAACATATTTGTGACTTTAATCGTGCTGCTTGGATAGAAATATTTTTACTGGTTCTTCTGAATTGACAGTAAACCTGTCCATTATGAATGGCCTACTGTTCTATTATTTGTTTTGACTTGAATTTATCCACCAAAGACTTCATTTGTGTATCATCAATAAAGTTGTATGTTTCAACTGACAAAAAGTCGTTCTAATGCTTGAATTTAAAACCCAGATGGAGAGATAAGGTACATAAATACAAAAGTATATATACAAAGATCTATGAAAAATAATAATAATAAATAAATACAAAAGGATTACTAACAGTACCTGGGCATATGCTCTTTGTCAAATATACACTATCTGTTTAAATGAAGCAGAGGTTGCTGAGAAAGCTTCAAGGAGGAAGGGCGCATTTAAGCTGAACCCTGAAGGACAACATAGAAGGGCATTCCAGGAGGGGGAAATGCTTTGGAGAAAGGCATGCAAGTGAGAAATCTGTGCCTGTGATAGGAAGGTAGCCAATTTGCTTGGAATGGAAGCCATGGGAAGAGGAATGATGAGAGATAAATGTGAAAATTCAGAGTGAGGAAAGTTTGAGGAAGATCCTGAACCCCAAGCCAAAATATTGAAATAATATCTTGTCATATTATGCAAATTGCTGAACATTTTTGACTAAAGGAAAAATAATCTGGTGGCAATATTAAAGATGGATTGGAGCTATGTTGGAGACTGGACATTTGTTAGAAAGTTATAATAAGCCAAGCAAGAGATGATGAGGGGTGAAGTGGGGTGGTGACTAAGGGAACTGTTAGTGTATGATGATAATAAGAGACAAAACAAAACAAGAAGGACGAAGATCTGCTGCCTGACGCTTGTCTGTGGATCAACAAAGCTGGAGGATTGTATAACCTCATGCAGGTCCTGACAGGGAAGAGCCCTATTTGGGGGGCAACTGTGGAGACGGCACAATGACAAAGTGAGTCACCATTTGGGATGAGAAAAAAGCAGTGTGGCAGAAAGAATGACTCTTGGCACAGAGCAGTGGTTGGCTTCCTAGGGTTAGAGGTTTAGGTCTGCCATCTTTTAGAAGAGGGGCAGTGGTGAGGCCTTGATGGGAGTCCCCATCCCCACTCCCAAGTTCACTTATGAACAGGTATGCTTTCCTCCCTGGCCCACTGAAGCAATTAGAAAGTGGGAGGGTCCGAGAGATTTTTCCAAACCCAGCCTGCTTTCCTGACACCCTTTATGGTTAACAACAGTATATTGTATACTTAAAATTTTCAGAAAGAGTAGATGTTAAGTGTTCTAACCACAAAAGATAACTATATGGGGGCAAATGCATATGTTAATTAGCTTGTTTTAGCCATTCCACAATGTATACATATATCAAAATATCATGTTTACCCCTAAATATATACAATTCTTATTCGTCTATTAAAAATACATTTTTTAAAAACTGATATACTTCTATATTGGCATGAAAAGACATTAACTACGTGTAAGGGCCTGTCGCATCAGTCAAAAAGTCCACACAATTAAAACTGGGTGAAAATTCCTTCATATGTTTATTATATACATCCCTGCGTATTTTTTTCATAAAATTGGAATCATATTGTATGATAATGGTTCTCAATGTGTAGTCCATGGACTACTGCAGGTCCCTGAAACAGTAAGGTCAAAACTATTTTCAAAACAATAGTAACATGTTATTTGCTGTTTTCACCGAGTTGACATTTGCACTGATGGTGCAAAAGCATTGGTGGGTAAAACTGCTGGTGCCTTAGCATGGATTAAGGCAGTGTCCCCATACTATACTAGTAGTGATTGCATTCTTTAGAACCACACGCTCTAATTTTTTTAAATCCAAATTTATTTAAAAATGTATTTAATATAGTCCTTATTTATAAAAATTATATATGATAAAATCTCAATGATTGAGTGCAAGTCTTTTTAATATTCCGTGTGATGAAATAGGAAGTACGCACAAAGCATTTCTGCCACATAGCTTAGGACAATGGTTGTCTCTAAGGTAAATATTTGCATAATCATTTTAGTTGTGCACTGAATTAGCTGCTTTTTTCATGGAACATTAGTTTTACTTGAAGAATGACTGGCAGACAAACTATGGTTTTTCAGACTTCGGTATTTAGCAGAGATTTTCTTGAAAATGAATGAAGTGAGACTTCAAGAAAAACAACTGACAGGATTTGTCACCAGCAATAAAATTTGAACTTTTATGCAAAATTAGAAATTTGTAAAACTTGTATCCACAAATTCAAGCTTGACAGCTTCTCTTGAAGATTTTTCTGAAGAGATCACTGGTGATAATAATGGAGGTGATGGCCTTTTTTCTTTTTCTCCTAGGAGAAAATTGATAGAAGACCCTAGGGCCTAATGTTCTTACTCAGTTTTACTGTAATCATTGTAACCCATATGACATCGAATCTATGGCTATTTAATAAATAATACAATTGCTGTGGTAACAACATGACCCTGAGTGAGGTTAGACCCAAGAATTTTTGAACCATTACTAAGGATAACCTGAAAATATGTCAGTCCTGGAAAAGTATTTCTGGGGTAAGATAGAGGTAGTATTTGAGTTCGTATATGGAAGATGGATGCATCAGAACCTCCTGGCTTGATCCTCACTATTCAGGTAGTCTAACCAGCTTTATCTGCTCTGATTAACAGTGGAAACTTCCATAATCTTCAGGTGAAACCTATTCCCATACAGAGATGTGTGGTCTGGCCTAACGAATAAGCTACAAATCACACAATAGGGAAATGCTTTATTTCCTAAGGTCTGAATTTTTGTGCCTTAAATCATATCACATGTGAAAGTACGAGCGTAGTTCAGGTGTGGCTAAATCCTAAAAGAGTAGCTCTTTGAAAGATTTAACTTCGTAAAATAATAACAATAGGTACCAGGAATTGAGCATCAGCTATATAGTATTCTATTATTCCTGAAATGTGACTGTTGAAACATTCCTTAGGTATTCTGTACTATAGTATTTACCTTTTATATTGTGTGTCCAGGGCCTATATGAAGGGGTACAGTTCTCACAACTGTTTGCACTGAATAGTCCTGCTTTCCTTGCTTCAATTTGTTAGTCTGGGTAAACAGTCAGGTCAAGAAACATTCATGTTCTCTCTTTTTAAGAATGTGGCCCAATAAATGCAAGGACTGAGGATACAAGGCTGTCATTTTAGTGGCAGAGCACAATGATAAATTGATACAAACTCCTACTCTTGGAGTTCCTGGAGCTGCATTTGTTTCCACCCTTTATCAGGCCAGGTTATTGAATTTTTCCCTTGTAAGATCTATCACAATATATTTCCTTAAATTATCTTTTTGTGCTTAAGGAAAAGGCCTCATACTAAGAGTAAGATGAGAGATGGGGCAGTAAGCAATAGAGTCTCAAGAAATCATGGGATATTTGGGTTGAGGTGGGCAAAATGCAAATGAGACTTCCTTCCCAATCTGGGGTTGAAAACAGTCTACAATTAATTGAGAGCTTTCCCTGTGACAAAAGTTCTATGTGACAAGGTAATTGCTCCTATAGAACATTTCACGGGGAAGAGGAATTGAGTGGGATCAGGTATTTGTATCTAGGGACACTGAACAACTTCCAGTGAAAACAATGAGTAGGCTTGAATATGGAATTTAATGTGAAAGCTAAAACAACAAGGAATCCTACTGCAAGAATCCTTTCCAGTTAAGACTGTCAGAGACCTCTTGAAGAATGAGTTTAGGAATTGGCCTTTTCTATTACTTAACTGTAATATTAGTTGAATTCACCAACTTACCAGGTTTCCTTAGTGAAACTGGAAACACTGGTAACCAGGATAGGTAATCTGGCAAATACTGAGCCTCTCTGGGATTTTTGAAAATATTTCCCACTATGCTTCGCTTATATAAAAAAAAAAACAATTTGTCTCATATGCCCCCACTGAAATTTGTATTTTAAAATACAAGGTTGATATTTTAAAATATGAGGTTGATAATTCAATATTAAAACCAGAGAATTAGATTTTGAGTGTGCCTGACTAGGGGACATAGTTTAGATCAGTCCACATTAATTGCAGTTAGAGTTCTCACCTATTGTTAATATATGGATAATATATTGATTAGCTCTAGACTTAAGTTAGATATGAATGGTAACATTTCAAGAACAACCACTAAAATTATAGAAATAGAGTGTATAATATCTAGAGCAATAAAGGAAAAAATGCACTTTGAGAAAATATTTTTAATCCAAAAGGAGGTGAGAAATGAGAAAAGTGAAGCCTCAAAAAAGGAAGACAAATAGAAAGCACATAGTTCAAATGTATTAGTAACCACAATAAGTGAAAATGGCTAAATTTACTTGTTAAATATATATAACTGGATTTTGAAAACCATCTACATGCTAAATAATAAGCATGCAGAAATTTTGAAAGCAAAAAGATAGGAAAAGTTATACCATGTAAGCATTAACCAAAAGGAGGCTGGCATAGCCAAATAAATATGAGACTAAATAGATTTTAAAGGAAAAACATTGTTAAAGAATGGGCGAATGATTAAACACACTGTGTTACATCCATAACATGGAATACCATTTGGAAATAAAAATGAATGAACTATTGATACATACAACAATCTAGATTAATCTCAAGGGCATTATACTGAGTGAGAAAACAAATCTCAAAAAAGTCACATACTGTATGATTCCATTTTTATAACATTCTTTTTGCTTTGTTATTGATACATAATAATTGTAGTATTGGTGGGGTATGTATGATGCTTTGATATGTGCCTACAAGGTGTAATGATCAAGTCAGAATATTCAGGATATCCACCACCTTAACCATTTGTCATTTCTTTGCGTTGGGACCATTTCAAATCTTCTAGCTATTTTGAATTATTGTTAACTATAGTCACCCTGCTGTGCTATCGAACTCAATAACTTATTTCTTCTATCTAACTGTATGTTTGTACTCATTAACCAACCTCTCTTCATCCCCTGCTACCCGCCTCGCCCCATTCCCAGCCTCAGGTAACTATCATTCTACTGTCTACCTCCATTAGATGAACTTTTTTTGGCTCCCTCATGTGAGTGAGAACATGCAATTGCCTTTTTTGTGCCTGGCTTATTTCACTTAACATAATGACCTCCAGTTCTATCCATGTTGCTGCAAATGACAGGATTTCATACTTTTTATGGCTGAATAGTATTACACTGTGTATATGTAACATATTTTCTTTATCCATTCATCCATTGATGGACACTTAGATTGCTTCTAAATCTTGGTTATTGTGCATAGTGCTGCAATAAACATGGGGGTGCAAGTATCCCATTGATATACTGATTTTCTTTTCTTTGGATAACTATCCAGTGGTGGGATTGCTAGATTGGATGATAGTTCCAGTTTTGCTGTTTTTGACAACCCCCTGTACTCTTTTCTGTAATGGCTGTACAAATTTATATTCCCACTAACAGTGTATAAGTGTCCCCTTTTCTCCACATCCTTGCCAGCATGTTATTTTTTGTCTTTTTGATAGTAGCCATCCTAAATGGAGTGAGTTGATATCTCATTCTGGTTTTGATTTGCATTTATTTGATAATTACTGATGTAGAGCATTTTTTCATACACCTGTTGGCCATTTGTATGTCTTCTTTAGGGAAATGTCTGTTGACATCCTTTGCCCACTTGAATGGAATTATTTGGGGTTTTGCTCTTGAGTTTAGTTCCTTGTATAACAGTCTTAAAATGAAAAAATTACAGAAATAGAAAACAGATTCATGGTTTCCAGGTGTTAGGGGTGGTGGGGTGGATACTGTGTATCACTAGAAAGGGGTACCACAAAGGATATCTTTGTGGGGATAGAATAGTTCTGTATCTTGATTGTGGTGGTGTAATACAATGGTATAGAACTATATGACGCATTTTCTATCAGTATCAAGTTCCTCATTTTAATATTGTACTACAGTCATATAAGATGTAGCCATTGGGGGAAACTGTGAAGAAAGGTACAGAAGACCTCTCTGTATTATCCTTGCAATTACAGGTAAATATATAATTATTTCACAATAAAGGTTTCTAAATGATGATAAAAAGTTAAATTCACCAAAAAATTATAAATTTGTGAGTATTTAATAAAATAACCCCAAAATATATAAAGAGGCTGGGCACAGTGGCTCAGCCTGTAATCTCAGCACTTTGGGAGGCCGAGGCGGGTGGATCGCTTCAAGTCACAGGAATTCAAGAACAGGCTGGCCAACATGATGAAACCCCGCCTCTACTAAAAATACAAAAAATTAGCCAGGCATGGTGATGCATGCCTGTAATCTCAGCTACTCAGGAGGCTGAGGCAAAAGAATCGCTTGAACCAGTGAGGTGGAGGTAGCAGTCAGCCGAGATGGCGCCATTGCACTCTAGCCTGGATGACAGAGCGAGATTCCATCTCAAAACATATATATGTATATATAAAGAAAAATGTTATGGAACTATAAAAAGAAATGAACAAATCAACAATCGCACGGAAGAATACAACATCTCTAAAGTATTTAAAGAATAAGGAGAACAAAAAGTATTCTATTAATATATCTTGATAGTAAAGATATAGAATATTGAGCAATGTGGTCAACAATCTGATTTAATGGATGTACACAAAATCCTGAACCAAATAATAGGAGAATACACTTTCTTCTCAAGCATAGAGGGACTGTTTATAATAATGATCATGAATTTGGCCATAAAACATATCTCAACAAATTTCCAAGAATCAGTGTCATAATAATCACTTTATTTGACCAAAATGCAATTAGGATAGAAATACATAACAAGGTAATATGTTTTAAAAACCATGTATTTGAAATTTTTTTTATTATACTTTAAGTTTTAGGATACATGTGCACAATGTGCAGGTTAGTTACATATGTATACATGTGCCATGTTGGTGTGTTGCACCCATTAACTCGTCATTTACATTAGGTATATCTCCCAATGCTATCCCTCCCCACTCCCCCAACCCTACAACAGGCCCCGGTGTGTGATGTTCCCCTTCCTGTGTCCAAGTGTTCTCATTCTTCAATTCCCACCTATGAGTGAGAACATGCGGTGTTTGGTTTTTTGTCCTTGCGATAGTTTGCTGAGAATGATGATTTCCAATTTCATCCATGTCCCTACAAAGGACATGAACTCATCATTTTTTATGGCTGCATAGTATTCCATGGTGTATATGTGCCACATTTTCTTAATCCAGTCTATCATTGTTGGACATTTGGGTTGGTTCCAAGTCTTTGCTATTGTGAATAGTGCCTCAATAAACATACGTGTGCATGTGTCTTTATAGCAGCATGATTTATAATCCTTTGGGTATATACCCAGTAATGGGATGGCTGGGTCAAATGGTATTTCTAGTTCTAGATCCCTGAGGAATCACCACACTGACTTCCACAATGGTTGAACTAGTTTACAGTCCCACCAACAGTGTAAAAGTGTTCCTATTTCTCCACATCCTCTCCAGCACCTGTTGTTTCCTGACTTTTTAATGATCACCATTCTAACTGGTGTGAGATGGTATTTCATTGTGGTCTTGATTTGCATTTCTCTGATGACCAGTGATGATGAGCATTTTTTCATGTGTCTGTTGGCTGCATAAATGTCTTCTTTTGAGAAGTGTCTGTTCATATCCTTCACCCACTTGTTGATGGGGTTGTTTGTTTTTTTCTTGTAAATTTCTTTGAGTTCTTTGTAGATTCTGGATATTAGCCCTCTGTCAGATGAGTAGATTGCAAAAATGTTCTCCCATTCTGTAGGTTGCCTGTTCACTCTTATAGTAGTTTCTTTTGCTGTGCAGAAGCTCTTTAGTTTAATTGGATCCCATTTGTCAATTTTGGCTTTTGTTGCCATTGCTTTTGGTGTTTTAGACATGAAGCCCTTGCCCATGCCTACGTCCTAAATGGTATTGCCTAGGTTTTCTTCTAGGGTTTTTATGGTTTTAGGTCTAACATTTAAGTCTTTAATCCATCTTGAATTAATTTTTGTATAAGGTGTAAGGAAGGGATCCAGTTTCAGCTTTCTACATATGGCTAGCCAGTTTTCCCAGCACCATTTATTAAATAGGGAATCCTTTCCCCATTTCTTGTTTTTGTCAGGTTTGTCAAAGATCAGATAGTTGTAGATATGTGGCATTATTTCTGAAGGCTCTGTTCTGTTCCATTGATCTATATCTCTGTTTTGGTACCAGTACCATGCTGTTTTGGTTACTGTAGCCTTGTAGTATAGTTTGAAGTCAGGTAGTGTGATGCCTCCAGCTTCGTTCTTTTGGCTTAGGATTGACTTGGCAATGTGGGCTCTTTTTTGGTTCCATATGAACTTTAAAGTAGTTTTTTCCAATTCTATGAAGAAAGTCATTGGTAGCTTGATGGGGATGGCATTGAATCTGTAAATTACCTTGGGCAGTATGGCCATTTTCACAATATTGATTCTTCCTACCCAGGAGCATGGAATGTTCTTCCATTTGTTTGTATCCTCTTTTATTTCATTGAGCAGTGGTTTGTAGTTCTCCTTGAAGAGGTCCTTCACATCCCTTGTAAGTTGGATTCCTAGGTATTTTATTCTCTTTGAAGCAATTGTAAGTGGGAGTTCACTCATGATTTGGCTCTCTGTTTGTCTGTTATTGGTGTATAAGAATGCTTGTGATTTTTGCACATTGATTTTGTATCCTGAGATTTTGCTGAAGTTGCTTATCAGCTTAAGGAGATTTTGGGCTGAGACGATGGGGTTTTCTAGGTATACAATCATGTCATCTGCGAACAGGGACAATTTGACTTCCTCTTTTCCTAATTGAATACCCTTTATTTCCTTCTCCTGCCTGATTGCCCTGGCCAGAACTTCCAACACTATGTTGAATAGGAGAGGTGAGAGAGGGCATCCCTGTCTTGTGCCAGTTTTCAAAGGGAATGCTTCCAGTTTTTGCCCACTCAGTATGATATTGGCTGCGGGTTTGTCATAGATAGCTCTTATTAGTTTGAGATATGTCCCATCAATACCTAATTTACTGAGAGTTTTTAGCATGAAGGGTTGTTGAATTTTGTCAAAGGCCTTTTCTGCAGCTATTGAGATAATCATGTGGTTTTTGTCTTTGGTTCTGTTTATATGCTGGATTACGTTTATTGATTTGCATATGTTGAAGCAGCCTTGCATCCCAGGGATGAAGCCCACTTGATCATGGTGGATAAGCTTTTTGATGTGTTGCTGGATTCGGTTTGCCAGTTTTATTGAGGATTTTTGCATCAATGTTCATCAGGGATATTGGTCTGAAATGCTCTTTTTTTGTTGTGTCTCTGCCAGGCTTTGGTATCAGGATAATGCAGGCCTCATAAAATGAGTTAGGGAGAATTGCCTCTTTTTCTATTGATTGGAATAGTTTCAGAAGGAATGGTACCAGCTCCTCCTTGTTGACATTTTTATTTTATTTATTTATTTATTATTTTGAGATGGGTTCTCACTCTGTCGCTCGGGCTGGAGTGCAGTGGCACGATCATGGCTCACTGCAACCTCCGCCTCCCGGGCTCAATGGATCATACCGCCTGAGCCTCGCAAGTAGCTGGGACTACAGGTGCATGCCACATTCCATGGCTAATTTTTGTATTTTTGGTAGAGACAGGTTTCTCTATGTTGCCCAGGCTGGTCTCCAACTCCTAACCTCATGTGATCCTCCTGCCTGTCTGTATTATCCTTGCAATTACAGGTAAATATATAATTATTTCACAATAAAAGTTTTTAAGCGATGATAAAAAGTTATATTCGCCAAAAAATTATAAATTTGTGAGTATTTAATAAAATAACCTCAAAATATATAAAGAGGCTGAGCACAGTGGCTCAGCCTGTAATGCCAGCACTTTGGGAGGCCAAGGCGGGTGGCCTCCCAAAGTGCTGGGATTACGGGTGTGAGCCACCACCTACGATCATGTTTGGAAATTAAAAAAAAAAAAACTTTTTTGTAGTTTATGGGTTAAAAAAGGAAGCATAATAGAAATTTTAAAACACTGAAAACTGAATAATAACAAAAACACTAAATATCAACATTTGTAGGATTCAGTAAAAACAGTATTGCTTTTTTTTTGCTTTCTTTTTCTTTATTTCTTCTAAAAGAAAAAGAATGGGATACATGTGCAGAACGTGCAGGCTTGTTACATAGGTACATGTGTGCCACCGTGGTTTGCTGCACCTATTGACCCGTCCTCTACGATCCCTCCCCTCACCTCCCACCATCGAACAGCCCCTGGTGTATGTTGTTTCCCCGTGTCCCTGTGTTCTCAATAAAAACATTATTTCAAAGGAAATTTATGGTCTTAAGTTTTTAATGTTATATGAAATGTTTACAACAGGGAAATCTATAGAGACAGAAAGTAAAGTAATAGTTGAAAGGAGTGGCAGAGGCAAGTTGAAGAGTGACAACTCATAGGTGCAGGGTTTCTGTTTGGAGTGATGAAAATATTCTACAATTCATTGTGGTGATGGTTGCACAACTCTGCAAGCATACAACAAAAGATTGAATTTTACACTTTAAATAGGTGAATTGTTTAGAATGTGAATTATATCTCATAAAGCTGTTTTAAAAATCTTATGTTAGACTGGAAAAAAAAGGTAAGCATTAATGAGCTAAGCATCCAAATCAAAAGTTAGAAATAGACTGATAGAATAAATGTAAGATAATAAAATGAAAAAGACAAGAGCAGAAATAGATGAAATAGAAAAAATACATTTGATAGAATTTTAAAAATTGAAAAATTGGTCCTCAAAAGATATAATTTAAAAAGCAAGCCTTTGATGAGACCAATCAAGAAAAAAGGTGAAAATAAACAATATTAGCAGTAAACAAGAGGACACAATAATGAATATGCAGTGATTTTAACAGATAAGAGAATACCATAATTAACTTTATGACAATGAATTCGAAAATGTGGATGAAATGGATACATTATTTGAAAAATAAGACTTGCCAAAATTGGCTCAGAAAGAAACAGAGAATCCAAAGGGTCCTATAACCACGGAAAACAATTAAATCAGTAGTTTAAAAGTTCCCTGCCCCTCTCCTCAGAAAAATAGACCCAGATGTAACAGATAAAGTCCAATCTTATACAAGCTCTTCTATAGCCTAGAAATAAGTAATGTTGTTCAATGCATTTTATGAGCCAAATATCTTTTATATTAAAACTGACAAGATCAGTATAAAAAATGAAATTTCAAACAAGTCTCAAAATATAAATGTGAAAATCTTAAACAAAATACCAGCAAGTAGAATCCAGCAATGTATTTTAAAAAGTCATGATCAGAATGGTAACGCAGAGCTGGCTTAACATTTTAAAAAATCTATCAAAGCTTAATTGATACATTCTAACACTATATGGAAATATAAAGACCCAACAAGAGCTACATCAATTTGGAAACAAAGGATAGAGTGGAGACTTACCCTACTGGATAGTAAGATACACTGTATGTGTCAGTCAGGGTAACAATATGCTATACTGAAGTAACAAATGAACCTCAAAACCTCAGTGAAGTAAACAAAGGTTTATTTCCTATTTACGTAAAATTTAATGATTAGGCAGCTCTCCAGTCTTCCATGCAGTTACTCAGGAACCTAAGGCTTCTTCCATCTTGTGGTTCCTCCATCTAAACACACAGCCTTTTACACCAGTTTTAAATAACCTTGACCCAGAAATAATAAACATTACTTTGCTTGTAGTGTGTAGTCCAGATAGTCATATGACCTCAATCTAACTGCAAGGCAAGCTAGGAAAGTAAGTACAAAAATCATTTGGTGAGTACCAGCTCTCCCTGCCGTATCATAGTAACAAAAGTAATATGGAAGAGATAAATACATAAATGGAAACGTTTAGAGACAGACTTAAGTAGATACAGAAAAAATAGGCAGCACAAATCAATGGAGAAAGGATGGACGGTATAATACATGTTATTGGAAAGACTAGTTCACTATTTGAAGAAAAATAAAGCTGGAACCCTCCTTAGCACCATGTATAAATCTAGACTACAGAGAATAAAATAAATTTGAAAGCTAAAATTATGAAGTTAATAGATGATGATATAGGAAAAAATCTTTGTGGCCTAGAATTAGATAACAATTTCTTAAACAAAACCTCAGAAGTAGATGCCATAAGACACAAAAGATTAATAGATTTGATTACATAAAAAATAAGAATTTCTATTCAATGAGAGACACCATAAACAAAGTTAATAGATGACAGAGAAAAGTTATTTACAATACCTTTAACAAAGGATTAATAGCTAGCATATACAAAGTACTCCTGCAAATCCAAAAGAAAAAGACAGGAATACACTGCCTTAAAGTGACAAAAGAGGACGGACGGATGAGGTGGCTCCTGCCTGTAATGCCAGTGCTTTGGGAGGCCAAGGCAGAAGGATAGCTTGAGGCCAGGAGTTGAAGACCAGCTTAGGCAACATGGCAAGATCTTGTTTCTACAAAAAAAAAAAAAAAAAAAAAAAAACCTATTTTAAAAAATTAGCTGAATGTGATGGTGCATGCCTCTGGTTCCAGCTACTTGGAGCAGCTAGGCAGAAGAATCGCTTGAGCCCAGGAGGTCAAGACTGCAGTGAGCCATGTTTGTGCCACTGCACTCCAGCCTGGGTGACAGAGTGAGACCCTATCTCAAAAAGTAAAATAAAGTAAAATAAAATAAACTGACAAAACATGACAAATATACCCAGAGGAGATGAAAACCAAAATGCTCAGAAATAAATGAAGAGATGTTCAAACTCATTATTAACCAGTTAATTGCTAATTAAAATTCAGTTATAAATCCGTTTATACCTATTTGGCTGGCAAAAATTTTAAAGCTGGGACCTGCCGATTGTTAGTGAGGGTACAAAGATAGAGGAATTCTAATGCACACAGCTGATTAGAGTTTAGACTGGAGCTGCTATTCCAAAGAGCAATCTGACATACATAAATGAATTATACATATGCCCTATGACTCAACAATTCCATTCATTTTATATATATTCCAGAACACTTTTCATGTAGGTCCATAAGGGGACATGCATGAGGACGTTCATCACAATGTATGAGGTAACAGAAAGTTGGAAGCAGTATAGATTTTATTTCCTGGAAAATGAGGAAGTAAATTGGAGTGGATGAATACCATGGTACATTATGCAACAGTGTGAAACTACAGACCATGTACACAGAGTGACATAGATGGATCTTTAAAAAAATATTACTGAGTGGGGAAAAAAGCCAGAATAAGATCCACAGCACCATACTACTATCTAAATCCATGCATACAAAGTAATGTAAGTTTTAAAATAACTCAAACAAACATACACATCAAATAAATTAGAAGGTTGCCTTTGGGGAGGAGATGGAAGTAAAGAATAGAGAAGAAAGGAAACAAATAAAGTAGTAAATGAATTAATAAAGGAAAGAAAATGGGTTTTGATTAGACCAATGCAGATGGTATGCTACGAAGGGAAGAATATGGTTAGTATAATCCTCATCACCTAAGGTCCAAAAAAAAAGGAAGGACAGAAATCCATTAATGTTGTAGTAGTATAAAAGTCTAAACTGCTGTAATGAAAAACTCAAAAATTGTATGACTTAAAAAATATATTTTCATTACCAAAAGAGTCTGAGGTTAATGTTCCAGGTCAGCAGAGAGGCTCTGCTACACGTGGCCATTCAGGGTCCCAGGCTCATTCCATCTTGTAGCTCCATCCTTCTCTAGGTACTCAAAGTTATCTCCATTCAGCGGGTAGATAGGAAAAGAGAGAGCACAAGTCAAGCATGAGGAAGTTTCATGAGGCAAAATCTGGAACACATCACTCCTGCCACAATCCATTGGCCAGAACTCAGTCTCATGGTTGCACCCAATCATAGGGGACGTTGACCACTATAGCTAGGCCACTATTGACCAATCTAGCTGGATTCCAAGGAGTGGGCAGAAAACATGGATATTGGAGAGCACTAACAGCCTCTACCACAGTTTGCAAGAGCTTTGTTGAGGGAATTATAAAATGTTTTTAAGAGATATTAATCATCCAAAACGCTGATCTCAGTGACTGCTTTTACTAGGCAATGGTTTACAAATGTTTTCAACCTCATTGGTACAGTTCTCAGGGCTAGTTTGATGCCCAAGTTTCTCTCTCCACCCTCGATGTCCACGATCAGTAATGTCTTCCATTTCCCCTGCAACTGTGTCCATCCCCCAAAACGTGAGGGCGGAGAGGCAGGCAGGGATTAGAATTAGAAAATGGACAGCATGTCAGTAACAGAGGCAGGGAATGAACATGAGATTTGTACTTCCTCATATTTTCACTTCCTCATGTACTATTACCGCCTTAAAAAATAAGCATCAGTGGCCAGGCGCGGTGGCTCATGCCTGTAGTCTCAACACTTTGGGAGGCCAAGGCGGGCAGATCACCTGAAGTCAGGAGTTCAAGACCAGCCTGGCTAGCATGGTGAAACTCCACCTCTACTAAAAATATAAAAATTAGCTGGGCGGGGTGGCACACGCCTGTAGTCCCAGCTACTCAGGAGGCTGAGGCAGGAGAATCGCTTGAACCCTGGAGGCGGAGGTTGCCGTAAGCCTAGATCGTGCCAATTCACTCCAGCCTAGGTGACAGAGCGAGAGACTCCATCAAAAAAAAAAAAGCGTCAGTATGCAATCATTTTTACAATCAGAAAAAAAATGAAGTTATGGTCACTGAAAAATTAATGAGGAATTAATCTGGGAAAAATCTATCATAAAAAATATTTCTGGCCAGGTGCGGTAACTCACACCTGTAATCCCAGCACTTTGGAAGGCCAAGGCAGGTGGATCACTTGAGGCCAGGAGTTCGAGAGCAGCCTGGCCCACATGGCGAAACCCTGTCTCTAGTAAATATACAAAAATTATCCGGGGATAGCAGTGCACACCTGTAATCCCAGCTACTCATTAGGCTGAGGCAGGAGAATCGCTTGAACCTAGGAGGTGGAGTTTGCAGTGAGCCAAAATGGCACCACTGTACTCTAGCCTGGGTAAGAGTGAGGGAGACTCAGTCTAAAAAAAAAAAAAAAAAAAAAAAAAAAAAAAAAAAAAGTCCAATTTAAGAGGGAGGAAGTGCCTTAGCACAATTACGTTTTATGAATGTATTGCTTTTCTGCACAAGAAGAGTTTATAAACATGCTAAGGTATTTGATAAGGTGATTGGTAAGGTTTTTGATAAGGTATTTAGAAGGATTAGACTGAATCCTTCTAAACAATGAAATTTAACTCTGAGCAAAGGGAAGAGCTGTGAGATTGATGCTGCAAGGTATGAGGAATGCAGAGATGGTCCTATCCTTTCTGCCCAGTCAAGATAGGGGGAAGGTGCTGCCCCCATCCCCTCTCATATTTCAGAACGTCTCATTTCCTGCATATGGGCACCTGACTCTTGCTCACTCCAAAAATATACCTGGACAGATGACCAAGGTGGTGACCTGAGTAAATGCTTTTGGATCCTTCCCTCCTCCCTCTCCTAAATTTCCACAGGGGTAACCCAGCCCCAGCAGAGAAGGGAGCACTGTTCCTGCCACTGGAAACCAGAACTCATGCCTTCTAGACCCTTGCAGCTGAGGGTGTCCATGAGGCCTGGAGAAGTGATTGCTGGGGGAGTGTCCCTAGCCATCTCCCTGCTCTCTGCCCTTATTCACAGTGTCTGAGTGGAAGCCTCCCTGGACCCTATCTGCTGCCTCCCACCTATCATGAGCAGTGCAGTCTGGTGGGCCTTTCATGCCCAAAATCTGCATCTCCAGGGAATCTAGGGAACCTAGCTTTGCTGCCTTTCAGTCACCTTCCTCCCTAGTGGCCCTTCAGCCAGGCTAAGGACAGTGTCCAAGAAACTCTCACCTACTGACCATACTGATTAACCTAGACCAGGTGTTCTCAACTGGATAAGTCTATAAACTCCTGGAAATTGTATACAAGGTTGTGTATTGGGAGTGAGGGGAAGGTGCATATAAGTTTTCCAGGTGAGCGGCTATAAGCTATAATTATTAACATGTTTTTAATGGGAAGTATAACCCTAAATATATTAAAAACCACTGGCCCAGAAGGTCTATGTTTATATTTGTTCTAAATAGGATGATTTTCATTTTTTAATAGTAAAACTAATATAGTCATTGTAAAAATGTCAAACAACGCAGAAATGTATTGTATTCATTCATTCACTTAATAAGTCTCTATTGAGCACCTATGCAAGGCATTGAGAATACAATGGTAGGAAAAACAGACTAGGTCTTTGTATTCATGAAGCTCACAGATTAGTGGGGTATATACATTAATCAAATAATCACATGAGTGTATGGATAATTATAATTCCACATAAATACAAAGAAGGAATGGAACACAGGTATGTATATGAGTATATTGCTGCAGATCAAGACATACTCTGAGGGGCTAAAAAGGGAACAAAGAAAACTTCCCTAAGGAAGTAAAATTTGAGAGGAAATAAGGAAAAGTATAATTACTAGGCAAAGAGGATAATATAAATGTCTGGTAATCATACATCCTGCAGAATGCCATAGCTAACACATATGTGTAATTGGAATAAATCACAGTCCACAAACCCAAGTGTATAAAACATCCAGCTTTTATTTTCTATAGCAATACTCATAATTTATATTTTGTCTTCTCATCCCATTGTTGTGCTGAAATGGAATCAATTTAGGATCTGCTGCATTTTCCGTGGTGTGTCTAAGATCAAAGATGCTTACAAAGCACCTTAGAGTTGTTGGAGGAGGTCCACATGATTCTAGTAATACTGCTCTACATAATTCACCATTTTCATTCCTTCCTCAGGACCTCTTCAAATATTGTAGCTCTCTATTTTGCTTGTGTCGACCTTGAATGATCAAGACTTTCTGTGTTGCTTCCCTGCCTTTGCTATGCTGAGATACAGAAAACTTCGTTAGACTCTATACTATATGTCTGGAAGCAATGTAAAGCAGCAATGCTTCAGGTATCTCTTAACAGGTATGACATGTCACCTACACAATTTAATCCAACAAAACTGTCCAGCGAACTTCCAGTCAACAGCAGACTGAAGTGAGTTGGAAAGCTTCCCCCTTCCCACTCGAAACTCACAGATGTGATAGAATGCTAAAAACAGTAAATAGTCAAGTTCATCATCATGAAATGGAAATCTCCAAGAAACAAAGAAGGAGCTAGCAAGGAGCGGGAGATAAAGACAGACGGCTATCGGCTTTAAGATCTAGAGACCAGGATTTAATCCCACATAGGGACAGAAAACAATGCCTCTAGGCAGTGGAAGATGGGAAGCTGGTACTGAGCTCCAATCTAAATCTAGGCCCCACAGAAACACAACCAGTACATGAAATGATAACTAGAAAACTTTATCCCACAGCAAAGATACATGAGAAGAAAGCTCATCTTTTATGTGAGGTCATGGGTGGATACAGAGCCCCCTGGGAGCAATCAAAATCCAGGCCAGCTCCATTCATAGGCCGAATTCATAATCTGTACATGTGAGAGAATTCAAGGGACATACACTAATATAAAAATTAATCTGGAACTGGTGAAACTTTTATAGCCTTAGCAGAGACAAAGGCAAGGAGAAAATTAGGACATTCAAATATAGATCTCAATAAATCACCCAGAATGCAGCACACAAAGATAAAACAGTACAAAATATGAGAAGCTAGAAGACATGGCAGAAAAAGGGAAAGTTTCAAAATATACCTAGAACGAAGTCCATAAAGAGAGTCTAGAGAGAATGAGGAAGGGACAATATTTGAAGAGATAGTGGCGTGAATTTTTCAACAACTGATGCTAGACATGAATCCTTAAGCAGCATAAATAGAAGTAAAGCCATAGCTTGATACATCTTAGGGAAGAGCACCAACTATACCTAACACTATATTTTCATGTGTTTAGGCTTTGGGAAATCGAAAAGCCCTTCCATAAACCTTTCCTGAAACAAGGAATGGGAAAATGGAAAAGTAAGAAATATTGTGGGAAACAGAAGAACATAAGTTTATAAAACATACTATTCTGTCATATATGCACATGTGTAAATATTTACAATCTCTAGTGAAATGGTAAATCTTTTTTTAAGAAAAAGTAAGAAACTGTCTTCAAGGAAAGGAGGATATAGCACTCTCTTTCCAGGATTTCAGTCAGAGGGTACGTGACAATGTTTAACAGTTTTCTGTATCTGTCATCCCATTCCTTCGTAAATCATTGCACATTTTCTTCCTTCTGACTATTCAGAGGTTTCTCTTGGGGACATATACAAAATGATCCCATTGAGAAATGGTATCAGCTGTTAGTCAAGCCACAATCTCTACCCAGCTTAATCGTCCTGCTTTCTCCTGACACTAAATTCTGAGGATAGTTATTTTAAAGCCACAGCTAAGGTAATCAACATACAATAACAGTAGCTGGAGCAATGTGCTAATGTGAAATATCAGAGACGGATGGGCGTGGTGGCTCACATCTGTAAACTCAGCACTTTGGGAGGCCAAGGTGGGTGGATCACCTGAGGTCAGGAGTTCGAGACCAGCCTGGCCAACATGGTGAAACCCCCATCTCTACTAAAAATACAAAAATTAGCTGGGCGTAGTGGCGGGCCCCTGTAATCCCAGCTACTTGGGAAGCTGAGGCAGGAGAATCGGTTGAACCTAGGAGGCGGAGGTTGCAGTGAGCTGAGATCACGCCATTGCACTCCAGCCTGGGCAACAAGAGAGAAACTTCATCTCAAAAAATAAAAAGAAAGAAAAGAAAAAAGAAACATCAGAGACTTGGAAGGGATGGGGAAGACAGATTGAGAGAGTAAGTAAATTATGCATTACAGTCTAAAGATACTTTCTTAAAATCTTTAATCCATCACTTAGGTAGGCCTCTCTAGGTATGTCTAAGAAACAGTATGTGAAGCAAAATGTTGATACAGTGAAGAAATACAGAATCACAAAATTGATTTCAATCAATCCCAGTTTTGCCTATCCCCCAAAAGACCTTCCTTGGAGTTTTCCATTCTCCAAATTTCTCCAGTCCCTCGTAGTATTTCCATAGGTGACAATTCATATCCATTGTCTGTGCATTTCAAAATTTATATTATTTCTGACTGAAATAGAACTATAGAAAGAGTCAAATATCATATTTAGCAAAAAGCAATAACAACACTGGAAGAAATAAAATTAAAACAGGAAAAATAATTTCTGGAATTGAGAAACATGATTTTCAAATTTAAAAACTCACACTAAATGAAAGAGATAATGTCACTGTTGAAAATTGAATAAGCAGCCAAGGTGATCAGGTGAAAATTTAAACAATAAATGAAAATGATGAAGGAAAAGATAAATCTTGGAGGACGGATCCAAAAGGCCCAATACATTAATGAATTTCTAGGACGAGGAAGAGAAACAGATGGAAAAGTGATAGGTAAAGAAATTGTGAAGAAAAATTTCTCTAATCTAAAGAAAATCTTGAGGTTGAACAATAAAAAGATACCCCAAGTTCCAGACACCATTAGTTTTTAAAAGTTCAAATGCCTAGAAGTATCATTATAAAATTCATAAATTCCAATCACAGAGAATATTATAAAAAAGAAGTTACATAAAAAGGGAAAATATCCGACAGGTAAATTATTTTTACTTGCCATCCTGGAGGTAAGAAAACAAGGAAATAATCTCCACACACTACTAAAAGGAAAGAGTAGTAACTCCAAAACTGTGTGCCCAACCTAGGTAATCATTACAAGTCAAGGTGAAGTAGGATATATTCAAGCATGCAAAGATTCAGAGAGAATACAATCCATGTCTAAATTATCACAGGTAGCATTTATTGAGCACTTAGTACTTGTCAGGTGCTGCTCTAAGCACTTTACATATCTTTACATATCAGCTCAGCAACCTTATGAGATAATCCAATTCTTAACTTCATTTTCACATAAAGAAATTTATATAGACAGTGATTTAAAACTCACCCAAGAAAATACAGCTTTTAAATAAATAGCTTCTAACTCAGCCACTGTCATTCTGAGATCACAAATTTAACCACTATGTATTGAATGCTACTTGGACTTTGTATAAATGTTTCTAAAGGTTTCCTATTTTTGGAGTTGGGGGCAGTGGGAAAATAAGGTGCCTCAGTGGGTGGTATAATTATCTCATTTGGATTCAACAGTAGAGAAACATTGTTTGATTTTGAGTGCTAGCATTCATGGAATGAAGTGTGTAGAAAAGCATAGTAAATTTTCCAAATTCACAATATAATGAATGTGTAAGAATAGAAGTTTGAATAAACTAAAAAAAATAAATTAGAGAAAGGAAATGGGGGCTCGACAAAATAAAATTAATAGTAAAAATAATAGGAACATAAAACAAAATGAAGAGAATAAAATCAAGGGTATTAACTGTTGCACTAAAGGTAAAAGGGCACAGACCATGATAGTGAATTAAAAATCCAACTATATGTTCTTTACAAGAAACACACCTACAGCATAGCAACAAAGAAATGTTGAAACAGATCAGTGAGTGAGGAGATATCAGGCATAAGCAAGCAAAAAGAAAACATGGTTGAAAATATTAATATAAGCCAAAGGAAGCTCTAAAACACAATTTAAATCATTATTTGTATGAATAAAAATGGCACAACTAAAGAAATTATAAGTAATACTTTTGTATGTACCAAACAGCATTGCAACTAAACAGATAAAGCAAAAACTGTTAGAATTACAAGGAGAACTTTAATACACCTCTATCGGAATTTGACCAACCCATTAGATGAAAAGATAATCAAAGACATAGAGGATCTAAATAATCAACCAATGATATTAACTCAATAGAAAGAAATTTGCATGATATAAGGAGAGAATGTGCATCTTTTTTCTTACATGTATAAAACTTTTAACAAATCGATCATGTCCTCAAAAACATAAAAATACATTAATAAATTCCAAAAAGGAGAGAATATATAGGCATATCCTCTTAACAAAATAAAATTAGAAATTAATAATAAAAATGATCATAGTAATTGCCTGATAATATAGCAATATTCTCCAAAATAACCCCTACGTCAAAAAGAAAATTAAAAATAAAATTGCAAGTTATATGGAAAGCAAAGAAAAAGAGAACACATCATATCAAACTGTACTGTGGCATGGCTGAAGATATACCCAGAGAAAAACCCATAGTCATAATTACCATTATTATTCAATAAAACCATAAATAAAAGAAATACACACTCTTCTTGAAGAAATTCAAAAGCACGAGAGAAATAATCCAAAGGCAGTAGAAGAAATTAGTAAAATTAAAGTTTAAGATAATGACCAAAAAAGCCAATTGTAAAAGTGATAAATAGTGCTCGCTTCGGCAGCACATATACTAAAATTGTAACGATACAGAGAAGATTAGCATGGCCCCCGCGCAAGGATGACACGCAAATTCGTGAAGCATTCCATATATTTTTGAACAATGAGAACACATGGACACAGGGAAGGGAACATCACACCGGGTCCTGTTAGTGGGTGGGTGGCTAGGGGAGGGATAACATCAGGAGAAATACCTAATGTAGGTGACAGGTTGATGGGTGCAGCAAACCACCATGGCACGTGTATACCTATGAAACAAAACTGCAGATTCTGCACATGTAACCCAGAACTTAAAGTGTAATTTAAAAAGTGATAAAAAGTTGGTTTTTTTTAAATCACCAATAAAATACATAAACATCATGAGTATGACTAAGAAAACACAGGGAAAGCAAAAGCATACAAATTATGATTAAAGGGTTGAACCACACAAATAGATGTGATTATTATAAATCACATGAGTAATTTATTATTATATTATAATTATTATTATTATAATTTTACACACAAACATATGACATCAAAATTGAAAATCTAAAGATAACATATAATTTCCTAATAGAATAGAAGTTACCAACATTAACTCAAGAAATAGAAAATTTGACTAGAACAATTACTACAGATGAGATCGGAAATGTGTTTGTAGATTTACCATTGTAAAACAAACCAAAAGTTTTGCAGTTGGGTTCTAACTAACCTTTAAGGAAAAGATAATACCAATGTTATCTAAACTCTACCAGAAAACAGGAAAAAATGGAAAGTTCACTAATGATTTTATAAAGCTAGCAAAGCTGAGACCAAAATCTGTTAAAGATAGTACATAAAAAGGTAACTATAAGCAGTTATCAATGATAAACATAAAAAAAATAAAATATTAACAAACTCTAAAATATGTAGACAAACAGATCTCAGAAGTATAGCAAGAAAAAAACTGTACTATTACCTGATAGGGATAGATCCACAAAGGCAAAAATAAATAGTCAAACACCAAATTCTTTTTTGTTTTTTGTTTTGTTTTGTTTTTGTTTTTGAGACAGGTCTCACTCTGTCACCCAAGCTAGAGTTCAATGGCACAATCACGGCTCACTGTAGCCTCGACCTCTCAGGCTCAGGTGATCCTCCCACCTCGGCTTCCCAGATAGCTGGGACTACAGGCTGAATTCTCTTTTCTAAAAAAGTTTTTTTTCTATGTGCGTTTTGAGACAGATAGTGTCTTTTTTCCCCCAGGAATTCTATCAATATAATTAATTACATAAAATATTTGGGAAGGCCGAGGTGAGTGGATCACCTGAGGTCAGGAGTTCAAGGCCAGCCTGACCAACATGGAGAAACCCCATCTCTACTAAAAATACAAAATTAGCTGGGCGTGGTGGTGCATGCCTGTAATCCCAGCTACTTGGGAGGCTGAGGCAAGAGAATTGCTTGAACCCGAGAGGTGGAGGTTGCCGTGAGCTGGGATCGCACCATTGTACTCCATCCTGGGTGACAAAAGCGAAGCTCTGTCTCAAAAAAAAAAAAAAAATTAAAGGAGAAAAAGTGCATGATTCTGTTAATAGATGTTGAAAAGCCACTAGGGAAAAAATCAGCAGCTAATCCTAACAGACACTAATAGAAATAGAAGGGGATGACTTAAATATTAAAAGCACTTTTTACCAACAATCAACAGCAATCCTCATTCAGACCATGAAATGCCAAAGTAATTCCCACTAAAACCAGAAACGAGTCACTGTTACTCACAATTTCCATTCTTATTCAAGTGTTTTTTGAGATTATAACTATTGCAATAAGATAAGAAATAGTGTAAAATTGGGAAAAGATAAAATTAATTTATATTTACAACTGATAATGATTGTATTCTTCTAAAAAACAAGGGACTATTTAAAAATTAGAAAGTCAATCAGCAAATTAGAAAAGGTGGTGGAACATAAGAAATATTTTTTAAATCAACAGCTTTTCTCTATTCTAGCAAGTTTTTAGAGTATTACACTATAGAGCCCATGTGTCAACATTATTCTTTTATTTCTTTTGATTAAAAGAACATGTATCACTCGTAAATGACTATCATCTATCTATCAAACTCATCAAACTAGTGCATAGAATGATTGCATCAATTGCTAGTTCAACCAATTGTATCAGTCTCAATGTCCCTCTGACACTTATTTTATTTTTTATTACACTATTATATGATTTACTATTTTTTCCATTTGTACCCAAGTTTATTTTATAAATTTAAACTATTTCACCATGTTTGATAAGCATATTACTTTATCTTGTAAGTGTCCACCAAAATGTCTTAACTCATAGTGCCTAAACCCTCTATATCTGACAATTCATTCTATGCTTCAAAAAGATCAGTTTCTTATCTTTGGTTCCAAGCACACATGATAATATATAATAACTGTCTTGTTGGAAGACTGGAATAGCCAGTAGACTTTCAAACTCTCAAGTACACTGATTAGATTACTCACTGTCATGTGTCCTAGGACAACATTAAGGTTTTTTTTTTTTTGAAAACTTAATTTTAATGTTTATTTTTTGGGGGTACATAGTAAGTGTGTATATTATGGGATAAATGTAATGTTTTGATACAGGCATGCAATGTGAAATAAGCACATCATGGAGAATGAGGCATCCATCCCCTCAAGCATTTATCCTTTAAGTTACAAGCAATCCAATTACACTCTTTGAGTTATTTTAGAATGTACAATTAAGTTATTATTGACTATAGTTGGAAAAACCTAAGATTGCTTTCAATGAAGTGTTGTCACATTCACTTAGGCCACTTATTAGACTACCTTTTACAAACTGTGACAATTTTGGTAAGAATGTCAAGAATATGAAATCCTTGAACATTGTTGGTGGGAATGTAAATTAGTACAGCCATTTTGGAAAAGAGTATGGAGGCCCCTCAAAAAACTAAAATTTTAATTACCATATTATCCAGCAATCCCACTTCTGCATATATATTCAAAGGAATTGAAATCAGTGTATCAAAGAGATATCTTCACTCCCATGTTCATTGCAGCATTATTCACAATAGCCAAGATGTGGAATCAACCTAAGTGTCCATCATTGGATGGATAAAGAAAATGTGGCACATGCAAATGGAAATACAATGGAAACAATGCAGCCTTTAAAAAGAAGAAAATTCTAGCCAGCCGGGTGTACTGGCACTGGCCTGTAGTCCTAGCTAATTCAGAGGCTGGGGTGGGAGGATCTCTTGAGCCCAGGAGTTCGATACCAGCATGGGCAACGTAATGAGACTCTTATGTCTTATGTCTCTTAAAAAAAAAAAAGAAGGAAAATTTGTCAGTTGCAACATTTGCAATAACATGTTAATCTAGAAAACATTGTACTAGGTGAAATAAGTCAGGCACAAAAAGACAAATAATGCATGATCTCACTTATATGTGGAATCTTAAAAAGTCGAATTCATAGAAGTAGAGTAGAATGGTAGTTACCACGGGATGGGGGTAAGGGGAGGCACAAGGAAAGGAGAGATGTTTCTTAAAGGGCACAAAGTTTCAGTTAGACAAATGGATTAAGTTCTAGTAGCCTATTTCATTGCATGGGGACTATACTTAATAATAACATATTGTATATTCCAAAATTGCTTAAAAAGTAGATTTTAAGTGTTCCCACCACAAAAGATTAGTATGTTAGGTGTTGTATGTTAATAGGCCTGTTTTAATCATTCCACAATGTATTCATGTATCATAACATGATACTGTACTCCATAAATACATACTTTTTATTATTCGTCATTTTTTTAAAAATATAATTTAAAAAATTAATCACACTGCTAAAAAAAAGTATATTTCTCTTAAACTCTTTTTGATAGCCAATTTGATCATATATGTTAATAGTCATAAAACTACCACCCACCGATGCTCTACCTCTGCTAAAGGAGCATCTGGGCAGACAAAATTTATAATTGTGTCCAGGGAGAAATGTGCTGCATCTCTTGAATACAAGAATTGGATTTCAGCAATAACTTTATCCTCACAGTGGAGATGGATCCACCAAGTTCTCCTACTTTGAGGGCACCCTGTCAGAATAAAGTTACCTCTCTGATAAGGCTTCCTTCACTCCCTTCTCCCCTCTCCCTCCTCTCCCATCTATCCCCTAAAGCATACATTGCCCAAGCCCTTAGCACAATACCTGAGAGGGCCCCAGTGGAGAGGGTCAAGCACTGAGCTATGCCACTCAGATAAGTAAATATTACTTATCCTGCTAATACCATACCCTCGGGGCAGGGCAGATAAGGGACCCCAGGATGGTGGTGACACGGCTCTGGCTTAAAAGCAAGAAAGAGCCATGGTTTAAACAGAAAAACCGGAAAAAAATCTTCAGCCTGGGATGCGATGCAAAATAAATGTAAAAAGCTAGCATTGAAAATAGTATGAATCATTATCTAAAAGGCCATTCTCAAGGGAACTTAGCAAAGAAATTAATGAAAGAGAGCCATAAACATAAAATTTGCCTGAACCACATCAATTTGCTAAGCCTACACTTGGAATCTCTTTTGAAAAAAGACAGGTAAAATGTGAATTTTTCAAAAAAGAAAATCCATTTCCTGAGCCTTGAAATATTATGTATATTGGCTGACAATTTACAACAGAACAACACTCCACTTTTGTAAAATCGCCTTTGAACATGTTTGCACTGGGATAGATCCACTTATATTCCTAAAACTGTTAGATGAGAACAAAACCAAAATAGCAGGACATCCTCTGAGTTTCTGGTTTCCTTGGTTTCCCAGAAGCTGCCATCCTCTCTAAAGAGAAGACACTGCCTCCTCCATGTGCCAATGGGCTGCCATAATCAGCTACAATCCTAGAACTCTGCCCCTTCCAAAAGGATTGAGAGTGACAACCTCCTATGTGAAAACATTGGGACATCAACCTGTGACCTGGCTGCCTGGACCAAGCAGTCACACATCTATCTCATACACCTTTCCCAGACTCCGGGTTATTCAGTCTAAATAAGACCGGGTACAGGACATCAAAAATTCATGCAGTGCACATGTGGCCGTGACAAGTTAAGACTAGTTCCTTCTCAGTCTCTTTTTGTCCAACAAAGGTTCCAAAAATTCTTGGCATCCAGTCACACCCAGGGTCAACTTATGACCAGAGCAATGACAGTTATTATTCTGTATTAAATGCCCACTGATACATGGCATGGCGTCATGGGAATTGAAGGGTCAGAGAAGCCCAGAGAGGCTACCACCAATGATCTCCCAGAAGGATAAAATAAAGAAAAGTAGGAGGAAGGAAGTGGAAAGAAGAATGAGAAGGAACAAAGGAATGGGGAAAGGAGCAGATGGGTGCTAGTCAGGCCTATACCTGCCTCACTGGGGATTTTTACTACTCGAGTTAGCCTCATTTTCACCCCAGGTGTAAAAGTCGCTCCGCATCTCAAGTTCAACATGGCTTGATCTGGATTTTTGTTAGATGTTCAAGCTACATATCTGGGTCAAGGCACAAGTTTGTACTCATCAACTCTATTTTTTCAAGTATTATATCTCCAATGAATATTATTCTTTTTTTGAGGAAAAAAGTTTTAAATCAGGCACTGAAAATTTTTCAATAGTATGATCCAATTTTATGTAAAGAATATATAAGTATATGAATAGTAAAAGTGTCTGGAAGGGTATACATTGTTTCAATTCTGTGCTTCTCTCCCCAGCTGCCCATAGTCCCTTACAGTTCTTTTGCAACCCTTCACTCTGACTCTGCACCTTCTCTCTGAAGGGCCACATCTGCTTCCATGTGCTCCATTATCATCCATCCTCCAATGGCTCTCAAATCCTTATTTGCAGCCTGTTCATCTCCTCTGAGCACCAGATCAATCATTCAAATGACAATAGGATATCCCCATCTGAGTGTCACGCAGGTACATCAAACTGAATTTATTTTAAAGGAATTAATCCTCCCCACTCCATCTCCCCACAAATCTCTCTCTCTCACCTAACAATAGGAACAAGAAAAAATGTTAGTTCACTTTTCCATCACCCCATTACAGTACATACAGGGAAACCTGGGTATAAAACCAGGTAAGTGAATAGAGGATTTTACCCTTTCCTGGCCTCATATATAAAGCAGGATAACATCCCCCAAACAACTAGAAATATATTGTGGAGGCTGGTGTGATCATGTCTGAGGAAACACTTTGGATTTTTAGGAAAGAAAGAAAACTCTACTCCTGTGAGAAATTATTTTAACAGTTGCCTTGCAGGAATGATAGAACTTTACACAGTAGTCACTTAATAAATGTTAACCTTTATTGTTACTATTATTTATTAAATGACACTAAAACATGGCAGAATGCCCCAGCAAAACAAAAGTCAACCAAAAAACTAACAACCCTGCATTCTAGGTAATTAAGGGTGCTCGATTTTCTTAATTAATTACTATGTGCCAGAACATTGTAAGTACTTTGCATATATTACCTCACTGAATCCTCACAATAAGCCTTATCTTCACCATTTATCTATCATTTCAGAGAAGAAACTTCAACCTACCTCATTTTTAATCTAAATATTTCTTCCATTCAGTATGTTTTCCAATCAATCACTTGCTTCATTCCCAACACTTTTCTTTTTCAAAACCGTCCTAAAAATCAATACCCATTTTAGATAAATAAAAACACAAAGATGAATAAAAAGTAAAAAAGTAAAGATCACTCATTATTCTTCTACCCAAAGATAACTACTGTTTCTATCTGGATATCTATAACTCCAGTTTTTAGTGTCCTTTTAAACATATGTTTTATTAGTCTCAAAAAATGGAACTATACTTCGAATACTTCTATCTACCCTTTTTTACTTTCTGACTTCACAACGCATAATGAATAGCTTTTCCTGGCAATATAGATTTCCATCAGCATACTTATAATATCCTACTGTGTGAACATTCCTTGCTTTATAACCAATCCAATGTGCTAGATACTTAAATTGTTTCCAATTTTTACTAGCTTAGACAGTGCTGGGATGAACAGCCTCATACATACAATCTTTGGGCAATTATTCAATTACTTCCTTAGGACAAGGGTTTACATAGTTTAAGGCTTATATCTGTATTACCAAATGGCCACCACTAGGATGTGAAAGGCTCCATTTTGCCACACCCTCATTGACACTACTCAGTAATAGAGACTTTCATATGGACCCCAATTATTTTCTAGTAAAAAAAGATTTAGTGGCTCTGGGTATTCAATGGGATAATATTCAAACAATTCTCCACAACTGGCTTCACCCAGCTTTCCAAAATTATCTACTCCCACTCTCCACACTCTCCACTCTAAGCAGAATGATCTCCTGTCATAGGAAGAGGGTTCCTACTTCCATGCCTTTCTCACACCATGCCCCCCTTGTCTTGTCTCATGGAATTCCCTAACCACCCTACCCCATTCAGGACTCATTTTCAATTGCCACCTCCTCTGTGAAGCTTTAGCCGACTAGCACATCCCACAGAAGCTTTTGCCTCCTCTGTGCTCTCAGAGGGAACATCTGACAATGAGTACATGCTTCAGATATTCTGTTATCTTTTGGTTTGTACGTTTCTTATCTCTCCAACTAGATTATAAACTGAAGGACAGGGATGGTTTCTTTCTTTCTTCTTTTTTTCTTTCCAGCATTAACATACAATTTTATTGATGATACACAAATTAAATCAATGAAAATGACAGAAGGGAGCTTACTCATGATGAATTGGTTCACTGTCACTTATGCAGAAGAAATAGCAAAATATTTCAATCTAGGCAGCGAGATAAAAAGCAACAAACATGTTTTCAGAACAAGTAGTGATATTCATTTATCCATCTTAAACCTAAAGACCAACTCAGTTAAATATCAGCATTGATGATACAATATGATATTCATTATTCAAAACTGGCAGCTGAAAGGATTCCTTTACCATATAAACAAGGTGGAGAAAATGAATAGTTTACAATGTGTGTTGCTTCTAAATTACAAAATCAAGGTGTTATTCCTGGCTCTTTGGGAACATATGTTCAGCAAGTTTGGCCATGAATTTTCCAACTTTTACTTTCACCAAAAAATCATGGTGACTTTCTATTCCCAGAACCTTATCAGCACACACTTGAAATTCTTTTAAAAAGAAAAAAAGTGAACCTTCACCGAATTGATTCTGAGTAGGTTCATTTTCTTCCCATTT
Organism: Homo sapiens; assembly: GCF_000001405.40. NCBI lineage: Eukaryota > Metazoa > Chordata > Mammalia > Primates > Hominidae > Homo > Homo sapiens. The sequence goes on along the minus strand of NC_000023.11, from coordinate 101,625,927 downwards.
GAAATTATCATTTATGTTCTCAAATATGACCAGAAGTTTAAGAATAACTTCTTTGTTCTCCTTCTTATTAAAGAGGGAGCCCAGTGAAGATGGTACTTGGGCCCTGAGCAGTTCCCTAGTCATGGCTGGATTTTCAGCCAAATTCAAAAGGAGTTTCAGAACCTGAAGTTTGGTTTCTTCATTTCCCGCTGAAAATAAACGAAAAAAGTCAGAAATGGAATTAGCAAGCATGTGCTGATACTCATTAGTAACAGTCATATTTGTAAGCAATCTCAGTCCAGCAAGCTGCACAGATGAGTTCAAGCGAGAAGTGATTGTGTCATCACACACTTGATTCATGTATACTTTAAGCCTGCGCTGATTTTCAGCATTCACACTCAAGTTATTCAGGACAATTAAAGCCTTTTCCTTAACTATGGGATCCCGAGTATTGAGAATCTTTGCGACAATTGGGAGACCACCCAGATCACGAATAATATCTCTGTTAAATGCATAAGCAGCATTGTTACCCAGAGCAATTAAAGCTGCTTCAAGAATATAAGGCTTTTCAGACATCTCAACCAAGCAAAGAACCTTTTGTAGCTCTTGAGGGGACAAAACGGTATCATCTGAATTGGGGGAAGCCCGTTTCTGGACAGCCCGACGTGCCCGGGTAGCCCTGGCCCTTGCCCTGGCCCTAGCTCTGGTTCCAGCTTCAGTCCCAATCCGAGCCCAAGGTGGGTACCATACTATACTCTTGCTCTCATTGCTGTCATCATCATCATCAGACCAGTCATTATACCTGGCCCCAGAACAGTCCCCAGCATCATCCACATCCCCAGATCCACCCTCAGCCATTTTTTCCTTGTTCTGTTTTCTTCCCCTAGTCAGTCTATAAATGCAATAGCAGGCGCCAGCCCCAATCACCAGGCCTGCGGTCACCCAGCCTACTTTCCTGGCGTAGCCCATGCAATCGTCCCCGACAATAGCAGGGACCAAGGAATAGAGTAGTCACTCAGGCTGGGGGAGGAAGGCTGTGGGACTGGGCTCAAGCCTGTGGAGGGTGATCGTCTTCAGCCACTTCAAGGCCACAAGAGCTGATTCTGGGGGTTGACCTAGGAGTGGAAGAAGAAAATTGGGTTTGAGTTTCTCTTCTGCTTGTGTTGCCCCATGCAGGGAGCTGCACAGAGGGACAAGATAATAATAATTGAATGCTAGGTAGGAAATGTAGATTGTTGACGAAATCTCTATGCCTCTCATTTCAGCCTTTCCCTCCCCATCCCAGGTCACCCCGCCCAAAGCCTAGATAATGTCAATGGAATCCACAGACTCTGCTGGGGTCTCAGTCACCACAACCTCAGATGTCCCTAGGGACCTGACTAGAACCCTTGCACTAACCTCCTCAAGACAAGCAGTTCGCCCCTTCTTCTTTTCCCTAGTGGTGTGCCACTCCCAACAATCTTTCCAATCTGCAGAGAGACCAGAGCCAGTGAGAATGGAGCACTTGATGGGTTGACTGTTGATTCGTTGCTTTCCTGATTCACCATTCCGGTTATCAGGTTTGTTTTTAACCTCTTTATGCTATCCCAGACATGCACAGGTCTGCCCCCTCCCTAGCCTGAAATGGGAGGGAGGTAAGGAAAATAAAGCAGGATTGGAAGAGCCTGTCCAAAGTGCCGGCGATTTCTAACCCCTCCCCCATTCCAGGCAGCCCCCACGCCCACACCGACCTCTACTGATCGGAGGAAACTTCCTCCCTCGCTTCAAGCGGAGCCACCTGCTACAGCAGACCTGCAGGATGACAGATCGAAAACATGGAGAGTAAGTGCTGTTGAGAGAGGAGGATTACGAACAAACTATCCGATAGGTTTCCCTGCTGTCATTTCCCCCACTTCCCCCCAACCACAGACACACAAAGCACGCCATTTCGCCACAGTCCGGGGAGTGCAAGAAACACATTCGGACTCAGACATGTACCTAGATTATTACCTTCTCTGCCTTCTCCCCACCCCCGCCGCCACCCCCGTCCCTCCTAGGGTCCCCAGATGGTCTTACCCTCAAATCGACCTCCACCGATTAGGATTAAATTCCTTCCTCTTCTTTTGCCTGGCGTTGTGCCGCAACCTACAGAAAGACTGGCCACCCGGGAGAGGCTTGGACCCACTAGACACAGAGCCATGGTCAGTAAGACACAGCCACAGGCAGAAAGACGGGAAACTGCCGCCACTGAGCGCTTGGTGGACGGACTAGTCCCCAGAACACAAAACTCTTTTCTAATTCGGAGGCCTGGTTGTCAGAGGTTTCCCACCCCTATTACCTCTCTTGGGGTTCTGCTGACATATCGCGTTGCATCTCACCACCCCCGCCCCCATATCCAGCCATTCCCCTCCGGCACTGTCCTGGTGGACTAGGGGCCAACACCCAGGCCACAGCTCCCTTTCCGGATTGCGGCCCTAGGCTCCCAGCAGATTCCCATTTCCCAGTCTCTGAGCTCTTCCCCAAACACCCCGCAGCTCACCGTTTCGCAGCATCGAAATGGGCTGCAAGCGGGACATATGTCTTGGAAAGCGGGCGGCGAGTGGGAGAGACGACGGAGGCGCCTCAGTACCCGCGACGGTCTCGGCCCTACGCCCTCAAGCACCCCGACTTTATGGAATCTTCCAGGTACTGACCTGCAGGGATTCGGGACAATTTCCTTCTCCTCTTCCTTTTTCCCTCCGCCGCAGGCCGGCCCGCCCTCAGGGCAGTGGGGAGCTGGTACTCAGACGGGAACAACGACCAGGACAAGAAGGACTTCTGCACACGTCAGCTCTTGGTCACGTGAGGGCTACGTCATCCACCAACTCGGGTCCCCAATTTCCCCTCCCACCAGCAGTGCGGCAGAAGAGGGCCCGCCCCCCTCCTTTCCCTCCCCCACACCAGGCCTTATTACTCTTTCTTCTTCGATAATCTCATCACCTTGTAGTTGTGTTTCCCTTCCACCGATTACCAGAAAGGGACGGCATCTTCCCCTGGGGCTATGGGCCACTTGTACTTTTATGAAAAATTGCCTCTTCCTTCCCTAGGCTCCTGGGACAGCAGCCTCTCCCTCCACCTCCCCTCCCCCGAGCTATGAAAGTCTACCATTTCCTCTGAAATCTAGTCCCAGATCTGAAAGGAACAAGCGATCAGAAAAGAAAATCTGGAATGAGAGTGTGGTTTTTACTTTCTTAATACTTTGTTATTTTTGTTCCGTCCTCCCCCACCCCCAGCCTGCATTCTTTTTATGAGAAAAAAAAATACTATAAAGCTATTTCCATTTTAGAAAAAAATGAGTGGAGGCTGAAGAATGATGTTGGGTGATGGCCTCCAAAAGTCCCACATTTTCTCACTTGGTGGAGAGTGTTACACACTTCACTCAAAGCAATCTTAATGTCTTCTGGGGCCTAGCACACAGCACAGCCCTGAGTGAGCTAATCAGTGTGTCTGGCAATACGTAAGTCTTCTGACTAGACCAGTCTTCTGAATAGAAGAGCTACAGACTTTCACCTGCACCCATTAGCAAGGAGGAGGCATTAAACCCACAAAAGCCAGAACGCAGAAAAAAAAAAAACTGAGGAGAAAACATAAGTGCACAGTAGGTATCTGTGAGATAAAGCATGCACACTGAAAAAATGAGTGTGCATAAAAAGAACATTACAAAATATGCTTGGGCAAAATAGAGAATATCATCTATAAATGAAATAAGTATTAGAGGAACACAGACCAAGACAAAATTGGCTGAAACTGGGACCTAGCAATTAGTATGAAACTATTTTACTTACTGGTTTGATAAACTGAATAATTCACCCATCATCAATGATTTACCTTTTTTAAAGTAGGAAAAGGAATAAAATAATTACATCCCCTCATTATTTAAGTTAACCAGATTTGATTTCAGTTGCTTGCAACCAAACCACCTTAACTAAAGCACAACACAAAAACAGGTAACAATACAAAAAGTAATATAGCTTTTCAGAACATAGGGTCTTCAGTGAGATATTCACTAATAGTTTGAATAAAAGGTTATTATTTGAGTATAACTTTTAAAATACACAGACAATATGGGAGTAAATCAAGAGACTGAGGAAGTTGAGAACAGGCAAACCCCCAGGAAAATTCATATCTGTGTAACTTCTGGGAGGCAGTACTAGAATGTGATTGAAATTTATTTAGTAAACAGAAACCAAATCAACTATATGATCCTGTGTTTAGAGAAAGATCATGTGTAGCAAAGGGGCTTATTCAAGCATAGGAATATATGAAAAGGACAGTCAGAAGAAAGTGTTGGTATTTCCCACCCAAGCACTGCCTGGAGGAGAAAAAGTGTTGGCTAAGGAGAATGGAACATTTCACTTTCTCTGGCAGAGTCATGCCCATGATGTGTAATAGTACTTCATGCGTCCTCAGCTGAAACCCCCTTCTTAAAATGAACAAATACCCTTGCTCTGATTGCAGGCTCACCAAACAACCTTCTAAGGTTGTGGTTTCCCAAGTAGTAGCTTGTCTACAGGGAAAGAATAGGCAGGTAAGACTGACGGAAACCTCCAGTACCCCCTGACAATTGTATTTCTGAGGGCAAATTATTCAGTTGTCACTCCTGTTGAAACAGCTTCCCTTGTGGTCTACTTATGGGGAGAGAATGCAGAGATCCCTAGGTTTGAGCATTCAGATCTGTTTATATATAAGTCTCTATGAATGGGAGTCTTTCCTTGAGGCATCCAGAGGCAATTCTTCTCAGCATACAAACAAAATCAGGATTTGGTCATGCAATACTGAGGAAGAGACCCTGAACTGTAGACGCAACCTTGGGGGAATCCTGTGGGAGAAGCCAGATGGCCTTGGCTCAAAGGACAACCTTGTGCATCACCATTTCATAACCATACCTTTCTAATGTTTAGTTAATGGTGGAAATTACAACTAAGATACTCTGTGGCATATTATGCCCCCAGCACTACCGTTATAGATAAACAAAAGGTTAATTTCCAAAGTGATAAAAGGGCTCCTGCAAATCAACAACAACATCTGAAACAGTTTAAATTTCTCCCTGGGAAAAGAAAGGAAGTGCATTTTACATTTTACTGACCCTATTGTTTTCCTCAGCAAAAGGGTGGGTATTGTGCTCAAAACAGAACAACCAAAAGCTGCCTTACTAAAATTTCAATCTTCATTAGAGAGATAAAAACCTGAAAACCGGTGGACTTATGACATCCTGAAAAGACGTCTATCAATTCCTTCTACCTAAACCCCTCGGAGATGAGCCTTGTCTTCAACATTTCCTCCTTAAGTTAACCAGGCTTGTTCTCTGTTGCTTGCAACCAAACAACCTTAAGTAAGACACAATACCAAAATTACACAATACAAAAAGTAATATAACTTTTCAAGATAACAACCTTCTATAATTTATTTTTTTCACCCTCCACAATTCCATTAGTGTCACCATTTGCTGGTCGTTTTTTGTTTCTGGGTGCTTTGTAAGTTACATATCACATGTGAACTGATTTAAGCCAAAAGTTTTGTTTTGGCAGTGGTTTCACAGTAGTTTTTTGCGGACTCAGAAACTTTTAACAGTAGTGTCTGAGGACTTCTTTAAGCATTTTCCTTTCTCACTTTTGAAAGGTATGTGAGCCTTATAACATGTCCTTAATTAAATATTTCTTGGTAGATGTATAATGGAGAGCAAAGTAGTTTTTTTTTTAATGCTAGTCTCCAGGTAGGAATTGATAGAATCGTGGATCAGAAGAACAAAGAGGTAAGAGAATTGAAAGGGTTTTTATAACCATGGGGTTTTAGGAAGTTTTAGACAGGGAGTGGATTCAAACCAGGAAAGGTCTGGCATACTGGGAGAATGGTAGTGAGAAGTTATACATCGGACTAACTGGAGAATATACCAAAAGGGTGGAGATATTTTATACTACTGAGGAGAGGTAGGAGTAAAGTTTTTGTCCTTGAAGCCTGGCTAAGTGTTGTGAAAGTGAGTTCTTATTGTAAAGCCATGTCTGTGACACCAAGTCATCTGTCTTTATTAAGCTTTACATACTCCTTAGTTTTTTCTAATGTATATATTCAAAACAAACAAAAGCCACTTATACAACTACCTAGCAGCCAAACACTGAATGATGGACTGTTGAATCTGAGAGTTCTGTTAGTAAGCCTTCATAAGTATAATTCACTTGTCTAGGGGAAGTTAATAAAGGGTCATGAAAAAAAAATGAGGTAAAGATTTAGAGAGATAAGATGTGATATTGGTGAGTTTGGACTATAAAAGGGGAAGACCAGAAAGTTGTGACATATTGACTTCTGAATATTCACCAGCAAGGCACTAGGACTCCCTGGCTTGCCTCCTGAAAGGGCCTCCTCCACACAGGAGCCCCTCACTGGGGAGCCCCTCCCTCTGGGGTGTCATATTTCAATGTTCTAAGAGGTTGCCTGGAGTGTCTATATTTAGAGTATGACTCCTCAGCAGGGACAGGTGGATGCATGAGGACTAACTTCTGCATACTTGGTCCCTGAGTTTTGGGATTATTCTGAGGGGCTTGTACTGGTGGCTCAATGAAGTTGTAATAGAAGGCAGGAAATGAAAAGTCCTCTTTTTTTCTGGCAACTGCTTGAGATCCTGTGCATTGCCCTTCCACTTGTGAGGGGAAAAAATGACACAGACATCAGGGGTGTTGCACTGATTCCCAGTCACCCACAGACCCTCACCACCATCTCCACTGGAAAATGCTGAACACTCACCACTGCTAGGGTAGCATAAAATACATGAATGGCAGACAACAGAGAGATCGCCAACAGTGTCATGATGGAAAGAAAATTACCTCTATCAAGTCTCATTTTCATCAATAGGATAACAGGAAATTCTCTAATTTCTGGAAGATTTATAGGTTGCACCACAAACTTCAGAATAGATTGTAAATAAAGCCCTGTGAATGAAAGGCAGGCTAATCTGTGGAGTCACTAATCTGTAAAGTTCATCTGAAGATGTAAGATTCATCTGAAGTTGGGGTCTGCATAAAATCTGTCCTTTGAAGCCAGAGTGAAAGTCACCCAGCAATCTTCTATGAAGATCTCAGTCATCTGACACCTAATACTATGAGTTCAGCCAGGAGAAAGAAAGGGACAATAGTTCACTTACTTAAAATGGTCAAAATTAGAACACTGACCTTCTCGGTATAGATTCATTTATCCATCAATTTATAAATCATGTTGAAAGCACAACTGGTTTTGTTTCTAAGGGTGTGTTTTTACATTTTAATATGTTGTTTGAAAGCTGCTATTTCCTGTGCAGTCCGAAGAAAATATGTTCAACTTGATACAAACTAACTTCATCAAATCAATGAGGCCTCCTATTAACTGGGAAATCTTGCTTATGTTATATATATATATATCTGTAAAAAAAAAAAAAGATTTGAATTATTTCTTCTCCAAGTGGGAAAAGCTTTATTGTTTTTTTCCGATTACAAAATAGTGTAGTTCAAGTCAATAAAAAAGAAAGGACAAAATATAACTTAAATGTTATCAAAATACTAATTAAAATCTCACCACTGCCTGGACTTCCGTTTCTGCCCCCTCACCCAATGTTGGTGTAGAGACTGAACACGGAAAAGTGTAGAAATTTAAGAAAGGGGCTGCAGAAGTTTCAGAGCCAAGGAAAGGATGAGACAATTCCCCAAGAAGTGTAAATGAAGGGTAGACTCAGGAAAAGATGCTGCCCCTTCCTAAAGATGCTGCCCCTTCCTGGAATTAGAGAAACATAAATTCAAACACCAGAAAGACAGGGCCACTTCTGGTTTCTGGTATTGTTACAGAGGAAAAAAGTGACAGGGCCCACTGTGGGGGTTGAGGGGGAGATACAAGGCAGGCTGGCGCCTGCCGCACTGCTTGTGGGAGTGGAAATTGGGGGCCAGAGCGCACTGGTGACGTGGCCGTCACGTGACCAAGAGCCGCCTAGAGCACAAGTCCTGCTAGTCGCCTCCGTCTGGGTACCAGCCCCCTATTACTCTGCAGGCGTGTGAAGAAAGAAGGAAACTAGCTCGGACCGTGCAGGTCGGTGCGAGGGTGGGCGCTGCTTGAGAGGAGGTATGGGTGGAAGAGGGCCAAGAACGCCACAGATCCGAGTTCAGGCCGATCACAGCTGGGTCCCTTTCTCGCCTACTTTCTAAATACTGCTACCCACCCCCACCCCACCCCGTGCTCATTTTAGTAGAGAGAAGTGGCGGGTTTCGGGTGGGGGTGAGGGGAGTGAATGGCGTTTCCAGAGACTCCGAGAAAAGAAAGGTTCTAGTGTCCCGGGTGCTGGTCCGTCCACCAAGCACTCCGTCCCCTCGGTCCCTTGTCTGTTTGCAGGTTTGTAGGTCTGTTGGCCTGTAGGTTTCGGCACAAGTTTCAGCGAGAGAAGGAGAAAACTGCCTTGGTTGGAACCTTGCAGGTCAGTGTGAAGGTGGGATTAGCCCAGGACCATGGGTGGGGGTGGCGGAGGAGGGGGGCTGGGATATGAGAGGGCCAGGTCCGAGTCGCCCTCTCCTGGCCCCTTCTTTCTCCACACCCACTCCCATTTCAGTGCAGGGAAAGGGGTGTGGCGGCCTTTGCTGGGGAAATGGCGGACGACAAGTGGGGCGGAGGAGGCCTGCGTCCGGAAAGTCAGTAGAGTATGAGAAATATTTTAAACTCAAGTGTCTAAAATTCACAAAAACAGAAATTGGGACCTGTGTCCTCAGTTCATCCACTACACTTTCATTTCTCCATTGCCGCCTACCTGTCTTTGCATTTGTCCTTCTGCCAGACTCTATCCTCTATCACCGTGGAGGGACCACTGACAACAGAAGACAAGGGAAAACGAAGGAATTTATCTGACTTTGGTAGAGGTTAATGAGAGAAACTGCCCTTAATCTTTGGGGGTGGAGGTCTGGTGTAGGAGACTACCTGAGAGGTACTCACACTGTCACCCTCCTAGCTATCATAGCAGAGACCCATCTCCTGCCCTTCCCTGTGGACCCAGGAAGAGAAATGGGGGCTCCTGAGGTCGATAGAGGAAGACAGAAAAGAAAAGAACAAAGAAATTGTATCCTGTTAATCTGCCTTTATCACCAACTCGAAATCCACCCTGTCTGTGAGGCACAAAGCCAAACATAGTCCCGAGCCCTAATACTCTGTTTCACCCACAGATTCATCACAAGAGAGCTACAAGAGCCTGGAAGAAGCTGAAGACTGCTACCCTCCATCCTTACTCACCCTGGACCTGAGAGACCTCTTCAATCAGGTGGAGCAAGGCCCTCTCCTGTCCTGCCCCAAGGCTGGCACAGACTTGAGCATGGGCCGGGCTCGGGAAGTGGGTTGGATGGCGGCAGGACTGATGATTGGGGCTGGTGCCTGCTACTGCGTTTACAAACTGACCATAGGAAGAGATGACAGTGAGAAGCTGGAGGAGGAGGGGGAAGAGGAGTGGGACGATGACCAGGAGCTGGATGAGGAGGAGCCTGATATTTGGTTTGATTTTGAAACTATGGCTCGGCCCTGGACTGAGGATGGGGATTGGACTGAACCTGGGGCCCCAGGTGGCACTGAGGACAGGCCCTCAGGGGGAGGCAAGGCCAACCGAGCACACCCAATAAAACAGCGGCCATTCCCCTATGAACATAAAAATACTTGGAGTGCTCAAAATTGTAAAAATGGCAGTTGTGTTCTGGACCTCTCCAAGTGTCTTTTCATTCAGGGAAAACTGTTGTTTGCCGAGCCCAAGGATGCGGGCTTTCCATTTAGCCAGGATATCAATAGCCATTTGGCCAGCCTCTCAATGGCTAGAAACACGAGCCCCACTCCAGACCCCACTGTTAGAGAGGCTTTGTGTGCCCCGGATAACTTAAATGCGAGTATTGAAAGTCAGGGCCAGATTAAGATGTACATCAATGAAGTGTGTCGGGAGACTGTGTCACGTTGCTGCAACTCATTTCTGCAGCAGGCCGGATTAAATTTGTTAATAAGCATGACAGTTATTAATAACATGCTTGCCAAGTCCGCTTCAGACTTGAAGTTTCCTTTGATATCAGAGGGAAGTGGATGTGCTAAGGTTCAGGTTTTGAAACCGCTGATGGGTTTGTCTGAAAAGCCAGTCTTGGCGGGGGAGTTAGTCGGTGCCCAGATGCTCTTCTCATTCATGTCCCTCTTTATCAGAAATGGAAACAGAGAGATTCTCCTGGAAACCCCTGCCCCATAAACGGCCCTCTCGAACACAATGGGACGGAATCCACCCACAACGCGCTTGGTTTGCAGATGTCAAAGAATCTGCAGAGGGTGCTACTGAAGATCCAGCCTTAGCCAATCACCACCTCATTGGGTGAAAGTTCCAGGGCTCAATCCAGGACCACACTCTTATTGGCCAGGCAGGGGCTCCCACAGAGCTTTGAGTAACTTCTTGGTTGTGCAGTCTGCAGGCAATGTTGGCATTGTAAATTCCTCCCTTGCAGCCTCCTTCATGTGGTGAGGGGATCACTTCAGCTGCCTGCTGTGGACAAAGAACATCAAATTACAGCATCACGAGTGCTATTGTTGCCTGTGGTGGTCTCCCTGTCCAAGCGGGACCGCTTTGCAGAGACCAGAGGCATATCGCGGCTTGAGCTGAAAATGCATTTGTTGCAGCTTAGGTTGAATTATTTTTCGTTTGCTCTTTCTTCTACACGCGCCTGATGGATAGTGAACCTATTCATCAAAAAAGTGCACTGCTCTTCTGTCTATTGTACCGACTTAACCTCTTCCACCCAAGTCCGCATCTGTGTGTATCATCAATAAAGTTGTGTGCTTTGATTGGCAGAAAAGAGTCATGGTCCTTGTCCTTGAGTTTACAGTCTGCACGGAGAGAAGGACAAAAAAAAAAGCACGGTAAACGCCAGCTGACTGGAACGTCTGCTCCGTGACAAATGCAGGCTTATCGGTGCTCACAGGAGGCAGGGATAGAGAGGGGCTGCAGTGCTCAGAATAAACTTCAAGAAGGGGCTGGAGGCGGGGGTGGGGGAAGGGGAGGGGCACAGCGGGGGAGTTCGTGGAATTAGGATGGAATGTTGAGAGGACTGAAAGAGACAACACCCGTGGAGCAGGCAGCACCGTGCCCCGGCACAGAGAAATCCCTTCTTAATGTCTTTTCCTTGACTGCCAGCCTGGAGAGAAAGGTCAGTAACCCTGGCCTTTTCGATTGTCGGCGCATCCCGACGTGGGGATGGGGACCGGGGTGGAACGGGTGGGGGCGCTCTACCACGCATCGGGGCGCATTTATTGCACAATGATGGCGATAAAGGTTGCCGCTTGCCCAGCACCTACCCTGTGTAGTTCTATCCCTCCTGCGAAGCCAGGGGGAAATCTGCTTCCAGCCCTCCTTCTCTCTTCCTTGGGATCCCCAGCGCTACTTCCTGGCAGAGTGAGAGGGTTGGCCGCTGCTCCCTTTGGAGCAACCTCCTTTCTTCCATATCCCCACTACCTGTGGTGGGACCCAGGAAGGGGACAGTGGAGCCCTCCATCAACTACCTGCGGGGGTGATAGGGCAGATGCTGAGGGCACTTGGCACGACCGTGGCCACTCCATCCATCCGGAGACACCTCCACACTCTCCATCTGAGGTGCCTGCACCTTGCCAGGAAAGGAAGAGCCCGTGGGCGCAGAAGCACTCCATGGGTCAGGGCAGCTCGTTCTGCCCCGCCCCCACCTCCAACATTACCAGATCCCGCCCAGCAGGTTTAGCCCCTGAATCAGCAAAGCCAGGTTCCCTGCATGTTTGTGATGTGTCAAGAAGTGGTCCCCTTCCCTAAAGCCATGGCAAACCCAGTAAACACATCTGCTTCCCCTTGGGCAAGGCTGCTGCCGTGCCCGGTGCCCTCTCGGTCTCCCAGGGCTGCTGCTGTGGGTCACTGTGTCCTGGGCAGCTGCGATCTCTGTGGTGCTGGGCATTCTGCTTGTTCTGTTCCACACAGAACAAAGCTTTCTTTTCTTGTCTTATTCTCCCTTCCCCCCGCAGCTTGCCTTCCAGGTGGGTTACAACTTTCCTGCTTGTACCATCTGCCCCACAGTCCATGCTGGCCAGACGGCCTGAGTGCCTGCCGGGTCCCCTGACCAACTCTGGGAAACCCTCCCACCTGGAATGGGGACCAGACCTCTTCCCAGGCCCTGGTGCCTGGGATGGCCAACAAGTGACTTGCAGTTGTTGTGACACCACATCCCCTGTCAAGGCTCACACTGCTGGGGCTTCCTTGGCTGGCTCTGGGAGCCCTGTCCCGGTTCCTAAGGGTTCCTAAGAGCTGTCAGAAGGACCACCCTTTCTCCCAAGCCAGCCGCAGTTTGGCTGGGCAATCTGATTTCAAAGGGGATTTCCCTGCAGACAGCTCCGCATGCACTTTTCCCAGTGGAGCCTGCTTCGCCAATGCTGTCTTTAGTGACACCTCATTGCTCAGTCTCTTTGAGCACAAAGGCATCCTCCTAGCCTGTGGTCCCGAATTAGCATGCACCTCCCTACTTCCCTGCACGCTACCAAGTTTCCCTTTACGTGCGCTTGTCCACCATCGCTGAGGCACTTGACACCGTGAGGCCGCAGCTGAGTCCTAACTCAGGGAGCGCCCCAGAGGCTTTCTGCCCATCTCCTGAGCAAACTCTGTCACAGAAAAGCCCATCAGCGTCCAAGTGTCTCCACGGCGTTGTCTTGGCCCAAGTCAAAACCCTCCTGTCCATTTGCTGGCACTGCCCTCCCGAAAGCACTCACGCACAGCCCTTCTGTCCTGCCCCTCATCCCCTGACTGGTTGCAGTGCCTGGGTACGAGCCCAGTTCCCGTGGATTCTGCCTCCCTGGGATGCGCGGGGGGAGTCGGGAGCATGCCTGCCTCCCAGGGCCTGATCAAGACACTGAGAGGTTCTCAGCACTGGCAAGAGCGCCGGTGCCCCCATTCCATATGTAACGCAAACATAAAAACAGCCCTGAGCCATCAATCACAATGCATACCTGCCTGCTGCAACCAAAAGACAGCCTTTCTGGGCTTCCCCGTGGCAAACATTGGAAAAGGTCATCAATCCTGAGCTTGCCACATTCTGTGAGAAGTGCTCTGCCTTGATGGTGCCGCCCCAGCCTGAGCCCGTCTCTTGTGTCAATCTGGAACTGCCGCCACAGGCTGTCTTCCACCTCCAGAAAGGGCCCTCAGTTTTGCTTCTCATCTATCTTATGAGCACGTTTCCATTTGGTGCCTGTAGGCACTGACTGACTTCCAGACCAACTTCAGGTGCCCTCCCCAGCCTGCTGCCTCTCCTAGGGATTTTGTGGTTTGCCACCCCCACCCCGCCCCCCTCCAGGTGAGTGCACACAAGGTTGCAGACAACCAGCTTCCCGGCAGGCACGTCCTGTCTCAGACACGGGACCCTCACCGGGGTGCTATGTGTCACTCTCAAAGCAGTATCCACCACGATCCCCTTACTTTTAAGTGCCACCCTGGACCAGCATAGCCCTCACCCAGTCCGTCCCTCTGACGATGCACCACTGGGCTAAGAGTTGGGCAGCTGTGGCAAGGGGTTGCTCTTGCCTCTCTTCTGAGGGACACTGGCTGCTCTATGATGCAGATGGGCACTGCACCAGAGTCCAGCAGAGTGCTGCAGAGGGCCGGCCCTTGCCCCGTCTGTTACAGACGCCAGATGTGTCTTCTCACTGGCTGCCACTTCCCTACTCTCTCTGCTCATGGCCTCCTTTCCATCCTGGAGGTCCATTTTCCCTTATTGCCTCTTGTTTTGGTGTGAGGTTTAGGACAGCCTTTCCCACTTTCCCATGAACACAGTCTCCTTGGCAGTTTTCTCGTTCTTTCACACCTTTCTATTCAGAGTTTTGTCTCATCGATCTGCCTGGAATTTACTTTTGTGCAAGGTGAGAGACAGTGATGTGACTTCACTTCTTTTCCCGCATGATTAGCCGATGAGCCCAGCACCACTGGTTGAGCACTCCGTTCTAGTGCTGTCTGTGGCACTTTCTGGGATCCTCATGCGCCCAGCTGCACACCCGCTCTGTGGTTTCCAGGCATTAAAGTTTCTCCTGAGGCACATCCCTTTCCCTCAGGAACCTCTTACTGACTTGGAGTCCCTCAGCTCACTAAGTGGCCTAAGGCAGGTGGGGTGTGTGTGTGTGTGTGTGTGTGTGTGTGTGTGTGTGTGTTGGTGGAGAGAGCTGTGTTGGTGCTTGTGAGCAAGCCTCTGCTCCAGGTACGTTCTCAGGACGTATTGCGGCCCACAGGAAGCTTAGGAACTCTCATCCCGCCGACCTTTGCATCATGGCAAACTGGGCACTGGTCTCTCTCCTCTCCCAAATTACTATATCTGTACAGAAAAGTTGCAGAACAGTGTACTGTGTGTATAATTGTAAATATTATATATCCTATAACACTATATACTGTTTTATGTGATTATACATTTCCTAAACATAGTGTCGAGTATCTCTGGAATGATGCACAATGAATAGGTCGCTTTGGTTTTTTTGTTTGGCTCGTAGCATGTATTATATATTAGATTTGCAAGTGAAAAGATCAATAACTCACTTAATTGTCTTTTTCTGTCCTTTGTGCCTCTTGAATTTTGTACTTATGTATCCATGTCCTATTGGAAAATAAATTTACTAAAAGGCAATTATTGCAGGTTTCTGTAAAAGCTGTTGATGTAGCATTGTCATTCTATAGTCAGACTCTTTCGGTGAAATCTCATTAATTTTATTATATTGTCTCTTTTTTTCTTTCTGACTTCTTAAGTAGATAAACGTACTGTACAAATTATGACAGTTTTAGCTCTTCCTATTCAATAGTTTTTAGTTCATTTCTTTTACTTATCTCATTGCACTGTCAGGGACCTCCAGAAAAACAGTATTGATGATACGGCACATATTGGTCTCATTTCTGATTTTAATGGTTGATGTTTCAGTGTAAGGCTGGTGTTTACTGGAGGTTTCTGAATAAATAATATGTGGCATGTTTATGTAATAGAATTTACAGGCATTAAAAATGAGTGAACAGCCGGGCGTGGTGGCTCACGCCTGTAATCCCGGCACTTTGGGAGGCCGAGGTGGGTGGATCACCTGAGGTCGGGAGATTGAGACCAGCCAAATCAACATGGAGAAACCCCCATCTCTACTAAAAATACAGAATTAGCCGGGTGTGGTGGCACATTCCTGTAGTCTCAGCTACTCCGGAGGCTGAGGCAGAAGAATCGCTTGAACCCAGGAAGCGGAGGTTGCAGTGAGCCAAGATCCCGCCATTGGACTGCAACCTGGGCAACAAGAGCAAAACTCCATCTCAAAAAAATAAATAAATAAAAAGAAAGAGTGAACTAGATCTCTATGTATCAAGCTAGGCAGTTTTCAGAAACCTAATGTTGAATGAAATAATCAATTTGCAGAAAGACATAGTATAATGCCATTTATATAATTTTAAACATATGAAACTATATGTTATATTGATACATATATTTATAGCAAAATTTAAAATGGACACTGAAAGACGCACATCAATTTTGCAATATCAGTTGCCTCTGGGAACGGCTGGAGGAGAATGTGACTCCAACAATATATGCAATTTAATTTTATCTATTAAGAAAAAGATTATAAACAAACATAAAGAAAGCATTAGCATTGCTAATTATGGATGATGTATACATAGATCCTCATTGTTTTTTCTCTGTATATCTTTTTTTAAATTAAAACTAAAGATGTATTGTGTACCCAATACAATTAATTTAAAAAATTCCTTCACCTAGACATATTCTCAAGAAATTTTAGGATAATAAGGACTGAAAGGAGACCCTAAAACTTCCCAGGATAAGGGGAATGCCACCTACAAATCAAACTGGCATCAGACTTCCTAGTCATAATACTTGATGATAAATGTCGATGTATAAATGCCTTGAAATCCTTAGAGAATATGCTTTTCTCTAGTATTCTATTCCTAAACATACTATCAGGCAAATATATAGTGACAATAAAGATGTCTTCAGGACTGAAATTACTCATAAAATTTACCTCCTGTAGAATTTTCCTTAGAAAATTGATCTCCTGTAGAATTTTCCTTAGAAAATTGTTTGAACATGTACTCCCACAAAATGAGGTAGTAATCAATTGAAAAGTAAATATGGAATCCAGGAAATAGTGATCCCAACTTGGAAAAGTAATAAAGGTTACTTTTAAGGTGATGGTCAAATAATAGGTCCTGATTAACTAGACCAAAGTGGAGCAATATGATAGAAGATTTAGGGTAGTAGATGAACTCATGAATAAAAGGAGACTTGGTAAAATGAATTGAGAGGTTAGAAAAACTAGAGGGTGCAATAAAAGCAAATAAGGGAAGAAAAACAATTAGAAGATCATCTAAGAAAATATTACAGTAATGACCCTCAATAAACCATGCCTCCCTGTATCCATGCCATTGTATAGTCCCCTCCCGCATTGACTCTGGGCCTGGCCACGTGATTTGCTTTGGCCAGTTTAAATGTTAGGAAACATGACAAAAGAGGAGGCCTGGACAGAGCATTTTCAGTGAGACTTGCACTCTTTCTGCTCTGAAACCACCATGTGTGGAGCTGCCCAGGCTAACCTGTGGAGGGTGAGACCACATAGAACAGAGATGAACTGTTTCAACTGAGGAATCCTAGAAAGAATTGTCAGATAAAATATAGGAATCCCAGTTAAATGTGAATTTCAGCTGAATATCAAATAAATTTTAGTGTATGTGTTTTCCAAATATTATATGAGACATACTTATACTTTAAAAATATTAATTGTTCATCTTGAATTCAAATTAATCTGGGCATACTGTATTTTAATTTGCTGGATATAGCAATCCTAGCTACAGGAAAACCAGTCCTCAGCTAATCTGCCAGCTGACTTTAGCCACATGAAAAACCTCAGGCAAGACTAGCAGAAGAACTAACCAGATAAGCCCAATACGAACTACCAATCCACAAAATAACCAGCAAATAAGATGGCTATTTAAAGTCACTGAGTTTTGGAGTGTTTTTTTTTAATTTAACAATAGACAACAGATGAACAAAACAAAACAAAAATATGTACTTGCTCCAAAAGTGCAGCAAATTAAGATACAGAATGAATTCAGCATTTTGATGGAATATAAGGAAAAAGAATCTATTAAGTCTTGAATGTAAGAACAGTCCCCCTTACGTGACTCAAGAGCCTTGAGCTGGAATATTTCTAAACAACTATAGTGGGCTTGATTAAATCATAACCTAATCCCAGATGTCTCTTGAATCTGACCTGGGCACATAAGATGGGGCAGGATTGAACTAGCTCCCAACTTACTAAGAGTGATTCAGGTAAATATTCCCAGGGTAAGATGAATTCATAACGTGATATAGTTTATTTCTACCTTGCACCTAGCTGTACTACACCAGAAGGTATTACATAAGTAGACGACGGTTACGTGGCTCCCAGAGAAGTCTGAAGTGACCAAATGGATATGAAGGCAACCCTTCTACATCCCAAGAAAGGCTTAGGTTGAACTTGTGAAAGCATCTGAGATATGTGAACACTAATCATGTGATATTATCCTCAAAAGGGTACCTCCATGCGATCATAAAATCAAAGGGAGCTTGCCTCTTTAATGGAGAGAATGCAGTTGAACTTCCTGCTTTATATAACCATCTGCATGCAGCTAAGTTCCAGTTTACTTTTATATTCTGTTCTGTAACAGCCAGGTCTTTCTCCCATTAAAGCTTTCTGCTTTCAACTCTAGACATTGAAAACCATGAAGTGTGTTTAGTTTATTATGACTACATAAATGCTGCCCATTGCTGAGCCAAGTAGTGTCCTAGCGCTTGAACCCATCTTGCATAGTTTTAGAAAATGATTCACATATCACCTGTGGGGATGAGATTTTAAGTAGACATGTGATTCAGTGTAGCTGACAGAATGTGGGATATAGAAGATGATAAAAGGCAGAAGAAAGAATAGTGGAATGGATATCCTCATTTTACAAAGTGCAAAGTAAAGAAATACTAGTGGAAGTTTATGAAATAAAATAAAGTTATGTGTATATTAGTTAAAGTTAAGTTTAGCTACTTTATGTGTTTTATTTTTATTGCCTGCTTCTTTCACAGGAAAACATGCTTAATAAAGGCTACCTCTGCCCTGCTCACTACCAAATTTCAATGGCACACAATGGTGCTCAAGAAATATCTGTGGACTGCATGATTAAATTAAAATAATAATAATGCTATAAAAATGGGAATAAGAGAGGGGGAGAAAGTATGATAATATAAATGAGCTAAAGTGTCTTATTTTCATATCAAAAATTCATTAGGAATACAAGTGTATTTTAGAAGTCTTGACGATAACCACAAGAACAGGATTTCCCAGGCACTATTAACATTTTAAGCCAGGGACTGTCCTGTGCATTGTAGGATCCTTGGTCTCTACTTACAAGATGCCAGTAGCACTCTTTCCCCCAGTTGTGACAACCAAAATGTCTTTGAACAGTGACAAATGTCCCCTACGGAGCAATATCACTCCTAGTTGAGAACCACTGCATCATAAGGAGTTAAAAATCAGAAAAGTTGAGAAAAGTTTGGCATTCTAGAAAGTGATACTGAGTCTAGGCAAGTTCAAAAGGGAAAACCGTTTTTATTATAAATTCTGTACTATAGAGTTTTTGTCAAGTGTATGTATTGTTTTGATACATATTAATATTTATTAAAAAACATTACTGAGGTAGAATCAATGGGGCTTTGTGACAAGCTGGCAATATAGAGTGAAAAAGACGGAAGAGTCAATAATGATTAGGGTTCTGGCATGTGCAACTGGGTGGATGATGGTTGTTTTCACGGAGACAGGGAATACAGGCGGGGAAATAGTTTTGTTGTAGGAGCAGGGAATAATGGCTCCAATTTCAAATATGTTGAGCATGAAATATCTGTGAGATATGTAAGCTGTAGGCATCAAATAAATTAATCTTGAACTTCAGATATATAGATGTGTGAGTCATTAATATATAGATGATAATTGAAACGATGGCAGTGGATGAGATTCCTGGAAAAAGAAGAGACTTGAGAACAGGACCCCAAGGAACAGCAGTATACTGAGTGTGTAATATTTTAGTCTGTTTTATGCATCTTAATTTTTAAATTAATTAGGACTATACTGTAAATATGGTTTAAGATTTTTTAAAAACAAATTGTATCTTTGCAAAAATAACGCACATTTATTGAAGCCATTTCAAAAACATGTAGATAAGCACAAACTACTCTCCAGAACCAGAACTGCAGCTTCAGGCCTCGATGATCAAATAGAGTAGGCATTGAGCACTAATTATGTGCCAGGCAGATGGAGATTCGATAGTAAACAAAACAGACACCATTCTTGTGTTAATACAGCTTATTATCTAGTAGAAAATATAGTCAAAGAAAATAGGAATTTACAATGGAGTGTGATGAATGGTATAAAAATTAATAATGGAAATCCACTTCACCTACAGATGCAGTGGGATGTGATTAAAGCATCTTCAATGTCCTCCATTTTCCTCTTATTTCGCATGAGCTTAGTTGCAAGAACAGGAAGAAACTGTTTTGAGTTCCTTTGCTCCCTGTACCGTGTAGTAAGAACGTTCAAGAAGGATGACAGAGAACATGAAGTTGTTTGCCATTGTGGGTCTTACTAGAGGCTCTGTCCAAACCAAGCTTCTCAATATTCTGGGTTCTGACTCCTTCACAGAGAGTGTCTCCTCAGATTTGTAAATTGGTTTTATACTTTATAATCTGTTCAGTTAATTTTCCAGAAACTCCCTAGCTGCACTCTTGAGTCACTCACTCAGTAACACCAAATCCCAAAAAGAGAGAGACTGTATATTTCTCAAAAATAAGAAGCATGCACAAGTTGACAGCACCTCAATGGACCCTATGGGTTATAAGAAGCAGAAAGAGATTGAGATGAAGAAATCACAGAGACAGGTCATGTTTGCACGAAGCAATCTGTTCCCTTGGTAACATTGTAGTTGACCCTGCCCCTGACTAGCAGGAGAGAGCCCCAGCTGTCTTGCAAAGCCCCAGCTACCTCTTTATAATGACTTGGGCCACAAGGAAAATTGTTTACATTAGGGGAAACAATGCTGGCCCTAATCTTAGAAGAACTATCTGCAAATAACTGATTTGAGAAAACCTGATATTTCTTAAATATGGTGAATTAAAATGAAACTGGCATACAAGGTAAACACAAATAATACATGAAAAAGAGAGAAAAGGGACATGAAAACTAAATGGCAGATGATGAAAAGTCATCTGAAAAATGTTACCATAAAGTAGATGAAATTTTTCACCAAATATTTCATATGAATTTGAAAGTTTTAATAAAGCAAGTAAGCAAGAGCTCAAGAAAGGAGTGGCAAAATAAGAATGAGAAGAAATGTGATCTGTGAGGCTTCTGTGAAGAATGTGAAAAAAGAAATTTAACAATCACAGAGATGAAAGCAAAAATGGCAGAAGCACAAGGAAGAGAGAAACCATGGCAAAAGCATAGTAATTAGTGTCAAATCTGTGTACATTTAGGACTAAGACCAAAACAAATGTGGTGATTATGTTTACAGAATGAATGTAATGGTGATACACTCAGATGGAGAAGCAATTATACAATGAACAACAATTGGAAGAGGAAAGAAAAACAAGGTGGGAGGTAATGTAAATATGTTGATTTTCTTATCCTTAATGACTGAGGTCAAAAATACCATCTAAACCAGACAAATATGGTGATACAGATATAAGTATATTGAATAGTATAAAGATAAACACTAAGAAATATAATCTAATCAACTAAAAGTGCATGAAAAGAGGAAAGGGAGTAGGGCAGAGGACTAAATGTGTATAAAGTTAATCCTTAAAGCATTATTCATAATAACAAGAAAAATGAAAAAAAAAACCACACACACAAAATATTCACAAACAGGGGACTAAGGAATTATGACACATTCATGCAATAAAATACTATTCATCTATAAAGTGAAAAGCAAATTTTTAATCTAGTGATAACCAAGGATTTACAAGGTTATTAACATATTGCTGTGTGTGTGTGTATGTGTGTTTATTTGTGTGTTTATGTGTGCCTGTGTAATATCTCTAGAATAATGCATTAGAAACTGCTTCTGGTGGGAGAGAAGCAAGTAGTTGGTAAGAGAGGGGGTTAAAAGATTTTACGTGTATACCCTTTGTTATCTTTTGAATTTTGAACCACTAGGATGTGTTACCAGTTTTTAAAAACAAATTAAGTTTAAAAATAAGATAAAATGCAGTCAGGCGCGGTGGCTTATGCCTGCAATCCTAGCTCTTTGCAAGGCCAAGGTGGGCAGATCACCTGAGGTCAGGAGTTTGAGACCAGCCTGGCCAACATGGCGAAAACCCATCTCTACTAAAAATAGAAAAATTAGCTGGGTGTGGTGGCACGCGCCTGTAATCCCAGCTACTCAGGAGGCTGAGGTAGGAGAATTGCTTGAACCCGGGAGGCGGAGGTTGCAGTGAGCCGCGATTGCGCCATTGCACTCCAGCCTGGGAGACAGAGTGAGGCTCCGTCTTAATAATAATAATAATAATGATAATATAAAATGTAAAGATTTGGCTGATTGATCTTTGCCCAGCTTTGTAGATATCATGTGAGATCCCTAATATATGTTTTGTAGAGTTTCCTCATTCCACATACATCTGTCTTTGTTCTATCCTCCTGAAAACTGAGGCAAAGGGTACAGGGCAATGTTCTCATTGTCAATGTTCCCCCTGTGTGCCTCCCCATTTTCATTATTCACCATCAAGACTAAGTAATTAGGATATTTCTCTGTTTGTATATTTCTCAAAAATAAGAATCATGTACAAGTTGACAGCAACTCAATGGACCCTATGGCTTATAAGAAGCAGAAAGGTACTGCCAGTACCTTGCTCAAGAAACTTTGAGTTCTCAAAGCTAATTTTAAAAATTCATAGCCATCAATTTCAAGTTTTCCTGAATTCCAAAAGCTGCCATTACATATTGGTAACCAGGCCTGGGAGATTCTGACCAAAGATCTTTAATATAAGCCAAAGGTAGTGAGAACTCAGGACCTAAAGGAAATGTTTATCAGAAAGAAACTTAGTGGAAAGGAGAGAGGAAAGATGAGGAAAAAACAGCCAATCTCATGTGTCCTGGTTCAAATCAATTCCCAAATTGAAACCGTAGAGAGTGGTGGGTATCAGGTATGACCAGATAAGTTACTGGGAAATTTAAGAGTATTGGGGTTAGTTTCTTCACTTCCATAGGCACAAGCTGAAAAAATGCTGAGTCTAACATGGGACAGCTCAAGTGTAAGGCTAGAAAAGGCTGTGAGAGAAGGCTGGTGATAACATCTCCCAACACTTCCCTTACCTCCATGCCCCATCCCAAGGTGAGGGGAGGTTGCCAACTTCATCTACTACCCAACTCAAAGGACTGGATAATTAAAAATACAGAACACTGGATATAGATCTACGTATTGACAATTGGTCTTTGTGAGATGCAAATATTTATTCAGAGGAGGGTTGTGTAACACGGTTATCTGGAGTGCTTAATCGTGGTAATAGCTTGAGCCATCAAATTGCCTTTCCTTCCTTCAAAATTATCCCATATCCAGATATTTGAGAACAAAGAACAATAGAATACTGATGGCTAGACTTAATAAAGACCTTGCCAGGGTCGAAAGAAACATGATTGAATAAACCAGAAGAACTAGTTTGGACTACTCCACTGCCAGGGGAGTCGGGGAGAAAGACAACATAAAAATAAAATGAAGGCAGGGAAAGGGTCTTTAGAAAGATTTCTGGGAAAAGAACATTTGTAGAACACTAGGTCCAAATGCTTTGTTTTTTCCTCCTTCCCTCCTCTTTGAGAGTAGCAATGGTGAGGCACTTCATTGTCCAATTTTTTCATTGCTATTCTCAAAGCAGTAGAAGCCAAAGATATGGCCTGTGTGCTGGCATGTAGGATGAGGACAGCAGAGTCAAAAAAGCACTCTTATAGGACAAGGTAAATATCATGTCCACACAGAAAAACAGATAAATCCTTAGGAATAACCCCAAAAAGAAATGTGAATGATCTTTATAAAGAAAATATCACAAGTGACGAAAAGGTCTAAATAGTTGTACCTGGATAAAATTCTAAGACGCCAATCCTTGCCAATTTGATCCATAAAGTTAATATGATTTCAATCAAAACATAAACGGTGTGTTCTACAATAAATGACATTAGTATAATTAATAATATATTTAGAGAAAATTAAGATAGAAAATCTACCTCAAACTGTATGGACAGACAGACAGACAGACACACACACACACACACACACACACACACACACACTACTAGTAGGTTAACAATGAAGCTAACTGTAAAAAAGATACTGTGTTTGTATTCCTTCTAAGGAAATAGGCAAAAGTTTTTCTTATAACTTTGAGAAGGAAAGGCTGTCATGGAAAAAAAAGAAAGGAAGGAAGGAAGGGAAGAGGAAGCAAGAAAACAGTACATATAGAAGTCCTAAAAGGAAAATATTGACAGAAGCAGAAAACCCAATTTCCTGAGCGATGAAATGAATCACGCATACACAAAAATATCAAGAGATGGGGTGAGTGAAAACATTTGCAATGGTTGCAACATGTTACAAGAATCTTATTTCAAGTGTAGCTAATGACTACCATATGGGACAGTACAGCAACTCTATACTTAGAAAAGGAAATTGCTTTTGTCTTGCACAGATATAGTAATTTGGGAGAGGAGAGAGACCAGTGCCCAGTTTGCCATGATGCAAAGGTCGGCGGGATGAGAGTTCCTAAGCTTCCTGTGGGCCGCAATACGTCCTGAGAACGTACCTGGAGCAGAGGCTTGCTCACAAGCACCAACACAGCTCTCTCCACCAACACACACACACACACACACACACACACACACACACACACACACCCCACCTGCCTTAGGCCACTTAGTGAGCTGAGGGACTCCAAGTCAGTAAGAGGTTCCTGAGGGAAAGGGATGTGCCTCAGGAGAAACTTTAATGCCTGGAAACCACAGAGCGGGTGTGCAGCTGGGCGCATGAGGATCCCAGAAAGTGCCACAGACAGCACTAGAACGGAGTGCTCAACCAGTGGTGCTGGGCTCATCGGCTAATCATGCGGGAAAAGAAGTGAAGTCACATCACTGTCTCTCACCTTGCACAAAAGTAAATTCCAGGCAGATCGATGAGACAAAACTCTGAATAGAAAGGTGTGAAAGAACGAGAAAACTGCCAAGGAGACTGTGTTCATGGGAAAGTGGGAAAGGCTGTCCTAAACCTCACACCAAAACAAGAGGCAATAAGGGAAAATGGACCTCCAGGATGGAAAGGAGGCCATGAGCAGAGAGAGTAGGGAAGTGGCAGCCAGTGAGAAGACACATCTGGCGTCTGTAACAGACGGGGCAAGGGCCGGCCCTCTGCAGCACTCTGCTGGACTCTGGTGCAGTGCCCATCTGCATCATAGAGCAGCCAGTGTCCCTCAGAAGAGAGGCAAGAGCAACCCCTTGCCACAGCTGCCCAACTCTTAGCCCAGTGGTGCATCGTCAGAGGGACGGACTGGGTGAGGGCTATGCTGGTCCAGGGTGGCACTTAAAAGTAAGGGGATCGTGGTGGATACTGCTTTGAGAGTGACACATAGCACCCCGGTGAGGGTCCCGTGTCTGAGACAGGACGTGCCTGCCGGGAAGCTGGTTGTCTGCAACCTTGTGTGCACTCACCTGGAGGGGGGCGGGGTGGGGGTGGCAAACCACAAAATCCCTAGGAGAGGCAGCAGGCTGGGGAGGGCACCTGAAGTTGGTCTGGAAGTCAGTCAGTGCCTACAGGCACCAAATGGAAACGTGCTCATAAGATAGATGAGAAGCAAAACTGAGGGCCCTTTCTGGAGGTGGAAGACAGCCTGTGGCGGCAGTTCCAGATTGACACAAGAGACGGGCTCAGGCTGGGGCGGCACCATCAAGGCAGAGCACTTCTCACAGAATGTGGCAAGCTCAGGATTGATGACCTTTTCCAATGTTTGCCACGGGGAAGCCCAGAAAGGCTGTCTTTTGGTTGCAGCAGGCAGGTATGCATTGTGATTGATGGCTCAGGGCTGTTTTTATGTTTGCGTTACATATGGAATGGGGGCACCGGCGCTCTTGCCAGTGCTGAGAACCTCTCAGTGTCTTGATCAGGCCCTGGGAGGCAGGCATGCTCCCGACTCCCCCCGCGCATCCCAGGGAGGCAGAATCCACGGGAACTGGGCTCGTACCCAGGCACTGCAACCAGTCAGGGGATGAGGGGCAGGACAGAAGGGCTGTGCGTGAGTGCTTTCGGGAGGGCAGTGCCAGCAAATGGACAGGAGGGTTTTGACTTGGGCCAAGACAACGCCGTGGAGACACTTGGACGCTGATGGGCTTTTCTGTGACAGAGTTTGCTCAGGAGATGGGCAGAAAGCCTCTGGGGCGCTCCCTGAGTTAGGACTCAGCTGCGGCCTCACGGTGTCAAGTGCCTCAGCGATGGTGGACAAGCGCACGTAAAGGGAAACTTGGTAGCGTGCAGGGAAGTAGGGAGGTGCATGCTAATTCGGGACCACAGGCTAGGAGGATGCCTTTGTGCTCAAAGAGACTGAGCAATGAGGTGTCACTAAAGACAGCATTGGCGAAGCAGGCTCCACTGGGAAAAGTGCATGCGGAGCTGTCTGCAGGGAAATCCCCTTTGAAATCAGATTGCCCAGCCAAACTGCGGCTGGCTTGGGAGAAAGGGTGGTCCTTCTGACAGCTCTTAGGAACCCTTAGGAACCGGGACAGGGCTCCCAGAGCCAGCCAAGGAAGCCCCAGCAGTGTGAGCCTTGACAGGGGATGTGGTGTCACAACAACTGCAAGTCACTTGTTGGCCATCCCAGGCACCAGGGCCTGGGAAGAGGTCTGGTCCCCATTCCAGGTGGGAGGGTTTCCCAGAGTTGGTCAGGGGACCCGGCAGGCACTCAGGCCGTCTGGCCAGCATGGACTGTGGGGCAGATGGTACAAGCAGGAAAGTTGTAACCCACCTGGAAGGCAAGCTGCGGGGGGAAGGGAGAATAAGACAAGAAAAGAAAGCTTTGTTCTGTGTGGAACAGAACAAGCAGAATGCCCAGCACCACAGAGATCGCGGCTGCCCAGGACACAGTGACCCACAGCAGCAGCCCTGGGAGACCGAGAGGGCACCGGGCACGGCAGCAGCCTTGCCCAAGGGGAAGCAGATGTGTTTACTGGGTTTGCCATGGCTTTAGGGAAGGGGACCACTTCTTGACACATCACAAACATGCAGGGAACCTGGCTTTGCTGATTCAGGGGCTAAACCTGCTGGGCGGGATCTGGTAATGTTGGAGGTGGGGGCGGGGCAGAACGAGCTGCCCTGACCCATGGAGTGCTTCTGCGCCCACGGGCTCTTCCTTTCCTGGCAAGGTGCAGGCACCTCAGATGGAGAGTGTGGAGGTGTCTCCGGATGGATGGAGTGGCCACGGTCGTGCCAAGTGCCCTCAGCATCTGCCCTATCACCCCCGCAGGTAGTTGATGGAGGGCTCCACTGTCCCCTTCCTGGGTCCCACCACAGGTAGTGGGGATATGGAAGAAAGGAGGTTGCTCCAAAGGGAGCAGCGGCCAACCCTCTCACTCTGCCAGGAAGTAGCGCTGGGGATCCCAAGGAAGAGAGAAGGAGGGCTGGAAGCAGATTTCCCCCTGGCTTCGCAGGAGGGATAGAACTACACAGGGTAGGTGCTGGGCAAGCGGCAACCTTTATCGCCATCATTGTGCAATAAATGCGCCCCGATGCGTGGTAGAGCGCCCCCACCCGTTCCACCCCGGTCCCCATCCCCACGTCGGGATGCGCCGACAATCGAAAAGGCCAGGGTTACTGACCTTTCTCTCCAGGCTGGCAGTCAAGGAAAAGACATTAAGAAGGGATTTCTCTGTGCCGGGGCACGGTGCTGCCTGCTCCACGGGTGTTGTCTCTTTCAGTCCTCTCAACATTCCATCCTAATTCCACGAACTCCCCCGCTGTGCCCCTCCCCTTCCCCCACCCCCGCCTCCAGCCCCTTCTTGAAGTTTATTCTGAGCACTGCAGCCCCTCTCTATCCCTGCCTCCTGTGAGCACCGATAAGCCTGCATTTGTCACGGAGCAGACGTTCCAGTCAGCTGGCGTTTACCGTGCTTTTTTTTTTGTCCTTCTCTCCGTGCAGACTGTAAACTCAAGGACAAGGACCATGACTCTTTTCTGCCAATCAAAGCACACAACTTTATTGATGATACACACAGATGCGGACTTGGGTGGAAGAGGTTAAGTCGGTACAATAGACAGAAGAGCAGTGCACTTTTTTGATGAATAGGTTCACTATCCATCAGGCGCGTGTAGAAGAAAGAGCAAACGAAAAATAATTCAACCTAAGCTGCAACAAATGCATTTTCAGCTCAAGCCGCGATATGCCTCTGGTCTCTGCAAAGCGGTCCCGCTTGGACAGGGAGACCACCACAGGCAACAATAGCACTCGTGATGCTGTAATTTGATGTTCTTTGTCCACAGCAGGCAGCTGAAGTGATCCCCTCACCACATGAAGGAGGCTGCAAGGGAGGAATTTACAATGCCAACATTGCCTGCAGACTGCACAACCAAGAAGTTACTCAAAGCTCTGTGGGAGCCCCTGCCTGGCCAATAAGAGTGTGGTCCTGGATTGAGCCCTGGAACTTTCACCCAATGAGGTGGTGATTGGCTAAGGCTGGATCTTCAGTAGCACCCTCTGCAGATTCTTTGACATCTGCAAACCAAGCGCGTTGTGGGTGGATTCCGTCCCATTGTGTTCGAGAGGGCCGTTTATGGGGCAGGGGTTTCCAGGAGAATCTCTCTGTTTCCATTTCTGATAAAGAGGGACATGAATGAGAAGAGCATCTGGGCACCGACTAACTCCCCCGCCAAGACTGGCTTTTCAGACAAACCCATCAGCGGTTTCAAAACCTGAACCTTAGCACATCCACTTCCCTCTGATATCAAAGGAAACTTCAAGTCTGAAGCGGACTTGGCAAGCATGTTATTAATAACTGTCATGCTTATTAACAAATTTAATCCGGCCTGCTGCAGAAATGAGTTGCAGCAACGTGACACAGTCTCCCGACACACTTCATTGATGTACATCTTAATCTGGCCCTGACTTTCAATACTCGCATTTAAGTTATCCGGGGCACACAAAGCCTCTCTAACAGTGGGGTCTGGAGTGGGGCTCGTGTTTCTAGCCATTGAGAGGCTGGCCAAATGGCTATTGATATCCTGGCTAAATGGAAAGCCCGCATCCTTGGGCTCGGCAAACAACAGTTTTCCCTGAATGAAAAGACACTTGGAGAGGTCTAGAACACAACTGCCATTTTTAAAGTTTTGAGCATACCCAGAAATTTTTTTATTTTCATTGGGGGAATAGGTCATTCATTTTTATTTCGATGGTTTGCTTTTGGAGAGGCTGAGAGTTCTTACTGCCCATGATTATTGTCAGACTGATCCCCAGGGCTTGGCTTATCCTCAGTTCTTGACTGAAGATCATGGACCTTGCCTGTCTTCCCCACTGTCTGCAGCTCCCACGCTCTTTTTGTTTTTCTTGCTTGGTTGTGCCTTCTTCTGATAAGTGGATGAACACTGTGTCAACTTGTAGACCAGACTTCCATATCTTCTTTCACAAATTCGTCAGTCTGAGTATATCCCACATCTAATGCAAGTCACAGATGGGCATCACTCTTTAAAAGGTGCTCTAGTTGTGGCATTCTAGGAAGGAGATTGTTAGACATTCTTTTCCTGGACACAATCAATCTAATTGCCATCCAACATGGACCTAGCAGCAATGCAAACACATAAAGCTTTCAGATGAGTCTCCCCAAAGAGACATGTCAATGCACAGGATACAAGGGTATCAGTATCTCTATTTCCGGATTGAAGGTCTTAATTTTCAAATGTTCCTCCTCTGGGGTTTAACCTCCCTCAAGCTCATTTCCACTATTTTCCCACAGGTGCAGCATTTATCTTTTTCCAGCACCAATATAAGAGGAGAAAAAAACAAAGGCTGTGAGAGGGAGAAGCTGAATTGCCTCTGGACTCTGTAGTCTGCCTCGGACGCCTCGTTTCCACCCCTTATCTCCAGCATATCACACTCTGTGGAGCAATTTCTTTCCTCCCTTACTTAGATTATTGTCTACAGGTAGACAGAGAAAAGAGGATAGAGATTGGTAAATGCATTGACACATAAGTTTCAGGTGCATCCACTCCAGAGTGAGGAATATAACTTTCCAGAGTCTCCCATTTAGGTCTCAGGCACACCCATCTTCCCCACCCTGGCCTCCTGCCACTTTATTCCTCGCCCTTCTCCTATGAATGCCCACTTTTCTGATCTACCTCACCTCACTCCCCTTTCTGTGCTATAGATTTTGACACTGCTTTCCCAGAGCCATAAAGGATTGGGATTAAGGGTTTTCCGAAAACAGGACAGGAGTAGAAGGGCAAGTTCTAGTTTAGCACTTGTGTGTACCACCCTCTTGTGACAGGTTCTGGCTCCACATATCCTTGAAGGAATACATTCTTTCTTCAGTCTCTGCCAGATAACCTGTAATTTTCTTCTTCCTTTTTCTTGGGTTGCACTGCCCCCTACAGACAGACAAACAAACCAATATCTATCAGTAGGGTGGGTGAACACAGTGCTGGGTGATAGGCCACAGTTCCTTTTACTGATTCTGGACTCTGTCAAACATTTCTCACCTCTCACTCTCGGTTCCGCAACACCAACTCTCCCCCGATCCTATGCACCATTTAGAGAACTAAAATAAGCTGGTGGGTGGGGCGAGAGTGTAGGGGAAGATGACTCTGTCCCAATCTTGACCCTAAGACTTCCCAGGCAATCCTCATTCTCACACCACCCTGCACATAACCAGAGCAGTTTCTTCTTTCTTCACTCATCTACAAACGTGCCTCTCTGAGGTCAACAGCAGAGAGCTGATGGCTGGATCAAAAAGATTTGACTTTCCCACAGATCTTGGTCACCTGAGATATATGTCACTAATGAGCCATGGTTGCCACCAGTAGTGATGCAAGAGTGTGCCTGCCTCTCTCTCTTCCCCCCAGCACACCAGACCTGTTACTCATTTTTTTTTCTTCACCAATCCTGGAATCCAAAAGAAAGTGCATTACCATTTTGTTGGAATTTGTTTTTCTCTGATTTCCAGAGACAAAACTTATTCTGATACTTTCTTATCTTCTCCTGGAGCAACTGTTTCTTTGTATTTATACTTCTTTATCTTCATCCTAGAATACTGGGCAACAGCACGTCTTTTTACTTCCCCTCCCCTCAGCAACTAATATCCATCATCTTGCTTAGACCCATGAAAAAAGCAGATTTCATAAAACAAGGCATGGAGAGATAAATATGTTTAATTACATTTTTCTTGCCTCTGCTCACTTTTCTTGGAAATAATGACTTTTTAAAAAGATTTTTTATGCCTTTTGTACGTATAAGGAGTTTTCTGGAGTGATACTTGCTAGAATGACACCACTGGTTATTTCTGAGAATAGTATTTAAGGCAATACACAGTCTAGCTGAAGTGTCAAGTGTTAAGTTCAGTGGGACATGGAAATTAACAGAGCGGTCTCTTGGACAAGACCACCTAGTTTTCCCAACAGGCCCCCATGAGATAGAATTTGCCTTGCTGAGTTCACTATACTCCAGGCTCTACCCCCTAATTTTGTTTTCAGAGTAAAACTGTGCACAATTTATGACATTACACCCAAGAGAAATGCATGCATATATTTACCAAACGACATGTATAAAAATGTTCATAGCAGCACTATTCATAATAGTCCCAAGCTGGAAACAATCTAAATATCCGTCATTAATAGAATGGATACATAAAATATAGTACATACATAAATAGCAATGAATACTCTACATGCAACAGTATGGATTACTCTCACAGATGTTAGCAAAAAATTAGACACAAAATAATATATACTGTATGATTCTGCTTACCTAAAGTTTTTTAAAATTCAAAACTATCTATGTTTTTAGAAGTCAGAATAGTGGTTACACTTAGGATGCATTAGTGACTAGATGGGGACTTGGAGGGAACTTCCAGTGTGTGGTTCATGTTTATTTCTTGCTCACTTTGTGAAAATGTATTGAGCTGATCACTTGTGCACTTTTCTGTATATACAGTATACTTCAACAAAAGTTTACTTAAAGATCTCAATGGTGAGTTAGAAAAATGAGAGGTGGAGTGGCCAAGATGGCCAATTAGAAGCAGCTAGGGTGGATGGCTCTCATGGAGAGGAACAGAAGGGGTGAGTAAATACAGCACCTTCAACTGAAATGTCCATGTACTTGCATTGGGACTAATCAAGGAAACAACTTGACTTACGAAGAACAAAGAAAAGCAAAGCGGGATGATGGCCCACCCAGGAGCGACACGAAGCCAAGGGAAGTTCCACCTCCTAGGGAAGCAGTGAGTGAATGTACAACCCCAGAAACCCACGCCTCTCCCACTGATCTTTGCGACCCTTGGGTCAGAAGATCCCCTCATGAAACCACTCCACCAAGGCCTTCAGTCTGACACACAGAGCTATGCAGGGTCTTGGCAGAGCAGCCATTCAGACACACGTGGAGACCAGGGAGCTTTAAATACTCTGGCTCTGGGCTTCCCAGCAAAAGTAACTGCAACTCCAGCAAAGTAGGTTAGAACTCCTACTACCCCTAGGAAAGAGGCTGAAACCAGGGGGCCAAGCAGGGATGGTCTGCAGGCCCCATGTCCACGGCACTTCACAGGATAAAACCCACTGGCTTGGAATTCCAGCCAGCCACCAGTAGCAGTGTGGCACCTACCTGGGATGGAGCACCCACGGGGAGGGGCGGGCCTCCATCTTTGTCATTTGGGTGACTTAGCCATTCCAGCCTGTGGGCTCTGGAGAGTCCAAACTGACCAGGGGCAGAAGGGATCCCCCAGCACAGCACAGCTGCTCTATCAAAACATGGCCAGACTGTTTCTTTTCCCCAATCCCTTCCTCCTCACTGTGGGGGGACCTCCCAACTGGGGCGTTCAGCAACCCCTGCTGGTGTTCTCTGGCCAAAAAAGATTTGAAAACTCCCTGGGACAAAACTCCCAAAGGGAGGGGTGGGCCACCATCTTTGTTGTTGGACATCTTAGCAGTTCTAGCCTTCAAGCTTTGGTGTGTCTGAGGCTACCAGGGGCAGAAGTGGTGCCCCAGCACAGCACAACAGCCCCCGAAAACATGGCCAGACTGCTTTTTTAAGTGAGTCCCCAAACTTGTTCTATATCACCAGGTAGAGCCACCCAACCAGGGTCTTCGGCTACACCCACCAGTGTTCTCTGTCTGACAGAGGTTTCAGGTCTCCCTGGGACAGAGCTCCCAAGACGAAAGGAAGGCCACCATCTTTGCTGTTCAGGTGACTCAGCCATTCCAGCCTTCAGCCTTAAGAGGTGACCAGGGGCTGAAGTGTGCCCCCAGCCCAGCACAGCTGCTCAACAAAAACATGGCCGGACTATATTTTTAAGCAGGTCCCCAATTCCATTCCTCCTGAATGGAAGAGACCGCCCATCCGGGGTCACCAGCCACCTCCTACAGGTGCATTTGGGCCAGCAACAGGTCTGTACCTCCCTGGGATGGAGCTCTCTGATAAAGGAGCAGGCTTCCACCTTTGCTGTTTCACAACCTTCACTGGTGATAGCTTCAGGTACTGGAAAATCTGAGGTGACTAGGGACTGGAGTGGGCCCCCAGCATACTGCAGCAGCCCTACAGAAAAGTGGCCAGACTGTTAAAAGAAAAAAAATCCAAAAGTCAGAAATCTCAAAGATTGAAGGCAGATAAGCCCACAAAGACAAGAAGGAATCAATGCAAGAAGGCTGAAAACTCAAAAAGCCAGCATGCCTTCTTTCCTCCAAATGACCACATCACCTATCCAGCAAGGGTGAGGAAACAGGTTGAGGCTGAGATGGCTGAAATGACAGAAGTAGAATTCAGAATATGGATAAGAATGAAGTTCACTGAGCTAAAGCTGTATGTTGTAACCCAATGCAAGGAAGCTAAAAATCATGGTAAAACATTGCAGGAGATGGCTGAGTGTGGTGGCTCATGCCTGTGATCCCAGCACTTTGGGAGGCTGAGGCAGGTGGATGACTTGAGGTCAGGAGTTAAGACCAGCCTGGCCAACACAGCAAAACCCTGTCTCTACTAAAAATACAAAAATTAGCTGGGCATGATGGTGTGCACCTGTAGTCCCAGCTACTCAGGAGGCTGAGGCAGGAGAATCACTTGAATCCAGGAAGTGGAGTTTGCAGTGAGCTGAGACCATGCCACTGCACTCCAGCCTTGGCAACAGAGCAAGACACTGTCTCAAAAAAAAAAAAAAAAAAAGGGCCAGGCACTGTTGCTCACGTCTGTAATCCCAGCACTTAGGGAGGCAGAGGCGGGTGGTTCACGTGAGGTCAGGAGTTCGTGACTAGCCTCACCAACATAGTGAAACCCTGTCTCAACTAAATACCAAAAATTATCTGGGTGTGGTGGCACATGCCTGCAATCCCAGCTACTTGGAAGGCTGAGGCAGGAGAATCTCTTGAACCTGGGAGGCAGAGGTTGCAGTGAGCTGAGATTTCACCATTGCCCTCCAGCCTGGGCAACAAGAGTGAAACTCCATCAAAAAACAAACAAAAAAAAATTGCAGAACCCGACAGAAAAAAAAAAATAGGCAGTATAGAAAAGAACATAACCAACCTGATAGCGGTGAAAAACACACTACAAGAATTTCATAATCCAATCACAAGTATTAATAGCAGAATAGACCAAGCAGAGGAAAGAATCTCAGAGCTTGAAGACTGCCTTGCAGAAATAAGACAGGCAGACAAGAATAGAGGAAAAAAAAGAATGAAAAAGAATGAACAAAACATCTGAGAAATATGGGATTACGTAAAGAGGCTGAATCTACAACTGATTGGCCTGCCTGAAAGAGGTGGGGAGAATAGAACCAACTTGGAAAAGATATTTCAGGATATCATCCATGAGAACATCCTCAACCTAGCTAGAAAGGCCAACGTTCAAATTCAGGAAATGCACAGAACCCCAGTAAGATACTCCATGAGAAGATCATCCACAAGACACATAATCATCTGATTCTCCAAGGTTGAAATGAAAGACAAAAATGTTAAAGGCAGCTGGTGAGAAAGGCCAGGTCACCTACAAAGAGAAGCCCATCATATTAACAGCAGACCTCTCAGCCAAAACCCTACAAGCCAGAAGAGATTGGGGGCCAATATTTAGAATTCTTAAAGAAAAGAAATTCCAACCCAAAATTTAACATACATCCAAACTAAGCTTCATAAGCAAAGGAGAAATAAGATCCTTTTCAGACAAGCAAATGCTGAGGGAATTTGTTACAACCAGACCTGCCTTACAAGAGCTCCTGAAGGAAGCACTAAATATGGAAAGGAAAGACCATTACCAGCAACTACAAAAACACAATGAAGCACACAGACTAGTGACACTATAAAGCAACCACATAAATAAGTCTGCAAAATAACCGTATAATAGCACAATGGCAGGATCAAATCCACACATATCACTAGTAACCTTGAAGGGAAATGGGCTGAATGCCCCACTTCACAGAGTGGCGAGCTGGATAAAAAAGCAAGACCCAACAGCATGCTGTCTTCAAGAGTCCCATCTCACATGTAATGACACTCATAAGCTCAAAATAAAGGAATAGAGGAAAATATACTAAGCAAATGGAAAACAGAAAAAGGCAGGGATTGCAATTCTAGTTTCTAGATTTTAAACCAACAAAGGTTAAGAAAAAAAAACAAAGAAGGGCAATACATAATGGTACAAGGTTCAAGTCAACAAGAGGATCTAACTATCGTAAATATATATGCACCCAACACAGGAGCACTCAGATTCATAAAGCAAGTTCTTAGAGACCTTCAAAGAGACAGACTCCCACACAATAATAATGGGAGACTCTAACACCCCATTGACAATATTAGATCATCAGGACAGAAAATTAACAAAGATATTCAGGACCTGAACTCAGCACTGGATCAAATGGACCTGATAGATATCTATAGAACTCTCTACCCAGAAACAATAGAATATACATTTTTCTCATCACCACATGGCACTTACTCTAAGATTGATCACATAGTTGTAAGTAAAACACTCCTCAACAAATGCAAAAGAACTGAAATTATAACAAACAGCCTCTTGGACCACAGCACAATCAAATTAGAAATCAAGCCTAAGAAATTCACTCAGAACTATACAATTACATGGAAACTGAATAACCTGCTCCTGAGTGACTTTTGGGTAAATCACGAAATTAAGGTAGAAATCAAGAAGTTCTTTGACACTAATGAGAACAAAAAGACAATGTACCAGAATCTCTGGGACACAGCTAAGGCAGTGTTAAGAAGGAAATTTATAGCACTAAATGCCCACATCAAAAAGATAGGAAGATCTCAAATTAACAACCTAACATCACAACTAAAAGAACTAGAGAACCAAGAGCAAACAAATCCCAAACCTAGCAAAAGACAAGAAATAACTAAAATCAGAACTGAACTGAAGGACATAGAGACACACACACAAAAAAAAATTCAAAAGATCAACAAATCCAGGAGCTGGTTTTTTGAAAAACTTAAAAAAATACATAGACTGCTAGCTAGACTAATAAAGAAGAAAAGAGAGAATATTCAAATAAACATAATCAGAAACAACAAAGAGGATATTACCATTGACCCCACAGAAATATAAACAATCATCAGAGAATACTATGAACACCTCTGTGCACAAAAACTAGAAAATATGGAAGAAATGGGAATATTTCTGGACACATACACCCTTCCAAGACTGAACCAGGAAGAAACTGAATCCCTGAACAGACCAATAATGAGCCTACCAACCAAAAAAGGCCCAGGACCAGACAGACTCACAGCTGAATTCTACAGTATGTACAAAGAAGAGCTGGTACCATTCCTACTAAAACTATTCCAAAAAATTAAGGAAGAGAGACTTCTCCCTAATTCATTCTGGGAGGCCACCATCATCCTGATACTGAAATCTGGCAGACACACACACACACAAAAAACACCCTTTTGCATTTTTTTTCTTTTTGGATGTTCAGGCCAATATCCTTGATAAACATTGATGCAAAACTCCTCAACAAAATACTGGCAAACTGAATCCAGCAGCACATCAAAAATCTATCCACCACAATCAAGTAGGCTTTATTCCTGGGATGTAATGTGGGTTCAGTATACACAAATTAGTAACTGTGATTCATCACATAAACAGAACTAAGGACAAGAAACAAATGATTATCTCAATACAGGCAGAAAAGCCTTTCAATAAAATCCAACATCCATTCAAGTTAAAAACCCTCAATAAACTAGGTATTGAAGGAACATACCTCAAAATAATTAGAGCCATCTATGACAAACCTATAGCCAATATCTATGGACAAAAGCTGGAAGCATTCCCCTTGAAAAGTGGCACAAGACTAGGATGCCCTCTCTCGCCCCTGCTATTCAACATAGTATCGAAAGCCCTGGCCAGAGAAACCAGGCAAGGGAAAGAAATAAAGGGCATGCAAATAGGAAGAGAGGAAGTCAAACTATCCCTGTTTGTAGATGACATGATTCTATATCTAGAAAACCCCATAGCTTCAGCCCAAAATCTCCTTGATCTGATAAACAACTTCAGCAAAATTTTAGGATACAAAATCAATGTGCAAAAATCAATAGCATTCGTATACACCAAAAACAGTCAAGCCAACAGCCAAATCAGGAATGAACTCCCATTCACAATTGCCATGAAAAGAATGAAATACCCAGGAATACAGCTAACTAGGGAGGTAAAAGATCTCTACAAGGAGAATGGAGAACTACAAACCACTGCTCAAAGAAATCAGAGATGACACAAACAAGTGGAAAACATTCCATGCTCATGAATAGGAAAAATCAATATTGTTAAAATGGCCATACTGCCCAAGCAATTTATAGATTCAATGCTATTCTTATTAAACTACCATTGATATTCTTCACAGAACTAGAGAAAACTATTTTAAAAATCATATGGAACCAAAAACCTGAAGAGTCAAGGCAATCCTGAGCAAAAAGAACAAAGCTACAGTCATCACGCTACCTGACTTCAAACTATACTACAAGGCTACAGTAACCAAAACAGCATGGTGCTGGTACAAAAACAGACACATAGACCAATGGAACAGAATAGAGAACCCAAAAATAAGAGCACACACCTACAACCATCTGATCTTTGACAAACCTGACAAGCAATGAAGAAAGGATTCCCTATCTGATAAGTGATGTTGGAATAACTGGCTAGCCATACGCAGAAGACTGAAACTGGATCCCTTCTTTACACCATATACAAAAGTTAATGCAAGATGCATTAAAGACTTAAATGTAAGACTCAAAACTACTAAAAACCCTGAAATACAACCTAGGCAATACCATTCAGGACATAGGTACGGGCAAAGATTTCATGATAAAGATGCCAAAAGCAATGACAACAAAAGCAAAAATTGACAAATGGGATCTAATTAAACTAAAGAGCTTCTGCACAGGAAAAGAAACTATCAAGAGAGTAAACAGACAACCTACAGAATGGGAGAAAATTTTTGCAATCTATCAATCCGACAAAGTTCTAATAAACAGAGACTACAAGGAACTTAAATTTACAACAACAACAACAACAACAAAATAACCCTGTAAAAAGTGGGCAAAGGACATGTACAGACACTTCTTAAAAGAAGACATACATGAAGACAACAAGCATATGAAAAAAACCTCAACATCACTGATCATTAGAGAAATGCAAATTAAAACCACAACGAGATGCCATCTCACACCAGTCAGAATGGCTATTATTAAAAAGTCAAAAAATAACAGATACTAGCAATGTTGTGGAGAAAAACGAACACTTATACACTGTTGGTGGGTGTGTAAATTAGTTCAGCCACTGTGGAAAACAGTGTGGTGATTTCTCAAAGACCTGAAGATAGAAATACCACCAATTCTGTTATTGTGTATATACCCAAAGGAATAGAAATCATTATATTATAAAGACACATGCATGCAATAATTTCTTGCAGCACTATTCACGATAGCAAAGACATGGAGTCAATCTAAACACCCATCAATGGTAGACTGAATAAAGAAAATGTGGTATAACCAAATACCGCATGTTCTCACTTATAAGTGGAGCTAAATTATGAGAACCTATGGACACATGGGGGAACAACATACTGGGGACATTCTGAGGGTGGAAGGTCAGAGGAAGGAGAGGATCAGGAAAAATAACTAACTGGTTTTGGGATTAATGCCTGGGTGATGAAATAATCTATACAACAAACCCCCATAACACAAGTTTACCTATGTAACAATCTGCACTTGCACACCTAAACTTAAAATAAAAGTTACAAAAAGAAAGGTAATGAAACCAATCCTCCTGATCTTCTAGGGAAACTAGACAAAGCATATTTTTTAAAGGTTTTCTGAAGGCATTGGAGGACTAACAAGATAGTGAAGAATAACTGGTTCAGAATAGGAGTGAGTGGGGCAAGTTGAGCCTAATGTCAGGGCCACCTTTCCCAGTAGAGCATATGCAGTTGTTAAGAGGAGTGTTGAGAGGCTATGCAGAAGTTTAGATAGCCTCTAGAGGCTAGGGAAGCAGAGATTGGAATTGAAATCTTGCCAAGAAGTGTGCCTGGTGAACTTGAATGTCCCTGGGTTGTGACACTGAAAGAGCTGCACCTCAGAGTCAGGGTGAACCAAAGGTAGACAGACTCTCACAAGTACTTCAGTTCAACTTTGAATAATTTCAATCATGGAACTTACTTCCAAAGTGCTAATGCTCCTACATGCCTAGCAGACACAAATACAAATCCTCTTTAGAGAGAGATAATATCAGCCTCAAATTATTTCTGAAGTTTTGCAAAATACAATATCTAGCACACACCAAGTGCAGAAGAAGATAAGACAAAATTAACAAAAGTCATCAGAAATGACAGACCATAGAAAAAGAACCACTGGGGCCTCAGATATTAGACTTATCCAACATAGAGTTAAAATAAATATACTTACTCTGCCTAAGGAAATAAAACACAATATCAAGAATTTCTGCAGATAAAGAAAACTATAAAAAACATAAAATGAAAATGCTAGAACTGAAAAAATAGAATAATCTAAATTAATAACTAAATGAATGGATGAATGGATTTAACAGCAGAGTATACATAGATGAAGAGAAAAGTATCGAACGGAAAGGTAGATTAGAAGAAACCACCCAGAATGAATCATAGAATTACAAAAGGATGAAAATTTAAGAGTAAGAG
This sequence comes from Homo sapiens, assembly GCF_000001405.40. Lineage (NCBI taxonomy): Eukaryota > Metazoa > Chordata > Mammalia > Primates > Hominidae > Homo > Homo sapiens. The sequence continues at coordinate 101,586,498 of NC_000023.11, read as the reverse complement.
AATACAGAGAGAAGGTTTAACAAATATGTGTTGTTGAACTTCAGGAAGACTTGAGATTCTGTTGTTGAATCAGGCAGATGTAATACCTAAAGAAATAATGGCTGAGAACTTCATCAACTGTCTAAAACATAAAGTCACAGATTGAAGAAACCCTTCAAACGTCAACCAAGATACATTTTTTAAATCACACTTATGCACATTATAGAAAAGCTGCTAAAAAACAAAAACAAAGAGTATATGTTAAAATCAGCCATAGAAAAAGAATGGCCTGTTGGATAAAAATCTACAGGCTTTAAAAATAGGCACGAGGATGGAGTCAAGATGGCCGAATAGGAACAGCTCTGGTCTACAGCTCCCAGCGTGAGCAACGCAGAAGACGGGTGATTTCTGCATTTCCATCTGAGGTACCGGGTTCATCTCACTAGGGAGTGCCAGACAGTGGGTGCAGGACAGTGGGTGCAGTGCACCATGCGTGAGCCGAAGCAGGGCGAGGCATTGTCTCACTCAGGAAGCGCAAGGGGTCAGGGAGTTCCCTTTCCTAGTCAAAGAAAGGGGTGACAGATGGCACCTGGAAAATCGGGTCACTCCCACCCCAATACTGCACTTTTCCAATGGGCTTTAAAAATGGCACACCAGGAGATTATATCCCGCACCTGGCTCGGAGGGTCCTACGCCCACGGAGTCTCGCTGATTGCTAGCAGAGCAGTCTGAGATCAAACTGCAAGGCGGCAGCAAGGCTGGGGGAGGGGCGCCCACCATTGCCCAGACTTCCTTAGGTAAACAAAGCAGCCAAGAAGCTCGAACTGGGTGGAACCCACCACAGCTCAAGGAGGCCTGCCTGCCTCTGTAGGCTCCACCTCTGGGGGCAGGGCACAGACAAACAAAAAGACAGCGGTAACCTCTGCAGACTTAAATGTCCCTGTCTGACAGCTGTGAAGAGAGCAGTGGTTCTCCAAGCATGCAGCCGGAGATCTGAGAACGGGCAGACTGCCTCCTCAAGTGGGTTCCTGACCCGTGACCCCCGAGCAGCCTAACTGGGAGGCATCCCCCAGTAGGGCCAGACTGACACCTCACACAGCCGGGTACTCCTCTGAGACAAAACTTCCAGAGGAAAGATCAGACAGCAGCATTTGCGGTCCACGAAAATCCACTGTTCTGCAGCCACCGCTGCTGGTACCCAGGCAAACAGGGTCTGGAGTGGACCTCAAGCAAACTCCAACAGACCTGAAGCTCAGAGTCCTGTCTGTTAGAAGGAAAACTAACAAACAGAAAGGACATCCACACCAAAAACCCATCTGTACATCACCATCATCAAAGACCAAAAGTAGATAAAACCACAAAGATGGGGAAAAAACAGAGCAGAAAAACTGGAAACTCTAAAAAGCAGAGCGCCTCTCCTCCTCCAAAGGAACGCAGCTCCTCACCAGCAATGGAACAAAGCTGGACAGAGAATGACTTTGATGAGTTGAGAGAAGAAGGCTTCAGACGATCAAACTACTCCGAGCTATAGGAGGAAATTCAAACCAAAGGCAAAGAAGTTGAAAACTTTGAAAAAAAATTTAGACGAATGTATAACTAGAATAACCAATACAGAGCAGTGCTTAAAGGAGCTGATGGAGCTGAAAGCCAAGGCTCAAGAACTACGTGAAGAATGCAGAAGCCTCAGGAGCCGATGCGATCAACTGGAAGAAAGGGTATCAGTGATGGAGGATGAAATGAATGAAATGAAGTGAGAAGGGAAGTTTAGAGAAAAAAAAATAAAAAGAAATGAACAAAGCCTCCAAGAAATATGGGACTATGTGAAAAGACCAAATCTACGTCTGATTGGTGTACCTGAAAGTGATGGGGAGAATGGAACCAAGTTGGAAAACATTCTGCAGGATACTATCCAGGAGAACTTCCCCAATCTAGCAAGGTGGGCCAACATTCAGATTCAGGAAATACAGAGAACGCCACAAAGATACTCCTCGAGAAGAGCAACTCCAAGACACACAATTGTCAGATTCACCAAAGTTGAAATGAAGGAAAAAATATTAAGGGCAGCCAGAGAGAAAGGTCGGGTTACCCACAAAGGGAAGCCCATCAGACTAACAGCAGATCTCTCAGCAGAAACTCTACAAGCCAGAAGAGAGTGGAGGCCAATATTCAACATTCTTAAAGAAAAGAATTTTCAACCCAGAATGTCATATCCAGCCGAACTAAGCTTCAAAAGTGAAGGAGAAATAAAATACTTTACAGACAAGCAAATGCTGAGAGATTTTGTCACCACCAGGCCTGACCTAAAAGAGCTCCTGAAGGAAGCGCTAAACATGGAAAGGAACAACTGGTAACAGCCACTGCAAAATCATGCCAAATTGTAAAGACCATCAAGGCTAGGAAGAAACTGCATCAACTAACGAGCAAAATAATCAGCTAACATCATAATGACAGGATCAAATTCACACATAACAATATTAACTTTAAATGTAAATGGACTAAATGCTCCAATTAAAAGACACAGACTGGCAAATTGGATAAAGAGTCAAGACCCATCACTGTGCTGTATTCAGGAAACCCATCTCATGGGCAGAGACACACATAGGCTCAAAATAAAAGGATGCAGGAAGATCTACCAAGCAAATGGGAAACAAAAAAAGGCAGGGGTTGCAATCCTAGTCTCTGATAAAACAGACTTTAAACCAACAAAGATCAAAAGAGACAAAGAAGGCCATTACATAATGGTAAAGGGATCAATTCAACAAGAAGAGCTAACTATCCTGAATATATAAGCACCCATCACAGGAGCACCCAGATTCATAAAGCAAGTCCTTAGAGACCTACAAAGAGACTTAGACTCACACACAATAATAATGGGAGAATTTAACAGCCTACTGTCAACATTAGACAGATCAACGAGACAGAAAGTTAACAAGGATACCCAGGAATTGAACTCAGTTCTGCACCAAGTGGACCTAATAGACATCTACAGAACTCTCCACCCCAAATCAACAGGATATACATTCTTTTCAGCACCACACCACACATATTCCAAAATTGACCACATAGTTGGAAGCAAAGCTCTCCTCAGCAAATGTAAAAGAACAGAGATTATAACAAACTGTCTCTCAGACCACAGTGCAATCAAACTAGAACTCAGGATTAAGAAACTCACTCAAAACCGCTCAACTACATGGAAACTGAACAACCTGCTCCTGAATGACTACTGGGTACATAACGAAATGAAGGCAGAAATAAAGATGTTCTCTGAAACCAACGAGAACAAAGACACAACATACCAGAATCTCTGGGACACATTCAAAGCAGTGTGTACAGGGAAATTTATAGCACTAAATGCCCACAAGAGAAAGCAGGAAAGATCCAAAATTGACACCCTAACATCACAATTAAAAGAACTAGAAAAGCAAGAGCAAACACATTCAAAAGCTAGCAGAAGGCAAGAAATAACTAAAATCAGAGCAGAACTGAAGGAAACAGAGACAGAAAAAAACCCTTCAAAAAATTAATGAATCCAGGAGCTGGTTTTTTGAAAGGATCAACAAAATTGATAGACCGCTAGCAAGACTAATAAAGAAGAAAAGAGAGAAGAATCAAATAGATGCAATAAAAAATGATAAAGGGGATATCACCACCGATCCCACAGAAATACAAACTACCATCAGAGAATACTACAAACACCTCTACGCAAATAAACTAGAAAATCTAGAAGAAATGGATAAATTCCTCAACACATACACCCTCCCAAGACTAAACCAGGAAGAAGTTGAATCTCTGAATAGACCAATAACAGGAGCTGAAATTGTGGCAATAATCAATAGCTTACTAACCAAAAAAGGTCCTGGACCAGATGGATTCACAGCCGAATTCTACCAGAGGTAGAAGGAGGAACTAGTACCATTCCTTCTGAAACTATTTCAATCAATAGAAAAAGAGGGAATCCTCCCTAGCTCATTTTATGAGGACAGCATCATCCTGATACCAAAGCCTGGCAGAGACACAACCAAAAAAGAGAATTTTAGACCAATATCCTTGATGAACATTGATGCAAAAATCCTCAGTAAAATACTGGCAAACTGAATCCAGCAGCACATCAAAAAGCTTATCCACGATGATCAAGTGGGCTTCACCCCTGGGATGCAAGGCTGGTTCAATATACACAAATCAATAAATGTAATCCAGCATATAAACAGAACCAAAGACAAAAACCACATGATTATCTCAATAGATGCAGAAAAGTCCTTTGACAAAATTCAACAACGCTTCATGCTAAAAACTCTCAATAAATTAGGTATTGATGGGACATATCTCAAAATAATAAGAGCTATCTATGACAAACCCACAGTCAATATCATACTGAATGGGCAAAAACTGGAAGCATTCCCTTTGAAAACTGACACAGGACAGGGATGCCCTCTCTAACCACTCCTATTCAACATAGTGTTGGAAGATCTGGCCAGGGCAATCAGGCAGGAGAAGGAAATAAAGGGTATTCAATTGGGAAAAGAGGAAGTCAAATTGTCCCTGTTTGCAGATGACATGATTGTATATCTAGAAAACCCCATTGTCTCAGCCCAAAATCTCCTTAAGCTGAGAAGCAACTTCAGCAGTCTCAGGATACAAAATCAATGTGCAAAAATCACAAGCATTCTTATACACCAATAACAGACAGAGAGCCAAATCATGAGTGAACTCCCATTCACAATTGCTTCAAAGAGAATAAAATACCTAGGAATCCAACTTACAAGGGATGTGAAGGACCTCTTCAAGGAGAACTACAAACCACTGCTCAAGGAAATAAAAGAGGATACAAACAAATGGAAGAACATTCCATGCTCATGGGTAGGAAGAATCAATATTGTGAAAATGGCCATACTGCCCAAGGTAATTTATAGATTCAATGCCATCCCCATCAAGCTACCAATGACTTTCTTCACAGAATTGGAAAAAACTACTTTAAAGTTCATATGGAACCAAAAAAGAGCCTGCATTACCAAGTCAATCCTAAGCCAAAAGAACAAAGCTGGAGGCATCACACTACCTGACTTCAAACTATACTACAAGGCTACAGTAACGAAAACAGCATGGTACTGGTACCAAAACAGAGATATAGATCAATGGAACAGAACAGAGCCCTGAGAAATAACGCTGCATATCTACAACTATCTGATCTTTGACAAACCTGAGAAAAACAAGCAATGAGGAAAGGATTCCCTATTTAATAAATGGTGCTGGGAAAACTGGCTAGCCATATGTAGAAAGTGAAACTGGATCCCTTCCTTACACCTTGTACAAAAATTAATTCAAGATGGATTAAAGACTTAAACGTTAGACCTAAAACCACAAAAACCCCAGAAGAAAACCTAGGCATTACCATTCAGGACATAGGCATGGGCAAGGACTTCATGTCTAAAACACCAAAAGCAATGGCAACAAAAGCCAAAATTGACAAATGGGATCTAATTAAACTAAAGAGCTTCTGCACAGCAAAAGAAACTACCATGAGAGTGAACAGGCAACCTACAAAATGGGAGAACATTTTCACAACGTACTCATCTGACAGAGGGCTAATATCCAGAATCTACAATGAACTCAAACAAATGTACAAGAAAAAAACAAACAACCCCATCAAAAAGTGGGCAAAGGACATGAACGGACACTTCACAAAAGAAGACATTTATGCAGCCAAAAAACACATGAAAAAATGCTCATCATCACTGGCCATCAGAGAAATGTAAATCAAAACCACAATGAGATACCATCTCACACCAGTTAGAATGGCAATCATTAAAAAGTCAGGAAACAACAGGTGCTGGAGAGGATGTGGAGAAATAGGAACACTTTTACACTGTTGGTGGGACTGTAAACTAGTTCAACCATTGTGGAAGTCAGTGTGGCGATTCCTCAGGGATCTAGAACTAGAAATACCATTTGACCCAGCCATTCCATTACTGGGTATATACCCAAAGGACTATAAATCATGCTGCCATAAAGACACATGCACACGTATGTTTATCACGGCACTATTCACAATAGCAAAGACTTGGAACCAACCCAAATGTCCAACAATGATAGACTAGATTAAGAAAATGTGGCACATATACACCATGGAATACTATGCAGCCACAAAAAATGATGAGTTCATGTCCTTTGTAGGGACATGGATGAAATTGGAAATCATCATTCTCAGTAAACTATCGCAAGAACAAAAAACCAAACACCGCATGTTCTCACTCATAGGTGGGAATTGAACAATGAGAACACATGGACACAGGAAGGGGAACATCACACTCTTGGAACTGTTGTGGGGTTAGGGGAGGGGGGAGGGATAGCTTTATGAGATATACCTGATGCTAAATGACGAGTTAATGGGTGCAGCACACCAGCATGGCACATGTATACATATGTAACTAACCTGCACATTGGGCACATGTTCCCTAAAACTTAAAGTATAATAATAATAAAATAAAATTTAAAAAAAATCAGCCATAAAACAAAATCCTCAGATTAACTTCCAAAGAGCAACAATTGGACTTCTCTTCTTTGAGAGATGACTACTCAAACAAGAGAAAATGGAATCCATACAATGGAAGGATATCTTTAAAGAGGTGAAAGAAAATTACTGCCAACTTAGATTTATATGCTCATAGGCAATATCAACAGTGAATATAAAATAAAGACATTCTAAGGTAAAAAACAAAAACAAAAAATTATCACTAGCAAACTCATGAGAGAAGAAATACTAAATGTTGTTCTTCAGGCAGAATAAAAATTTATCTTCCTAGAAAATAGGAAGAAAAGTGCAAAGGAAAGGTAAATATTTATGCAGATGTAAACAATTTTTTACTATATAAAACAATAATAAAGTTAGATGAAACAGACATTAAATCAACAGCAGTCAAAAAGGACCAAAAACGGCATTATATAATGATAAAGGGTTCAATTCAACAAGAAGACTTAACTATCCTAAATATATGCGCATCCAACACTGACACGCCCAGATTCATAAAACAAGTAATTCTAGACTAACAAAAAGACAGGCTGTCACTCAATAATGGGGGAGACTTCAATACTCCACTGGCAGTGTTAGGCAGATCAAGACAGAAAACTAACAATGAAATCCTGGACTGAAATTTGACACTTGACCAAGTATATTTGATAGACATTCACAGAATACTCCACCCAACAATCATCAGATATACATTCTTCTCATCTGCATACAGAACATACTCTAAGATGGACCACCTGCTCCACCATAAAGCAAGTGTTAACAAATTCAAAAAAAATAAAAATCATATCAACTGTGCTCTCAGAACACATTGAAATAAAAATAGAAATCAATACTAGAAGATCTCTCAAAACCACACAATTACATGGAAAGTAAACAACTTGCTCCTGAATGATTTTTGGGTAAACAAGAAAATTAAGGCAGAAATCTAAAGTTTATTTAAAATTAATAAAAACAGAGACAAAACATACCAAAATCTTGGGAATATAGCAAAAGCCATGTTAAGAGAAAAGTTTATAACACTAAATATCTACATCAAAAAGCCAGAAACAATATCAAATTAATATTCTAACATCCCTCCTAGAGGAACTAGAAGAACAAGAACAAATCAACCCCAGAGCTAGCAGAAGAAAAGAATAACTAAAATCCGAGCAGAACTGAATGAAATTGAGATCCAAAAATCCATACAAAATATCAATGAAATCAAAAGTTTTTTGAAAGGATAAACAAGATTGATAGACTCCTAGCTACATTAACAGAGAAAAAAGAGAAGAACTAAATAAGCACAATCAGAAATGACATTACAACCAATCCCACCAAAAAAAAAACAAAACATCCTCAGAGACTATTATGAAAACCTCTATGCACACGAACTAGAAAATCCAGAGGGAATGGATACACTACTGGAAACACAACCCATCAAGTTTGAACCAGGAAGAAATTGAAACCCTGAACATATCAATAATGAGTTCTGAAATTGAATCAGTCATTAAAAAAAAAAACTACTGCCAAAAAAGTCCTGGACCAGATGGATTCACAGCCATATTCTATCAGATGTACAAGGAGGAACTAGTACCAATCCTACTAAAACTATTCCTGAAAATTAAGGAGGAGGGACTCCTCCATAACTCATTCTACAAAGCCAGTATCATCCTGGTACCAAAGCTGGCAAAGACAGAATGAAAAAAGAAAATGACAGGCTAATATCCCTGATGAACATAGATGAAAAAATCCTCAGCAAAATACTAGCAAACTGAATCTAGCAACACATCAAAAAGAAAATTAACCAGGATCAAGTAGGCTCAATTCCTGGGGTATAAGGTTTGTTCAACATACACAAATCAATAAATGTGATTCACCACATAAAGAGAATTAAAAACAAAAACCATATGATCATCTCAATAGATGTGGGAAAAGCTTTTAGTAAAATCCAACATCATTTTATGATAGAAGCCCTCAACAAACTAGGCATCAAAGGAACATACCTCAAAATAATAAAGGCCATTTATGACAAACCCACAGCCAACATCACATTGAATGGGCAAAAGTTGAAAGCACTCACCTTGAGAACTCGAACAAGACAAGGATGTCCACTCTCACCATTCTTATTTAACATAGTACTAGAAGTTCTAGAAGAACAATCAGGCAAGGAAAAGAAATAGAAGACATCCAAATAGGAAAAAAAAGAAGTGAAACTCTTCACTAATGATATGATTCTATAGCTAGAACACTCTAAAGACTCTGCCAAAAAAACTCCTAGAACTGAAAAAATGACTTCAGTAAAGTTTCAGCATACAAAATCAATGTATGAAATACCATTTGACCCAGCCATCCCATTACTGGGTATATACCCAAAGGATTATAAATCATGCTGCTATAAAGATACATGCACACGTGTGTTTACTGTGGCACTATTCACAATAGCAAAGACTTGGAACCAAGCCAAATGTCCAACAATGATAGACTGGATTAAGAAAATGTGGCACATATACACCATGGAATACTATGCAGCCATAAAAAAGGATGAGTTCATGTCCTTTGTGGGGACATGGATGAAGCTGGAAACCATCATTCTCAGCAAACTATCGCAAGAACAAAAAACCAAACACCGTATGTTCTCACTCATAGGTGGGAATTGAACAATGAGAACACATGGACACAGGAAGGGGAATATCACAAACCAGGGCCTGTTGTGGGGAGGGGGGAGGGGGGAAGGATAGCATCAGGAGATATACCTAATGTTAAATGACGAGTTAATGGGTGCAGCACACCAACATGGCACATGTATACATATGTAACAAACCTGCACATTGTGCACATGTACCCTAAAACTTAAAGTATAATAAAAATAAAAATAAATACATAAATAAATAAAAGGACATGATAAGAAACTATATTTTTAAAAAAACACAAAAAAAATCAGTAACATTTCTATACAACAACATTCGAGCTAAGAATCAAAGCAAGAATGTGTTACAATTTTCAATAGCCACAAAAAATAAAATACCTAGGGATACATCTAATCAAGGAGATGGAAGATCTCTACAAGGAGAACCACAAAAGACTATCAAAGGAAATCAGAAATGACACAAACGAATGAGGAAACATTCCACACTCATGAATTGAAACAATCAATATCGTTAAAATGGTCATACTGCCTAAAACAATCTATAAATTCAATGGTATTCCTATGAAACTATGTCATTTTATCACAGAATTAAAAAAAAAACTATTCTAAATTTCATATAAAACCAGAAAAGAGCCCAAATAGCCAAAAGCAATTCTAAGCAAAAAGAATAAAGCCAGAGGTATCACATTACCTAACTTCAAACTATACTACGATGCTACAGTAAGCAAACAGCATGGTATTGGTACACAAATAGACACATAGACTAATGGGACAGAATAGAGAACCCAGAAACAAAGCTGCACACCTACAGCCATCTGATCTTTGACAAAGTCAACAAAAGTAAGCAATGGAGAAAGGACTCCCTTTTCAATAAATAATGTTGAGATAGCTAGCCATATGCAGAAGAATGAAATTTGATCACTACCTATCGCCATATAAAAAATTAACTCAAGATGAATTACAGACTTAAATCTAAGGCCTCCAACTATAAAAATCCTAGGAGAAAATCTAAGAAATGCCCTTCTTGACATCAACCTTGGCAAAGAATTCATGGCTAAATCCTCAAAAGCAATTACACCAAAAACAAAAATTGACAAGGAGGACCTAATTAAACTAAGGAGCTTCTGTACAGCGAGAAAAACTGTCAACAGAATAAACAGACAATCTTCAGATTGGGAGAAAATATTTGCAAACTATGCTTCTGACAAAGGTCTAATATCCAGAATCTATAAGGAATTTAAATCATTAAGCAAAAAAAGAAAATATTTAAGAAGTGGACAAAGGACATGAACAGACACTTCTCAAAAGAAGACATGCAAGTAGCCAGTAAACATGAAAAATGCTCATCATCACTAATCATCAAAGAAATGCAAATTAAAACTACAATGAGATACCATCTCACACCCACCAGTCAGAATGGCTATCATTAAAAAGTAAAAAAATAACAGATGTTGGCAGGGCTGTGGAGAAAAGAGAGTGCTTATATGCTGTTGATGGGATTGTAAATTAGTTCAGCCATTCTAGAAAGCAGTTTGGAGATTTCACAAAGAACTGAAGATAGAACTACCATTCAACCCAGCAATCCCAATCTTTTGGGTAAATACCCAAAAGAAAATAAATAATCCTACCAAAAAGACACATGCATTCATATGTTCATCACAGCACTATTCACAACAGCAAAGACATGGAATCAACCCAGGTGCCCATCAACAGTGAATTGGATAAATAAAATGTGGCATGTATACACCATAGAATACTACACAGCCATGAAAAAGAATGAAATAATATTCTTTGCAGTAACATGGTTGCAGCTAGAGGCCATTATCCTAAGCAAACTAACACAGAACCAGAAAACCAAATACCACATGTTTTTACTTATAAGTGGTAGCTAATCTTTGGATACACATAGACATAAAGATGGGAACAATAAACTCCACAAACTAAAAGAGGGGAGAAGTAGGGAGAGGGGAAGGGTTGAAAAACTATCTATTGGGTACTATACTCACTACTTGGGTGACAGGTTCAATCATATCCCAAACTTGAGCATCACACAATATACCATTATAACAAACCTGCACATGTACCCCAAAATCTAAATTAAAACTTGAAAAACAAGTTTTATATAGAATTTTTTGCTAACTATGCAGCCTAATAACATTTTCTTTTTTCTTTTTTCTTTTCTTTTTTTTTTTCTTTTTTGAGATAGAATCTCGTTCTGTCGCCCAGGCTGGAGTACAGTGGCACGATCCCGGCTCACTGCAAGCTCCGTCTCCCGGGTTCCAGCGATTCTCTGGCCTCAGCCTCCCGAGTAGCTGAGACTACAGGCATGCGCCACGATGCCGGGCTAATTTTTGTATTTTTTAGTAAAGACGGGGTTTCACCATATTGGCCAGGCTTGTCTCAAACTCCTGACCTCGTGATCCACCCACCTCGGCCTCCAAAGTGCTGGGATTACAGGCGTGAGCCACCGCGCCCAGCAACATTTTCTTTTTAGCTTCTGAATTTTGTGTTTTGCCTGTAAAGACTCCTCCCAATCCAAAGTTATTTTTTTAAATATGTTTTCTTCTTAAGCAGCAAAGCTAAAATAAATAAATAAGTAAATAAATAACAACAAAAAGGAAAATCTACTTTCTATAGAAAATAGGCCTGTAACAAAAAAAGAGATTGAATCAGTAATAATATTTTTAAAAAGACACCCTAATAAATGTCATCAGGATGGCAGAATAAGCTTTTTCTATCCAACTATCCAAATGTGAAAATACTTTCACAAGCAATAACGAAACCAAGTGAGAGATTATAGCACCTTGGTGAAGCACTGAAATAAAAAATGCGCTAAAGTGGGTAGGAAGGATAGTTTTCAATTATTCATGCCACCTGTTTCCTAACCCCCAGGTAGCACAGCATGGAGACAGATACTCTTCATTTGGGCCTCAACACGGGGCCTTCTCTAGTAAAACTCAGCACCAGGCAGTCACCCACAGCCCATCTCCAGGCTTGCCTGACAGATTTGGTCTTTAGGCTGCCCCACCACCAGGCCAAACACAGTAGCCCTAGACTTTAGACCAGCCCCAGCTCTAGTTCAGCCTCAGAAGCCCTGGGCTTTGGGGCTGGCCCAGCGCAAGGCCAGCCCCCACAGACTCAGTCTCCATTCCTTCCCTAGGGCCATGCCAGCCCGAATGGCCCTGTGTCCCAGGCTACCCCCAGCACTGGGCTGGCCCCCACAGTTCCAGGCTTCAGGCCCACCCCAGCCATCAGGCCAGCCCCTGCAGTCTTAGCCATCAAGCCAAACTTTCTGTGCTTCAGGATCCAGGGCAGCCCAGAACCAGATTGGCCCACATAGCCCAAGGCTTCAGGCCTGCCCCAAGACCAAGTCAGCACCCCTGGCCTCAGACAGTAGGCTGACACTGGGAGACACAGGCTCCAGACCTGCCAATGCCAGGCCCTGTGACTATACCCCAGTAGACCCTGGTGCCAGTTTGGTCCCATCAGACTAATAATCCAAGACCACTCCTGAAGACCAGCCCCAGTGGACCCAGGACTTAGGCTCATCTCTGCAGAAGCAGGCTCCAGAACTGCCAGAGCATGAGGTGAGCCTCTATGAACCCAAGCTTCAGGCTGCATGGATACAGGTTTCATGCCCACCACAAAGGACACAATCAACAGGTCCAAGCCAGTGGATCCAGGCTCCAGATCCAACCCCATGGGTTCACACAGGCCAGCCTGCCTAATGACTCCAGCAGCAAGTCTGCTTAGAATCTCTGAACAGGCAGACTAGTGAAGAGCTCTACCAGACAAAGCAAGTCTCCAAAGACTGGAATGACTCCCTGTTTCTTTAAATGCACAGACACCAACACATGGTCATAGGGATCAAGAACAATCTTGCCACCAAGAAAAAGCACTAGTAACTGAACCTAAAGAAATAGGAGTTTATGAACTGCCTAACAAAGAACTCAAAATAATTGTTTTAAGGAAGCTCAGTATTTCAAGAAATTACAAAGAAACAATTCAACAAATTCAGGAAAACACTAAACAACCAAAACAATAAATTTAACAAAGAGAATGAAATTATTTAAAAAAAAAAAACAGATTCTGGAGCTGGAAAAATACAATGAGTGAAATGAAAAATGCAATGGTGAGCATTAACACAGGAATTGATTAAGGAAAAGAATAAATCTGTGAACTTGAAGACAAGTTATTTGAAAATATACAGTCATAAGAGAAATAATCTCTTTAAATGATAAGAAATGAAGAAAGCTTACAGGATTTATGAAACAGCATTGAAAAGATCATTCATCATGACTGAGTGGGATTTATCCCAAGGTTGAAAAGATGATTTAACATATACCAATCAATCAATGTAATACACCACATTAACAAAATGAAGGACAGAAACCACATATCATCTCAATAGGTGCAGAAAAATCATTTGACAAAATTTTGCATTCTTCCATGATAAAAGCTCTCAACAAATTAGGTATAGAAGGAATTACTTCAACATAACAAAGCTCACATATGACAAGCCCACAGCTAACATACTCAAGGATAAAAGTTGAAAGTTTGTCCTCTAAGATCGTGAACAACTCAAGCATGCCCACCCCAATATCTTTTTGACATAGTACTGGAAATCCTAGCCAGAGCAATTAGGCTACAGAAAGAAAGTTGATGTAGTCTGGAGGCAGAACTCACTCTTCCTTGGAGGACCTCTGTTTATTTTCTCTTAAGGCCTTCAATTGATTGAATGAAGTCCAGCCACATTATGGAGAATCTCCTTTACTCAATGTCTACTGATTTAAATTATAAGCTCATCTAAAATTTAACTTCACAGCCAGGCACAGTGGCTCACGCCTGTAATCCTAGCACTTTGGGAGGCCGACGCAGGTGGATCACTTGAGGTCAGGAGTTCGAGACCAGCCTGGCCAACATGGCAAAACCTCGTTTCTACCAAAAATACAAAAATTAGCCAGGCGTGGTGGCACACACTTGTAGTCCCACCTACTCTGGAGGCTGAGGTAGGAGAATCATTTGAATCTGGGAGGCAGAGTTGCAGCGAGCCAAGATCACACCACTGCACTGCAGCCTGGTTGAGAATGAGACTCCGTCTCAAAAAAAAATTAAAATAAAAAAATACAATACAATACAACTTCACAGCAATATCCAGACAGGTATTTGACCAACTATATGGGTACCACGGACTAGCCAGATTGACACATTAAAGGAACCATCACACCACCTACCTTGTTTTATGATCCCAGCATAGATATGATAATATTGAGAGCTTTCCAGTTAAGATCAGTAATAAGGAAAGAATGGCCACTGTCGTCACTTTTATTCATCACCATAAGGCATTTATTATGGTGATGTTAAACTGTGCAATAAGAGAAGAAAAAGAAATGCAAGATATATGAATTGGGAAGGGAAGAAAATAAAATTGCAGGCCAATCTCTCTTATGACTATAGATACAAAAATTTCAAACAAAATAAGAGCAAATAAAATCTATGATATACATCATAGATAATATATGATGATCAAGCTGAGTTTTTGTATAAAGGCAAGATTGGATTAACACTTGAAAATCAATCAATGTAATTTGCTACATTAGCATAATAGAGGAAAAAACAATATAATCATCTCAACAAATGCAGAAAAGGTATGTGATAAAACTCAATCTCCATTATGATTTAAAATTCTTAGCAAACCAGGAATAAAAGAGAGCTTCCTTAATATGATAAGCAATATAAAAACACTTATCATAGTTAATGTTGAAATATTGGGAACTTTCCAGTTAAGATCAGTAATAAGGAAAGAATGGCCACTGTCATCACTTTTATTCATCACCGTACTGGAGATGTTAAACTGTGCAATAAGAGAAGAAAAAGAAATGAAAGGTATATGAATTGGAAAGGGAAGAAAATCATAATTCATGCACAAAATGATTGCATATATAGAAAATCCAAAATAATCTATAAACTATTAAAATTAACAAATTACTTAAATGAGGACATTTAACGCAATGTCAATATATATTTTCAAAATTTAGTTTTTAATTTTTATTTATTATGATTATTTGTTTTGTAGAGACAAAGTCTTGTTATGTTGCCCAGGCTGGTCTCGAACTCCTGGGCTCAAGCAATCCTCTAGCCTCAGCTTTCTAAACTGCTGGGAGGATGAGGCACTGGTGTGAGCCACTCTGCCCAGCCTGTTGTTTATTTATTTATTATATATTTATTATATATTTATTATATATATATGAGTGTGTGTATATATGTGTGTGTGTGTGTATATACATATATATATGTATATGTATATATATTAAGTTCTGGGGTACATGTGCAGACCATGTAGTTTTGTTACATTGGTATACATATGCCATAGTGCTTTGCTGCACCCATCATTAGGTATTTCTCCTAATGCTATCCCTCCCCTAGCTCCCCAACCCCAACAGGCCCTGGTGTGTGATGTTCCCCTCCCTGGGTCCATGTGTTCTAATTGTTCAACTCCCACTTATGAGTGAGAACATGCGGTGTTTGGTTTTTGTTTCTTGTGTTAGTTTACTGAGAATGATGGTTCCTAGCTTCATTTTAGCACGAAGCGGTGTTGAATTTTGTCAAAGGCCTTTTCTGCATCTATTGAGATAATCATGTGGTTTTTGTCATTGGTTCTGTTTATGTGATGGATTACGTTTATTGAATTGCATATGTTGAACCAGGCTTGCATCCCAGGGATGAAGCCAACTTGATCGTGGTGGATAAGCTTTTTGATGTGCTGCTGGATTTGGTTTGCCAGTATTTTATTGAGGATTTTTGCATCAATGTTGATCAGGGATATTGGCCTGAAATTTTCTTTTTCTGTTTTGTCTCTGCCGGGTTTTGGTATCGGCATTATGCTGGCCTCATAAAATGAGTTAGGGAGGATTCCCTATTTTTCTATTGTTTGAAATAGTTTCAGAAGGAATGGTACCAGCTCCTCTTTGTACCTCTGGTAGAATTCGGGTGTAAATCCCTCTGGTCCTGGACTTTTTTTGGTTGGTAGACTATTAATTATCACCTCAACTTCAGAACGTTATCGGTCTATTCAGGGAATTGACATCTTCCTGGTTTAGTCTTGGGAGGGTGTATGTGTCCAGGAATGTATCCAATTCTTCTAGATTTTCTAGTTTATTTGCATAGAGGTGTTTATAGTATTCTTTGATGGTAGTTTGTATTTCTGTGGGATCAGTGGTGATATCCCCTATATCGTTTTTTATTTTGTCTATTTGATTCTTCTCTCTTTTTTCTTTATTAGTCTTGCTAGTGGTCTATTTTGTTGATCTTTTCAAAAATCCAGCTCCTGGATTCATTGATTTTTTGAAGGGTTTTTTGTGTCTCTATCTCCTTCGGTTCTGTTCTGATCTTAGTTATTTCTTGTCTTCTGCTAGCTTTTGAATTTGTTTGCTGTTGCTTCTCTAGTTCTTTTAATTTTGATGTTAGGGTGTCAGTTTTAGATCTTTCCTGCTTTCTCTTTTGGGCATTTAGTGCTATAAATTTCCCTCTACACACTGCTTTAAATGTGTCCCAGAGATTGTGGTACGTTGTGTCTTTGTTCTCATTGGTTTCAAAGAACATCTTTATTTCTGCCTTCATGTCGTTATTTACCCAGCAGTCATTCAGGAGCAGGTTGTTCAGTTTCTGTGTAGTCGTGCAGTTTTTAGTGAGTTTCTTAATCCTGAGTTCTAATTTGCTTGCACTGTGGTCTGGGAGACTGTTTGTTTTGATTTCCGTTCTTTTGCATTTGCTGAGGAGTGTTTTACTTCCAATTATGTTGTCAATTTTAGAATAAGTGTGATGACGTGCTGGGAAGAATGTATAGTCTGTTGATTTGGGGTGGAGAGTTCTGTAGATGTCTATTAGGTCTGCTTTGTCCAGAGCTGAGTTCAAGTCCTGAATATCCTAGTTAATTTTCTGTCTTGTTGATCTGTCTAATATTGAGAGTGGGGTGTTAAAGTCTCCCACTATTATTGTGTGGGAGTCTAAGTCTCTTTGTAGGTCTCTAAGAACTTGCTTTATGAATCTGGGTGCTCCTGTATTGGGTGCATATATATTTTAGATAGTTAGCTCTTCTTGTTGAATTGATCCTTTTACCATCATGTAATGCCCTTTTTGTCTCTTTTGATCTTTGTTTGTTTAAAGTCTGTTTTATCAGAGATTAGGATTGCAAGTCCTGCTTTTTTTCTTTCCATTTGCTTGGTAAATATTCCTCCATCCCTTTATTTTGAGCCTATGTGTGTCTTTGCACATGAGATAGGTCTGCTGAATACAGCACACTGCTGGGTCTTGACTCTATCCAATTTGCCAGTCTGTGCCTTTTAATTGAGGCATTTAGCCCTTTTACATTTAAGTTTAATATTGTTATGTGTGAATTTGATCCTGTCGTTATGATGCTAGCTGGTTATTTTGCCCATTAGTTGATGCAATTTCTTCATAATATAAATGGTCTTTACAATTTGGTATGTTTTTGCAGTGGCTGGTACCAGTTGTTCCTTTCCACGTTTAGTGCTTCCTTCAGGAGCTTGGTAAGGCAGGCTTGGTGGTGAGAAAATCTCTCAGCATTTGCTTGTCTGTAAAGTATTTTATTTCTCCTTTCCTTATGAAGCTTAGTTTGGCTGGATATCAAATTCTGGGTTGAAAATTATTTCCTTTAAGAATGTTGAATATTGGCCCCCACTCTCTTCTGGCTTGTAGGTTTTCTGCAGAGAGATCTGCTGTTAGTCTGATGGGCTCCCCTTTGTAGGTAACCTGGCCTTTCTCTCTGGCTGCCGTTAACCTTTTTTCCTTCATTTCAACCTTGGTGAATCTGACAATTGTGTGTCTTGGGGTTGCTCTTCTCAAGGAGTATCTTTGTGGTGTTCTCTGTATTTCCTGAATTTGAATGTTGGCCTGTCACTAGGTTGGGGAAGTTCCCCCAGATAATATCCTGAAGAGTGTTTTCCAACTTGGTTCCATTTTCCCCATCACTTTCAGGTACACCACCAATCAAACGTAGATTTTATCTTTTCACATAGTCCCATATTTCTTGGAGGCTTTGTTCGTTCCTTTTTATTCTCTTTTCTCTAATCTTGTCTTCTCACTTTATTTCATTAAGTTGATCTTCAATTTCTGATATCCTTTCCGCTTGATTGATTCAGATATTGGTACTGGTGTATACTTCACGAAGTTCCCATGCTGTGTTTTTCAGCTCCATCAGGTCATTTATGTTCTTCTCTAAACTGTTTATTCTAGTTAGCAATTCATCTAACCTTTTTTCAAGGTTCTTAGCTTCCTTGCATTGGGTTAGAACATGCTCCTTTAGCTCGGAGGAGTTTGTTATTACCCACATTTTGAAGCCTACTTCTGTCAATTCATCAAACTCATTCTCCATCCAGTTTTGTTCCCTTGCTGGCGAGGAGTTGTGATCCTTTGGAGGAAAAGAAGCATTCTTGTTTTTGGAATTTTCAGCCTTTTTGCGCTGGTTTCTCCCCATTTTTGTGGATTTATCTACCTTTGGTCTTTGATGTTTGTGACCTATGGATGGGGTCCCTGAGTGGGTGTGCTATTCCTTTCTGTTAGTTTTCCTTCTAACAATCAGGTCCCTCTGCTGCAGGTCTGCTGAAGTTTGCTGGAGGTCCACTCCAGATCCTGTTTGCCTGGGTATCACCAGCGGAAGCTGCAGAACAGCAAATATTGCTGCCTGTTCTTTCCTCTGGAAGCTTTGTCCCAGAGGGGCACCTACCAGATATCAGCCAGAGCTCTCCTGTATGAGGTCTGTCGGCCCCTACTGGGAGGTGTCTCCCAGTCAGGATACACGGGGATCAGGGACCCACTTGAGGAAGCAGTCTGACCCTTAGCAGAGCTCGAACGCTGTGCTGGGAGGTCCACTGCTCTCTTTAGAGCTGTCAGGCAGGGACGTTTAAGTCTGCTGAAGCTGCGCCTAACAGCTGCCCCTTCCCCCAGGTGCTCTGTCCCAGGGAGATGGGTTTTTATCTGTAAGTCCCTGACTGGGGCTGCTGCCTTTTATTTCGGAGATGCCCTGCCCAAAGAGGAGAAATCTGTCAGTCTGGCCACAGCAGCCTTGCTGAGCTGCAGTGAGCTCCGCCAAGTTTGAACTTCCTGGCGGCTTTGTATACACTGTGAGGGTAAAATCGCCTACTCAAGCCTCAGCAATGGCGGACTCCCCTCCCCCTACCGAGCTCAAGCACCCCAGGTCGATCCCAGACTGCTGCTGTGCTGGCAGCAAGAATTTCAAGCCAGTGGATCTTAGTTTGCTGGGCTCTATGGGGGTGGGACCCAACGAGCCATACCATTTGGCTCCCTGGCTTCAGCCCCCTTTCCAGGGGAGTGAACGGTTCTGACTTGCTGGTGTTCCAGGTGCCACTGGGGTATGGAAAAAAAAAAAACTCCTGCAGCTAGTTTGATGTCTGCCCAAACGGCTGCCCAGTTTTGTGCTTGAAACCCAGGGCCCTGGTGGGGTAGGCACTGGAGGAAATCTCCTGGTCTGTGGGTTGCGAAGACCATGAAAAAGGCACAGTATCTGGGCCGGAGTGCACGGTTCCTCAGTCACAGTCCCTCACAGCTTCCCTTGGGTAAGGGAGAAAATTCCCTGACCCCTTGTGCTTCCCACGTGAGGCAATGCCCCACCCTGCTTCAGCTCGCCTTCCATGGGCTGCACCCACTGTCCAACCAGTCCCAGTGAGATGAACCGGGTACCTCAGTTGGAAATACAGAAATCACCCACCTTCTGCATCGATCTTGCTGGGAGCTGCAGACCAGAACTGTTCCTATTCTGCCATCTTGCCAGCAATCCCTTGTGTCAATCTATTTTTTAAAATCAGTTGTAGTCCTATATACCAGTAGCAAACAATAGGAAAATGAACTTTTAAAATCCAGGCCATTTAGAATAGCATTGAGAAGCCACAAAATCTTAAGAATTATCCTAACAAAGTATATGCAAGTCTGAATCTGAAAACTACAATACATTATTGAAAGAAATTAAAGAACAAAAAAAGAGTAGTAAACTATATTAATGGAATGAGAAACTCAATATTATAAATGTGAAATATGTTAATTCTCACCAAATTGGTCTGTAGATTCAGTGCAGTTCCAAACAAAATCCCAAGAGTGTGTGTGTGTGTGTGTGTGTGTGTGTGTGTGTGTGTGTATGTCTGTGTAATTTGGCAAGCTTATTTTTTAAATCTATATATAAATGTAGAAATACCAAGAATAACCAAAATAATGTTGGAAAATAACAATAAAGAGGATTTATATTAGCAAATATCAAGTTTTACAATAAAGCTACAGTAATTATGACAAGGTACAAGAACACCAGTGCACGGATTAAAAAAAAGACCAATTGAAAGAATAGAAAGTCCCGAGATAGATTCATACATATATAGCAACATAACTTATTACAAAGGTGACACTGTAGTGTAGTGGAGGAAAGAACGGTCTTCTTGAGAAATGGTGCTGGGTCAATTGGATATCCATATGTGGGGAAATTGAATCTTGACCCTTACCTCACATCACATACAAAAATAAATTCTAGGTGAATTATAAATCTAAATGTGAAAGGCAAAATTATAAAGCTTCTAGAAGATAACGTAGATAATCTTCATGACGTTATAGTAGGAGAAAGTTTCTTTAAAAGAATAAAATAAAATGAAGGAAAATATTGATAAATTTCTCTTTATCAAAAGACACCATTACATAGTGAAAAATGAAGCCATACAACCTTAATATCAAAACTTCATGATGAGAAAGATACTTGATGATGGTACATTAATCCCACCAATGAATGTACATGAAAAATTTTAAATATAATAACAAATATAATCCAGAAGTATGGCAAAAAATTACAAATTAATCAATTGCTACAATGAGAATTAAATCATCTAATTCCAATGTCCTTCTTACACTTGTTTAATTTTTTTTTTTTTTTTTTGAGATGAGGTCTCACTCTGTTGCCCAGGCTGAAGTGCAGTGGTGCCATCACAGCAGCCCTGACCTCCCAAGTCTCAGGTGATCCTCCCACCTCAGTTTTTGTGGGGCTTTTTGGGTAGAGATGAGGTTTCATCATGTTCCCCAGGCTGGTCTCCAACTCCTGGGCTCAAGCAATTTACCTGCCTCAGACTCCCAAAGTACTGGGATTACAGGTGTGAGCCACTGTACCCAGCCTCACTTATTTCATTTTATCCCTTGTGTTATTTTCTCTATTTGTACTCAATACCTTTTTTAAAGTTATATTTATATCTTACCCACTTTGTCAGGTGGAATGTCACTTTCTCTTGCAAGTGCCTGCAAAGATGTCTTGATTAGTATTACTCATGTCTCTAAGATCTAATAGCATGTTTTGTGTTTCTGGGAAGTCTCATCCTTTGGCTGCAAGGCACAGATAATATGTAACTTGAAGAACAAGATTAGCCAGCAGACTGAAAAATGCTCAGACACACTGATTAGCTCATTCATTGTCATGTATCCAGAGACAGAAGATATTATGAGTACTTTAATTGCTGACTCAGAATTTTTTTGGTCCAGACCACCTTTTACAAATTGTAAAACTGAAGAATTTTAATAGCCCAAAGTATATTGTAGCCTACTCAATGGTGTTTTAGGGTCTTTCATAATGGACTTGTGACACAATTAGTGTCAAAACCTTTCCTAACTTATGTGCCATCCTAGACTCACTTGGCCCCAATTCCCTATCCTGAACCCTGATCAACTTCCTTACTTCCTGACCAGAGGAAGCAGCAATGATTCATGCTGTTTCTACATTCTTAGAGCCTAGGCCACTGCCACTGCCACTGGTGTTCCAGCCACAGCTTGAAGTCACCTAACATAGTGTCACCTAACAAGGAGAGAATATTACAGCTGCAAACTAGACAGACTAGATGCATAGAAATACAGGGGAATTAATGTCCCATGGAGCTAACTTTGATCAATGGAAATCTGGCTACTCAAAAGAGCTGACAGAAAAAATCTTTTTTATTTCTCCCACTTAGATAAACTGTTCTTAAATGCAGTAATTTTATATGTACTTACTGAAGACATCACATGAGGTAAAATAATCAGCTGTGTCTTTGTTGACAAGTTATGTCCAGATGAGTAACTCACCCCCTCATATTTGCTTTCTATCTTTCCTTGCCTCACTTCCCTTTTCCCCTCACTTGTATTGCACATCCCAGCAGTGTCACCAGGTAAACTTTTGCCCCAGGCTCTGTTTTCTAGTCCTGAGCTAAGAAACCACCCAGACCATTAATTCTATTTTTAATAAAACAAGTTCTGCAGTATAGGACTTCACCAATAGTAGCTAGTAACTCAGTGCACCATGCCTCCAAAGTAGCAACCATAAAAATAAAGATCCTATTTATAGAAAAGAATAATACTTTGTAAATAACCAAAGACTAATAGAATATAATATGTCTTCCAAGAAGTATGCTATCTATCTGGGAAAAGATAAGTGTTGAGAATAGATGTCTATTTGTAATATACATGATTGTGTATAATAGAAGAAAAATTTAAACAAAATGTTAAAATGTGTATATAAAATGCTTGAAGGGAATATCAGTCTATTTTATAACCTAGAGCTTCCTCAGCATGACCAAAAACCTAGAAGCCATAAAGGGAAAATATGTAAGATTTGATCACAAGTAGGTAATCACCTATAAAGGAAAAAACATGAACAAAGCTAAATGAATTAGAGAATCACAAGGTTCTCCAACTTTGACGCCAACCTCTAGTTAAGTTGGTTAAGTTTCCTGAGCATTAAATAAATAAGTAAATGATAGTGTGGTTTCTGATGTAGATTGTTCTTAGGGAGAGAATGTTCTGAGCAGCAAACACTAAGGATCTGGTCTGCTTGATAATTATATTTTTTTACAGTAATGTAAATTATCATTCTGAATTTTTTTTTTATTTTCAAAAGGGAATTCTACTCCATTTGACAGTATGTCATGTCCTCTGCAAACTTAAAAATCCTCAATAAATGAAGTGGCTTTATGCCAAAACTAAGATGCTAGTATCACACCTACTCTTTCACTTTTTAAAATATTGATGGTCAACAGGGCCAGAGACTGACACTTAGCCCATTCTTAATGGTGAAGTGAATTACATTTTCATGACCCTATCAGGATAAAAGTACCCCTCTGATAAGGCTTTCTTCACTCCTTCCTCCCTTCTCCCTCCTCTCCTGTCTATCCCCAAACACACACATTGCCCAGGCCCTTAGTACAATGCCTGAGAGGGCCCCAATGGAGAGGGTCAAGCATGAAGCTATGCTACTCTGATACGTAAATATTCCCTTTCCTGCTAATACCACAGCCTTAGGGCAGAGCAGACCAGGGCCCCCAGGATGGTGGTGAGACAGCTCTGGCTTAAAGGCGAGGAATGAAACCCCCTGTGCAAAAATTATGACTGAGAAAATTATGACAGCGAAAGAGATCTGACCTAATCGACTCCATCTTGCTTCTAACCTCCAAGCTGTCCTTGTTCATTCCTGGGTATAAGCTGAACTAACTTTGGGAGGAACTTAGTTTATAGCTTAACTTTGAAATAAAGATAATAACAGTCCTTTCCAAAAACAAACGCCCTTTCTTTATGTCGAGAAAGGGCTGTTTGAGGACCAGACTGCCTTTGTAAGACTAAGAAATTAGCCACAAGATTAGAAATTATGACTTAGGGCCAGGTGGGGTGGCTCGCACATGTAATCCCAGCACTTTGGGAGGCTAAGGCAGGTGATCACCTGAGGTCAACAGTTCGAGACCAGCCTGGCCAACATGTCAAAACCCCGTCTCTACTAAAAATACAAAACTTAGCTGGGCATGGTTGCACGCGTCTGTAGTCCCAGCTACTCAGGAAAGTGAGGAAGGAGAATTGCTTGAACCTGGGAGGCGGACGTACCAGTGAGCCAAGATCACGCCATTGCACTCCAGCCTGGGTGACAGAGCAAGACACCGTCTAAAAATATATATATATGGCTTAGGAGTCATGCAGCTAGAGGCCACAGGATTCTAAACCTCCCCAATTTTTCCTACAGATGACATCACTATTGTAAAACCAAGAATTGGTGCTCCAGATATTTTTCAGACCCTGCACTCAATGGATCAGCTGGCACCACCCAGATCAATAAACTGGCTCATCTGGTCTTGTGGCCCCCACCCAGGAACTGACTCAGCACAAGAGAACAGCTTTGACTCCAATGATTTCATCTCCAACCCGACCGATCAACATTCCCCACTCCTTGACCTTTTATCCACCAACTTATCCTTTAAAAACCCCAGTCTCTGAATTTGGGGGGAGATCGATTTAAGTAATAACTCTGTCTCCGGTGTGCCATGGCTGGCCTCGTGTCAATTAAACTCTTTTTACTGCAATGCCATGGATTCATTTTATTTGTACAGCCAGCAGGAAGAACTCGTCAGGTAGTTGCAGGAAGAGCCATGGCTTAAAGACAGAAACCAGAGAAAACCTTCATCCTAGGATGTGATGCAAAATTAATGTAAAAAGCTAGCATTGAAAACAGTATGAATCATTATTTAAAAAACCATTTTCAAGGGAACTTAGCAGAGAAATTAATGACGACAGCCATAAACATAAATTTTGCCCGAACCACATCAATTTGCTAAACATACACTTGGAATGTCTTCTGAAACAAGACAAGTAAAATGTGAATTAAAGAAAAAACACATTTCCTGAGCCTTGAAATATTATGTATATTGGTTGACAATTTTTAACAAGACAAATCTTGAAATATTATGTATATTGATTGACAATTTATAACAGGACAAATATCTACTTTTTTTTTTTTTTTGAGACAGGGTCTCACTCTGTTGCCCAAGCTGGAGCGCAGTGGCATGATCACAGCTCAGTGCAGCCTCAACCTTCCCAGGCACAAGTGATCCTCCCACCTCAGTCTCCTGGGGTGTTGGGACTACAGGCACATGCCAACACACCCAGCTAATTTTCGTATTTTTTGTAGAGAGGGGGCTTTCACCATGTTCCCCAGACTAGTCTCGAACTGCTGGGCTCAAGCGATCTTCCCGTCTCAGACTCCCAAGGTGCTGGGATTACAGGCTTGAGCCACCAAGCCCTGCCAAAAACTTGACTTTTGTAAAATCACCTTTGATCACATTTTAACTGGGATAGAGTCAGTTATAGTCCTAAAACTGTTAAATGAGAACAAAAGCAAAATAGCAGGACATCCTCTGAGTTTCTAGTTTCCTTGGTTTCCCAGGAGCTGCCATCCTCTCTAAAGTAGAGGACACTGCCTCCTCCCTGCCCCAATGGGCTGCCACGATTAGCCACAATCCTAGAACTCTGCCCTTCCCAAAAGGATTGAGAGTGACAGCCTCCCATGTGAAAACATTGGGACATCAACATGTGACCTGGCTGCCTATACCAGGCAGTCACACATCTATTACCACCTTTCCCAGACTCCGGGTTATTCAGTCTAAGACCAAATGCAGGACATCAAAAATTCATGCAGTGCACATGTGGCCATGCCAAGCTAAGACTAGTTCCTTCTCAGTCTCTGTTCTGTTCAACAAAGGTTCCAAAAATTCCTGGCTTCCAGTCACACCCAGAATCACCTTATGACCAAAGCAACAACAGTTGTTATTCTGAATTGAATGCCCACTGGTACATGGCATGGCGTCATGGGAATTGAAGGCTCAGAGAAGCCCAGAGAGGCTACCACCAATGACCTCCCAGAAGGAGGAAATAAAGACAAGTAGGAGGGAGGAAGTGGAAAAAAGAATGAGAAGGAACAAGGGAAAGGGGAAAGGAGCAGATGGATGCTAGTCAGGCCTGTAACTGCCTCACTGGGGTTTTTTACTGCTCAAGTTAGCCTCATTTTCACTTCAGGTGTAAAAGTCATTCCACATCTCAAGTTCAATGTATCAGTACAGAAATTATTATTTGCCCCATACCCAAACTGCTCATCCTGTCACACAGAAGCAGCAATATAAATAGTAGTTTATCTGTTCCTCAACCGAGTCTCACCTATTGGCAATTCCTGAGACTTTGCTGTTTCCTCTACATCTTGCTGTGTGGGTATCTATAAAGTTATGGGCTCAACAAGAAGAATCTCATATCCTTCTTCATCTTCATCAAGAGGTGGTTTTGTGTTGAGTACCTAAGGAGGCATTATACAGGTGTTTGTCTCCATATGAAGTGATTTTAAAGCAACCAATTACTCACGTTTGGAAGGCCATTAGCCCTGCATTTTACTAACTGAGTGATCTTGGAAATTTTACCTAACTTCTCCAAGTCTTATTTCTTCTGCAATAAAGGTATAATAGTACTTATTTGACAGGGCTGTTGAAGGAATTGAGTGGAGAGAAAAATTATGTGAAGCACCAAGCAGTGTCTGATAAATATTAGGTGCGACCCACCTCTTTTCTTCTATAATATGCATGTCTTTGACATAATTGCATTGCTTATAAAACTTGAGTAATATTATTCTAAAAAGGAGAAAACTCCTCAAAGGCCCCTATCATTGTTTGAAATTATTTTTATTATGATGTTACTTAAAAATTTACATACCTAAAACCAAAAACAAATGCTTCAAGAATTTTGTACACACATTTTAATGTTTTATTTAAAAATGTTTATATTATACACAATCAGGTATATTACAAGTAGACATCTATTGTGAACACTTATCTTTTCCAGACAGATAGCATACTTTTTGGAAAAAATTTTATATTCTATTAGTCTTTGTTTATTTACAGCTTTCACACAAAGTATAAAACAAAGCAACTTCACAAATTAAAAATAAGCCAAGCTATAAAGCCAAAGAAATGTAAATAACATATAATTTCATGAGATTGATAATGTTGCTTTGGCAGCCCTAAATCACAATCTGTAACATGAACATGGTACCGATGACAACACGAACTCTCTTAATTTCAACATTCCTTCATTAGGGAGAGCCCGATGATACAATCTCAACCCTCTGCCAGTTTCCTTACTCAAACTCCTGCAAAATCTCTGTAAGTACAAACTTATGTATTATAGAGCAAATACATCTGTTGCATATTAAGTACATCTTTACATTTTTCTCATTGACTAGAAAAAGAATTTCATTAATCTATGATGCCTCTGATTATTAAATACATAATTATTTTATTCTTATTTTATTTATTATTTATTTATTTATTTATTTTTGAGATGGAGTCTTACTCTGTCACCCAGGCTGGAGTGCAGTAGTGCAATCTCAGCTCACCACAACCTCCGTCTCCCAGGTTGAAGCAATTCTCCTGTCTCAGCCTCCCGAGTAGCTGGGATTACAGGCGCATGCCACCACACCCAGCTAATTTTTGTATTTTTAGTAGAGACGGGATTTCACCACGTTGGCCAGGCTGGTCTCGAACTCCTGACCTCAGGTGATCTGCCCACCTCGGCCTGCATAATTATTTTGTATACCACTAAGAAGGAAAAGTAGGCCAGGCACAGTGGCTCACGCCTGTAATCCCAGCACTTTGGGAGGCCAAGGCAGGCAGATCATCTGAGGTCAGGAGTTCAAGACCAGCCTGGCCAACATGATGAAACCCCATCTCTACTAAAAATACAAAAAATTAGCTGGGCATGATGGCGGGCGCCTGTAATCCCAGCTACTCAGGAGGCTGAGGCAGGAGAATTGCTTGAACCCGGGAGGCAGAGGTTGCAGTAAGCCAAGATCGCGCCATTGCACTCCAGCCTGGGCAACAAGAGCAAAACTCTGTCTCAAAAATAAATAAATAAATAAATAAATTATTAATTAATTAAATTAAAATTAAGAAAAATACTTCTAATTAAACTATGACACGATGCTAAGGTGTCATCAATTGTAAGTGCATCATAATTTTGGAGATACTAAACAAGTCTATCTTATGATCAATGAATACAATAGTGCTGCTTAATACCATGACAATAGTTAATATAAACCCAAAATTTGGCTCCAAAATCACTGGGTAACACGTTAAAATACAGAATATATTTATAATGAATTTCTTTAAATTATCAGTGACCTGCAAACAACATTTAAAAGACATTTCTAGGGAACTTGTGAAACCTAAAAACAGGTACACGCATTCCTGATATTCCACCAATACTACTTTGAGAAACATTGACTTAGGCTTCATGTCTAAACCACAGTAACATCACTGAGACATCAGAAATGTTGTAGAAATTGACAAGATCACTACAAGGAAGCATTCTCAATTCTTAAAAGAGAACAAAGACCCTACTCCTAAGAAAAATTATTTTAACAGTTTATTTATCAAATGCCACTTGTGTATGGTAGAATGACACCTTAGAAAAAAAAGGTAAACCAAAAATTTTCAACTCTGTCTTTTTGGAAACTAGGGGTGTTCACTTTCAGTAATTAACTGCTATGTTCCAACACTATTTTAGCATTTTACATACATTACTCCAATGTGACATTATCCACATCTTCACAATACATCTATCATTTTAATGCATCTCCCTTTTTGGTGTAAATATTTTCCACTCAGTATGTGTTCCAAAAATATCCATATAAACTCTGCCCATTCTATCATCTCCTTAATTTCCAACCTTACCTGAATTCGACATTTTTCTTTCCCAACAATTACACAACTCAACATCTATTATAGATAACAAAACATAGATAAGAAAAAAAGAATAAATATTAAATTAATACAGTATCATTTTACCAATAAATAACTACTTTTCTCATTTGGGTATATAGCCTTTCAGAAGTTTCAATGCATACAAAGCTTGACACTTCTCAAAAATGGGATATACTGTGTTTACAGTCATGTAACCACCTTTTCCATTTAAGATTATATGCTGCACTTTTTCCATGTAAATAAACGTAGATGTCAATCAATATTTTCAATGGCTGCAGAATATTTAAATATGCAGATATATCTTAATTTTATGAGTAAAAAGTCGATAAAATCACCCATAGAGAACTAATAACATTCTCGGAGTATGCAGCAGAGTTTATGCAGAGATAATTTAGATATGTTTTCTTCATAAAAAGTGTGGCATGTGATTTTACAGCCTACTTTTCCCACTTAAGATTATATGCTGATGTTCTCTCTTATTTGTGGGAGCTAAAAATTCAAACAATTGAACTCATAAGAGAGTAGAATGATGGTTACCAGAGGCTGGGAAGGGTAGTGGGGGACTGAGGGGAAGTGGGAATGCTTAATGGGTACAAAAAATGGTTAGACTACAGAATGGGAGAAAATTTTTGCAATCTACTCATCTGACAATGGTCTAATATCCAAAACCTACAAGGAACTTACACAAATTTACAAGAAAAAAACAAAGGACACCATCAAAAAGTGGGCAAAGTATATGAACAGACACTTCTCAAAAGGAGATATTTATGTGGCCAACAAACATGAAAAAAGGCTCAACATCACTGATCATTAGAGAAATGCAAATCAAAACCACAATGAGATACCACCTCACACTAGTCAGAATGGCTATTATTAAAAAGTCAAGAACCAATAGATTCTGGCAAGGCTGTGGAGAAATAGGAACACTTTTACACGGTTGGTGAGAATGTAAATTAGTTCAACCATTGTGGAAGACAGTGTGGTGATTCCTCAAGGATCTAGAACCAGAAATACCTTTTGACCCAGCAATCCTGTTACTGGGTACATACCCAAACGATTATAAATCATTCTACTATAAGGACACATGCATGCATGTTTATTGCAGCACTATTTACAATAGCAAAGACATGGAACCAACCCAAATGCCCATCAATGATAGACTGGATAAAGAAAATGTGGTACATATACACCATGGAATACTATGCAGCCATAAAAAGTAATGAGATCATGTCATTTGCAGGGACATGGATGAAGTTGGAATCCATCATCCTCAGCAAACTAACACAGGAACAAAAAACCAAACACCGTATGTTCTCACTCGTAAGTGGGAGTTGAACAATGAGGACACATGGACACAGAGAGGGGAACAACACATGCCAGGGCCTGTTGGGGGGTAGGGGGCGAGGAGAAGGAACCTAGATGACGGGTTAATAGGTGCAGCAAATCACCATGGCACACGTACACCTATGTAACAAACCTGCACGTTCTGCACATGTATCCCGGAACTTAAAGTAAAATAAAAATTAAAAATAAATAAATAAATAAAACTAAATAGTTAGAAATAATGAATAAGATCTAGTATTCGATAGCACAACAGGGTGACTATAGTCAATAATAATTTAATTGTACATTGTAAAAAAGCTAAAAGAGTACAACTGGATTGTTTGCAACACAAAGGATAAATGCTTGAGGTGATCGATACCCCATTAACCCTGATGTGATGATTACACATTGCATGCCTGTATCAGAATATCTCATGTAATTCATAAATATATACACCTATTATGTACCCACAAAAATTAAAAATTAATTTTTTAAAAAAAACTATATGCTGAATTTCTAATATAGGTAACTGTAGATGTCCACCAACATTTTCAATAGCTGCATAATATTTAAATGTGTGGACATACATTAATTTATTTAGCTAACTGCCTATCTTGAGATACTTGGGTCATTTACAACTTTTCACCCTTCAATCAGTTTAAAGATGCATAGCTTCCTACAAGCCAATTATGTGATTATTTCCTAAAGATACATTTCTATAAGTGGAATTACAGGGTTAAAGGATGTGCATATATTCCAATGGACCTTGTACCAGTGTATACTCCCACCAGCAGTTTGAGAGTGCTCCTCCCCTGACACCCTCACCCTCACTACGGCGTAGGAGCGAGGTAGATCTTCTATGTGTATCCCAACAACACTCTCTATGGTTCCATAAAGGCCCCACCTTAATCATTAATCAACCTTATAAAGGAAATCTGATACAAGCACTAAAACTTATGCTTTCTTGTTATTTCAAAGTTGTAAATGTTTACTTACATAGATACCAGAACTGGCTAAGAGGACATTTTCCTGTCAAATGCCCCAGGACCCAAAATAAAATTGGTCCTCTTTGTATGTCTCCAGAATACATTTAAGCACTTTTTGGTTCAAAAGATCTCTCATTTCCATCCTCTCTTTACCATTCCCATGGCCACCAGTAAAATTTCACACCTTTATTATCTCATGTCTGGACTAAGTTGTGTAGCTTCCTGTTTTTCCAATCTCCAGTCACCACTCCTATCCCCACCCCAGCTTGGACTCATGCTGCACATAAATCTACCATATCGTTTTCCTTTCATCTTGTCATTCCTCTGGTCACAAAAGGCCTTGATGTCTCCCAGGGGTGGATGCAATAATATTCAGACACCCCAGTTTAGCAGTTAGGGGTGCTCCACGAACAGGACTTACCTCTACTGCCTGACTCTCTCTCGTCACTCCCCTCCCTACATTTCCATTCCAGCAGGCCAGCACTTCTCTCTGGAGAAGGATTCCCACCTCCATGCCTTTCTTCTCATCCCTCCTCCCATCTTGAGTGCCCTTCTGACTTTTTGTATCCTATCCTTCACACCCAGCTTACTTAAGAGTTCTCCTCTGCAAAACTTTCCTTGAGCACTGTGGCCTGCAGCTGTTTCTGCTGCCTCTAAGCACTGATGGTCTCCCGGTTTTGTTAATATCTCTTTGTTTTAGTTTCCATATATCTTACCTTTCCAAACAGATCATAAACTCAAGGACAAGGACAAGGACAACGTCTTTTTTTTTTCTGCTGCTTAAAACACAACTTTATTGATGAAACACAAGTCTTAGAATAACAAATATAAACTAATATAAAAGTGTAGCTTATGCATGATGTATAACCAATTCATTGTCAGTTTAGGTAGAGGAAAGATTAAAAAATCTCAATCTAGGTAATAAGATCAAATCAATAAATTCTTTCTGTGTACAAATACTAATATTTCATTTGGCATCCTTAAAATGGTTCATCCTAAACCCAACCATTACAACCAACATCAGTCACTGTTATGATATATGATAGTCATTATTCCAAAATAGCAGCTGAAAAGATCTCTTTACCATATACGCACAATGAAAAACAAAGAATTTACAAATCACATCGTACCAACTGCAAATATCTCAATATTGTTTGGGACAGACTCCAAATTAGAGTTTGGTTAATACTTTCAGGACTTTTACTTTCACCACCAGATCATTGTGATTTGCTAGTGCTTTGATTTTCTTAACACAAACTCCAGACTCTTTGAATAAGAAAAAAAGTGAACTTCTGCTGAATTCTTTCCTGGATGATGCGAGCCCTTCATTTTTTATGTTGTCATTTATATTCTCAAATAGGGTAAGGATATTAAGAAGAATCTCTCTATCCCATTCTTTATTAAAGAGGGAAATCAATTCTGATGGTACTTTACAACTGACCAGCTCTCTTGTCATGGCTGGATTTTCAGTAAAGTTTATAATTAGTTTCATAATCTGTATCTTGGTGAAGTGATTTCCCAGGAATAACAAAGCAAAAAAGTCTGGAAAAGAATAGGAAAGCAAATGTTGGTAATGATTAGTCACAGTCATGTTGGTTAACAGTCTTAGCCCAGCCATCTGCACAGCTGAGTCCAAGCGACAGACCATGGTGTCATCACACACTTGACTGATGTACGTCTTAATCTTGCCCTGATTTTCTGCGTTCACACTCAAGTTATTAAGGGCATTGTAAGTCTTTTCCCTAATTATGGGGTCTTTTGTTTTTATCAGTTTTGCAATAATTGGGACACCACCCAATTCACGTATGGCATTCTGGTTAAATGAATATGCTGCATTGTTACCCAGAGTGACCAAGGCTACTTCTTGAATAAAAGGATCATTTGTTCGCTCCAGGATGTTGAGGACCTTTTGGAGGTCGGGAGCACTCAGAATATCATCAATTTTATAAGGAAAGTTGAACTTGCCTCTCCGGACAGGCCATGTTGTAGCTGGAGCCCTGGTGCTCTTACTTCGGGCCTTTCCCTTGGATTTTCCACTTGCCCTGCCCCCGGCCCTAGATCCACTCCTGGTGGGGTGGCAGCCTCCACCCCTGCCTCCTGGGCAGGGTAAACTCGGTGCAAGGGTCCTGTTCCCAGAGATGGTACCCACCCTAGCCCCTTTGCCTGCCTTTGCACTTGCCTGTTCCTTCAGCGTGTTGAAAAGGGCCTTGGCCTTGGCCTCTAGGCCACCTCCGCTGTGGGATCCTGAATGGGCCTTCTCTTTTACACCCGGACAATCCTCGAGTCCCAAACTCACCTCAGGCTTGACCTCTGAATCACCCTGAAGTTTGGCCCCAGACCCTGCCCCAGCGTTAGTTTTAGCTCCTTTCACAGTCTCAACCCCAATCTCTGAGGTGTCCGTAGACTCCTCGTCTTCGTCCCAGATTTTCTCGTTCTCGTCTCTTCCCCAAGCCAGTCTGTATACACAGTAGCAGGCACCAGCCCCGATAACCACACCAGCGGCCACGCAGCCAGCTTCCCGAGTGCGGCCCATGGTATAGCTGGGACAAATCTCTTAACCCGAGCACAAAACAGGCTCGCTCTGGCCCAGAGAAGCGCGCACACGTCGCGGGCGGAGTCTGCAGCTACTGCGGGCCGGCTCTGAGGCAGCTCGACCTAGGAATAAAGGATGCATTTCAGATTTCAGGCTCCTTTTTGTGTCTTTGAACGCAAACAGACTGAAACAACAACAAAACAAACAAACGTACAAAAATACAGAGATACTGGCAGAGACTCGGGGCTTGATATCTAGATCACTGATTCCTTTCTTCCACCCGGAAGCTAAGTTTGGAAATTTTCCCCGCTTAAAGACTCTCCAACCTCACGTTCCACCACCCCACCCTAGAACGTTAAAGTTCCCTGCCACCCCTGCCCTTCCAGATGTCCTGTGAACAGTGGCGCCCTCACATGCACCCACAGAGGTCCAGGCAGTTTTTTTTCCTTCTCTTTCTTGCTTCCAAGTGCACTGCTTCGTGCAAACCTGCAGACCAAGGGCGCGGGGAGAGGGGTACTGAGAGCTCTGGGTACATATAGATCTCACCCGGGACGGGGCACACATCCCTCTTCTGAATTCCTAGCCCTTTACAACTGCCTTGCCCAATGTTTCCCGCCTTCGGTTACCCTCCTCTCCTCACAGAGCTGCGGCTTTGGAATTCATTATCTCCCTCCCTCTTCCTCCTTCGATGATTCCTCTAACCCTCCATTCCACCTCCACCCCTACTCCCATCATTGGCATCCTCCGAAGATGTCGCCACACATTTTCATCGTTAACATTTTCCTTGTAACAAAATGAAGTGAGAATATCTAAAAGCCGTACTGGCGTGAAATGCCTAAAGGTCTCCAACTCCGCCCTTGCCTCCGCCAACTCCTCCATCTCAAATGTACCAGGACACCGCCGCCCCCCCCCCCCACCCCGTGTCATTATACCAACTACCTCTGCTCCGGAGCAATTTCTTACCTCCCTCACCTCGGTTTCCGCTTCCACTAAACCTTCAAGACTGACAAACTTCAGAAGTGAGTGCTTGGTCGACGGACCAACACCAAGGACCCTGTACCCCAAACAGTAATTTGGAGTAACGTCCTCCCAACCCCTGGACTCTCTTGACGCCCACCCCTTCTCAGCTATTTTCTTCCCTGTCTTGTACTTGCAGAACAATTTCTTTTGCAAGCTCCGAAATGGTGTAGATAAGAGGGAAGGAGGGGGATATGGAAGGGGTCCACGGGCCCATTCGAGTTGCAGTCGCCACCATGCTCCACCCCCAAATAATGCCATCACCCTTATTATGACCTACTTGGTTCTTGACAACTTTGCGTTTCTTCCTGCTCCAAGGGTTGGACTGGCCTCCGGCCCCAAGATCTGCAGACACAGGCAACAAGGCAGAAACTGAAGGCTCAGCGGACAGAAAAGCACTTCGGGGAGTCCCAATATCCACTTCTCCTAATTCAGGGTCCTGGCTGTCAATGGATTTTACCTTTTTGTTTCTCACCCTACCCTCACTTCTCTGGACTCCGCTGACACCAGCCCTGTCGCTTGGTAGTGTTCCCCTACCCCCGTCCCCGCCCCCGGCCCTCACTCCCTCCCGCAGCCCCAGCGGTCGGCCATTTTCCCAGCAAAACCACACCCCTTTCAAACCACTGGAAGCGGGGCGGGGCGAGGGGGGATATGGAAAATCCGAGGAGAAAAACAAAACCAACCGATCTCTTCTATTCCTCTCCCCAACGCACCCTACCCGCAATCACAAGCACTTTTCCTGCAGCCACTGTTACATCCTCTTTTACTGAAGAAAAAAAAAATGGCAGGAAGATTGCTTGAGAGTCGGTAAAGGGCCCAAGTTAAGGCAAGGACCTCAGTCATCCCAGTCCTTCTGGGCGCCGCGGGACAGCTCCAGCTTTACACTGACCTGCAGGGATTCCAGGCAGACTATTCCTTTGTTCCCAAATGGCACAGCGTCCTACTGAAAGAAAAGGGGTATGACTGTCAGACGCACAGCCCCAAGATTCTGGCTTGGTAGATGGGCCAGCACACAGGACATGAATCCGAATATCCGCCCTCCCTGATTCAAGGCCCTGGATGTTAAAGGTCCCACGACGCCCGAGTCTGGGGTCGCCCCTGGAATCCGGCCCCAAGGTCTACCATTTTTGTTCTAGAAAGGGCAAGGGATACTGCAAGGGTTTGGAGAAAGTGAACTGTGCTCCCCCTTCGGCCTCCACGGTTCACTGCCCGCGCCGCAGGGATCCCCTGGCAACGCCCATCCACACACAAACCTGCTGGGATCCAGGCAGAACCTCGTCCTCCTTCCCCCAGGCCACAGGCCCTCTCGCCCTCTGGGCTATAGGAAGAGTGCAACCGGACCAAACGAAGACTAGGATTAGAAGGACGTCTGCACGCGTCGGCTCCAGCTCACGTGAGGGCCACGTCAACCATGAGATCAGGACCCCAATTACCACTCCCATCAGCAGCGCCGCAGAAGCCGGCCCTCCCCTTCCTTCCCTGACACATCAGGTCCTGTCACTCATTTTCCTCTTTGCCAACCCCGGAGACTAGAAGTAGCTTCTCTTTGTGGTGAATTTGCCTTTCTTTGGTTTACAGGGAGAGGCTGTATCTGCTCCCGTGTCCGTTGGCCTTTTCTTCCTCTTCGAGGAATAATTTTTTATCTTCTCTAGTCCCAGTCCAACTGTCTCTCTCTATACCTCCCCCCATCACAAGTCATGAATGTCCTATTTCTTCTGCACCCCTGTAAAATGTGGAGCAAGATGTTAGAAAAGGAGATAGATCGTGGGAGTGTCTTATTTAAACTTTTCTGCTCATTTGTTTTTAAATCAGTAACGCATTACTTTTATATTGAGAAAATAAAATGATGCTATTTTCCTTTGAGTGGAGAGTTTAAACGGGAGAGAAAACCCAAAAGGCCTCATTAATTTCGTTATTTTATTTGTAACAGTAGGAAAATATTTCTACTGGTTACAGCCAATTAGTAGCTTTTAAAACAAAATAACTCATTTTAAAATTGAAAAGTGGGCTGAGGTGGGTGGATTGCTGGAGCCCAGGAGTTTAAGGCTGCAGTGAGCTATGATGTCACCACTGCACTCCAGCCTGGGTGACAGAGAGCAAGCCTCTATCTCTTAAAAAAAATGGATTTTTTTTACATGATCTATGAATTACTCCACAAAGAGACGACCAGTTGTCTAATCTTGGCCATTTTACACAAATAATTCCTTACTTTTTCTATTTTTGAATCAACTTGCAATTTGATAAGTTAAAGCAACACAACCCTGTCTTATTAAATTAAAGAAAAGCATGTATTTAACGTCCCAAAGTCTTGA
Source organism: Homo sapiens (assembly GCF_000001405.40). NCBI lineage: Eukaryota > Metazoa > Chordata > Mammalia > Primates > Hominidae > Homo > Homo sapiens. The sequence continues at coordinate 101,549,601 of NC_000023.11, read as the reverse complement.
CCGACTGTTATATGAACCTCTTGTGATTTGATGGCTACTCTGATCACCTGCCTCTGAATTGAATTCCAGTCTACCAAGGCTGAGGCACCTGAGGGTGTGAGGGATGCAGCGATGTTCTAATCCTTCCTGCCCTGTCAAGAGCGGAAGAAGGTGCTGCCCTCCCACCCTTCCACATTCCATAGCCTCTCATCCCCTGTATTCAGGCACCCATCTATTGTTCACTCCAAAAATATATATAGATGAGTGACCAAGGTGGTAAATGCCACGTTTACTCAGGTGACCAATCAGAGTAAATACCTTTGGCTCCTTCCCTTCCTTCCCCAAATTCCCACAGAGGTAACAGCAATGCATCGAAGGGCTTTCTGTTCCTACCTACCCCTCTGCCCTTATTCATGGTGCCTGAGTGAGCATTGCTCCTAATACTGTGTGCTGCCACCACCTGACCTGAGAGGTGCAGCCCGCTGGGCTTCTTGCCTCTGGCTTCCTTAAAAAGAGAACCTAATCTTGTTGCAGAGTTACTGCCTGCCAGTCCATATCCACCTTGGTGCCCGCTCAGCCAAATGTATGCCTAAGGAACAATCCCCATGGATTAACCCAGAGTAGGCATTCTCACACGGACAACCTTGTGGACCACCTGCAATTGTGGTCATACGTATATTCATTTTCGTGGAGAAAGGAGCCATAGCTTTCATCAGATTCTCACAGGCATGTATGACTTTTAAAAAATAACTAAGAACTATTAATACTTTCCTGAAAAAAAGCTATATATCCCCTCAATAGAAAATCTACTCCTTCCCAGCACTGTGGGAGGCTGAAGCTGGCAGATCACTTGAGGTCAGGAGTTCGAGACCAGCCTGGCCAGCATGGTAAAACGCCATCTTTATTAAAAATACAAAAATTAGCCGGGAATGGTGGCACGAACCTGTAGTCCCAGCTACTTGGGAGGCTGAGGAAGGAGAATTGCTTGAACCCAGGAGGCATAGGTTGCAGTGAGTTGAGATTGTGCCATTGCACTCCAGCCTGGGCAACAGAGCAAGACTCCATCTCAAAAAAAAAAAGAAAAAGAAAAAGAAAGTCTATTCCTCTCCCCTCTTCTCTGTCTCTAGTTATATACTTATTTTTTTAAGTGCAGAAATCTGTAGAGTAGAATGCAAAACTGCCCTGCAATGCCTATTCTACCACCAAGCACTTTCAATGATATCGACCTTTCTTCCTGCAAATATACAGTATATGTATGTGGATGTGTCAAGTTCCAAGTTGAACAATATGCAAAACAAAACAATTGACATTTACTGCAGTACTTGCAATAAATCTGCACTTTAATTGGAGAATTTACATCTTTAAAAATGGAGTCTTTCTATCCATGCCAACTTTTGAGATTTTCAATAAATGTGATGTTTCTTTATACTCATTTCTTATTATGTTTGTGTTTTGTTTATATGAATGACATTCCCATTATGATTACACATTCTACCTGGTTATTGTTTGTCTCAGGTAAAGTAATTAATTATGATATATTTATCTTTAGTGACCATTCTTATTATTTCTAATAGTTTTTTCATCGATACTTTTGGTTTTTCCAGGTATGCATGCATAATATCTGCAAATGATGATTTTTCATTTCTTCTTTTCCAGTATTTATATTCTTTATTCTTTTATTTTCTGCATGTATTCCATTGACCAGAACCTGCAGAACTAGTTTGAATGATAATGGTGATTGAGGGCCTCCAGATCTTATTCTTGAAGAAAATGGGAGTGTCCTTAGTATTTCATTGTTTAGTGCAACCTGACATTTGCTGTTTGTTTTTCATGTGTTCTTCTTCATCTGTGTATGGATGATTTGGGGGATGCCTAAAGGTGCACTTTTATAACCCTTTATATAAGACTGAGGAAAATTAAATTGTCCATATCATAATACTGGGAAGGAGAGGAAATAGGGAGAGCGGCCACAAGTGCTGAGCTTATGGGGAATGTATTGGTGAGCAAAAACAACACAGACTCTTCTCTCGTGGTGGAAATAAGACCTTAATAAAATGAGCGCATACACACACACACACACACACACACACACACACACACACACACACAGAGAGAGAGAAAAATACTGTAAAGGAAAAAACCTCTGTTAATATCGTTTTTAAAAAAGGGGCATAGTCTGAGGATCAGGGAAAGTTTCCTTGCTGGGGCAGAGAGAGTGAAGTTTTCAGCTGAGATGAAGAAAAGCAGGTGGTAACTAGGAAAAGAGGGGAACAGAAAATAAAAAATCTCAACTTCCCCACCCCTCTGATAACTACTGTGATAACCAATCTACTTCAATCCTAGGATAAATCCTATGAAAACCACTGTTAATTTTTCAGGTGACTCTTTCCAGGTTTTGTTGTTGTTTCACATATATTACTAAAAAATATATGTAGATACATTATGTGTGTGTGTACACATATATCTTTCTAAAATAATTTGGGATTATACTATGCATATTATTCTGCATAACTATTTTTTTCACCTGATATATCATGTGAATCTTTTTAGCAGACACACTAATATTCTGAAGCGTGGATTTACCAGAATTTAACCAATCTTTTACTGATGGATACTTAGCCTCTTCCTAATCTTTATCTATTACAAAGATGCCACAGTGAAGACTTCTGTCTATATATATTTTGGCAACTATGATATTATTTCCTCAAGATAAATTCCTAAAAGTAAAATAATTGTGTCAAAATGGGTGTTCATTTTAAATTTTACCCATGCTGCCAACTTTCACCTCTTAAATTTATATATATATATAGGTCGATCGATAGATAGATATATATATATGCATTCTATGTTGTGCTCCAAATAATTAATTTATTTAATTATAAGTGAGATTAAACATCTTCTTAGAGGTTTGTTAAGCATCTGTATTTATCTTTCTGTGTACTGTCTTTCCTCATTTTTTTACTAAGTTGTTCATCTGTTTCTTACTAATACATAAGAACTTTCTGCAAATTAAGCAAATGAGTCTTTTGACTTCAATAAGTGTTATAAATATTTTCCCGATTTATAATTTTTTGGACTTCTATATAGAATTTTTTATATTTACAGTACAAAATTTACCAACTTTTTTTCTTTTTTTTATTATACTTTAAGTTCTAGGGTACATGTGCACAACGTGCAGGTTTGTTACATATGTATACATGCGCCATGTTGGTGTGCTGCACCTATTAACTCGTCATTTACATTAGGTATATCTCCTTTTTTTATTATTATTATACTTTAAGTTTTAAGGTACATGTGCACATTGTGCAGGTTAGTTACATATGTATACATGTGCCATGCTGGTGCGCTGCACCCACTAACTCGTCAACTAGCATTAGGTATATCTCCCAATACTATCCCTCCCCCCTCCCCCCACCCCACAACAGTCCCCAGAGTGTGATGTTCCCCTTCCTGTGTCCATGTGTTCTCATTGTTCAATTCCCACCTATGAGTGAGAATATGCGGTGTTTGGTTTTTTGTTCTTGCGATAGTTTACTGAGAATGATGATTTCCAATTTCATCCATGTCCCCACAAAGGACATGAACTCATCATTTTTTATGGCTGCATAGTATTCCATGGTATATATGTGCCACATTTTCTTAATCCAGTCTATAATTGTTGGACATTTGGATTGGTTCCAAGTCTTTGCTATTGTGAATAATGCTGCAATAAACATACGTGTGCATGTGTCTTTATAGCAGCATGATTTATAGTCCTTTGGGTATATACCCAGTAATGGGATGGCTGGGGCAAATGGTATTTCTAGTTCTAGATCCCTGAGGAATCGCAACACTGACTTCCACAATGGTTGAACTAGTTTACAGTCCCACCAACAGTGTAAAAGTGTTCCTATTTCTCCACATCCTCTCCAGCACCTGTTGTTTCCTGACTTTTTAATGATCACCATTCTAACTGGTGTGAGATGGTATCTCATTGTGGTTTTGATTTGCATTTCTCTGATGGCCAGTGATGGTGAGCATTTTTTCATGTGTTTTTTGGCTGCATAAATGTCTTCTTTTGAGAAGTGTCTGTTCATGTCCTTCACCCACTTTTTGGTGGGGTTGTTTGTTTTTTTCTTGTAAATTTATTTGAGTTCATTGTAGATTCTGGATATTAGCCCTTTGTCAGATGAGTACGTTGCGAAAATTTTCTCCCATTCTATAGGTTGCCTGTTCACTCTGATGGTAGTTTCCTTTGCTGTGCAGAAGCTCTTTAGTTTAATTAGATCCCATTTGTCAATTTTGGCTTTTGTTGCCATTGCTTTTGGTGTTTTAGACATGAAGTCCTTGCCCATGCCTATGTCCTGAATGGTAATGCCTAGGTTTTCTTCTAGGGTTTTTATGGTTTTAGGTCTAACGTTTAAGTCTTTAACCCATTTTGAATTGATTTTTGTATAAGGTGTAAGGAAGGGATCCAGTTTCAGCTTTCTACATATGGCTAGCCAGTTTTCCCAGCACCATTTATTAAATAGGGAATCCTTTCCCCATTGCTTGTTTTTCTCAGCTTTGTCAAAGATCAGATAGTTGTAGATATGCGGCATTATTTCTGAGGGCTCTGTTCTGTTCCATTGATCTATATCTCTGTTTTGGTACCAGTACCATGCTGTTTTCGTTACTGTAGCCTTGTAGTATAGTTTGAAGTCAGGTAGTGTGATGCCTCCAGCTTTGTTCTTTTGGCTTAGGATTGACTTGGCAATGCAGGCGCTTTTTTGGTTCCATGTGAACTTTAAAGTAGTTTTTTCCAATTCTATGAAGAAAGGCATTGGTAGCTTGATGGGGATGGCATTGAATCTGTAAATTACCTTGGGCAGTATGGCCATTTTCACAATATTGATTCTTCCTACCCATGAGCATGGAATGTTCTTCCATTTGTTTGTATCTTCTTTTATTTCCTTGAGCAGTGGTTTGTAGTTCTCCTTGAAGAGGTCCTTCACATCCCTTGTAAGTTGGATTCCCAGGTATTTTATTCTCTTTGAAGCAATTGTGAATGGGAGTTCACTCATGATTTGGCTCTCTGTTTGTCTGTTGTTGGTGTATAAGAATGCTTGTGATTTTTGTACATTGATTTTGTATCCTGAGACTTTGCTGAAGTTGCTTATTAGCTTAAGGAGATTTTGGGCTGAGACAATGGGGTTTTCTAGATATACAATCATGTCGTCTGCAAACAGGGACAATTTGACTTCCTCTTTTCCTAATTGAATACCTTTTATTTCCTTCTCCTGCCTAATTGCCCTGGCCAGAACTTCCAACACTATGTTGAGTAGGAGTGGTGAGAGAGGGCATCCCTGTCTTGTGCCAGTTTTCAAAGGGAATGCTTCCAGTTTTTGCCCATTCAGTATGATATTGGCTGTGGGTTCGTCATAGATAGCTCCTATTATTTTGAAATATGTCCCATCAATACCTAATTTATTGAGAGTTTTTAGCATGAAGGGTTGTTGAATTTTGTCAAAGGCCTTTTCTGCATCTATTGAGATAATCATGTGGTTTTTGTCTTTGGCTCTGTTTATATGCTGGATTACATTTATTGATTTGTGTATATTGAACCAGCCTTGCATCCCAGGGATGAAGCCCACTTGATCATGGTGGATAAGCTTTTTGATGTGCTGCTGGATTCGTTTTGCCAGTATTTTACTGAGGATTTTTGCATCAATGTTCATCAAGGATATTGGTCTAAAATTCTCTTTTTTGGTTGTGTCTCTGCCTGGCTTTGGTATCAGAATGATGCTGGCCTCATAAAATGAGTTAGGGAGGATTCCCTCTTTTTCTATTGATTGAAATAGTTTCAGAAGGAATGGTACCAGTTCCTCCTTGTACCTCTGGCAGAATTCGGCTGTGAATCCATCTGGTCCTGGACTCTTTTTGGTTGGTAAGCTATTGATTATTGCCACAAATTCAGATCCTGTTATTGGTCTATTCAGAGATTCCACTTCTTCCTGGTTTAGTCTTGGGAGAGTGTATGTGTCGAGGAATTTATCCATTTCTTCTAGATTTTCTAGTTTATTTGCGTAGAGGTGTTTGTAGTATTCTCTGATGGTAGTTTGTATTTCTGTGGGATCGGTGGTGATATCCCCTTTATCATTTTTTATTGCATCTATTTGATTCTTCTCTCTGTTTTTCTTTATTAGTCTTGCTAGCGGTCTATCTATTTTGTTGATCCTTTCAAAAAACCAGCTCCTGGATTCATTAATTTTTTGAAGGGTTTTTTGTGTCTCTATTTCCTTCAGTTCTGCTCTGATTTTAGTTATTTCTTGCCTTCTGCTAGCTTTTGAATGTGTTTGCTCTTGCTTTTCTAGTTCTTTTAATTGTGATGTTAAAGTGTCAATTTTGGATCTTTCCTGCTTTCTCTTGTGGGCATTTAGTGCTATAAATTTCCCTCTACACACTGCTTTGTATGTGTCCCAGAGATTCTGGTATGTTGTGCCTTTGTTCTCACTGGTTTCAAAGAACATCTTTATTTCTGCCTTCATTTCGTTATGTACCCAGTAGTCATCCAGGAGCAGGTTGTTCAGTTTCCATGTAGTTGAGCGGTTTTGAGTGAGATTCTTAATCCTGAGTTCTAGTTTGATTGCACTGTGGTCTGAGAGATAGTTTGTTATAATTTCTGTTCTTTTACATTTGCTGAGGAGTGCTTTACTTCCAAGTATGTGGTCAATTTTTGAATAGGTGTGGTGTGGTGCTGAAAAGAATGTATATTCTGTTGATTTGGGGTGGAGAGTTCTGTAGTTGTCTATTAGGTCCACTTTGTGCAGAGCTGAGTTCAATTCCTGGGTATCCTTGTTGACTTTCTGTCTCGTTGATCTGTCTAATGTTGACAGTAGGGTGTTAAAGTCTCCCATTATTAATGTGTGGGAGTCTAAGTCTCTTTGTAGGTCACTTAGGACTTGCTTTATGAATCTGGGTGCTCCTGAATTGGGTGCATATATATTTAGGATAGTTAGCTCTTCTTGTTGAATTGATCCCTTTACCATTAAGTAATGGCCTTCTTTGTCTCTTTTGATCTTTGTTGGTTTAAAGTCTGTTTTATCAGAGACTAGGATTGCAACCCCTGCCTTTTTTTGTTTCCCATTTGCTTGGTAGATCTTCCTCCATCCTTTTATTTTGAGCCTATGTGTGTCTCTGCATGTGAGATGGGTTTCCTGAATACAGCGCACTGATGGGTCTTGACTCTTTATCCAATTTGCCAGTCTGTGTCTTTTAATTGGAGCATTTAGTCCATTTACATTTAAAGTTAATATTGTTATGTGTGAATTTGATCCTGTCATTATGATGTTAGCTGGTGATTTTGCTCGTTAGTTGATGCAGTTTCTTCCTAGTCTCAATGGTCTTTACATTTTGGCATGATTTTGCAGCGGCTGGTACCGGATGTTCCTTTCCATGTTTAGCGCTTCCTTCAGGAGCTCTTTTAGGGCAGGCCTGGTGGTGACAAAATCTCTCAGCATTTGCTTGTCTGTAAAGTATTTTATTTCTCCTTAACTTATGAAGCTTAGTTTGGCTGGATATGAAATTCTGGGTTGAAAATTCTTTTCTTTAAGAATGTCGAATATTGGCCCCTACTCTCTTCTGGCTTGTAGGGTTTCTGCCGAGAGATTCGCTGTTAGTCTGATGGGCTTCCCTTTGAGGGTAACCCGACCTTTCTCTCTGGCTGCCCTTAACATTTTTTCCTTCATTTCAACTTTGGTGAATCTGACAATTATGTGTCTTGGAGTTGCTCTTCTCGAGGAGTATCTTTGTGGCGTTCTCTGTATTTCCTGAATCTGAATGTTGGCCTGCCTTGCTAGATTGGGGAAGTTCTCCTGGATAATATCCTGCAGAGTGTTTTCCAACTTGATTCCATTCTCCCCATCACTTTCAGGTACACCAATCAGACGTAGATTTGGTCTTTTCACATAGTCCCATATTTCTTGGAGGCTTTGCTCGTTTCTTTTTATTCTTTTTTCTCTAAACTTCCCTTCTCACTTCATTTCATTCATTTCATCTTCCATTGCTGATACCCTTTCTTCCAGTTGATTGCATCGGCTCCTGAGGCTTCTGCATTCTTCACGTAGTTCTCGAACCTTGGTTTTCAGCTCCATCAGCTCCTTTAAGCACTTCTCTGTATTGGTTATTCTAGTTATACATTCTTCTAAATTTTTTTCAAAGTTTTCAACTTCTTTGCCTTTGGTTTGAATGTCCTCCCGTAGCTCAGAGTAATTTGATCGTCCGAAGCCTTCTTCTCTCAGCTCGTCAAAGTCATTCTCCATCCAGCTTTGTTCTGTTGCTGGTGAGGAACTGCGTTCCTTTGGAGAAGGAGAGGCGCTCTGCTTTTTAGAGTTTCCAGTTTTTCTGTTCTGTTTCTTCCCCATCTTTGTGGTTTTATCTACTTTTGGTCTTTGATGATGGTGATGTACAGATGGGTTTTTGGTGTGGATGTCCTTTCTGTTTGTTAGTTTTCCTTCTAACAGACAGGAGCCTCAGCTGCAGGTCTGTTGGAGTACCCTGCCGTGTGAGGTGTCAGTGTGCCCCTGCTGGGGGGTGCCTCCCAGTTAGGCTGCTCAGGGGTCAGGGGTCAGGGACCCACTTGAGGAGGCAGTCTGCCCGTTCTCAGATCTCCAGCTGCGTACTGGGAGAACCACTGCTCTCTTCAAAGCTCAGATGGAAATGCAGAAATCACCCGTCTTCTGCATCGCTCACGCTGGGAGCTGTAGACCCGAGCTGTTCCTATTCGGCCATCTTGGCTCCTCCCTCCTACATTAGGTATATCTCCTAATGCTACCCCTCCCCCTCCCCCCACCCGACGACAGGCCCCTGTGTGTGATGTTCCCCTTCCAGTGTCCAAGTGTTCTCATTGTTCAATTCCCACCTATGAGTAAGAATATGCGGTGTTTGGTTTTCTGTCCTTGTGATAATTTGCTCAGAATGATGGTTTCCAGCTTCATCCATGTCCCCACAGAGGACATGAACTCATCATTTTTTATGGCTGCATAGTATTCCATGGTGTATATGTGCCACATTTTCTTAATCCAGTCTATCATTGATGGACATTTGGGTTGGTTCCAAGTCTTTGCTATTGTGAATAGTGCCGCAGTAAAAATACATGTGCATGTGTCTTTATAGCAGCATGATTTATAGTCCTTTGGGTATATACCCAGTAATGGGATGGCTGGGGCAAATGGTATTTCTAGTTCTAGATCCTTGAGGAATCGCCACACTGTCTTCCACAATGGTTGAACTAGTTTATAGTCCCACCAACAGTGTAAAAGTGTTCCTATTTCTCCACATCCTCTCTAGCACCTGTTGTTTCCTGACTTTTTAATGATCGCCATTCTAACTGGTGTGAGATGGTATCTCATTGTGCTTTTGATTTGCATTTCTCTGATGGCCAGTGATGATGAGCATTTTTTCATGTGTCTTTTGGCTGCATAAATGTCTTCTTTTGAGAAGTGTCTGTTCATATCCTTTGCCCACTTTTTGATGGGGTTGTTTGGTTTTTTCTTGTAAATTTGTTTAAGTTCTTTGTTGATTCTGGATATTAGCCCTTTGTCAGATAAGTAGATTGCAAAAATTTTCTCCCATTCTGTAGGTTGCCTCTTCACTCTGATGGTAGTTTCTTTTGCTGTGCGGAAGCCCTTTAGTTTAATGAGATCCCATTTGTCAATTTTGGCTTCTGTTACCATTGCTTTTGGCGTTTTAGACATGAAGTCCTTGCCCATGCCTATGTCCTGAATGGTATTGCCTAGGTTTTCTTCTAGGGTTTTCATGGTTTTAGATCTAACATGTAAGTCTTTAATCCATCTTGAATTGATTTTTGTATAAGGTGTAAGGAAGGGATCCAGTTTCAGCTTTCTACATATGGCTAGCCAGTTTTCCCAGCACCATTTATTAAATAGGGGATCCTTTCCCCATTGCTTGTTTTTCTCAGGTTTGTCAAGGATCAGATGGTTGTAGATGTGTAAAATTTACCACCTTTTTTCTTTACATTTTTGAGGTTTGTGTCCTGCTTAGGGAGATCTGTATTTTCTTCTAATTTTTATGTTTCCTTTTATATTTAAATTTTTGGTCCATACGGAATTATTTTCTTCCAAATGGCTAGCAAATTGTCCTAATGCTAATTATCAAATAATCCCCTCTTTAGCTCACTGATTTAACGTGCCATCTTTGGGCTGCTTGGGCGAGGCGACCCTTGGGTCGGCGTTGCGGGTGAGGTGGGCAGGTAGGTGGGCGGATGGCCGCGGTTCTCCGACAGGCGCGGGCGGCGGGGTCTCCCACGGCGTCCGAAGCCCCCTCCCCGCACCCCCGGCCTCCAGCGTTGAGGCGGGGGAGTGAGGAGATGCCGACCCAGAGGGACAGCAGCACCATGTCCCACAGGGTTGCAGGCGGCTGCAGTGGGGACCATTCCCACCAGGTCTGGGTGAAAGCCTACTACCGCGGGGATATCATGATAACACATTTTGAACCTTCTGTCTCCTTTGAGGGCCTTTACAATGTGGTTCGAGACATGTTCTTTTGACAACGAACAGCTCTTCACCATGAAATGGATAGACGAGGAAGGAGACCCGTGTACAGTATCATCTCAGTTGGAGTTAGAAGAAGCCTTTACACTTTATGAGCTAAACAAGGACTCTGAACTCTTGATTCATGTGTTCCCTTGTGTACCAGAACGTCCCGGGATGCCTTGTCCAAGAGAAGATAAATCCATCTACCGTAGAGGTGCACGCCACTGGAGAAAGCTTTATTGTGCCAATGGACACACTTTTCAAGCCAAGTGCTTCAACAGGCGTGCTGACTGTGCCATCTGCACAGACTGAATATGGGGACTTGGATGCCAAGGATATAAGTGTATCAACTGCAAACTCTTGGTTCATAAGAAGTGCCATAAACTCCTCACAATTGAATGTGGGCGGCATTCTTTGCCACTGGAACCAATGATGCCCATGGATCAGTCATCCATGCATTCTGACCATGCACAGACAGTAATTCCATATAATCCTTCAAGTCATGAGAGTTTGGATCAAGTTGGTGAAGAAAAAGAGGCAATGAACACCAGAGAAAGTGGCAAAGCTTCATCCAGTCTAGGTCTTCAGGATTTTGATTTGCTCCAGGTAATAGGAAGAGGAAGTTAAGCCAAAGTACTGTTGGTTCCATTAAAAAAAAAAAAAAAACAGATCGTATTTATGCAATGAAAGTTGTGAAAAAAGAGCTTGTTAATGATGATGAGGATATTGATTGGGTGCAGACAGAGAAACATGTGTTTGAGCAGGCATCCAATCATCCTTTCCTTGTTGGGCTGCAGTCTTGCTTTCAGACAGAAAGCAGATTGTTCTTTGTTATAGAGTATGTAAATGGAGGAGACCTAATGTTTCATATGCAGCGACAAAGAAAACTTCCTGAAGAACATGCCAGATTTTACTCTGCAGAAATCAGTCTAGCATTCAATTATCTTCATGAGTGAGGGATAATTTATAGAGATTTGAAACTGGACAATGTATTACTGGACTCTGAAGGCCACATTAAACTCACTGACTACGGCATGTGTTAAGGAAGGATTACGGCCAGGAGATACAACCAGCACTTTCTGTGGTACTCCTAATTACATTGCTCCTGAAATTTTAAGAGGAGGAGATTATGGTTTCAGTGTTGACTGGTGGGCTCTTGGAGTGCTAATGTTTGAGACGATGGCAGGAAGGACTCCATTTGATACTGTTGGGAGCTCCGATAACCCTGACCAGAACACAGAGGATTCTCTCTTCCAAGTTATTGTGGAAAAACAAATTCACATACCACGTTCTCTGTCTGGAAAAGCTGCAAGTGTTCTGAAGAGTTTTCTTAACAAGGACCCTAAGAAACGACTGGGTTGTCATCCTCAAACAGGATTTGCTGATATTCAGGGACACCCGTTCTTCCAAAATGTTGATTGGGATATGATGGAGCAAAAACAGGTGGTATCTCCCTTTAAACCAAATATTTCTGGGGAATTTGGTTTGGACAACTTTGATTCTCAGTTTACTAATGAACCTGTCTAGCTCACTCCAGATGTCGATGACATTGTGAGAAAGATTGATCAGTCTGAATTTGAAGGTTTTGAGTATATCAATCCTCTTTTGATGTCTGCAGAAGAATGTGTCCGATCCTCATTTTTCAACCATGTATTCTACTCATGTTGCCATTTAATGCATGGATAAACTTGCTGCCAGCCTGGATACAATTAACCATTTTATATTTGCCACCTACAAAAAAACACCCAGTATCTTCTCTCGTAGACTACATGAATCAATTATTACATCTTTTTTACTATGAAAAATAAATTAATACTAGCTTCCAGACAATCATGTCAAAATTTAGTTGAACTGGTTTTTCAGTTTTTAAAAGGCCTACAGATGAGTAATGAAGTTATCTTTTTTGTTTAAAAAAAAAACAAAGAAAACCACTGCATTTAAAAAGTATCAGTTGCATTAAGGCACATAGTGGGATTACATCATAAACCTCCCATAATTTTTGTCATTCTGTGTTAAATCACTTCAGGGTTTAATTTTGAAATAAAAGATTAATATAAAATGCAACAACTTTTTATATTACCTATTAGTTTTGGAGTTCTTTATGTTTAAAAATTCGGGTGTAAATTTTATTGCCTTGGATAAATAAATTATCGATTTTTTAAGGCAGCAGTTACTAAATTGGTAATAGAAGATGCTGCTTGCTTAAAATTGGGAAATGCAGCTGGGTGCAGTGACTCAACGCCTGTAATTCCAGTACTTTGGGAGGCTGAGGCGGGCAGATCACTTGAGGTCAGGAGTTCGAGATCGGCCTGACCAACATGGTGAAATCCTGTCTCTACTAAAAATACAAAAATTAGCTGGGCATGGTGGCGCATACCTGTAATCCCAGCTACTCGGGAGGCTGAAGCAGGAGAATCACTTGAACCCAGGAGATGGAGTTTCCAGAGAGCCAAGATTACTCCAGCCTGGGCAACAGTGAGTGAGACACGGTCTCAAACAAAACAACAAAACAAAAACCAAATTGGGAAATTCTTCTTGAGTTAAAAAACAGACACTTTTTATTATGAATCAGATTGCAAATCATTAACTATTTTTGCAAAACTGGCACAAGTGATTTTTCTTTTTAAGTATATTAACGGGGTAGCTCCTGAGCCTATCCATTTATTGGAAACTTTAACTGCAATGTTAATATATATACTGCAAAAGACCAAGGATGCAGTTGAATGGAAGATTACTCAGTATATAGAAAGGAAAAAAACAGAAATTTAAAATAGATACAGCAAAGTACAGTGGTAATATTTTTATTTCCTATTGGAGAGTGAATCCCCACAGTTGCTTTTGTGACTTGATTCAAATGAGGCACTCATTATTGTTATCAAACTTGTAAAAGCATTCCATGTATTCAGTGGAGGCAGAATGTATAATATTTTTTCCTTACAATTTAGTATACAGGAAAATTATTTATTTTTAAGTAGGGTATCTTAATTATGCTCATTTCTCCCCCTAAACCACATTATCTATATGATTGGACCCTGTTTATAGAGTCTTTAGTGAAATCAGAAAAATCAAGTAGGCATGAATAAATGTTCAGGACACACACATACACTCACACACGTCACAGTATCAGCTCTTTCAGTGAGTTTTTATTAACTGGATAACACATGTAACACATAGTAGAATACATTTCAGAGGCAGAGTTCCTTGGATTATTTTTTATTAATATTAGTGTTTAGCAGTTTATTTAAGGGGGTGCCAAATATAGCATCCTTCTGTTGTTTATTTTAAATATTTTTTAATGAAAAGGGACTTAAAAAGTAACCATGATCATCTAAATTACTTAAAGTTTTTTAATCTTAGTAAAACTTAATTTTAGGAAAGTGTCCTAGTTTAAATTTCAAATGTTTCAAAATTTGTAGGCATTTAATAAATTATCTTTTTTTGGAGGGGTGGATGCTACATTTCATTGGAAATGTCATTTTTCCAAAGTTTCTAGCTGTGTACTCTCTTTCCTTCAAATAACATAAGTCTGAAAGCAATGAAAACCTCAAAGGAAAATGTTTATATACATGCACATGTTTATTTAATATGTTTCTCTTAACATCTGAAACTTGTTTTAAAACAAAAAGCAGTATTCACTTCAAATCATAAACTTAGAATTCTGTATCTCATGTCAGAAATATGTTATGGCCTTGCTTTTAAGTGGTGCTGTTTCCCACAGGGCATTAGTTCTCAGATTTTGGAATGTGAAATAATCACCTAGGAAGTTTGTTTAAAATGCACACTAGTGGGCCCACCTTAGACTTCTTTTGGAGCCTTCAACTTCACTTTGAGAAACACCTTCTTCAGGTTATTCTTTATGTTTGTCCTGTGGTTAAATATTAGAGTATTCATGATAAAACATTTTGAGAGGGGTAAGCAGTGAGTTATTACCCACAATTTAAAGCAAATTTTGAATGAATCTTTAAGTTGGGTGTCTACCTTCCCACCAGCCCCCCAAGAAAACCTCTCAGTAGTTTCTATCAATAATGTGCAAAATGATGAGCATTTTTCTATGATGAGGTTTTAACCATTATTCAGGGTGGTCTTTATGGTGTATATTTTATACAGAAATGCATTATAAATGTTTTTAATTGTGTTCTGTTTTTTGCAGTCTTTAAGTGCCATGCCAATTGTTTTTATATTCTATAGAAGTTCGCTCAAAATACTCAACAGGGGAATGCGCAGCGGACAGTCAGAATGGTTGGAATTTTGGCGTTCTAAGAAAAACTACTTTGCATAAGCATGTGGTCAGATCATTTTGTGCATATGCAGCCTGGATTGGATGTTAAGTAAATGCTTGTTCAGTGCCGATACATTTACTTAAATCTGTTTTTATTTTTGTCATGTAGAATACTACTGGGGTCATCACAATGTAATCTGTATTTCTGTACCTTTTTTTTTTACTTCGAAGTCTTTAAATTAAATGTATAATACCCAAAAAATAAAAAATAAAGTGCCATCTTTACCATAATTATCATAATCTAAACATCCACATATGTTTGTATCTATTTCTTTATTCTTTATTATATTCTTTTAATCTGTTATCTTTTCTTTCTTCTTAAATAACAAACTGTTTTAACTATAGTATCTTCATAATATGTTTCAATATCTGAAGGGTAAGGTCTCTCATAACTCATCTTTTTTATCATTACCTGCCTGTTCACATGTATTTATTTAGAGACTAAAATCTGTTATTTTGTTATAGTCCCCTAAAAACTACCGTTTTTAATTTCAATTTGTGTTGCACATAATTTATAAGTTAACTGAGTGATAATTGGCATCTTTACAGGAATATCTTTCTATCCAACAACCCAGTTTTTCTACTTATTTGTCTTTATTTTTCTCAGCAGTTTCTAAATTTTTTAAATAAAAATAACTCCTAGAACATTGCCTGGCACACTGTAGGTTATCAATCCATATTTACTGAATGAATGGATATGTCTTACAGATTTTTTTGTTAAGTTTATTCAAAAGGAGCTTATCTTTTCCCATGGCTATTGTAATTTAGATTTTTTTTCTTATTTTACATTTTGTTTGTTGTTTTTATATATGAAAGTGATCAGTTTTTATTCTATTGATTTCATAACCAGCCTTTTTATGGAGTTCCAAAGGTTTCAAGTAGTCTTTAGTTGATTCTCTTAGATTTGCTTCATTTGTGGTAATGATAATCTTGCCTGCCCCTTCCTTTCCAATATCAATATTACATTTCTTTCTCTTGGTTGACTGCATTAACTAGTACTTCTAGAACAATGTTAAATAATTGTGGAAATAACTGGCATTCTTGTCTTTTTCCTAATTTTAATGGAAATGCTTCTAGTGTTTATCCCTTAAACATGAAAGGCTTCTTGTTAGAAATGTATATATTTTTGTCATATTTAAGAAATATCCACCTATTCTTACTTCAGTGAGTTGCATCCAGAAGTTATCTGACTTTAAGTACAATTTGATTAAGATTCTGCTTCATTTTTCTATAATTTTCTCTGCTATACCCTTCCTTACATGAAAGCTTTATCCTTGACTGTGCATTCTAATGGTATCAAAATAGCTGCAGTAATTCTAGGCCTCACACCAGCACCTCAGTCAGAGTCCTAGCCAGTAAAAAAATCTAAATCAGATGGTTCAAGGGACTTTAATGTAGGGACTACTTACAGAGGTATATGCAAGATTATGAGACCCAACAAGCAATTTTGTGGCACCCAGAGGTTAGCAATAGCAGGTAGCTGTTACCCTAGGCCTAAGAGGGCAAGAGGAAGAAATAGTATTTCTGGAGCCTAGTGAGAGCTAGAGTCATGGAGGAGGGGACTTCTGGAAGAAGCTAAAATCTTGAAGGGATGCAGTCCCTGCCAATAAAACATAGCCCAAATCAGAGTGGGAGCAGTGAAGAAATACATTGTCTTCTCTCTTCTTCCCTCCAAAGCTGTGCCAGGGCATTCCATTGACCAAACCCAAGCAGAAGTCAATTACAAATGGAGTCTGGGGGATGCAGTCCCTAAGGATCAGCCGCCCAGGGCATAGAACAAGACAGAGAAGGACAGGAAATGAATCAGGATGTGTGGGAAAATAAAGACTAACCACCATGGCCCACTCCTTTCACATTCAGCATCTATTCTTGTTATTCTATTCTCCCAACAGGGAGGCAGGGACAAAAAAAATCCCATCAGCCACCGTACTGTCACGGGATAATGCTAATTCAATCATATTCGCCCACCTGAAACCTGATTTATAACAATTATCTCAAGTATTTTTCATATAATCAGAGGAAAGGAAGAGAAAAATAAATTAACAAAGATGTGCATAGCTGTTACAGTTTCCCACTGAAGCTGATCATGAGGCCAAAGTCAATAATCAACTTCATTCTTCTACCACCCATTTCATATTCCCCTTACAGAAACCTGGTCAAAATTATTTCCCTGATGTAGTGACCCTAATCTTCAATCCTGTATTTATTGAATTTCTGCACTTTCCCACTTCCCAGGACTATTAGGCAAAGCAGTACTAGGAGGTGCCCCAGTGAGTATCCCTGGGCTCTGAGCATTGCTCTCCCTGTTTGTATATCAGCAACCTTATTTCCCCTTAGTAATTGGGCTCAATCCCTCTAGCCACTATAGCAGCCCCTTTCCCTGCCTGTCAGTTCAGTGGCACGAGAGGACAAAAATGGCCAGAATGTAGTCTCAGCTTTTAATATAATGGAACCATGGCTTTATTCCCTGGTGAAAGCATTCATCCCTGATATACCTAAGAGCCCAAGGTTGTGGAGACAGAAAAAAAGAATCACATACTTCTTCAGTAGGTTAACTGGTGCAATAGTGAAAAGGGCCACTGCTTTCATGACTTCTTTATTCCTAGTCCTGTGTAACCTCACTATGGGGAAAAAAAGCACCATATATGGGTGGCTCTGTTAAAGCATCTATTGCAATCTTGTCGTACAGTACTCCCAGGAACAGCTGATCCCATAACTAAGCTTCCAGTAAGTTATTTATTTTTGTGTAAGGCAAGCTGCTTCTGCATGGTAAAGTAAGTAGTAAAGACTAGTGAATCTTTGGATGTGCACTTCACTTACCATTAAATGAGTTCCTTGGTCAGAGACAACTTTGTGTAGGATACTCTGATGATGATTAAGGCATTCTGGAAGTCCATGGAGATGGTGATGACAGAATCATTGTCAGCAAAGAAGGTAAATGTGTGTCTAAAATACATATTCATTTCCATGAGGAAAAGTTTCTGTTTTCATGATGATGAAAGGTGTCCCATGTAATAATCCTAACACCATGGGACTGGCTGATGCCCCTAAGGAATGGTGTCTTATAAAGGCTCATCATCTTCTCTGTTGTCAGGTTGGGCACTTAGTATTAGTACAAGATCAGCCTTGGTGAGTAGAAGTTCGTGTTGTTGAGTCCAGGCATAGCTTCCATAATATCGATGCTAAAATCTAGCAAAGATAACATAGACATAAAAATATGACTATTTGCACTATTCTATTATTTTGCCACAGTACTAGCTTGAATTTACTACTATTCTATTTTGGATATTTACATCTATAGTTCTAAGTTAGACTGACCTCTCATGTTTACTTTTTTACTTCTATTCTTCTTTGTTTGGACATAAGCATTATGTTAGCCTTAGAGAAAGAATTAGGTAAATTTCTACATTTTCCTAAGCTCTAGAACACTTTAAATTGTATAAGAATTATTGAATCCTTGACAATTGTTGTTGTGGGAAGAATAATGGCTCCTCAAAGATGTCTACATATTGGAACCTGTGAATATGTTACCTCATATAGCAAAAGGGACTTTGCAGATGTGATTATGTTAAGAATATTGAGATAGGAAGATTATCCAGTTCTATCTGGGTGGGCCCAGTGTAATCACAGCGTCCTTGTAAAGGAAGGAAGGAAGCAGATGAGTCAGAAAAAGATGTGACAATAGAATCAGGCAGTGAAACAGTGGAATTCAGGCCGCCTGTAGAAGCTGGACAATGCAAGGAAATAGATTCTCCACTAGAGCATCCAGTGGTAACACAGCCCTTTCAACCCATTTTAGTCTTCTGACCTCTAGAACTGTATGATAATAAATTTGTCTTGTTTTAAGCAATTGAGTGTGTGGTAACATTTTATACAATTTGTTATAGCAGTAGGAAACTAGTGTAACAGCTATTTTTAAAGAACAAAAGAGGAAAAAAGTATTTTCTATTTACTCAGATATTTATCATTTCTATTGCTTCTCCATTCCTGAGGTTCAAGTTTCCCTCTGGTATCATTTTCCTTTAGTCTGAAGAGCTTCCTTTAACATTTCTGGTACAGCATGTCTACTGGCAACAAATTATGTTTGCTATCCTTCATCTGAGAATATTTTCATGTTGTCTTCATTTTTGAAGGATATTTTTGCTGGACATAGATTTATGGGTTGGCAATTCTTTTCTTTCAACACTTTAAAGATGTTCCACTGTTTTCTGGCCTTCATTGTGATAAGAAAATCACAGTCATTCAAATTATTGTTCCCCTAGAAGAAATGAGTTATTTTCCTCTAACTACCTTAAAATTTTTTTCTTTTTTTTATATACCACTTTTTTATTTTTATTTTTTATTTTTTTATTATACTTTAAGTTTTAGGGTACATGTGCACAACGTGCAGGTTTGTTACATATCTATACATGTGCCATGTTGGTTTGCTGCACCCATTAATTCATCATTTACATTAGGTATTTCTCCTAATGCTATCCCTTCCCCATCCTCCAACCCCACGGAAGGCTCCGGTGTGTGATGTTCCCCGCCGTGTGTCCAAGTGTTCTCATTGTTCAATTCCCACCTATGAGTGAGAACATGTGGTGTTTGGTTTTCTGTCCTTGTGATAATTTGCTCAGAATGATGGTTTCCAGCTTCATCCATGTCTCTACAAAGGACATGAACTAATCCTTTTTTATGGCTGCATAGTCTTCCATGGGGTATATGTATCACATTTTCTTTATCCAGTCTATCATTGATGGACACTTGTGTTGGTTTCAAGTCTTTGCTATTGTGAATAGTACCGCAATAAAAATACGTGTGCATGTGTCTTTATAATAGCATGATTTATAATCCTTTTGGTATATACCCAGTAATGGGATCGCTGGGTCAAATGGTATTTCTAGTACTAGATCCCTGAGGAACCGCCACACTGTCTTCCACAATGGTTGAACTAGTTTACACTCCCACCAACAGTGTAAAAGTGTTGCTATTTCTCCACATCCTCTCCAGCACCTGTTGTTTCCTGACTTTTTAATGATTGCCATTCTAACTAGTGTGAGATGGTATCTCATTGTGCTTTTGATTTGCATTTCTCTGATGACCATTGATGATGAGCATTTTTTCATGTGTCTGTTGGCTGCATAAATGTCTTCTTTTGAGAAGTGTCTGTTCATATACTTTGCCCACTTTTTGGTGGGGTGGTTTGATTTTTTCTTGTAAATTTGTTTAAGTTCTTCGTAGATTCTGAATATTAGCCCTTTGTCAGATGAGTAGATTGCAAAAATTTTCTCCCATTCTGTAGGTTGCCTGTTCACTCTGATGGTAGTTTCTTTTGCTGTGCAGAAGCTCTTTAGTTTAATTGGATCCCATTTGTCAATTTTGGCTTTTGTTGCCATTGCTTTTGGTGTTTTAGACATGAAGTCCTTGACTATGCCTACGTCCTGAATGGTATTGCCTAGGTTTTCTTCTAGGGTTTTTATGGTTTTAGGTCTAATATTTAAGTCTTTAATCCATCTTGAATTAATTTTTGTATAAGATGTAAGGAAGGGATCCAGTTTCAGCTTTCTACATATGGCTAGCCAGTTTTCCCAGCACCATTTATTAAATAGGGAATCCTTTCCCCATTGCTTGTTTTGTCAGGTTTGTCAAAGATCAGATGGTTGTATGTGTGTGTTATTATCTCTGAGGGCTCTGTTCTGTTCCATTGGTCTATATCTCTGTTTTGGTACGAGTACCATGCTGTTTTGGTTACTGTAGCCTTGTAGTATAGTTTGAAGTCAGGTAGCGTGATACCTCCAGCTTTGTTCTTTTTGATTAGGATTGTCTTGGCAATACGGGCTCTTTTTTGGTTCCATATTAACTTTAAAGTATTTTTTTCCAGTTCTGTGAAGAAAGTCATTGGTAGCTTGATGGGGATGGCACTGAATCTATAAGTTACCTTGGGCAGTATGGCCATTTTGAAGATATTGATTCTTCCCATCCATGAGCTTGGAAAGTACTTCCATTTGTTTGTGTCCTTTTTTATCTCGTTGAGCAGTGGTCTGTCGTTCTCCTTGAAGAGGTCCTTCACAGCCCTTGTAAGTTGGATTCCTAGGTATTTTATCCTCTTTGAAGCAATTGTGAATGGGAGTTCACTCATGATTTGGCTCTCTGTTTGTCTGTTATTGGTGTATAGGAATGCTTATGATTTTTGCACATTGATTTTGTATCCTGAGACTTTGCTGAAGTTGCTTATCAGCTTAAGGAGATTTTGGGCTGAGATGATGGGGTTTTCTAAATATACAATCATGTCATCTGTGAACAGGGACAATTTGACTTCCTCTTTTCCTAATTGAATACACTTTATTTCTTTCTCCTGCCTGATTGCCCTGGCCTTAATTTCCAACACTATGTTGAATAGGAGTGGTGAGAGAGGGCATCCCTGTCTTGTGCCAGTTTTCAAAGGGAATGCTTCCAGTTTTTGCCATTCAGTATGACATTGGCTGTGGCTTTATCATAAATAGCTCTTATTATTTTGATATACATCCCATCAATACCTAGTTTATTGAGAGTTTTTAGCATGAAACACTGTTGAATTTTATCGAAGGCCTTTTCTGCATCTATTAAGATAATCATGTGGTTTTTGTCTTTGGTTCTGTTTATGTGATGGATTACGTTTATTGATTTGCATATGTTGAACCAGGCTTGCATCCCAGGGATGAAGCCAACTTGATCATGGTGGATAAGCTTTTTGATGTGCTGCTGGATTCTGTTTGCCAGTATTTTATTGAGGATATTTGCATGGATGTTCATCAGGGATATTGGTATAAAATTCTCTTTTTTGTGTGTGTGTCTCTGCCAGGCTTTGTTATCAGGATGAGGTTGGCCTCATAAAATGAGTTAGGGAAGATTCCCTCTTTTTCTATTGATTGGAATAGTTTCAGAAGGAATGGTACCAGTTCCTCCTTGTACCTCTGGTAGAATTCGGCTGTGAATCCGTCTGGTCCTGGACTTTTTTTGGTTGGTAGGCTATTAATTATTGCCTCAATTTCAGAGCCTGTTTTTGGTCTATTCAGAGATTTGACTTCTTCCTGGTTTAGTCTTGGAAGGGTGTATGTGTCGAGGAATTTATCCACTTCTCCTAGATTTTCTAGTTTATTTGCATAGAGGTGTTTATAGTATTCTCTGATGATAGTTTGTATTTCTGTGGGATCGGTGGTGATATCCCCTTTATCATTTTTTATTGCATCTATTTGATTCTTCTCTCTTTTCTTCTTTATTAGTCTTGCTAGCAGTCTATCAATTTTGTTGATCTTTTCAAAAAACCAGCCCCTGGATTCATTGATTTTTTTAAATGTTTTTTGTGTCTCTATTTCCTTCATTTCTGCTCTGATTTTAGTTATTTCTTGCCTTCTGCTAGCTTTTGAATTTGTTTGCTTTTGCTTCTCTAGTTCTTTAAGTGTGATGTTAGGGTGTCGATTTTAGATCTTTCCTGCTTTCTCTTGTGGGCATTTAGTGCTATAAATTTCACTCTACACACTGCTTAAATGCGTCCCAGAGATTCTGGTATGTTGTGTCTTTGTTCTCATTGGTTTCAAAGAACATCTTTATTTCTGCCTTCATTTCGTTATTTACCCAGTAGTCATTCAGGAGAAGGTTGTTCAGTTTCCATGTAGTTGTGCAGTTTTTAGTGAGTTTCTTAATCCTGAGTTCTAGTTTCATTGCACTGTGATCTGAGAGACAGCTTGTTATGATTTCTGTTCTTTTACATTTGCTGAGGAGTGCTTTACTTCCAATTATGTGGTCAGTTTTGGAATAAGTGCGATGTGGTGCTGAGAAGAATGTATATTCTATTGATTTGGGATGGAGAGTTCTGTAGATGTCTATTAGGTCCGCTTGGTGCAGAGCTGAGTTCAAGTCCTGGATATCCTTCTTAACCTTCTGTCTCATTGATCTATCTAATGTTGACAGTGGGGTGTTAAAGTCTCCCATTATTATTGTGTGTGAGTCTAAGTCTCTTTGTAGGTCTCTAAGGACTTGCTTTACTAATCTGGGTGCTCCTGTATTGGGTGCATATATATTTAGGATAGTTAGCTCTTCTTGTTGAATTGATCCCTTCACCATTATGTAATGGCCTTCTTTGTCTTTTGATCTTTGTTGGCTTAAAGTCTGTTTTATCAGAGACTAGGATTGCAACCCCTGCTTTTTTCTGTTTTCCATTTGCTTGGTAGATCTTCATCCATCCCTTTATTTTGAGCCTACGTGTGTCTCTGCACGTGAGATGGGTTTCCTGAATACAGCACACTGATGGTTCTTGACTCTTTATCCAATTTGCCAGTCTGTGTCTTTTAATTGGGGCATTTAGCCCATTTACATTTAAGGTTAATATTGTTATGTGTGAATTTGATCCTGTCATTATGACGTTAGCTGGTTATTTTGCTCATTAGTTGATGCAGTTCCTTCCTAGCATCAATGGTCTTTACAATTTGGCATGTTTTTGCAGTGGCTGGTACCGGTTGTTCCTTTCCATGTTTAGTGCTTCCATCAGGAGCTCTTGTAAGGCAGGCCTGGTGGTGACAAAATCTCTCAGCATTTGCTTGTCTGTAAAGGATTTTATTTCTCCTTCACTTACGAAGCTTAGTTTGGCTGGATATGAAATTTGGGGTTGAAAATTCTTTTCTTTAAGAATGTTGAATATTGGCCCCCACTCTCTTCTGGCTTGTAGAATTTCTGCTGAGAGATCCCCTGTTAGTCTGATGAGCTTCCCTTTGTGGGTAACCCGACCTTTCTCTCTGGCTGCCCTTAACATTTTTTCCTTCATTTCAACCTTGGTGAATCTGACAATTATGTGTCTTGGGGTTGCTCTTCTTGAGGAGTATCTTTGTGGTGTTCTCTGTATTTCCTGAATTTGAATGTTGGCCTGCCTTGCTAGGTTGGGGAAATTCTCCTGGATAATATCCTGAAGAGTGTTTTCGAACTTGGTTCCATTCTCTCATCAATCAAACACAGATTTGGTCTTTTCACATAGTCCCATATTTCTTTGAGGCTTTTTTCATTTCTTTTTACTCTTTTTTCTCTGAACTTCTCTTCTCACTTCATTTCATTCATTTGATCTTCAATCACTGATACCCTTTCTTCCACTTGGTTGAATCGGTACCCTTTCTTCCACTTGATTGAATCGGCTACTGAAGCTTGTACATACGTCATGTAGTTCTTGTGACATGGTTTTCAGCTCCATTAGGTCACCTAAGATCTTCTCTACACAGTTTATTCTAGTTAGCCATTCGTCTAATCTTTTTTCAAGGTTTTTAGCTTCCTTGCAATGGGTTTGAACATCCTCCTTTAGCTCAGAGAAGTTTGTTATTACCAATCTTCTGAAGCCTACTTTTGTCAACTTGTCAAAGTCATTCTCCATCCCGCTTCATTCCATTGCTAGTGAGGAGCTGCGATCCTTTGGAGGAGAAGAGGCGCTCTGGTTTTTAGAATTTTCAGCTTTTCTGCTCTGGTTTCTCCCCATCTTTGTGGTTTTCTCTACCTTTGGTCTTTGATGACGGTGACCTACATTTGGAGTTTTGGTGTGGATGTCCTTTTTGTTGATGTTGATGCTATTCCTGTTTGTTAGTTTTCCTTCTAACAGTCAGGACCCTTAGCTGCAGGTCTGTTGGAGTTTGCTGGAGGTCCACTCCAGACCCTGTTTGCCTGGGTATCCCCAACAGAGGTGGCAGAACAGCAAATATTGCAGAACAGCAAATGTTGTTGCCTGATCCTTCCTCTGGAAGTTGTGTCTCAGATAGGCATCTGGCTGTATGAGGTGTCAGTCGGCCCCTACTGGGAGGTGTCTCCCAGTTAGGCTACACGGGAGTCAGGGACCCACTTGAGGAGGCAGTCTGTCCATTCTCAGAGCCTAAACTACATGCTGGGAGAACCATGGCACACTTCAAAACTGTCAGACAGGGACGTTTAAGTCTGCAGAAGTTTCTGCTGCCTTTTGTTAGGCTATGCCCTGCCCCCAGAGGTGGATTCTACAGAGTCAGGCAGGTCTCGTTGAGCTGTGGTGGGCTCCACCCAGTTCAAGCTTCCTGGCTGCTTTGTTTACCTACTCAAGCCTCAGCAATGGCAGATGCCCCTCCCCCAGCCTAGTTGCTCTCGGACTGCTGCACTAGCAGTAAGCAAGGCTCCATGGGCATGGGACCCGCCGAGCCAGGTGCAGGATATAATCTCCTGGTGTGCCGTTTGCTAAGACCATTGGAAAAGTGCAGTATTAGGGCGGGAGTGTCCCGATTTTCCAGGTACCATCTGTCATTGCTTCCCTTGGCTAGGAAAGGGAAATCCCCGACCCCTTGCACTTCCCAGGTGAGGCGATGCCCCGCCCTGCTTCAGCTCACCCTCCATGGGCTGCACCCACTGTCCAACCAGTCCCAGTGAGTTAAACCAGGTACCTCAGTTGGAAATGCAGAAATCACCCGTCTTCTGCAACGATCACACTGGAAGCTGTAGACCGGAGCTGTTCCTATTTGGCCATCTTGGAATGATCAGTCTAAAATTTTTTCTTTACTTTTCATTTTCAGCAGTTCAATAAGATGTGCCTAGAGGTGGTTTTCTTTGAGATTATTCCATTTGGAATTCATGAAACTTCTTGAATTTATAAATTTATATCTTTCAACAAATCTGGAAAATTTTGACAATTATTTCCTCAAATATATTTTCTACTCCAAAATGGGCAATCCAAGAGGACCAGGAGCTGCCACCCCTTCCTAGAACTATCTCACAGAGCAGGGGCATCACTCAGATAAAAGCAGGTCCCTGGCTCCAGCTCTGGTGCAGTGGTTCAGGGATTCTTCCCAGGAGGAAAGGCAGGACATAAGGATAAAGGACTCTGCAGCTCTGCTTGAGGGTACTGACTTAACTTGGAAAAGGGGGAAAAAAAAAAGCTATGCCTGCAGGCATTTTTTAAAACAGTGAAGATCTTGGTAGACAATAATTTATATTTATACACTGTATGAACATCAACACAAATTTATACATGTTGCTTTATAAAGTCAAGTAAGTAGGAGAAAAAAACAGAGTTATTACAAAATTCATTTATATTGTCTTGTATTTACCTATGTAGTTGTTGCTGCATGTGTTGTAATTTTTTGTTGAAAGCTGGACATGTTAGATAATATATTATAGAAACCCTGAATACTGAACCACCTGCCCACACCCTGGAGATTGTTGTTGTTTGCTTGGTCATGGGTTTGTTTGTTGGCTTGGCTGAACTAATTCTGTGAAGTCTATTTCCCCCAACATGTGCAACTCTGGTGTCCCTGCTCAGATATTTTTTCTTTATTTTTATCTTTTAGCCTGGCTACTTAGGTTTTGACCGTAGCTTGGCATAAGCTATTTATTAGTTAAAGGTTGTGCTTAAGCATCCTTTAGCCAATTAGATTTTTATCCTTTGCCATTGGATATGTGGATGGCTTGGAGATGGCTC
Organism: Homo sapiens; assembly: GCF_000001405.40. Taxonomy (NCBI): domain Eukaryota; kingdom Metazoa; phylum Chordata; class Mammalia; order Primates; family Hominidae; genus Homo; species Homo sapiens. Next base: position 101,523,398 of record NC_000023.11, on the reverse strand, counting down.
TCATAGTTCAGTGAATTTACATATTTCCTTGTCCCCTATCCACCACCTCATTCAGCCACTAGTACCTTGGAGGATCCTTCTGTGATTGCTCCTTCAAGGGCATAGCCTTGGGCATACACACATTCTTCTAGACTTCCAGGGATGATACTGATTTTATTTTTCATCCTGGATTTCTAGGATTTGCCCCTGGGTCAGAGTAGCCTATGGTTGAGTCAGTATTTGCTCAGAAGTTGTGTTTAAGTCCCTGTGCCACTGGTGCTTTTGCCCTATGTTTATAGGTCTGTGTGTGGCTTGAGGAATTCTTTCAAGCCTGCTCCATCCTTCTCTGATTTCTCCTAAGTGAACGTAGCTTCATATATGTACATAGCCTTCCTAACTCCCCGAATTGTATGTGATCCCAGAAGGGTTGTTATTGATGGTCTCCTTCCCTGGCTGTTCTGCCAATACATGCAACAACAATGACATAGGTAAATATAAAATACAATATAAATGAATTTTGTTATAATTCTGTCTTTTCTCCTATCTAACTTACAAGACTTTATAAAGCTATATGTATAAATCTGTGTTGATGTTCATACAATGTATAAAAATGTAATTTGTATGACAATAACGATGCAAAGGAGTGAGGAGGTTATGAAGTTATTAAGAGCAAAGATTTGAAATTAAGTTGACATTGATATGAACTTGATTTTTATGTTAAGATATTAATTGTAACTCCAAGGGCAACCTCTAAGAAAATAAATTCTAAAATATAGTAAATGGAATGGCAAAGGAATGAAAATGGTACACTAGGAAACTCCTATTTAACACAAAAGAAGCAGTAATAGAAGAATAGAACAAAAAAGATATGAGACATATAGAAAACAAATAGTAAAATGGCATATGTGAATCCCAATCTATAAGTAATTGCATTAATATAAATGGATTAAACACTCTAATGTAAAGGCAGAGATTGACAGAATTAATTTAAAACGTGTGATCCAACCATATGCTGTCTATAAGAGACACACTTCAGATTCAAAGACACAAACAAGTTGAAAGTAGGACAGAAAAAGATATACCATGCAAACAGTTGCCAAAAGGGACCTGGAGGGCTTTACTAATACCAGAAAAATTATACCTTAAGACAAGCATTTTTATTAGAGGCAAAGAAGGATAATTTAAAATGATGAAAAGGTCAAAAAGATATAACAATTATAAACATATATGTACTTCATGACAAATCCCCAAAATACATAAAGCAAAAGTAGACAGAATTGGAAAAATATACAATTCAATAATAATAATTGAATAATTCAATACTCCACTTCTAACAATGGATAGAACAACTAGATAAAAGATCAACAAGGAAATATAAGACTTCAACACCACTTTAAATCAACAAGAAGTGGCAGACATCTATAGAACACTTCACTAAACAACAGAAAAATACATATTCTTCTCAAGGACACATGGAACATTCTTCAGGATAAAGCACATATTAGATTTTAAGAGTCTCAATAAATTTAAAAGGATTGAAATCATATGAAGAATGTTCTTTGACCATAATGAAATTAAGAATCAACAACAAAAAATAGGGGTTGATGCACACATATGTGCAAATTAAACATATGCCTATGTCACCAATGAGTCAAACAAAATAAGTTAGAAAATATTTTGAGCTGAATGAAAACAAAGATACAACATACCAAAACTTATGAGGTACAGCTGAAACAGTGCTTACAGAGAAAAATATAGCTATAAATACCAAAAGGTCTCAAATCAAGAACCTAACCTAAAGATACTGTGAAAAGAAGAGAAAAATAAACTTAAGTCAAGCAGAAAGAAGTATTAGAGAGGAGACAAATGAAACAGAATAGAAAAATAATAGAGAAAACCAATAGAACCAAAGTCTGGCTCTTTAAAAAGATCAACAAAATTGACAGACCTTAGGCTAGATTGACCAAGAAAAAGAGAGAGATCCCAAATTACTAGGATAAAGAATGAAACAGGGAAATTACTACCAGCCTTACAAAATGAAGTGTTATAAGGAATACTATGAAAAATCGTATGCCAACAAATTAGATATCATATATGAAATTGGACAAATACCTAAAACTGAAAATTACCAAAACTGACTAAAGAAGAAATACAAAATAAAAATTGACCAATTTAGTAAAGAGATTTAGGCTGGGCACAGTGGCTCATGCCTGTAATCCAAGCACTTTGAGAGGCTGAGGTGGGCAGATCACCTGAGGTCAGGAGTTTGAGACTAGCCTGGCCAATATGGTGAAACCCTGTCTCTACTAAAAATATGAAAATTAGCCAGGCATGGTGGCAGGCATCTGTAATCCCAGCTACTCGGGAGGCTGAGGAAGGAGGATCGCTTCAACCCGGGAGGTGGAGACTGTGGTGAGCCAAGACTTCATCATTGCACTCCAATCAGCCTGGGCAACAAAAGCGAAACTCCATCTCAAAAAAAAAAAAAAAGACATTTAATTAGTAATAATTTTTTTAAAAAAAAACCTCATAAAGAAAATTCCAGGACCAAACGGCTTCACTGGTAAATGCTACCAAATGTTTAAAGAAAAATTAATATGAATATTTCACAAATTCTTCCAAAAACTTAAAGAGAACACTTCAAAACTCATCCTGTAAGGCCAGTATTACCCAGATACCAAAATCAGATAAAGGCGTCACAGGAAAGGAAAACCACTCTAACCAATATAACTTATAAATACAGACAAAAACATTCTCAACACAATACTTGCACACATAAAAATAATTATACATCACGACCAAGAAGGATTTACCCCAGGAATGTAAAGTCAGGTTAACATCTGAAAATCAATCAACGTAATATGCCAGATTTAAAAAGTAAAGGAGAAATAACACATGATCATTTCAATAGACACAGAAAAAGCATTTGACAAAATTAAACACTCCTCATAATAAAAAATGCTTGATAAACTAGGAAGGGAAGAGAACTTCCTCCATTTGATAAAAGATGTCTATGAAAAACCCACAGATAACGTATTCAATGGTGAAAATCAGGAACAAGACAAGGATATCTGCTCTTACCACTTTTATTCACCATTTTAGTGGAGGTCCTAGCCAGGGTAATTGGATAAGAAAAAGAAATAAAATGCATCCTGATTGGAAAGGAAAAAATATGATGTCTATTTGCAGATAACATAACCTTGTATATGAACAGTTTTAAAGAAAGGTTGCAGGATGCAAGATTAATTAATATACAAAAATCAGTTATAATTCTATACACAAGCAATCAAAAAATAAAATTAGGAAAATAATTCTGTTTAAAATAGCATCATGCATATATCTGATAAGGGTTAATCTCCAAAATATATAAGTAACTTCTAAAACTCAATAGGAGAAAACCAAATAACTTGATTTTAAAATAAGCAAACGACTTGAATGGACATTTCTTCAAAAAAGACATACAAATGGCCAACAGGTATATAAAAAAATGCTCAACATCACTAATCATTAGGGAAATGCAAATCAAAACCACAATGAGATATCACCTCACACCTGTTAGAATGTCTATTATCAAAAAAAAAAGATAACCAGTGTTGATGAGGATGTGGAGAAACTGGAACCCTTGCACACTGTTGATGGGAATGTAAAGTGGTGCAGCCATTATGAAAATCAGTATGGAGGTTCCTCAAAAAACTAAAATAGAACTACCATATGATCCAGCAATTCTACTTCTGTATATATATCTAGAAGTATTGAAATCAGAATCTCAGAGAGATATCTGCAGTCTCATGTTTATTGCAGCATTATTCACAGTAGTCAAGATAGAAAACAATCTAAATGTCCACCAAAAGATGAATGGAGAAAGAAAATGTGGAATATACATATAATGGAGTGTTATTCAGTCTTTAAAAAGAAAGAAATTCTGCCCTTGTGCCTATGTGACAATATGGATGAAACTGAAAGACATGCTAAATGAAATAAGCCAGTCACAGAAGGGCAAATACTGTAGGATTCCACTTATATGAGGTATCTAAAATAGTTAAACTCAGAAACAGAGAATAGAATGGTGGTTGCTAGGAGCTGGGTGTAGGGGGAAATGGGGAGTTGCTGTTCAATGGATATAAAATTTTAGTGATACAAGATAAACAAGTTTTGGAGATTTGCTATAAAACATTGTACTTATAGTTAACAGAACTGAAAATTATAGCTGATACATCATGGATGTGGCTTATACAAGGAAAATGATGTGAAACTCTAACCAGAAGATTTATACTCAAAGTTAAGTTGTTGGTTCTATATCAAAGGCAGCCAAGTGAAAGAGAATTTGTGTATTTTAAGTTAAAATGCCTAATATATATTTTATTATTTTCTCCAATGTCTCAATTATTTTTCAATTAACTGATGAGCTACCAGTCCAAATTTCATTGGATAATAGGGCTTCTGCTATATTTCTAATAATTTTAATTTATATATTTCAATGCTATGCTGTTTGATAAAGTTTCTTGTATATTCTTGGCGGATCACACCATTTATAAATATAAAATAAAATATATAGATATAAAATAAGATAGTTATTTTAAGCTCTGATAAGCTCTGATATTCAAAGCTTACCAGCTAAGCTTCGAATTTAACTTATCTGATATTAATCTTAGCAATTCTGATTTTTTAATTCACATTTACCTGGGTTTTTTAAATCTTTTTATTTTCAATCTTTGTGTGTTTGTTTTTGATGTGTATCTTGAAAAGATTATATTGTTGGCTATTTAGTCCAACCTGGATATCCTTGTATTTTAATAAGGGAATTTAACCATCCATGTTAATTGTGATTACTTCTTTTTGGTTTTATTCCTGCCATCTTATATTTATGCTTTCTATTAATCATGATTTCGTATTGCTCCTTTTAGTTTTTCTTTTCTGACAAATTTTTCCCTCTAGTCACTTGAAAATTCTACATTTTAATGCTAGTCTGCTATTGACTACAAGTGAAAATTTTACCAAATGTATATAAATGTATTTCCTACTAATGTCACCATTTAACCACTATCTATAACTGCACTCAATCTCAAGTAAGATACGACCTTTAATATGCTTTCAATTATATCCTAACTCTGCTTCCAAATGTGTTCACATTACCTTGAACTTCAGTTTTATTTCTCTATTTTTTACTCTGTTATTATAGTATGTCACTATAATTTTAGGAATTCTTTACAAACAATTGCATTAAACTTTACAGAATATTACTACTACAAATGATTAATTGGTTGTGTACAGACTTCTAGGTTCATGATCTTTTTCCTTCAGAATTTTAGAGACATTGCTCCATTACATTCTAACATAAACTTTTTTGGGTAAAAAAATCCAATTACATTTTAATTTTCTCTTTAAAAATTACCTTTTTTCTCCCTCTGGAAGCATGTAGGATTTTATATGTTTTATGTGCTTAAGATCTGTCTAACTATTCTTATGTGTGCTCTGAAATTTTTCTTACTCAGCATTTGGTGGGGCATTTAAATCTAGAGGACCCAGACTTTCAGGAAATTTCTTTCTATTATTTCTTTGTTTGTTTTTTTTTACAAACCTTGAGTAGATATTAGATCTACTGGATTTAATTTCTATGTCACTCAATCTTTCTTTTATAATTTCCATCTCTTTTTAATTTAGGAAGAATTCCATGATTAAATCTCCCAAATAACAAATTCCACCTTCAGTCATATCCATTAGGTTCTTCTGTACTTCTGATGAGGTGTTTGTTTTTTGTTTCACATCTTTGATACTGTCTTAAAAGGTCTGTTACTTTTCAACTATCTCAGTGTACTTCAAAATACAAAAGTAAATGTAATAATCAGGCCAAGTGTGGTGGCTCACCCTTGCAGTCCCAGCACTTTGGGAGGCAGAAGTACAAAAAAAGAATTAGCTCAGCATAGTGGCATGCACCTGTAGTCCCAGCTACTGAGGAGGCTGAGGCAGGAGAATCACTTGAGACCAGGAGGTCAAGGCTGCAGTGAACAGTGATTCCACCACTGCACTCCACCCCAGGTGACACAGTGAGACTCTATCTCAATAAGAAAAAGAAAAAGAAAAGTAATAACTATTGTTGGTACAGTTATTCTAAATCTAAATAGATAATTTCCACAGCAATATTATTTATTTAGCCCATATTTTCCTTTCAAATATATGTAAAATTTCTAAATCAGAATACAACTTACTGAACAGAAGCCTCATTGTTTAAATCTCAACATTCAGTAAAACAGACACTACATATTAGGTTGCCTTTGAATATGAATCACTCATTTAGGTAAAGATGTAATTTCTAACTTGTGTTAAAAGTGAAAGAAAATTAAGTGAAGAAATAATTTTTTATGTGAAGCCTTGACCAAAACCAATTAGTCAAATACAAGATTACTGCCACGGGTATCAACTATCCAGGCTGGTGGCATGAGCAGTAAAAAGAATTTATGAAGACAGTTGTAGGTAAATAAAGGTAAATTTATTAGAGAAAGTATGAAAATATGCTGCAAGAAAGCAACAAGCAAATCAGGAAGAGAGGAGCTGACTGCAAAAAGACAAAGGCTTGCTGGCGATTTTTTAGGACGGTGCTTGTGCTGGAGAGGGCTGCGTGCAGTACTGATAATGCCAAGGCTGCAGTGAGCTAACTTGCATTTTTCTATCAGACGAGGGTTTGGTAATAGCTGGACACAAGAAGATTGTGAGTTATCTGCGCAGGAGGGGTGTGTGTCCTGGACCATGAAGAAAGACAGGCTTATAGATTATCTGCTTTCTCTTCTTGCTTTCTCCTGCTCCCGCCAGCCTGACTCCTTTTCCTTTATTAGGACTCCAAAATTACCGTATTATAATACAACTGAAGCTCTAATAACACGACACATTTGTTAGAGATTTGGATGCAGATATAACTACAGTTGAGGAATTGAACGTTCTTTAGCTAGGGGGTAATAAGAGAAAAAGACATTTTGTGGATCAGGCCCCAATTTTTATTATTTTATTGATAACAATGCCTTACTTTGTTTATTGAAGAATGTTTCTTCCAATTAAGATACACTTATAATTTTATAATGTTAGTGGGGAGAAAAGAGGGGCCCACTTTTTAGAAATCCGCTGTTTATAAAGTTATTAATTAGACATGGAATGACTCTTCATTTTCTGCTCTGATGACAACCAAATTTTTTTTCAAGTATTGACTTGCCAATTTATCCTTGACAAGTGATTCAGAAAGATAAATGAGCTTTCTGATTTTGCAAATAAGAATGTGGATATATTTTTTTCCGAGAAGCTATGTCCCATCATCTGGCCCATACTTCTAATTTAAAATATAACTGTTATCTCAACAAACAGCATTAATTTAAAATTTTAAACTTAAATCATCCTTACTGCACTGTTCTAATTCTCTGTACTTTTTATTTTTATATTATTTCTATAAAGAATCTTAACTGTGAATTCTGTGGTTTTAGAATTAGTTCTCTAATCTGATTAGATTTAAAGATACTAATAACTCTGTTTCCAGTGGTAAAGAGAACACGGATAGTCAATGGCATGATGAGGCAGTAGAAATACACAAAACATGGCCATGCACAGTGGCTCACGCCTGTAATCCCAAGACTCTGGGAGGCTAAGGTGGGAGAATCACTTGAGGCCAGGAGTTCAAGACCAGATTGACCAACATAGCAAAACCCCATCTCTACTAAAAATACCAAAAAAATTAGCTGGGTGTGGTGGCAGCTGGCTGTAATCCCAGCTGCTCAGGAAGCTGAGGCACGAGAATCTCTTGAACCTAGGAGGCGGAGGTAGCAGTGAGCCAAGATTGCACCACTACACTCCACCCTGGGCAACAGAGTGAGACTTTGTCAAAGAAATAAAGAGAGAAAGAGATAAAGAGAGAAAGAGGGAAAGAGAGAGAGAAAGAAAGAGAGAGAGGGAGGGAGGGAGGGAGGGAGGGAGGAAGGAAGGAAGGAAGGAAGGAAGGAAGGAAGGAAGGAAGGAAGGAAGGAAGAGAGGGAGGGAGGGAGGGAGGGAAAGAAAGAAAAAGAAAGAAAGAAAGAAAGAAAGAAAGAAAGAAAGAAAAGGAAAGGAAAGAAAGAAAGGGAGGAAGGAAGGGAGGAGAAAAGAAAACAGAAAAGAAAAAAATACACAAAATATCATCACTGGATACTCCTAATCACATACTTGGAAGAGTCAAGGTTCTGAGTGACCAAACATGTATTTTATACCTGAGGACATTTTTTGTCAAACTAACAAGTAAGATGAGATTAGTTGGTTGCTGTTAATCGTGCTGGATAAAGTTGCAGAAGAAAGGGATGAGCTCAGGGCTTCAAATTCCCAACACAAGTACTGTATAAATGACCTGGAAGTTTCTATGTCTGCAAGTGGCTGAATTACAATGTAAATTGAATTCCCAACTCTCAGGGTGTCTGATGTTAAAGTGAGAGCATTGATTAGGAGGGAATTGGATTCTGAAAGTTTAAATGAGAACATATGGGTAGAACCTGATGAAGCTGGGGACCTTCGTTAAGGAATTTAAACCCCTAAATTCAACTGATTCTTCTTTGCCAGTAAAGACAGCCCTTCCATCCCTGTCTAAGGAGATTAACCCTGCTAGCATTAAAGACCAAAACTGAGTCCTCCATTATGGAAACATTCCCCAGGGAAATTAACTAGCTACCTGGAGGCAGGTTGATTATGTTGGACCACTACCATCATGGAAGGGGCATCATTTTTTTCTTATTGGAACAGACACTCTGGATATGGATTTGCCTTCCCTGGTTGCAATGCTTCTGCCAAAACTGTCATCCATGGATGTACAGAATACTTTATTCACTATATGGTATTCCACACAGCGTTGCTTCTCGTAAGAAACTTACTTCACAGCAAGTGAAGTGCAACAATAGGTGCATGGTCATGGAATTACTGGTATTAAACCATGTTCCCTATTATCCTGAAGCAGCTGACTTAACAGAATGGCCTTTTGAAGACTCAGTTACAGCATGAGGTAGGTAACAATTTCTTACAGGCAACTCTCTATAGGAGTAATGTTCTCCAGGAAGTTTTATGTGATCTACATCAGCAATCCAATATATGGTGCTATTTTTTTCATAGCCAGGTTTCATGGGCCCAGGAATCAAGGGGTGGAAATGGGAGTGGCATCACTCTCTATCACCCCTAGTGTTTCACTACCAAAATTTTTGCTTCCTGCCTCCATGATCTTATGCTCTGCTGGTCTGAAGATCTTAGTTTCAAAGGGAGAAATGCTTCCAGTAGGAAACTCAACAATGATTCCATTGAAGTTAAGACTGCCACCAGGCCACTTTGGGCTTCTCATGCCTATGAATAAACAGGCAATGAACAGATTTGCTGTACTAGCTGGGGTTATTGGTCTTGATTAACAAGGGGGAAATGTGAGTCTATTCCACAATGGAAGTAAGGAACAGCTTGTCTGGAATATAGGATATCCCTTAGGGCTTAGTGCTACCATGCACTAGTATCCCTTAGTACTAATACTAGTACTAATATCCACTAGTATTAGTACTGGTACTAATACCCCTTAGTGTTTCCATGCCCTGTGATTAAAGTCAATGGAAAGCTACAATCACTCAATTCAAGCAGGACTAATAAAGACCCAAACTCTTCAGGAATGAAGGTGTAGGTCACCTGACCTAGCAAAGAACCATGACCAGCTGGAGTACTTGCTGAGAGCAGAGGGAATATGGAATGGATAGTGAAAGAAAATAGTTATAAAAACCAGCTATGACCACATAACCAATTGTAGAAATGAGGACTGTAATTGTCATGTGTATTTTTTCCTCATTTCATTATGTTTGTTTGTGTGTATATAGCAAACATCTTTGTGTGTGTATATAGCAAATATCTTATTCCCTTGTCATATAACAAAATATGTATTAGCTTTACATCATAGCATTTAAGTTACAGGATATCAAGGAGAAGTGTAAACATTGCCCAAGGACTTTGCGTCCTCTTCTGGGGAAAAGGTTGGTGCATTTTCAGTTGAACACAGGATATCTGTATCATGATAAGTGGAGGTATTGCTTTGTTATTGTCTATATTTAGAGATTACGTATGGTTTAAGGAGATGTGTATGGGTGCCAAGGTAGACTGTGATGGTTAATACTATGTGTAAAGTTGGCTAGGTTGTGATGTCCAGTTGTTTGTTTAAAAACTAGTCTAGATGTTTCTGTGAAGGCATTTTGTAGATGTGATTCACATTTATAATCTATTGACACAATGGATTGTTTTTCATTGTCTGGATAGGTCTCACCAAATCAGCTGAAGACCTTAAGAGCAAAACTTGAGGCTTCCTGGAGAAGAAGGACTTCTGCCTCAAGACATAGAAATCCTACTTGACTTTCTAGCCTGCAACATGCCCTACGGATTTCAGAATCAAGATCACAACATCAACTCTTACCTAACTTTTCAGCCTGCCAGCATGCCCTAAAAATTTCAGGCTTGTCAGTTCCCATTATGTGAGCCAACTCCTTAAAAATGAATCTCTCTCTCTCTCTTCTCTCTCTCTCTCTCTCTACATATATATACATATATACACATATATACACATATATATATGTGTATATATATGTGTATATATGTGTATATATGTATATATATGTGTATATATATATGTGTGTATATATATGTATGTATACACACATATATTCCCCTATTGGTTCTATTTCTCTAGAGAGTCCTAATACAGAATACAACATATGCATTTATCTCAAGTCCATCTTGAAATCTCATTAAAATAATCAGAAATACAAACAGAAATGGAGAAGAAATAATAGTTCATGGAATATATTAACAAAATATTGGAAGATCAGTGGATAAACATTGAATGACCTAGAAAAACAGGAAAAGCGGAAACTCCAATCTCCCATGAATGATGATGATGAGTTAGGAGTATGTGATTCACTCCACAGAGCAGTACAGAAGCTCAGGAATTTGAGGCACCAGTTAACTGCTGAAGGGTCCTCATTGGACTAAGAACAAAAGGATTAGTTGAAATTTTTGTTTTCTTTTTTTCTTGAGATAGAGTCTTGCTCTGTCACCCAGGCTGGAGTGCAGTGGCGCAATCACAGCTCACTGCAACCTCTGCCTCCCGGGTTCAAGCCATTCTCCTGCCTCAGCCTGAGATTACAGGCGCCTGCCACCACACCAGGCTAATTTTTGTATTTTTAGTAGAGATGAGGTTTCGCCATGCTGGCCAGGCTGGTCTCAAACTCCTGACCTCAAGTGATCCATCCACCTCAGCCTCCCGAAGTGCTGGGATTACAGGCGTGAGCGGCCGCACCCAGCCCATTAGTTGAAATTTTTAATAAGGGGCAGTTAGACCCCAAGATCTTCTCCTCCAGCCCCTATACTAGGTGAGTTCTCTCAGAAAACAGATGGTTTACTTTCTGGAGAAGTTAAACCAGAAAAGGTCTGAACTTATGAGTGCAGCTAAGGTGGGTATAATAAGTTGTACTAAAAAAAAAAAGGAATAATTAAGTGAGAGTTTGCATATTGAAAGGTGAGACATTCTCCCCACTCAAGGTCCTTTCCCTCGCTCAGCCTCCTGAGCACTGTCAACTGTGCTTATAAGCCCAAGGAAGGAGATTGGAGGATTCCTCTCCATGTAAACTAATTAGCCTAATAAAAAGTACCTACAGAGGTTGAGGTGGGAGGGTCACTTGAGCCCAAGATTTCAAAGTTACAGCAAACTATGATCACGCCACTACACTCCAGTGTGGGCAACAGAATGCTCAGAAAAAAAAAAAGTATCTATGAAAACTGGCATTTGTGTGTGCCACAATGATATAACTGGATCCCTCCTAACCCTATGGAGGGGCTCATTCTTAAAGATAAATATATGTTTGTTAGAGGACTAACATTGTTTTGGTGAGACCAAGACAAAAGGCCATAAAAAGGAAGCTGAGAGTAAAATAGACAATACATGAAACAGAAGAAAGCCATAAAAATCTATAATATCCATAAATAGATAAGAATATATAATATCCATGAGACACGTGCAGAATTCTATTTTAAAAGAAACAATCAGAGGTCAGGAAAAGCTCCATGTATCAATAGAAGATCAAAAGAGTAGGGGAAAAAATCCCCAAATGTAGAACACAATAAGAAAGAGATTTTTTAAAATAGGAAAAAGATAATAAAATTATCATATGGGAGGTAAAACAGAAATAGTACAAGTTCCATAACGAAAGAACAGAAAAATGGTAAGAAGAAACAATCAAAGTGCTAATACAAGAAATCAAAAAATCATTAAAGAACTAATGCAAAATATGTGTCACTAGATTGAAACAGCCCATTAAGTTCCTATCAAAATGAATAAAAATAGACTTACTTAATATCATGATTTTTCTTTTCATAGCAACCTACAAAATTAAAAAATCATATTATTGATAAGTTTCAAAATATTAAGGATGAAAAGAAGAACCTAAACATTTTCAGAGAGGAAAAAAATGTCATGTATAATGGACAAGAAATAGAAGAGCATTAGGCTTCTCAAACCACACACAACTAAACGATTTCAGAAGGATAATTTCAAAATTCTAAGGCATGAACTCCCAATAAAATATTTGGGGATGAACTTAGCATTAGACTTTATTTCTTCCTAAAAATCCCATTAAAATTACAGTAAAGATATTTAAAGGTACAATAAAAAAAGAAAAGGATAGGAGACAACAGTAACACAATTTTAGAAGCTGGAGTACAGATGGGCACATTGCAATCAACTTATTAGATTTGAGATAGCTGCATCCTATCCCTAAAGTAGAGAAAGGTGAGAAGTAATATAACTTACATCACATAACCCCCAACCTCAGAGAATAGTATTCTGTAATAAGCAAGGGTGAAAATAAGACCAAAAATAGGAGGCTTGGTTAAATGTTTCAAAAACAGACCCTCACCCTTCCACTCCAAGTACCTCAGTGACTATCACTCCCCGACCCTGGCAGAAGACTGGAGATTATTTACTGAAGCAATGTTTGTCATTGGAGTGACTGGAAATAATCAAAATATTCATTGGAAGAGAGCTTTCTAAATAAAATTGGTACATTCACACAAAGGGAGATTATGCAGCTGTAAAATGTGAGTAAATTATGTACTCATGTGGAAAGACTTCCGTGATATATTGTTAAGTAAAACAAGCAAATAAACAACCTAAAAAAAGCAAAGTGCAGGACAGCAAGTGTGTGAATATATGCGTATATATATTCTATATTTCATCATTTATAAAAGGGGTAAAATAAGAATATTTACATTTATGTTTCCTTACATATGCAAGATGAAATCCTGGAAGTATGAAAAAGAAACTAATAACAATAGTTATCTGTTTTCGGAAAAGGGGAACTGAGTGGAAGAAGAATGTTGGTTGGAGGAAGGTTTTTCACTGCATTTTTTATTATTAATTTGAACCATGTGAATGTATTACCTAGTGAAAAAGTAAATATATAAAAAAGAACTGGAGTAACATCTGACTTCTCAACAGCAACACTGGAAGCTAAAATACAATGAAACAATGTCCTCAAAATTCTTAGAGAATTTCCAGTTCAAAATTCCATCTCCAGCCAAGCTATCAATCAAGTATTGGAGTAGAAAAATGACATTTTCAAGATAACCTGTCAATGTAGTAGGAAAACAGGAGGGGACAGTAACAGAAAAGCACAGGGGAAAAGATGGCAAGTTTAGTTAAAATAGAAAAGTGCTCAGTGTCTCATACCTGTAATCCCAGCACTTTGGGGGGCCAAGGCAAGTGGATCACTTGAGCCCAGGAGTTCAAGGCCATCCTGGGCAATGTGGCAAAACCATCTACAAAAAAATACAAAAAGAGGAAGAAATGATATTTCACAAATTTGTATCATTTGTCATGATGTGATTCTTGAATATATTAAATATTTTTCCTTTAATACTGTATGCTGTTTGCTTACATAAAATTTTTTGATTAAAAAAAAAGAAAAATGACTTTCAAACCTGAAAGATCTCAGAAGTGTGCTTTGCATATACACTTTCTCAGGAAGCTACTGGAAGATATGTTCTGTTCTGCCAAAAGAGAGCATAAACCAAGAAAGAGGGAGATGTGAGATCCAGGAAACAGTGAATCTAACACAATAGTGAGCAAGGAAAGTCACCAAGATTATTGTGAAAAGAAATCCCAAAATAAAAGTTGTGTTGCATGCCTAGAGTGCAACCAGTCTAGTTTAAAGCAGGTCCAAAGATTCCCAAGAGAAACTTTGTCCAGAAAATGAAATTGTTGGAATACCTAATTTATTTAAACATAATGGAAGAATATTTACATAATTGGGAGTATATTTTGGAAATAAATTGGTGATAAATACATAGAAAAAGAGAGGGGGGAAGAAATTAAATCTAGAGAAAATAAAAAGTTGTGCAGGACAGGAAAAAATAATCCTAATATACTATGTAACTCAACTGTCAATAACAAGTACATAGTCAACATAATACTGTCAATATAACTAAAATAAGAATAAAGCAATTGAGAGGGCAGGGTATAAGAAATGTAGAAATGTATGATTACAATAAGCAGGGGTGAGTATAAAAGAAGAGCTAAACTCATCTCCCATAGTGGGAAGTCAGTGACTTAAAACTCAAAAATCAAGAAACAATATAAGTATGTTATTTTGACATAGGTAGATAATACCAAAATAATACATTAAAAGAGTTGAAATTTATTGCTTCTGGGTGTAGAAAATAGTGTTGCGATACAAGGATATTGCTGTTTTTCATAGTAAGCTGTTATATACTGAATCATGTCCCCCAAAATTTATATATTGAAGCCCTAAACCCTTAATGTGACTGTACTCAGAGATAGAGCCTTTAAGGAGGTAATTATGGTTAAATTGGGTACTAAGAATAGAGCCCTAATCTGATAGGATTGGTGTCCTTATAAGAAGAGACAACAAAGATCTCTCTCTATCTCCACGCCCACACAGAGAAAAGGCCATGTGACGACACAACAAGAAGGTGGCCATATACGAGCCAGGAAGAGAGGCTACACCAGAAACTAATGCTGACTGCGTCTTGATCTTGGAATTCTAGCCTGCATAACTATGAGAAAATAAATTTTTGTTGTTTAATCCACCCAACCTGTGGAATTTTGTTATGGAAGCTCAAGAGGACTAATACATTAGCCTTGTATGATTATACTCATGCATTGCTTAACAATGAAGATACGTTCTGAGAAATGCATTGTTCGGTGATACAGTCATTGTGTGAACATTACAGAGTATATTTACACAAACCTAGATGATATAGCCTACTACCTACCTGGGCTATATGGTATAAACTATTGCTTCTAGGCTATAGACCTGAACAGCGTGTTACTGTACTGAATACTGTTAGCAATTGTTACACAATGGTATTTACATATCTAAACATTTAAACATAGAAAAGGTAATGTGTTGTGCTGCGACATTACAATGGCTACGACATCACTAGCTGATAGGAATTTTTCAGCTTCATTATAATCTTATGGGACCACCATTGTATATGCTGTCCATCATTGATGTTGTTATGCAGTGCATGACTGTATTGGATTTTTAAACTATATGCATATACAGCTTTGATTTGAAAAGTAAATTTTTAAAATTCTGAGGGAAATGACCTAAACCTAGAATTTTATATCCAATAATTACCAGTCAAGTGTAAGGGTAGAATACAGGCATTTTCAGACAGGCAAAATCTCAAGGTATTTATATACTATACACTCTTTCTCATAAACCTAGATTTACTTTGTCAAAATGAGGTCATAAATCAAGAAAGATTAAGCCATAGGATGTAGGGAAAGCAAGATCCAACATGAAAAAGAGACTAAGAAAATTCCACTATGATGACAAGGGAGTTTCTAGGACAATAGCTGTACATTAGGCCTGAAGGGTAATCTTCCAAAATGGAGCAGGAATACAGAAGGATCCATGAACTCTAGGGAAAAAATTTATATAATGGACAACAATAATATATAATAGATGCCAATTACTATGTACCAAGTATGACTCTGAGTGCTTAATCTTTTAATCCTCATAGAAATCTTATGAGATATGCCATTTCCCATTTTAAATATGGGGAAAGTGAGACAGAGAGTGGAAGAGATTTGTTCAAGATCATGTAGCTATTACATGACAAATTCAGGATTTGAAGCCAGGCTGTCTAGTGGCAGAGTCCATGCACTTACCTGCCTCTCCTTCTAATGTCTCAATTGTGAAAAATCCTTACATAGACATAATGTAAACACTGAATATTGATTGAACATAATATAGTGATACAACAACAACAATATATTGGGAGAATATGGGAGAAGTATGGTTGTGTATAGGATGGGAGGTATAAGACAACTGAATCCTTCCACTGTAGGAAGTCCCAGCTGATACATAAAATTTAAAAATCAAGAAATAAAATAGTTAATAAAAAATATAAAGGCAATATCAGAAGAAATAGTTAAGAGAATTGTAAGTAATCTGGAATTAAAAGTAATTTTAAAAGGAAATTGAAATTAATTTGGAAGCAGAAATCTGGGGTGGGGAAGGATGAAGGAAGGTTCTGTAGGATTTCTGTAATTGTTATGGTACCCTATAACTATGAAAATTACATTTTAAAAACCAGGTTCTGAAATTGAACATAGAGTACTCCAATTCTGTGTAAAGAACTGGAAGCTTGAGAACCATTATGGACTGAATGGTTGTGTCCCCGCAAAATTCACATGTTAAAGCCCTAACTTTCAATGTGGCTGTATTTGGAAATAGGACCTCTAAGGAAGTAATTGAGGTTAAATGAAATCATAAGGGTGGGGTTCTGATTTTGTAGGATTAGTATCCTTATAAGAAGAGACATCAGAAAGTGTCTCTCTCTCTCTTTCTCTCTCTCTCTCAACGCACCAAGGAAAGGCCACATGAGGACACAGTGAGAAAGCAGCCATTGACAAGCCATGAAAAAAGCCCTTACCAGAAACTTTTGGCATTTTGATCTTGGACTCCTTAGCCTCCAGCAAATAAGTTTCTGCTGTTTGTGAGCCACCCAGTCTGTGGTATTTTGTTGTAGCGGCCCAAGTAGACTAATAGAAGAATATTATGCTAAGTCACAAAAGGACAAATCATATATGGTTCCACTAAAATGAGGCACCTTGAGTAGTTAAATTCATAGAAATAGAAAGTAGAATAGCACTTTGCAGGGGCTGAGGGAGCAGTGGGAGGAGTTACTGTTTAATGGGTAAACATTTCAGTTTGGGAGATGAAAACAGTTCTGGGCGGGGCGTGGTGGCTCTCACCTGTAATCCCAGCACTTTGGGAGGCCAAGGTGGGTGGATCACCTGAGGTCAGGAGTTCGAGACCAGCCTGGCCAATATGGTGAAACCCCGTCTCTATGAAAAATACAAAAAATTAGCCGGGAGTGATGACAGGTGCCTGTAATCCCAGCTACTTGGGAGGCTGAGGCAGTAGAATCGCTTGAACCCAGGAGGTGGGGGTTGCAGTGAGCCATGATTGTGCCATTGCACTTCAGCCTGGGCAATAAGAGCGAAAATCCATCTCAAAAAATAAAAGAAAAGGAAACAGTTCTGGAGATGAATGGTGGTAATGGTTGCACAACAATGTGAATGTATTTAATGTCACTGAACTGTACACCTAAAAATGGTGAAGATGGTAAATGTTATGTATATTTTATCACAATTTTTTAAAGAAAAAAGAAGGATGTACAAGGACATGCATGATAATACTGCTGGAAGGCTGTACCCTCGGTTTCAATTCTGCGCTATTCTCTGCCAAAGCCCCACATGTACTAGGCTTCCTCAGTGTTCTGTCCTCAGTTTTTCCATCTGTACTCTTCACTGAGGCTACCTGACTTACTCTTCTGTTATCATCTGTAATATGTATATTCAGCCCAGACATTTATTCTGAGCTCTAGACCCATACCTCTCAAATCAATACTGAGCTTCTCCACTTGGAAGTCCCACAGTGTCTTAGTTTGTTGTGTGTTGCTATAAGAGAATGCCTAAGACTTAGACATTTATAAAGAAACGTTTTATTTAACTCACAGTTTTGAGGGCTGGGAAGTTCAAGACTGGGCAGTCACATCCGACAACTTCTTTTGAGGGCATCAAAACATGGCAAAGAAACAAAAGGGGAAACAGGTACACGCAAAAGACACCAAGCACAAGAGGCAGACTCACTTTATAACAACCAACCTCCTCACAGTAACTAATCCAGTCCCATGAGCACAAGAACTCTCCCACTCCAAAGAGACTGCATTCATACCCTCATCAGGAGAGATTCCCCATGACACAAATGCCTCTTAAGGGTACCACCTCCCAACACTGTCACATTGGGAACCCATCCTCAACATGACTTTGGATGGGGATAAACCATATTCAAATCATAGTACATAAGCACTTCAAATTCGAAGAGTTCAAATCAGGATTAATCCTCTCCCTCTCCCAAATCTTCTCCTTTATGTCTGAAAAATAAAAGGGGAAGAGAAATGTTAATATCCCTCCCCATTCATTCCTCACTCCAGAT
Source organism: Homo sapiens (assembly GCF_000001405.40). Lineage (NCBI taxonomy): Eukaryota > Metazoa > Chordata > Mammalia > Primates > Hominidae > Homo > Homo sapiens. Next base: position 101,504,874 of record NC_000023.11, on the reverse strand, counting down.
TATATTCTTTCCCCTACACTAAACTGCCTCAAGGACCAATCAGTTCATATGATTTTCAGAAATGGACCTTTTTGCCCAAGAAGAAGGATTGCATTTTCACCTTTGAAAAGTGGTGTTATATGATTTCTTATATGTGCATGACCCAGCAAACCCACTGTACTCAAAATCTTAAACCAGCCTCTAAGCCCTAAGTCTACTACTACAACAACACTAGAGTAAGAATCTGGGGACCCGGGGCCAGAGTCAGACCCAGAACTGACTATAAGACCAGCTATCTCTCCAAAACATTTAGAAATGTTGTCCACTGCTACCCTAGCCTCATAACTAGGCAGGAGGGCTCTTAGGACTGAGCCAGAAGGCCCCCCTAAGTCCCATGTTTTGAAGGGTCTGGGGTCTAGAATCTCTCCCTCCTTCTCTCTCTCACACACACACACACACACAAACTTATTAAAGAACACTTGGGTAGGAAGAATCAATATCGTGAAAATGGCCATACTGCCCAAGGTAATTTATAGATTCAATGCCATCCCCATCAAGCTACCAATGACTTTCTTCACAGAATTGGGAAAAACTACTTTAAAGTTCATATGGAACCAAAAAAGAGCCCGCATTGCCAAGTCAATCCTAAGCCAAAAGAACAAAGCTGGAGGCATCAGGCTACCTGACTTCAAACTATACTACAAGGCTACAGTAACCAAAACAGCATGGTACTGGTACCAAAACAGAGATATAGACCAATGGAATAGAACAGAGCCCTCAGAAATAATGCCACATATCTACAACCATCTGATCTTTGACAAACATGACAAAAACAAGAAATGGGGAAAGGATTCCCTATTTAATAAATGGTGCTGGGAAAACTGGCTAGCCATATGTAGAAAGCTGAAACTGGATCCCTTCCTTACACCTTATACAAAAATTAATTCAAGATGGATTAAAGACTTAAATATTAGACCTAAAACCATAAAAACCCTAGAAGAAAACCTAGGCATTACCATTCAGGACATAGGCATGGGCAAGGACTTCATGTCTAAAACACCAAAAGCAATGGCAACAAAAGCCAAAATTGACAAATGGGATCTAATTCAACTAAAGAGCTTCTGCACAGCAAAAGAAACTACCATCAGAGTGAACAGGCAACCTACAGAATGGGAGAAAATTTTTGCAATCTACTCATCTGACAAAGGGCTAATATCCAGAATCTACAATGAACTCAAATAAATTTACAAGAAAAAAACAAACAGCCCCATCAAAAAGTGGGCGAAGGATATGAACAGACACTTCTCAAAAGAAGACATTTATGCAGGCAAAAGACACATGAAAAAATGCTCATCACCACTGGCCATCAGAGAAATGCAAATCAAAACCACAATGAGATACCATCTCACACCAGTTAGAATGGTGATCATTAAAAAGTAAGGAAACAACAGGTGCTGGAGAGGATGTAGAGAAATAGGAACACTTTTACACTGTTGGTGGGACTGTAAACTAGTTCAACCATTGTGGAAGTCAGTGTGGCGATTCCTCAGGGATCTAGAACTAGAAATACCATTTGACCCAGCAATCCCATTACTGCGTATATACCCAAAGGATTATAAATCATGCTGCTATAAAGACACATGCACATGTATGTTTATTGCAACACTATTCACAATAGCAAAGACTTGGAACCAACCCAAAAGTCCAACAATGATAGACTGGATTAAGAAAATGTGGCACATATACACCATGGAATACTATGCAGCCATAAAAAAGGATGAATTCATGTCCTTTATAGGGACATGGATGAAGCTGGAAACCATCATTCTCAGCATACTATCACAAGGACAAAAAACCAAACACTGCATGTTCTCACTCATAGGTGGGAATTGAACAATGAGAACACATGGACACAGGAAGGGGAACATCACACACCAGGGCCTGTTGTGGGGTGGGGGGAGGGGGGAGGGATAGCATTAGGAGTTATACCTAATGTTAAATGACGAGTTAATGGGTGCAGCACACCAGCATGGCACATGTATACATATGTAACTAACCTGCACATTGTGCACATGTACCCTAAAAGTATAATTAAAAAAAGAGAAAAAAAATTCCAAGGCAATAAATTAAGCAAATTGTCCTAAAGAAGAAGAAAAAAATAAAAATAAAAAAAAAATAAAGAACACTTGAATGCCTGTGTCACATAGGATCTGGTGTAAGGTCATAGCTATAGATAAGGAAAGGTACTAGTGCAACAGTGGTGGCTATCATAGAGGATCTGCTCTACCTGATTGTGCAACTGCTTATGCCCTCCAGTCCTGCTTGTGCTTGATCCCATATATAAAACTTCCATCTTGGCTGGACACAGTGGCTCATGCCTCTAATCCCAGCACTTTGGGAGACCAAGGCAGGAAAGGCCCTCAAGCCCAGGAGTTTGAGACCAGCCTGAGCAACATAGTGGAGCCTAAGCTCTACAAAAAAATTAAAAGATTAGCGAGGTATGATGGTGTGTGACTATATTCCTACTACTCAGGAGGCTGAGGTGGGAGGATACTTGAGCCAGGAGGTCAAGGCTGCAGTGAGCCATGATCGTGCCACTGCACTCCAGCCTGGGTGACAGAGCAAGACCCTGTCTCAAAAAGAGAAACAAAAAAGAAACTTCCATCTCATTGCCGGGGCTACTCAACCTTATACCTTGGTGGATCTGACAGAACTCAGCTCATGAAGCAGTTCTGGCTGCATGGCCACTAGATGTTCTATAGTCAGGCATTTCATCTCTACCAGGATGTAGTAGCATGTCAGGAGCTGTTCTTAAAAGGTATATAATTTTCCATTCATATGACATGGCTTTGCTCCACAACCCTAGCTAAGTTGCGATTTCCCCATAGGGGCTTCCCATAGGGCCTTTCCCATAGGGACTTCCAAAAACTCCACATGGCATCTTTTTCCAACACAGATACCTCTAATACTGAGATAGGACATCAGCAGGACTTGTTTTCCAAGCACTGGTAATGGCCCTGCTCATCAAAAACAGGATGCAGTAAAGACACCAGGAGATGATGAAAAAAGCAACCTCTGGTTGTCCTCACTGCTCATTATTAAAGACACTCCAACCAGTGCCATGACAGTTTACAAATGCCATGGCAATGTGCCATGGCAATGACCTAGAAGTTGCCTTATATGGTTCTAGGAACTTTCCACTCCTTTTCTAGAAAATTCCAAAAACCCATTCCTTCATTAGCATATAATTATGAGTGGGTATAAATATAGCTAGCCAGCAGAACTGCTGCTACTGCTCCCTCTGCTGCTCCAGAATGCTACTGTTGCTATATATTGCTGCTGCTGCTGCTGCTACTGCTGCTCCAGGCTGCTTTGCCTGTGGAGCAGCAACTTTGCTGCACACTGCTACTCAGGGCTCCTTTGCCTATGAGACAGCCCTGGTCTGTCCATGGAGCAGCCATTTTGCTATACACTATTGCTCTAATAAACTTGCCTTCTTTTACCGTCAGCTTGCTCTTGAATTCTTTCCTGAGTGAAGCCAAGAACCCTCCCGGGCTAAGCCCCACTTTTGGAGTTCACCTGAATCAGTACCATAAGGACTGTCTCTTGTATGCATCAAGTGGCAGGACTGCCTAAAAATGCATCCTGGACCTGCTATAGGGCCTTGTTCTGCTATAGTTCTCCTCAAAGCTGGCACTTTTTGTGTCACCCAGTATATGGGGTGAAACAGTAATTCCAGGTGTGAAATGTGATATTTCCAGAACCCAAAGAGGCCTACCAGGCAGTGCACTTCCAGAAAATTCTCTGTGAAGAAGGTAAAAAATACCTTAATTTGTCCTTCCCTTTGAGAGGATATTCTAGCATTCCCCAGGCCATTCAACCCCTAAAAATTATACTTAATGTGGCCAACCGCCTGGATCTTTGTAGGGTTCATCTCCCATTCTCCATAGTGCATGTGCCTTACTAAGGCCTCCAATGTGCTGGCCCCTTCCTACTTATTTTGGTCCAATTAGCATGATGTCACAGACATTGTGGACTAGTACTATATTCTGAAGGATGTTCGAGTGGTCCAGACCTCTTCAGACTATATTATGACAGAGGACATGATAGTTAGTAGAGCACTGAGGAAAAACTGTGTATGCATACTGTTATCCATTCTGTGTGAATATGAACTTTCCATTATGATACAGATAGGGAAAAAAACACATTTTCTAAATCAATAGCTAAAAACTAGGTACTTAAGGCCATGCTTTCTGCTGTAGCAAAGATATCATGTCTGGTATGCCATTGCAATTGTCTTACTACTTGGCTGAGTTTTCAGTAGTCTAGTGTCATCTAGGCTCTGTCCACATTTTGCAGGGGATTAAACTGGTGAATTAAACGAAGATATGATGGAGACCACACCTCTTCATTCTCTAGGTCTTCAAAGGCGGCAATAATTTCTGCCATCCTCCACTCCACAGATGCCATATGTTTTCATTTACTATCTTGGCCAGGGAAGGTGAGGGCAGTTTCAGAAGCTTCCACTTGGCCTTCTCATCTACAAATAGCTCTGACTCCACAGGCCAAAGAACTACTATAGGGCTTGTACCAACTAACCAACTATGTCTATTCCAATTATACATTCAGAGATCAAAAACATAACCACTGAGTGGGTCTGTGAACTCAGTGGGCCCACTGTGAACCCTACCTAGGCCAGGATCCCCCTTAATACTTGGCTCCCATGTGCCCCCATTCTAATAAGGGGGACAATTAAGACACTTTAGGTCTCTGGGTGTCAATATCAACTCAGAACCAGTGTCCATCTGTTCTCAAAATGTTCGAGTATTTCTCTTTCCTTGGTACACAGTTACCTGAGTAAATGGAAGGACCAGAGAAATCATTACTACACATGCGTTGTAGGGTCCTTCTTCCTGGGCACTCGGCCTTTCTTTCAAACCATGTATTGTGGATCAAAAGCTGACTTGAGACTAGAAGCTGGATAAGTAATTATGACTTTTTATTGAGGCAACCTCCCTCAAACCTGTGAACACCTTTCATTTCTTTTGATTGTATAGAGTGCAGATTGTTGGCTGCCTATTTCCCCCCAGGACATTATGTTGTATTGACTGTCCATGTCCTATTAACTGTCTCTTAACCATCTACCCACTAGGGGTACTGTGTTCTGTTAACCATCTCCATAGCTCTCTGCAGGTCAGGCCTCCCCACCTGCCACTCTGACCCTGCAGTGCATTGTGGTATTTACATCCGCCTAACTTCTGACAGTTAAGTGCAACTATCTTGCCTCTATTGTTTCAGAGGCATCATCATTTCTATCAGTGATCCTTGTTCCATAAGATCCTCTCCTACTCTGAGCCCTGGCATGCAAAAGAGATCCACTACTGAACTTCTCAGTGATGCTGATGTCCCTCTCACCAGAATATTTCTTATAGCTTTGGTAAATGGTTTGTCCTTTGGATCCTCCTGTAGAATATAATCTTCTGGAGGGTTTTCTGGCCTTACATAATAGGTTTATTATATAATTCTCACCTCTCTGAGTCTTTGATCCCTTTTCCCGCCATCTTCTATGGCAACTCTGGCATTTACACCTCACTTTATGTACGCCATGGCTTTTTCCATACTTCGAGGAGCCATCGCAGTAATGAGTTCGTGTCATTTCCTGTGGTTTTCTCCAGGGTATTAAATCCTGTATTCTGGGAAAGCACTTTCAAATTGATTAATTCTCCCATATTCCAGTTTATATTCCAGCCCTCCTGATCAAGCTCCTTAGAATTTGATGCCATACTTACTCCCTCAGCACCTTCTAGTATATGCTGGCTAGGTTATGTCCCGAAACTCTTTGTTGGTGTATTCTCTTTCTTTCCTTATTACACCCAGCACATCACCAGCTAGATTATGCGTGGCTTAACCCTAGTTATAGGCCCAGTGGCCAGGATAGGAGGTGCGGGCAGATTCTGAGGAAAACCCAGGTTATCTTACAGGGGAAAGGATTCCATATATTGAAGCAAGATGGAGTGCCAGCCCTTAATAGGGAGGAGTAGGACACTTCTCAAGGGGCTCAGGGGAATCTGGGGATATAAGATTTTTAGGGACATCAATCCAGATGTCCCCCATTCCAAGTGTCAGAGTCCCATTCCTTCTTAACCATGGCACATAACTCGGCATAGAAGACTTGTCTTGGTTAGAATTTTAACTTTCTTTGAAGCTTGCTTTTAACAAATCCTGAGTCTACTCCTCAGATTTCTCCACCTTCTACCTGGAAAAGATGAGAGCCTCTTTATATGTTATGAATAAAGCCATCTGACTTTCAAACATAGCTTTCAATTGTTGATTAATTTAATTCAGCTTTTTGTTATTCTTTTCCAGAGCTCAATCTGCTTAGCAACAGCCGCCCAATTTTCTGGCCTTCCTTATATTTAATATATCCCATATTTCTCAAAGGTCTGATACATGGCACCAGTTAATGTGTCCCATTTTACCAGTATGCCAACCCAGTTAACCACCATTGAAAATTTTAACAATTCCTCTGCTACCTTATTCCAGAGGCCTATCTACTCCACCTACCACCAATGATGGAGTCTTCATTGACAGCTGGGTAGCAGGTGATTCATCTCCAAAATTTCATCACAGTGTTTGCTTTCTCGAACCACTTCTTGTACCAACTGTTGCAGGTTGGCTTCCCAGGAAGCAGGCCCAGAGATAGAGTTCAGCATGAAGCGTTTTTACTAGGGAATGCTCTTGGGATCAACACCTGTGGAAGGGAAAAGAAGGAAGCAGGATTGGACAGAGGGAGGAGTTAAGCTGTCCCAATTTGGGGCAAGAAGGCCATATCCATCAGTAATTGGATGTGAAATACCCCCAGGTAGGGGGTGTAACCTTGGGGGAGGTGGCTTTCTTCAGCTGAGGAAATTCCTGAAGAGGGCTGACAGCTGAGGACTGTCTACTTGCCGCACTCCTGGCAATTAAAATAATAAGCTTTTCATTCCTGAAGGGGAATCAGGGCAGCAGATGGTAGAATCCACTACAAGTGTGACATTATTTTTTTACAGTAGAGTAAGTTGGTGGCCATCGAATGCTAGTATTGAGAATGGTTTTATTTTTTAAATACCTAATATGATTTAAATTTTAAAACACTTATTGCTTTACAAATAATATTTATTTAAAATTTTAAGTTATACTTTCCAAATATGTAGGCATAAATATGTGAGCCTCCATTTATACTTTTGCTCCAGGTCCCTCAAATACTACTGACCAGGCCTGCCTAATATGAATCCATCTTCTTCCTTGTTGGTAAATTATGCATAAAATTCCACTTCTTATATAAATATCATAAATAGAGATGAGTAAAAACAAATGAGGCCGGGCGTGGTGGCTCACGCCTGTAATCCCAGCACTTTGGGAGGCCGAGGCGGGCAGATCACCTGAGGTCAGGAGTTCAAGACCAGTCTGGCCAACATGGTGAAACCCCGTCTCTACTAAAAATACAAAAAAAAAAGCCAGGTGTGGTGGCAGGCGCCTGTAATCCCAGCTACTCGGGAGGCTGAGGCAGGAGAATCGCTTGAACCCAGGAGGCAGAGGTTGCAGTGAGCCCAGACCGTGCCATTGTACTCCAGCCTGGGCGACAGAGGGAGACTCCGTCTTAAAACAAAAAAAAAAAGAAAGAGAAAAAACAACAAATGAAATCACCCATCAGTCTAACACCCACAGAAAACTATTAATATTCTCAGAGTATGTAGCAAGATAATTTAGATATATACTTTTTCTTCATTAAATGTATGGCATGTGCTTTTACAGCCTATTTTTCCCACTTAAGATTATATGCTGAATTTCTAATGTAAGCACATGTAGATGTCCATCAACATTTTCAATAGCGGCATAATATTTAAATGTGTAGACATACATCAATTTGCTTAGCCAACTGCCTATCTTGAGATACTTGGGTCGTTTACAACTTTTCACCCTTCAAAACAGTTTGAAGATGCACAGCTTCCTACAAGCCAATTACGTGTTATTTCCTAAAGATACATTTCTACAAGTGGAATTACAGGGTCAAAGGATATGCATATATTCCAATGGACCTTGTACCAGTGTATACTCCCACCAGCAGTTTAAGAGTGCTCCTCCCCCGACACCCTCACCCTCACTATGGGGTGGGAGAGAGGTAGATCTTCTATGTGTATCCCAACAACACTCTCTATGGTTCCATAAAGGCCCCACCTTAACCAACCTTATAAAGGAAATCTGATACAAGCACTAAAACTTCTTTCTTCTAGTATACTTTCTTATTATTTCAAAGTTGTAACTGTTTACTTACATGGATACCAGAATTGGCAAAGAGGACACTTTTCTGTCAAATGCCCCAAGGACCCTAAAATAAAATTGGTCCTCTCTGTATGTCTCCAGAATACATCTCAGCACTTATTGGTTCAAAGGGCCTCTCACGTCCATCCTCTCCTTACCATTCCCATGGCCTCCAGTAAAATTTCAAACCTTTATTATCTCATGCCTGGAGTAACTTGTGGTAGCTTCCTGTTTTTCCAATCTCCAGTCACCACTCCTATCCCCGCCCCAGCTTGGACTCCTGCTGCACATAAATCTACCATATCATTTTCCTTTCGTCTTGTCATTCCTCCGGTCACAAAAGGCCTTGATGTCTCCCAGGGGTGGATGTAGTAATATTCAGACACCCCAGTTTAGCAGTTAGGGGTGCTCCACGAACAGGACTCACCTCTACTGCCTGACTCTCTCTCTCTCTCGTCACTACCCTCCCTACACTTTGCACTTCAAGCAGGCCAGCATTTCTCTCTGGAGAAGGATTCCCATCTCCATGCCTTTTTTCCCATCACTCCTTCCATCTTGAGTGCCCTTCTGATCCTTTTGTATCCTTGAAGCCCAGCTTACCTAAGGGTCCCCCTCCTTTGTAAAACTTTCCTTGAGCACTGTTGCCTGCAGCAGTTTCTGCCGCCTCTAAACACTGATAGGAGGCATCTGGCCATGATTGGAAGCTCCCAGTTTTATTGCTATCTTTTTGTTTCCATATATCTTGCCTTTCCAAACAGATCATAAACTCAAGGACAAGGACAATGACTTTTTTCTGCTGCTTAAAACACACAACTTTATTGATGACATAAAAATAGTCTTAAATGTATAAACATAAGTCCACACAAAGGACCAAAGATTACCTTACTTATGAAGAATCCATTCAGTTTCTGCTCATGAAGCATACTAAAAATATCTCAATCCAGACAAGATAAAAATCAACACATGTATTTTTAGTACAAGCTTGAATTCATTTGGTGTTCATAAAATGGTCCAGCTATAGACCATCATAGGTAACATCAGTTTCAAAGTTATAATGCAATTTACAATGTGCATTACTTCCAGAGTGCAAAACCAAAATATTACTCAAATTTGTTTGGGAACATACAGCCAATCAGAGTTTACTTATTAATAGCTCAACTCTCTCTTTCACCTCAGGGTCATTGCATTCTGCTGCTAAGGCTCGAAGTTTCTTGGCACATGCTTTAGGTCGTTGGAATAGGAAATAAAGGGAATTTTTACTGAATTTGTCCTGGGTAAATGCTTTTGCTCTTCTTTTAAAATGGTAATTTATATTTTCAAATAGTGAAAGAGCATTAAGAATATTCTCCTTTGTCTCTTTCTTGCTAAAAATGTTAATCAGTGATGTTGGTGCATTGGCAATGAGCAAGTCTTTTGTCATAGATGGATTTTTAGAGAAATTCAAAAGCATTCCCAAAACATGGTCTTTAGTTTCTCCACTTCCCACCGTTAACAAACGAAGAAATTCTGAAATATAATTTGTAACCATATGCTGATATTCACTGGTAATAGTCAGATGCCTTATCAACCTTAGTCCAGCCAACTGCACATTTGAATTCAAGGGATAGGTGACAGTGTCTTCACATACTTGGTTTAAGTAAGTTTTAACCTTCCTATGGTTTTCAGCAGCCACTGAGATATTATTCAGTGCATTTAAAGCCTTCTGCCTAACACTGGGGTAGGGATTATTGAGCAAGCTTTCAATAACTGAAATTCCACCTACATTACGAACAACTTCATGAGAATAAGAATAATCAGCACTGTTATATAAAGCATTATTGGCTATTTCATGAACAGAAGGATCTTCAGTCATCTCAATCATGCAAATGAGTTTTTCAAGATCTCGTGGATCCATATTAGCTTCGTGTTTACAGCGGCAAGACCAGGGCCGAGTTTTTTCCCCAGTCCTGGTTTGTTTTCTGGACTCATCTTCAACTGGGAAGCTGGCCTCACTTTGGTGTGCAAACTTAGTTTCCGACCAGATCATGGCTCCATCCCATGACCCCATTCCTGCCCCAGGGACCATGTACGGATATATGCCTCTTGACTCAGATGACTTTTTGGCTTTAGCCTTAGGTGCAGATTTGTCCTCACTTGTGTTTTCATTACCAGCACAGAACCAAGACCCTATATCAACTCCACCAGCAGCCTCAAACTTATCCTTGATGCTGGTGTTATCCCCAGCTCCAGACTCAAAACTGGCATCTTTCCCACTCTTAGATCTGAACGTATTACTGTTCTCACTCTCAGCCCAAAACAAAGACCTTAAACTGATCTCCTCAATATCAGGGCTGGACTCTCTACTTAGCTCATCCTCTCCCACATTCCTAGCCAAGGTCCAGGACTCTACACCAGCCTCTTCCCCAGCCCCAAGCCTAGACTCTACAGTGGTTGCATCTCCATCCCAGGACCAAATCCCAGCCCCAGACTCAGTCCCAGGCCCAGCCCCAGCCCCAGCCCCAGCCTCAGCCCCAGCCTCAGCCCCAGCCCCAGCCCCAGCCTCAGCCCCAGCCCCAGCCTCAGCCCCAGCCCCAGCCTCAGCCCCTACACAGGAGCCCATATAAGCCACCTCCTCAGATCTAATCCAGGAGCCACTACTAGCCTTGTTCTCAGCCTCAATCCTAGAACAAATCATGGCCTCTTCCCCAGCCCCTGATCTGGATGCAGTAGTGGCCTCATCTTTATCATCAGGCCTGGACACAATATCAGCTTTTTCCTCTGTCCAGCACCAAGACCCTATAACGGCCTCAGCTCCAGGCCCAAACCAGAATCCTTCATTGGCCTCCACCTCAAAACTGACCTGGAACCTTCCACTGGCCTGGTCCTCAGATCTAGCCCAGGATCCTCCAGTGGCCTGGTCCTCAGATCCCATCCTAGATCCTCCAATGGCCTCATTCCCAGGCCTAGATCCAGCCCAGGATTCTCCACTGGCTTGGCTCCCAGCACCAGCCCAGGAGCCTCCTCCACAAGCCTGATCCTCAAATTCAGGCTTGGAACAGTCAACAGCCTGATCCCCAGGCCCAATCCAGGACCTTCCACTGGACTGATTCCCAGTGCCAGCCCAGGACCCACCACTGGACTGGTCTGCAGGCCCCGGCCTAGCTCCCCCAAGGACCTGGCCACCAGCCACACCCCAGGAACCTATTCCACTGGACTGATCCTCAGACCCTGGCCTGGAGCCTCCACCAGTCTGGTCCCCAGCACCAGGCCAGAACCCCCCTCCAATGGCCTGATCCTCAAATCCAGGTTTGGAACAACCACCAGCCTGATCCACAGCCCCAGCCCCAGTCCAGCAGCTTCCACTGACCTGACTCCCAGGGCTATCCCAGGACCCAGCACTGGACTGGTTCGTGGGCCCTGGCCTAGACCCTCCAACATCCTGGCCACTAGCCCCACCCCAAGACCCTCCATTCGTCTGACTCCCAGGGCAAACACAGAACCATCCACTGGCCTGGTCCCCAGTGCCAGCCCAGGAATCTCCACTAGACTGGTCCCTAAGCCCCAGCCTAGAATCTCCAACAACCTGCTCCCTGGCATCAGCCCAGGACCCTCTGCCACTGACCTGATCCTCAAATATAGGCTTTGGCCCAACACTAGCTGGATGCCCAGCCCCAGTCCAGGACCCTCCATTGGCCTGGTCCACAATCCCAACTAAGAATCCTCCACTGATTTGGTCCCCAGAGTTAGCCCATGACCTTCCACTGGACTGGTCTTCAGGCCCCACCTTGGACCCTCCACCAGCCTGGCCACCAGCCCCAGCCCAAGACCCTTCTTCTGTGGTCTGATTTTCAAATCTAGGCTTGGACCCACCACCAGACTGATCAAGTGTCCCAGCCCAGGCCCCACCACTGGACTGATCTACGTGGCCCAGCCTAGACCCTCCACTGGCTTGGTCTGCAGTGTCAGCCCAAGACCTTCCACTGGACTGGTCCTCAGGCCCCAACATTGACCCTCCACTAGCCTGGCCACCAGCCCCAGCCCAGGACCCTTCTCCACTGGCTTGATCCTCAAATCTAGGCTTGGACCCACCACCAGATTGATCACTAGTCCCAGCCCAGGACCCTCCACCGGCCTGATCCACAACCCCAGCCCAGTATGAAACACTACTCATATTCCCAGCCCCAGCTCCAGCCCAAGACCCTTCACTGGCTTGGTTCTCAGCCCCAGTCCAGGACCCTCCAATGGCCTCTTCCCCAACCCAGGACACCCCACTGGCCTGTCCCCCAGGCCAGGACCCATCACTGGCCTGACCCGCAGCCCAAAGCTCTCCAATGGCCTGATTCCCAGCGAGAGCCCAAGACCCCCCACTGGCCTGGTTCTCAGCCCCAGTCCAGGCTCCTCCACTGGCCTTGTCCCCAGCCCAGGTCCCCTCACTAGTCTGACCCCCAGCCCAGAGCCCTCCACTGGCCTGCTCCCCAGCTCTAGCCCAAGTCCCAATACCAACCACATTCTCAGCCCTGGCCCCAGCCCAGGACTTAACACTGGTCTCATCACAAGCCACAGCCCAAGACCGAATAATCCCAGCCTTATCACTAGCCCCACTCCAGGACCCAATACTGGCTTCATTCTCATCATCAGCCCAGGACACGCTATTTTCCCAGTCTCCATCCATGGTCTGAAACCTAAATTTGATCCACCGCTCAGCAGCAATCCAGTCTTCAACACCAATCCCATTCCAGTAGTAGTCATGGATGTTAGGCTGAGTCTTTCTGCAGGCTTGAGTGCCTGACCCACCCTCACTCTCAGAAGTGGGCATGGCCTCAGCCTCAGGCTTTGCATAGGCCTCATCTTCTGCTGTGGCTTCTGCCTCAGAAGTGGACATAGACTTGTCCCTTGCCCCAGGCAAGGTCTCACCCTGGGAACCGGCCACAATCTGAGGCTGGGCAGAGTGCCTTGTGCCTGCCCCAGTCCCTGCTTTAGGCACAGCAATGGTATTGCCCTTGACCTTATTCCTGGCACCAAGCAAGGTCTCACTCTGGGAATTAGCGACAGCTTGGGGCTGGGCAGAGCCCACTGTATCTGCCCCAGCCTCTGCCTTAGGCACAGCATTGGAATTGCCCCTGACCTTATTTTTGGCCCCAGGCAAGACCTCACCCTGAAAACTGGCCACAACCTGGACCTGGACAGAGCCCATTATGCCTGCCCCAGCCTCTGCCTTAGAAATAGCATTGGAATTGCCCTTGACCTTATTCCTGGCACCAGGCAAGGTCTCACGCTGGGAGTTGGCCACAACCTGAGGCTGGGCAGAGCCCATTGTATCTTCTCTGGCCCCTGCCTTAGACACAACATTGGAATTGCCCTTGACCTTATTCCTGGCACCAGGCAAGGTCTCACGCTGGGAGCTGGCCAAAACCTGAGGCTGGGTAGAGCCCACTGTATCTTCTCTGGCCCCTGCCTTAGACACGACATTGGGATTGCCCTTGACCTTATTCTTGGCACCAGGCAAGACTTCACCCTGGGAATTGGCCACAGCCTGGGGCTGGGCAGAGCCCCTTGTATCCATCCCAGCCCCTGCCTTAGACACAGCATTCCAATTTCCCCTGACCTTATTCTTGGCACCAGGCAAGGTCTCACAATGGGAATTAGCCACAGCCTGGGGCTGGACAGAGCCTGTTGCACCCATCCCAGCTTCTGCCTTAGACACAGCATTAAGATTGGCCTTGACCTTATTTTTGGCACCAGGCAAGACCTCACCCTGAGAATTGGCCACAGCCTGGAGCCGGGCAGAGTCTGTTGTATATGGCCCAACCCCTGAATTAGGCACAGTAGTGGGATTGCCTCTGATCTTATTCTTGGCACCAGGCAAGACCTCACCCTGGGAATTGGCCACAATCTGGGGCTGGACAGAGCCTGTTGTATCTGTCCCAGCCCCTGCCTTAGACACAGCATTGGAATTACCCTTGACCTTATTCTTAGAATCAAGCAAGGCCTCACCCTTGGAACTGGCCATAATCTGAAGCTGGGCAGTGCCCATTGCACCTTCCCCAACTTCTGCCTTAAGCACAACATTGGGATTACCCTTAACTTTATTCTTGGTGCCAAGCAAGGCCTCACCCTGGAAACTGACCACTGCCTCAGGCTGGGCAGAGTCTGTTGTACCTTCTCCAGCCCCCACCTTAAGCACAGTATGGGGATTGCCCTTGACTTTATTCTTGGCACCAGGCAAGGCCTCACCCTGGGGATTGGCCACAACCAGGGGCTGACCACAGACCCTCTGGTCTGCCTTAGTCCCGGCTTTAGAAGTGGCATTAGGATTGCCCCTACCATCAACCCTGGAATCAAGCAAGGCCTCAGCTGGGGTCTTGACCCCAGCCTGAGGTTGTGTACAGGTTTTCATGTCCATCCCAGGCCCTGTCTTACACTTGGCTTTGGCTTTGCCCCTAGCCTTACCTCTAGTATTAGGTAAGGCTTCACCCTGGCTCTGGGCCATACCTTGAGCCTTCATATCCACCCCAGCTCCTTCCTTAGGCATGGTATTGACATTGCCCCTGACCTTAATTTTGCCATCAGACAAGGTATCAGCCTGAACACTGGCCACAAGCTGAGGCTGTGTACAGGACAACATGTCTGTCCCATCCCCCACCTTAGCCATAACATTGGGATTGCCTCTGCTCTTATCCCTGGCATCAGGCAAGGCCTCAACCTGGGAATTGGCCCTCAAGTTTGCCTTGGCCCCTGCTTTAGTCATGGCATTGGGATTGCCTCTGTTCTTAACCTTAGCATCAGACATGGCCTCAGCGTGAGTACTGGCAACAGCTTGAGGCTGAGCAGCAGCTCTCATGTCAGCTCCAGTTATTGCCTTAGATATGACATTGGTATTTCCCCTACCATCAACCCTGGCACCAGACGTCACCTCAGCCTGTTTCTTGGCCACAGTCTGAGGTTGTATACAAGCTCTCACATCTGCCCCTGCCCCCACCTTACACATGGCATTGGTGTTACCCCCGGCATCAATCTTTGCCCCAGGAATGGCCTCAGTCTGGGTTTTGGCAAAAATTTGAGGCTGAGCAGAAGCCCTCGTGTCTGCCCCAGACTCTGCCCTAGACATGGTTTTACAATTCCCCATGTCCTCAACCCCAGTACCAGGCATGTCATCACCCTGGATCTTGGTCACAGCCTGAGACTGTGCACAGGACTTCATGTCCACTCCAGCCACCTCCCTGGACATGCCATTGGGATTTCCCCTAGCATCAACTGTGGCACCAGGCCTGGCCTCAGACTGAGTCTTAGCCACACTCACAGTCTCTTCCAGAGCTCTTGTCTTGGTTTCATCCACAATTCCAGTCTTGTTCGTGGCCCCCATCTTGGCCACTTCCCTGGGTACTGCCAAGGTCTCACTCTGTGTAACCATTACTCTGTTAATCTCTGTCTCTTTTTCAGCCAATATATGAGTTTCAGCTTTGGTCTGGGTCATTGCTTCTCTCTTGGCCTCTGTCTTGGCAACCAGCGCCCAAGCTTTAGCCTTGGTCTGTGTCACTGCTTCTTTCTTAACTATTTTGCCAGCCTCAGCATCAGTTTGGGTCACTGCTTCTTTCATGGCCACTTCCCTGGCTTTGGCCTTGACCTCAGTCAGAGTCACTGCCTCTGTCATGACCAGTGTTCCAGCCACCACTTTGGACTCAGATTGAGTCTCTGGCTCTGCCCCAACCATTGCCTTGGCCTGAGAGTTGGCTCTGTGTATGGCTATAGCAGTGGCCTTGGTCTCTACTTCAGCCCTAGGCCCACTTCTTGCTCCAGTTTCTGCTCCAATCTCGACTTGGGGTTTAGTCTTAATCTCTGCTTCATTTATGGCCAAGGTCTGGCTCTGTACCCCAACCACAGTCTCCATCTTAACTGTGGATCCATTTCTGGCAAGAGTCCTCACACTCTGGGCTCTTCCCTTGGTAAATTTGTAAATGTAGTAGCAGGTGCCAGCCCAGATCACCAGTCCTGCAGTCACCCAGCCCACTTCCTGAATGCGGCCCATGTAATCACCCCTGCTAAAAGCACGAACAAGGTATGGTAGAGCGCACTCGGGCTGGGGTAAAGAGAGTGGTAGTTGTGGGTGTAGGCCTGTGAGGGTGCTGGTCTTCAGCCACTCAAAGGCCACTACAGCTGCCTCTGGAGGTGGACCTAGAAGTGGAGGAAGGAAATGGACTAAAATTTCTCTTCTGATTTTGTTGCATCATACAGATAGATACACAGAGGAACAGAAAATGGTAGAACCATGTGCTTGGTGGAAGAGAGGATGATTAGCAGCCTCTCCATTCCTCTTATTTCATCTTCTCTCCACCTTCCCCAATGCCCAATAATTTTCTTCCAAGATACTTCTATACACATTTCTATACACCAAATGAACAGTGGAAAGGATGGTAGGAGGTCTGACGATAAATGGGAGCAACCAAGAAGTCCCAGACTTTGATTTCTACTGGACCTACTCTGGTCACCTGTCTACAGGGCCCCACCCTCATACCAACCTGTAATGATCCGAGGCAGTTCCCTCCTCTCCTCTTGCTTCTCTTGGCAGTACACCCTAAAGTAGATACATAAATTCATGAGATCTCTGGACCTAGAGACAGACAGACAGATGGAGGGACAGATGGGAGTAGAGAGTTTGTTCTTGATGGGACAGACATATTATTAGCAAACTACCTTTCTACGTTTCTCAGTCCACCCCACTCCCTAAGACACTGTCACACTCTTTTCCCTGTACCAGAATTAAGGTGAGGGTATGGAGTAAATGACAGGGATGGTGGGAAAGGTGGCTGGAAAAGGAGAGACTGAGGATCCTCATCCTCCAGACTGGTCACTGGTCCTTACTGGATGCACACTGGTCTCCACCAACCCACTCTAGAGGTCTACCCAGGCAGTCCCCACACTCTTACCAGTCTATACTGATCAGGAGCAATCTCCTCTTTGTTTCTTTGCTTCCAGTGATCTTAAGCCCTGCAGCAGACATGCAGGCAGATCTATGGACAAGTAAACAAACAGTAGGTAATGGAAACCGAGTCCCTGGTAGAACAGACAAGCAACCTGATCCCTGACCCCAATGTCTGCCTCGCCAGAGCCCAGGTTCTATATACTAATGTGTACCATCTCATGGTCCCCCCATCAAGTCTTCCCCCAGTCATACTCCAGCCCACCCTTACCCCCATATTCCTATCATTTCCTGCACTGAAATCCACAGGAGGCATGGCAGCACTGTGGCAATCCAGCACTCCACTGAGACCCTCTTAAATCTCACCCACCTCCTATGCCCACCCTCTCTTGTCATCCCCAGAGACTACCCCCACTTCACACCAACCTCCATGCTTCTAGATTGATCTCCTCCTCTTTCCCTTGCTTCCAATGGTAAACAGCCCTACTGCAGGCCTATGGGAAGACCTTGGAACAGATGGAGAAAAAGAAGAGAGTGGATGTTAAGTACTTGTGACACTTACCATCTAAGACATAGGTCCCTGTACCTGCCTGCCTGGATTTAGAGACCCATTTGCTGGCAGAAAAAAAAAAAAAAAAAAGCCTGGGGCTTCCCCAGCACTGAAATGGGAAGGATGGAAAAGGGAGGCAGGAAAAGTAAAAGGCAACAGACAGAGGCACGTTATTTTATTTTATTTTATTTTATTTTATTTATTTTATTTTTTATTTATTTTGAGACAGAGCCCCACTCTGTCACCCAGGCTGGATTGCAGTGGCAAGATCATGGCTCACCACAGTCTCGACCTCCCAGGCTCAAAAGATCCTCCCACCTCAGCCTCCCAAGTAGCAGGAACTACAGACTGTGCCACCATACCCAGCTAATTTTTAAATTATATGTAGAGATGAAGTCTCGCTATGTTGCCCAGGCTGGTCTTGAACACCTGAGCTCAAGCAATCCTCTTGCTTGGGTCTCTCAAAGTGCTGGGATTACAGGCAAGAGCTACTAGGCCCAACAAGGCAAATTATTTTAAAACCACCTGTAGGGTTCTAGGGATTTCCCCAAAAGCCCACCATTTCCTTCACCAAGATGGTCAGGTAGGTAGAGGGATCTGGAAAACTGAAGGATGGCAGGAGAGATGGGAGACCCCAGATCCCATACTCTAGAACCACAACCTACTGCTGTCCACGTCCCTTTCAACCTATCTCTAGGAGTCTCCAGCAGAAGAGAAAAGCTATAGGGGAAGCCTTTTGCTTCTACAAAATCACTATCCTTCCCCACCAAAGGCTATCTAAAAAATAATAATAATAATAATATTCTTTAATATAATTTATCTTTTTCTCAATATTATCTGAAATGCAAATAAAAGCATCTGTAGAAAAGTTTGCTGTCTTCATTGGTCTTCAACATACAATTTAAAAGTCCTAAGCTTGGTAAGTAAAATGCAGTTTAGGGAAAGTCCCCAAGCTAGCCCCACCCCACATCCCATTCAGACAGCCGCACCTAAGTTCCTGTCATAGAATTCATATGGAACTCCAATGGTTTAGATAGTGTCTGTACTCACACTAACCTCCTTGATCCAGTGCAGTTTTCTCCTCTCCTTCCTTTCTCCTCGCCGCAAACAGTGCTACACCGAACTACTGTCCGACAGACAGGAGAGAGTAAAACCACTTAGTGTTGGTCTAGAGCCCAGGACATAGATCCCAATACTCGCCTTTCCGGGTTCAGGAACCTGGTTATCAAACGTCCCTCCCCACAGTCTGAGACACCACCCTTACCAACCCCACCGTCCAGTCTCTAAGGCCCACCATTTTCTCTGCAAACGCCACCGTGGCGCATCCCTTCCACTAAATTGAGCAGGAAGCGAGCGGACATGTGTGGCCAGTGATTAGAGCGATGGGCATCTCAATCTCTGTATTTCCCTCTGGCAGAGACAATCTCCCCACAAATCAAAGCCCACGGTTCGCCTGCACAGATGTAGGCGGGGGCAAGGGGGCTAGGGAGAATCAGAGGCAAAGGCTCCTCGAACTTGAGGCAGCATAGACCACCGCCCCCTCAAGCCCCGTAACCGCTGCCGGGGTCAGTGAGCTTCTGCCGGCCTGGCCAGGGCGCGCGGGCCCCAGGGCCCTTACCTGCTCCGCTTTCCCCGGGCCCGATGCCAGCCCGCCGAGCGCAGGGCAGCGGGGAGCTGGTAGCCAGATGCGAGTGACGACTGCAACGAAGGCTGCGTAGCTCTGCAGCTCCGGGTCACGTGAGGACCGCGCGTCACCGCCGAGCTCGCCCTCCTCCCCAGCACCCCCTACCACCCACCAAGGGCCGGCGGCCAGTCACCAGGAACTCCCCCCTCCTCCACTCCGCACGCACAGACATCCCCGTTCTCTGGTCTGTGCTCGGTGCCCCAGTGCGCACGCGTTGTCACTCATCTCCGTCCTCTCCAATCTGAGGGCCCACAAGTGGCATCATCGCCTTGTGGTTGGAGTTTACCCATCTTCAGTTACAGGGGAGGGTCTGCATCCCCCTACCCACTCCCGGCCCTTGGCTGTGGCCTTTTATGTTTCTTCTTTGAGTAATCACTTATTTCTCTCTTAGACTATAAGACCAGCACTCCCCACCCGCCCCCTACACGACCTGCCCTCTCTAAGTACAATGCCTGCACCAAATGGGCTGTGGAAGGGGGTATCAGGAAGGAAAGCAGAAGGTGCAAGTAGAGCTTTAATTTTCTTTTTCGTGTTCCTTTTTTTTCTTTTAATATGACATTCTTTTCTAATATTGTAATCAGAAAATACAGTATAGCCATTTTCATTTGACACAAAAAATATTCAGGGTGTAAAAATAACAAAAGACTCATTCTTTTGTTTACATTATTTTGTGCCACATTTTAAAATGTCTTCTGTTACTGCAAACTATTTTACAGCTTTCAAAATTGACTAGTAATTCTTGACATTTTAAATACAAAATTGTCCTAAACAAAACCAGCACGTATTCAATATGATCTATAAGTTAATCTTTGGAAAGACATTTCGTTTTCTAATATTGACAATTTTACACAGGTGATTTGTAACTTTTGAAGTTCTGGCTGAACTCAGCATCTTTTTTCAGGTGTCTAAGACCTTCTTCAGAGAAGACTTCTAGAGGATATATTTAAGACCCAACTCCTGATGAGCCTAGTGCTTTACTAGTGACTTACCAAATTAACCTGCTTTACTAGTGACTTCCCAAATTAACCTGTTTTCCATTCAAGGGGCTTTATTTGGATTTTACATAAGCATGTAATCAGATCAGCCTCACCACACCCATGGAACAACCAACTGCTAGAGCTTGGATGGAAAGGAGACTTAACAGGTGGAATTTTCATCCGTCGTAACACTTGAGATCTCGCCGGTGTCTGCCATTCATGTACTACATACTACCCTAGCAGTGGCGAGTGTTCAATATTTTCCAGTGGAGATGGTGGTGAGGGTCTGTGGATGACTGTGAATCACTGCAACACACCTGATGTCCGTGTCATTATTTTTTTCCCTCACAAGTGGAAGGGCAATGTACAGGATCCCAAGCAATTGCCAAGAAAAAGAAGTTTTTTCATGTCCTGCCTTGTGTTACAACTTCACTGCACCTCCCATACAAGCCCCTCAGAATAATCCCAAAACTCAGGGACCAAATATGCAGAAGTTAGTCCCCACGCATCCACCTGTCCCCGCTGAGGAGTCATACTCCAAATATAGACCCTCCAGGCAGCCTCTTTCTTAGAACATTGAAATAGGACACCCCAGAGGGAGGGGCTCCACTGTGAGGGGCCCCTGTGTGGAGGAGGCCCTTTCAGGAGCCAAGAAAGGAAGTCCTAGTGCCTTACAATCTTACTAATGGCTTTTCAGAACTCAATTGAAAGTGACGAACTTACTTTCTCCACCAAAGGAAAATATTGATAAATTAATTGCATACAAATTTTAAACTTTGGTAAAGTAAAAAAAAAAAACCATAAACATTGACTGTCAAAAGGCTAACTTGTAATAATCTAAAAGCTCTTACAGATCATTAGTAAAATGATAAACAACCCAATAGAAAAATGTGCCAAAAGACATGAACAGATTTGTTCACAGAAAAGAAATAGATTACTAATAAACATATGAAAAGATGCTCAAACAAAGAAATGCAAATCAAAGCAACTATGCCTTACCATGTTTCAAGTATGATTTTCTCAAAGTTTAGAAACTTGATAATATTGTTGACTGGTTTGTCAAGAAATGGGCACTCCTCTACTCTGTTGGAGGCAGATATTGATGCAAGCTTTTTATATAGGGCAATTTGGCAAACTCTATTAAATGATAACTATAATATTTCACAAATTCTTTGACCCAATAATTCTATTCCTTGGAATTTAGCCAACCTATATGCCTACACAGTTTCACAAAGATATATTTACTAGAATTTTTTTTTTTCGCAATGCTTGTAAGGTTTGAAAAAACTGACGCAGCCGGGCACGGTGGCTCACACCTGTAATCCCAGCACTTTGGGAGGCCGAAGCAGGTGGATCACGAGGTCAGGAGTTCAAGACCAGCCTGGCCAACGTGGTGAAACCCCGTTTCTATTAAAAATACAAAAATTAGCCGGGCGCAGTGGCAGGCGCTTATAACCCCAGCTACTTGCAAGGCTGAGTCAGGAGAATGGCTTGAACCCAAGGGATGGAGGTTGCAGTGAGCCTAGATCACGCCACTGCACTCCAGTCTGGCTGACAGAGTGAGACTCTGTCAAAAAAAAAAAAAAAAAAAAAAAAAGCCTGACGCAACATAAAATGGCTATTGATAGGGGAGAGATTAAATAACTCATGTTATATTTATACAATGTGGCTGATGGAGTTAGCTCTGTGTATCCCAGTGGAAAGATAATTGGGGTGTTTTAATATTTGCTGTTTACTTTACATACAAATCCCACAAGAGTACAATTCTAGTATAAAATTCAAACCCAAGGCCAAGTGTGATGGCTCACGCCTATAATCCCAATACTTTGGGAGTCTGAGGCAAGAGCATTACTTGAGGCCAAGAGTTTGAGACCACCCTACATAGGTTTCCCGACATAGGGAAACCTGTCTATTAAAAAAAAAAAATAGCTGGGCTTAGTGGTGCATGCCTGTGGTCCTAGCTACTTGGGAGGCTACTTGGCAAGAAGATTGTTTGAGCTTAGGAATTCAAGGTTACAGTGAACTATGATTGCACCACTGCTCTCCAGACCGGCAATGGCGTGAAACCCTGTCTCTGAAAAGAAAAGAAAAGAAAAGAATAGTCAAACCCAGAAAAAGCACTAGTACCACTTTCACTCCCCTATCCTCACCCAAATCACAGTTACCTCTCCATTTTAAGTTTGGTGTATTAACCTTTTGTATACATGATATACACATACATGTCTTATTAAAATATATAAATGAGATTTTTTTTTATATGGAGTCTTGCTCTTTCACTCAGGCTGGAGTGCAGTGGTGCGATCTTGGCTCACCGCAACCTCCACCTCTCGGGTTCAAGCGATTCTCATGCCTCAGCCTCCCTAGTAGCTGGGATTACAGGTGCGCACCACCATGCCCAGCTAATGTTTGTATTTTTAGTAGAGACTGGGTTTCACCATGTTGGCTAGGCTGGTCTCAAACTCCTGGCCTCAAGTGATCCAACCACCTGGGCCTCTCAAAGTGCTGGGATTACAGGTGTGAGCCACCACGCCTGGCCAGGATCATAATTAACATACTGTTTTGCAACTTGCTTTTTTTTCATTTAAAATTATGTCTCAAAGAGCTCTACATACCAGTACATTTAAAGCTGCTTCATTCTTTTTAACTGCTGCATATTATGAGTTCTGGATCCGGAGCTAATAAAGCAAGGTTACAATGAACAGTCTGGCACATAAAGCTTTGCCAACAGGTAGAAGAATTTCTTTAGGATATTCTACTATAAATATAATTATTTGCTTAAATGTATGAGATTTTATACATTTGATATTGCCAAAAGAAGGATGTGAGATTTTATATAGTTAATGGATATACCACCAAACTGTCCTCCAAAAAGGCTTGGCCAATTTATACCCCCATCAAACATAAGACAGGATCTATTTCCCCACACTCTCATGCACACTGTGTACAAATGTTTCTCAACTTATAATGGGGTCATGTTCAAATAAACTTATAGGTTGAAAATACCATAAATCTAAAATGCATTTAATACATCCAACCTACCAAACATCATAGCCTAGCCTACCTTAAAAATGCTCGGAACACTCACATTAGCTGACAGTTCGGCAAAATCATCTAATGCAAAGCCTATTTTATAATAAAGTGTTGAATATCTCACATAATTTATTGAATACTACATTGAAAGAAAAACAGGATGGTTGTATGAGTACTTGAAGTACAGATTTTACTGAATGTGTATTGCTTTTGCACCACCAATTAAAGTAAAAAAATCATAGGTTGAATTGTCATAAATTGGGGACCGTCTGTATTAGTAATTATTGCCAATATAAGAGTCAACAAAAGATTGTCCTTTTTTTTGTTTTGTTTTGAGATAGGTTCTCACTCTGTTGCCCAGGCTGGAGTGCAGTGATGTAATCACAGCTCACTGCAGCCTCGACCTTCCTGAGCTCAGGTGATCCTCCCATCTCAGCTTCCCCAGTAGCTGGGACTACAGGCGCATGCCACCACGCCCAGCTAATTTTTGTACTTTTGGTATAGACGGGTTTTTGCCATGTTGCCCAGGTTGGTTTCGAACTCCTGAGCTCAAGCAATCCACCCACCTCGGCCTCCCAAAATGCTGGGATCACACAGGTGTGAGCTACTGCACCTGGCAAGATTGTCCTTTTAATTCACATTTTCCTAAATATCTATTATCTTGAGCATAATTTCACATGCTTAACATCCATTTGCATTTCTTCTCTGAGTATTAGTTAATATCCTTTGAGTATTTTCCTATTCAGCTGTATTTTTTAAATGGTTTGTAGTTCTTTACACATTTCTGTATATTAGTTATTTTTCTGTTATATAGGTTGTACATATATTTTCTCAATCTATCACTAACATCTTAATTTTATGGTATTTTTGATATTCAGAATTTTTACTTTTTTAGACAGGGTTTCGCTGTGTCGCCCAGGCTGGACTGCAGTGGCGTGATCATAGCTCACTGCTGCCTTGAACCCCTGGGCTTAAGCGATCTTCCTGCCTCAGTCTCCTGAGTAGCTAGGACTACAAATGCATGGCACCACGCCCAGCTAATTTTTATGTTTTGTAGAGACAGGGTCTCACTATATTCCCCAGGCTGGTCTCAAACTCCTGGTCTCAAAAGATCCTCCCACCCAGACCTCCCAAAGTGCTGGGATTACAGGCATGAGCCAGGGCTATAATCCCAGCACTTTGGATTCTGGAGCCATGGCACCTAACTCCAGAATTTTTACATTATGATGTGGTCAAAACATTAACCTTTTCTTGTATGGCTTCTGGGTCATTGCATATATATGTGTGTGTGTGTGTGTGTGTGTGTGTGTGTGTGTGTGTGTGTGTGTGTGTGTCTCCAAATCCTAGCACCATTCATATAATAGTCCATTATTCCCCAATAAATTTAAAGAGCTAACTTAACCATATGTTAAATTCTCATTTATACTCAGATCTGTTTCATCGATTGACTTTTCTGTTTCACTGATAATATATATAGTTATAAACTGCCTCAATATCACACTTTTACATGGTGTCGTTTTGTAGCAAGTTTTGGTGTCGGGGAAGACAAATCCTTCATTGCCCTGCTTTTTCCAACTATTTTTGGATATCCTTGGGCATTTCAAGTGAAGTTCCAAGTTTCATTTTTAAAAAATCTTGTTGGACTTTTCATTAGGATTGCATCCAATTTATAGATTAAGCTGGGTGTGGTGGGTCATGCCTGTAATCCCAGCACTTTAGGAGGTCACGGCAGGTGGATCACTTGAGGTCAGGAGTTCAAGACCAGCCTGACCAACATCGTGAAACCTCGTCTTTACTAAAAATACAAAAATTAGCCAGGGGTGGTGGCGCACACCTGTAGTCCAAGCTACTCGGGAGGCTGAGGCATGAAAATCGCTTGAACCCTGGAGGTGGAAGTTGCAGTGAGCCCAGACTGTGCCACTGCACTCCAGCCTGGGCAACAGAGTAAGACTCTGTCTCAAAAAAAAAAAAAAGGAATTTATAGATCAACTTAAGGAATAATTAAAATCTTAGTAATAAAGTATTTTCACCCAGGGTCATGTAGTATTTTTAAAATTTATTCACATCCTCTTTTGTGCTCTTCAGGAAAATTGTCATTTTTCGTGTGTGTGTGTGTGTGTGTGTGTGTGTGTGTGTGTGTGTGTGTGTGTGTGGTTTTCTTTATAGATTTTATACATTTCTTATTAGCTGTATTCCCCAATATTTCATAGTTTTTGTTAATATTGTGAATGTGGCTTTTTGTACATTATATTCTCTCTACATTTTTTAGAAAAATGATTTCACTATTTTTATAAAAATGATGCATGCTCATTATAAAGAAGCAATGCAATGCAATAAAGTACACAGAATAAGATAAAATATCATCTCAGATTCTAGCACTGTGAAATAACGAACTTTCAAATGACAATCAAACTTCCCAGGACATGTTATGCTATTTAGATCTAAACATTTTATTCTTTCTTAAGAATATATATATGTGTGTGTGTATGTATATACATATATATGTACATATAGTTATTTCATTTAATTTCTTCTTTTTCATTTCCCGTCAATGTAATTATCTGAAGCCCTTCCTCTGTCCATAATTCAATTTTTAGCCACATGTTTCTATTTCACTCTATTTATAATTTATTCTATAATGTTGTTTTGTCCTAATGGGTTCTTTAGTTTGCAATCTTCCTTTTTACCTAATTCTGCTGTTTTCACATCTCATCTTTGCATTCTTGTTTTATTAAGTTCATATTCTTATTAAGTTGTTCTATAGCTTAAAGTACTTGGAAATTTCCTTCTGTTCTTTGTGGTACGCTTTTTTCTTGTTTAGATTCTTTGTCTTGTGCTTCCTGTATCTTATATGGCTTCTGAGGAATGGAAGAGCCTGGTTACCCTGCACCACAATGCCCAGTTCTGGAATCTCCTGTTTCTTTACTTGGCTGAGATATTTTGAAGTTTACGTCATTGGAATGTGCCCCTTTCTTTGGTTGCTGATGATCATCTCCATTCTTCTGCTGTTTTGTTTTTTCTGCATTTTGTTGAATATTAGGAGAGATCTGGTGAAATGGTATCTTCCCTCTATTCTAACATAGAAGCTTCTTATCCATTTTCCATTTGTGTATTGCTGGTGCAAAGCAAAGCTACAATTTCTGAATGTTGACCTTGTATCAGGCCACCCTAATGAATTTGTATTATTAGTTATAAAAGTTTGTCAGTTGATTTTCTCTGATTTTCTCAAAAGACATTTATATTGTCTGTAAATGACAGTTTAATATTTTTCCTTTCTGATACTTTATACTATTCATGTTATCTTTTCATCTTATTATATGTAACAAGAAGTCCAGAGTAATGTTGAATAGTAAAGGTGATAACAGACATCCTTATAGTCAGAGTCTAGCTCCTGAATATAACAGGAATGCTTTTCACGTTTCATCATTAAGTACAATATTTCTATGCATCTCCTACACAAATCCTTTGCCAAGTTAAGGAAACTTCTATTCCTAGAATGCCAGGAGTTGTTATCAGGAATGGATGTTTAATTTGAACAAAAAATTTTATGGTTCCTATTGAGATTATCATATTTTAATGATTTTAATATAGTAGATTACAATAAAAATGTTTAAATATTGGACCACCTTTGAATTCTTGCAATAAACCTCACACGGTAGTGACAATTTTTTTTAATAAACTGCTGGATTTCAATTTGCTAATATCTGGTTTTACATTTTTGTAGATGAGATCCGTTTATAGTTTTCTTTTTCTGTGTACCATCCTTTTTCAGTTTTTGGTATTATAATTATACTAGCCTTATGAAATGCATAATATAATTATACTAGCCTTATGAAATGCGTTAGGAAGTTTTCTGTGTTCTGGAATTAGTTTATATAACAAGAGAATTTTTCCATTCCTTAAAGGCTTGGGGAAGAACTTTTCTAAAAATAATAGTCTGAGCACAGTAATTGTCTTTCTTTCCTTTTGTTGTTTGTTTTTAAGCAGTAAGATTTTTTTTTTTTTTTTTTTTTTTTTTTTTTTTTTTGAGACAGAGTCTCGCTCTGTCACCCAGGCTGGAGTACAGTGGCACGATTTTGGCTCACTGCAACCTCCGTTCACGTGATTTTCATGCCTCGGCTACCTGAGTAGCTGGGACTACAGGTGCGTGCCACCATGTCGGGCTAATTTTTGTATTTTTAGTAGAGATGAGGTTTCACCATGTTGGCCAGGCTGGCCTCAAACTCTTGACTTCAAGTGATCCACCCACCTCGGCCTCCCAAAGTGCTGGGGTTACAGGCGTGAGCCACCATGCCCGGCCTGAAGTAAAATTTTTATCTCTTTATTGTTCTATTCAAGTTTTCTACTTCTTGAGCCAGTTTTGATTAGTTGTATTTTATTAATATATGATCCATTTTGTCTGAAATTTCAATTTGAGTGTTATAAAATTCTGACTTGTATTTTCTTATATTTTTCCTATTGCCTTTTATATCTTTAATTATAATTCCCAATGTTGTTTATTGTCTCTTCTTTTTTCTTTGATCAGAATTGCCAAAAAAATTTTCTCAAATAACTTGTATCAATCAATTGTATTGTGATTTTTTTCTTCTTGCTTTCTTTTTTTCTTATCTTTATTTTTCCTTCCTTCTATTTCCTTAAGATTCAATTTACTGTTCTTTTTCTACATTCTTGAGTTAAATGTCTAGTTCATTTATCTTAAGTCTTCCTTATTTTTGAATATGTAAGTGAGTGTATAAATGACCCTCTTTAATAACTCTAACCTCATCCCAGGTTTTACATCTGGTGGGTTTATTTCCATTCTCATCTACATAATTTGAAGTCATGATTTTTATTTCTTCTTTAACCCAGAGTCATTTAGAAGATGCTTTTTTTTCTTAAATTTTGGATTCGGTGTGGGGACTGCATTAATGTCTAATTTTATTTCATTATATTGTGTCACCTTCTCTTCAAGGTATTTCTTAATTGTGCAATTAAAAATATCCCTGCAGCTTCTATGGCATCATTGAGTTTGACTTTCTTTCCTTTTTTAAATTTTTTTATTTTTAATTTTGTGGGTACATAGTAAATGTATATATTTATGGGGTACATGAAATGTTTTGATACAGGTATGCAATGTGAAATCATTACAGGACTTATCACTTATTCATTTACTTATGTATTATTTGATTCTTCTATCTAGGATGTAAGCTCCTTGGGAACTGAGACATTGCTTCTTATTTGCTACATTTCCAGTACCTGAAACAGGGCCTGGAACATAGTAAGCACTCAATAAATATTTGCTAAATAAATAAATTATGAATAATAAATATGACCCCTATGAGTACTCTTTCCACTTTTTTAAAAAAGAAATTGATGGGATTTAACTCTTGAATAAGCATGTTCTAATACCTGGGCACTTTTTAAAACCAAGTGCATTTGAAAAGAATGTTATTTTCTGTTGTGTACAAAGTTGTTTATATTAGAGAGATTAGTTAAAGCACATCAATTGTGAAATTTAAATCCTCTATCTTTTTGCTAATCTGTGGATTATTGAAAAAGGTGTGCTAAGCCTCCCAACTATGATTGTAGATGTAACAATGTTTCCATATATATATATATACTATTTTGCATTGCATATTTTGAAGCTATAGTTAACTACATAAACGATTGTGTTACATTTTCTAGGTAATATAACCAGACTTAATAATAAGCGTCCTTCTGTGTCCTTTAGTCCTTTCAGTCTGAAATTCTACTCTGTCTTATATTGATAATGCAGCTTCTGCTTTCTTTTTATTAGTTTTTGCCTGGTTTATCTTTTTCCATCTTATTTAATACAGTACAGAGGTATATTTTTATTTTTAACACAATCTGAGAGTCACTGTCTCTTTTTAAGTGAATACAACCAATTCACATTGTCATTACAATATATTTGGATTTATTTATGCCATTTGTTTTTGCATTTTCTGCTTACCATGCTTTTTTGTTCCTTCCCCGCACACCCCTCCCCGCCGCCCACTGCCAGCTTTGTGTTAGATCAATTTATTTTACCTATAGTGGTTTGGAGGTTATGCATTCTATTTGTATTACACCCCCCCAACTTTTGTCAGCCCTCATAGCTTTTTTCTTTTGCAGATACCTACAAAGAAGTCCTTTTATTTATTTATTTAGAAAGGATCTTGCTTGTTGCCTAGGCTGGAGTGCAATGGTGCAATCACAGTTCACTGCAGCCTTGATCTCCCAGGGCTCAAGGATCCTCCCACCTCAGCCTCCTGAGTAGCTGGGACTACAGGCATGCACCACCACACGCAGCTTATTTTTTTATTATTATTTTTCATAGAGATGAGGTTTCACTATGCTGCACAGGCTGGTCTTGAACTCCTGAGCTCAAGATATCCTCCTGCCTGGGCCACCCAAAGTTCTGGGATTAAAGGCATGAGCCACCGTGCCTGGACCTACCAAGCAGTCCTAATTTCTTTTTCTTTTTTTTTTTTTTTTTCTTCCTTCTCCTGCCTAATTGCCCTGGCCAGAACTTCCAACACTATGTTGAATAGGAGTGGTGAGAGAGGGCATCCCTGTCTTCTGCCAGTTTTCAAAGGGAATGCTTCCAGTTTTTGCCCATTCAGTATGATATTGGCTGTGGGTTTGTCATAGATAGCTCTTATTATTTTGAAATACGTCCCATCAATACCTAATTTATTGAGAGTTTTTAGCATGAAGGGTTGTTGAATTTTGTCAAAGGCTTTTTCTGCATCTATTGAGATAATCATGTGGTTTTTGTTTTTGGCTCTGTTTATATGCTGGATTACATTTATTGATTTGCGTATATTGAACCAGCCTTGCATCCCAGGAATGAAGCCCACTTGATCATGGTGGATAAGCTTTTTGATGTGCTGCTGGATTCAGTTTGCCAGTATTTTATTGAGGATTTTTGCATCAATGTTCATCAAGGATATTGGTCTAAAATTCTCTTTTTTGGTTGTGTCTCTGCCAGGCTTTGGTATCAGAATGATGCTGGCCTCATAAAATGAGTTAGGGAGGATTCCCTCTTTTTCTATTGATTGAAATAGTTTCAGAAGGAATGGTACCAGTTCCTCCTTGTACCTCTGAGAGAATTCGGCTGTGAATCCATCTGGTCCTGGACTCTTTTTGGTTGGTAAACTATTGATTATTGCCACAATTTCAGCTCCTGTTATTGGTCTATTCAGAGATTCAACTTCTTCCTGGTTTAGTCTTGGGAGAGTGTATGTGTCGAGGAATTTATCCATTTCTTCTAGATTTTCTAGTTTATTTGCGTAGAGGTGTTTGTAGTATTCTCTGATGGTAGTTTGTATTTCTGTGGGATCGGTGGTGATATCCCCTTTATCATTTTTTATTGTGTCTATTTGATTCTTCTCTCTTTTTTTCTTTATTAGTCTTGCTAGCGGTCTATCAATTTTGTTGATCCTTTCAAAAAACCAGCTCCTGGATTCATTAATTTTTTGAAGGGTTTTTTGTGTCTCTATTTCCTTCAGTTCTGCTCTGATTTTAGTTATTTCTTGCCTTCTGCTAGCTTTTGAATGTGTTTGCTCTTGCTTTTCTAGTTCTTTTAATTGTGATGTTAGGGTGTCAATTTTGGATCTTTCCTGCTTTCTCTTGTGGGCATTTAGTGCTATAAATTTCCCTTTACACACTGCTTTGAATGCGTCCCAGAGATTCTGGTATGTTGTGTCTTTGTTCTCATTGGTTTCAAAGAACATCTTTATTTCTGCCTTCATTTCGTTATGTATCCAGTAGTCATTCAGGAGCAGGTTGTTCAGTTTCCATGTAGTTGAGCGGTTTTGAGTGAGATTCTTAATCCTGAGTTCTAGTTTGATTGCACTGTGGTCTGAAAAATAGTTTGTTATAATCTCTGTTCTTTTACATTTGCTGAGGAGAGCTTTACTTCCAAGTATGTGGTCAATTTTGGAATAGGTGTGGTGTGGTGCTGAAAAAAATGTATATTCTGTTGATTTGGGGTGGAGAGTTCTGTAGATGTCTATTAGGTCCGCTTGGTGCAGAGCTGAGTTCAATTCCTGGGTATCCTTGTTGACTTTCTGTCTCGTTGATCTGTCTAATGTTGACAGTGGGGTGTTAAAGTCTCCCATTATTAATGTGTGGGAGTCTAAGTCTCTTTGTAGGTCACTCAGGACTTGCTTTATGTATCTGGGTGCTCCTGTATTGGGTGCATATATATTTAGGATAGTTAGCTCTTCTTGTTGAATTGATCCCTTTACCATTAAGTAATGGCCTTCTTTGTCTCTTTTGATCTTTGTTGGTTTAAAGTCTGTTTTATCAGAGACTAGGATCGCAACCCCTGCCTCTTTTTGTTTTCCATTTGCTTGGTAGATCTTCCTCCATCCCTTTATTTTGAGCCTATGTGTGTCTCTGCACGTGAGATGGGTTTCCTGAATACAGCACACTGACGGGTCTTGAATCTTTATCCAATTTGCCAGTCTGTGTCTTTTAATTGGAGCATTTAGTCCATTTACATTTAAAGTTAATATTGTTATGTGTGAATTTGATCCTGTCATTATGATGTTAGCTGGTGATTTTGCTCGTTAGTTGATGCAGTTTCTTCCTAGTCTCAATGGTCTTTACATTTTGGCATGATTTTGCAGCGGCTGGTACCGGCTGTTCCTTTCCATGTTTAGCGCTTCCTTCAGGAGCTCTTTTAGGGCAGGCCTGGTGGTGACAAAATCTCTCAGCATTTGCTTGTCTGTAAAGTATTTTATTTCTCCTTCACTTATGAAGTTTAGTTTGGCTGGATATGAAATTCTGGGTTGAAAATTCTTTTCTTTAAGAATGTTGAATATTGGCCCCCACTCTCTTCTGGCTTGTAGGGTTTCTGCCGAGAGATCCGCTGTTAGTCTGATGGGCTTCCCTTTGAGGGTAACCCGACCTTTCTCTCTGGCTGCCCTTAACATTTTTTCCTTCATTTCAACTTTGGTGAATCTGACAATTATGTGTCTTGGAGTTGCTCTTCTCGAGGAGTGTCTTTGTGGCGTTCTCTGTATTTCCTGAATCTGAATGTTGGCCTGCCTTGCTAGATTGGGGAAGTTCTCCTGGATAATATCCTGCAGAGTGTTTTCCAACTTGGTTCCATTCTCCCCATCACTTTCAGGTACACCAATCAGACGTAGATTTGGTCTTTTCACATAGTCCCATATTTCTTGGAGGCTTTGCTCATTTCTTTTTATTCTTTTTTCTCTAAACTTCCCTTCTCACTTCATTTCATTCATTTCATCTTCCATTGCTGATACCCTTTCTTCCAGTTGATCGCATCGGCTCCTGAGGCTTCTGCATTCTTCACGTAGTTCTCGAGCCTTGGTTTTCAGCTCCATCAGCTCCTTTAAGCACTTCTCTGTATTGGTTATTCTAGTTATACATTCTTCTAAATTTTTTTCAAAGTTTTCAACTTCTTTGCCTTTGGTTTGAATGTCCTCCCGTAGCTCAGAGTAATTTGATCGTCTGAAGCCTTCTTCTCTCAGCTCGTCAAAGTCATTCTCCATCCAGCTTTGTTCCGTTGCTGGTGAGGAACTGCGTTCCTTTGGAGGAGGAGAGGCGCTCTGCGTTTTAGAGTTTCCAGTTTTTCTGTTCTATTTTTTCCCCACCTTTGTGGTTTTATCTACTTTTGGTCTTTGATGATGGTGATGTACAGATGGGTTTTTGGTGTGGATGTCCTTTCTGTTTGTTAGTTTTCCTTCTAACAGACAGGACCCTCAGCTGCAGGTCTGTTGGAGTACCCTGCTGTGTGAGGTGTCAGTGTGCCCCTGCTGGGGGGTGCCTCCTAGTTAGGCTGCTCCAGGGTCAGGGGTCAGGGACCCACTTGAAGAGGCAGTCTGCCCGTTCTCAAATCTCCAGCTGCGTGCTGGGAGAACCACTGCTCTCTTCAAAGCTATCAGACATGGACATTTAATTTCTATTATCCATTCTCTCTAAATCTGATAGCCTGTTCCATAAAACCTGTTTCAGAGGGACAAATACCTCTTCCGTGTTCCTAGCATACTAGAAGTAGAAGCCAAAGCCATAAGGTTTCTAGCATAAAAAATTGGGGAATAGCTTCATGTCCTAGAGGAAGGCAAAGATGCCTTAGAGCATAAAAAGCATTAATAATAAAAGAGAAAATTGAAAGTTGAAATAATAAAAGAGAAAGTTGGGCTTTATCAAAATTTATGTTTTGTTCATCCATAGACATTATTAACAAAATGGATAGGTAATGTACAGGCTTGGAAAAATATACATATAGTACATGTAGCTGACAAAGGACTTACATCCAGAATATATAAAGAACTCCTACAAATCAACAATAAAAAGAAAAATCCATTGTAAAAGGGGGCACAAACTTGAATGGATGCTTTGCAATGGTAGATATCTAGTCCTCAACATCTTCAGTAATCAGAGAAATGCAAATAGAAAACACAATGACATTCCACCACACTTCCACTAGAATGGCTGAAATCAAAAGACTAACAGCACCAAATGTTGGTGAGAACATGGAGAAACCAGAATACTAATATATTATCATCAGGGGTGTAAAATGGTACAGCCACTTTGGAGAAATCTTTCTCAGGTTCTTATAAAGTTTAACATTCGCTTACCATACAACCCAACAAGTTCACTTCTGAGTATTATTTAACCAAGAAAAATGAAAACATGCCCACACAAAGACTTGTACATGAATGTTTATATCAGCTTTATTCATAATAGCTGAAACTCAGAAACAATAAGAGAATGGATAAATAAATTGTTGTACCTATATACAGTAGAATACTATTCAGCAATAAAAAGTATTAAAGTACTGATATATGCAACAACATGAATAAATCTCAAAAACAGTACGCTGGCCCAGCACGGCAGCTCACACCTATAATCCCAGCACTTTGGGAGGCTGAGGCAGGTAGATTGCTTGAGCTCAGGAGTTTGAGACCAGCCTGGCCAATGTGGTGATACCCCATCTCTACTATTAATAAAATTACAAAAATTAGCTGGGTGTGGTGGCGCACACCTGTAATCCCAGCTAATTGGGAGGCTGAGGCATAAGAATCACTTGAACCCAGGGGGTGAAGGTTGCAGTGAGCCCAGATTGTGCCACTGCACTCCAGCCTGGATGACAGGGTGAGACTCTGTCTCAAAAAGGAGAAGTTAAAAAAAAAAAAGCCAGTATGCTGAGTGAACAGAGCCAGACACAAAAGAGTATTGCAGGATTCCATTACGTGAAACGTAAAAACAAACGAAACTAATCCGTGGTGATAAAAATCAGAAAGTGGTGTTCAGGGGAATAGAGGGGAATCTGACACTGGGCAGGCAAGCCCCAAAATTGAGGCTTAGCCCAGGAGAGTTCTTGGCTTCTCCCAGAAAAGAATTCAAGGGCCAGCAGGTGACATTAGACAGCAACTTTTATTGATGTGGCAGTGTACAGCAGCAGCAGAACACTTGCGGAACAGGGCTAACCCATAGGCAGTGTGCCCAGAGTAGCAGCTCTGGGGCAGTTCTGCAGCCATACCTATACCCACTTTTAATTATACGCAAATTAAGGGACAGGTTATTCAGAAATTTCTAGAAAAGGGGTGGTAACTTCCAGGTGTTGCCATGGCCATGGTAAATTGACATGGTGCACTGGTGGGTGGGCATGTCTTATGGAAACCTGCTTCAGCCCAGTCCCTATTTTAGCTAGTCCTCAATTTGGTCTGGTGTCTGAGCTCCACCCCTGGAGTAGAGTCCCACCTTCTACCTCAAATTGACTAGAAACAGGCACAAAGGACCTTTCGGGATGATGAAAACATTCTACATCTTGTTTTGTGTGGTGGTAACATGGGATTATATGATTGTTAGAACTCTTCAAATTGAACATTTAAGATGTGTGTGATATATTGTATATAAATTATACTTCAATATACCTTAATTCCCTCTCCAGAGAAAGCCACTTTATTAGTTTGGTGTGTATCATGCCAGACCTTTTTCTATGAGTTTCATGCATATATATGTACCTATAGAAATATTGTTAGAGGGTATCAAATGGTACATATGTTTCACAACTTGATATTTTCATTCTACAATATGTCTTGGGGCTCTTTTCTTGTCAATAAATGTTGATCCTTTTAACTGTTGTATTGTATTCCATAGTGTGGCTATAGTATGGTTTATTTAGCCATTCCTCTACTGATGGACATTTAGGTTTTCTTTAATTTTAAGCAATAAAAAACAATGCTGCAAAAATTATCTTTGCAAATTTTGACAATTGGATAACTGATAAGTGGTATAACAATGTTGCAGATTACATTTCTCTGTTAAGTAGTGAGGTTGTGCCTCTGTTCACATGTTTATTGGTTACTTGTAGCTCTGTAAATTGCCTGTTCACATGCTTTGCCTGTTTTCCTGGCACAAAAGATATTACCTTTATCTTACTGATTTTGCAGAAGGGCTGTATTTAGTATAGATAGTACTTGTTTCTCTGTTTTATATGTTGTAAATATTTTCTCCTAGTCTGTAGCTTGTTTTAATCTTGTCTGTGTTGTCTTTCTATATACTGAAGTTTTTCCATTTTGATGTAGTTAAATGCATCAGTCTTTTTATTTATGGCTTTTTTCTTCCCCAACTGAAGCCTATGAAAAATACTCTCCTAGATGGAGAACATCTTGGCTAACACAGTGAAACCCCGTCTCTACTAAAAATACAAAAAATTAGCCAGGCATGGTGGCAGACACCTGTAGTCCCAGCTACTTGAGAGGCTGAGGCAGGAGAATGGCGTGAACCCTGGAGGTGGAGCTTGCAGTGAGCCGAGATCGTGCCACTGCACTCCAGCCTAGGTGACAGAGCGAGACTCCATCTCAAAAAAAAAAGAAAAGAAAAGAAAAGAAAAATACTCTCCTAAGGACAGGCGTGGTGCCTCACACCTGTAATCCCAGCACTTTGGGAGGCCAAGGCGGGTGGGTCGTTTGAGACTAGTTAGAGACTAGCCTGGGCAACATGGTGAAACCTCCTCTCCACAAAAAAATACAAAAATTAGTCAGGCATGGTGGCGCGTGCCTATAGTCCCAGCTACTTGAGAGGCTGAGGCAGGAGGATCACCTGGACCCAGGAAGGCCGAGGCTGCAGTGAGCCATGATCACACCACTGCACTCCAGCCTGGGCGACAGAATGAGACCCTGTCTCAAAAAAAAAGAAAAAAAAGAAAAGAAAAATACTCCCCTATACTGATATAGTACTATTCTAAGTTCTAAAAATCTATTTGGAACTTAATAAGTGGCATAAGATAGGACTCTGATTTTTTTTTTTCATATGGATACCCAGATTCCCAGGAGCATCTGTTGAAGAGATCCTTTCCCCTATTAGAACTTGAAATGCAACATTTACCATATACTTAACTAAATGCCATATACTTTACCCATATATGCCTGTATCTATATGAGAATATATAGGTTAAACACAAGGATCATATTGTACATACTATTCCATATTATGTTCTTCCTCAAATTAATTATAAATTTAGCACTATCCAATCAAACCAATTCATCTTAACTAACACCCAAAGCAACAGTTTGAACTGGAACATAAGTTCTTATATTTTCTAAATCTGTTGGACTCAACAAAACAATGACTAAGTGGAGCAATGGTTTCATTAGAGGAGAAGAATTAGGCAGTTACTTGCCTTTCCAGCAGAAACCATGTTTTGGGTAACCAAAAAGCCCAGTTAATGAGGGAAAGTGCTTCCTTCTAGATTAGGAGAATGTTAACTAATACACATAGAAAAATGATAGAATTCAAAGATTATTTTATGACACCGTCCCCCCCCCACCATGAAATAATTGATTCAGAAAAGGATCATGGATGGATGCTTGTATCATCAGGTGCTATAGCCATGAGGGAAAAACATAACTTTACAAAAGAGGAATTATATCATCATCACCAGCTTAACCCAGTTTGATCTGTTTGGTTGGGATTTTTTTCCTAGCTCCTTGAGATAGATGCTTTGATGGTTTCTTTCCAGCCTTTTTTAAATTCATAGGTTTTGGCCAGGTGTGGTGGATCATGCCTGTAATCCCAGCATTTTGGGAGGCCAAGGCAGGCAGATCACTTGAAGCCAGGAGTTTGAGACCATCCTGGCCAACATGGTGAAACCCCATCTCTACTTAAAATACAAAAAATTAGCCGGGCATGGTGGCGCATGCCTGTAATCCCAGCTACTCAGGTGGCTGAGGCACGAGAATCACGTGAACCTGAGAAGTGAAGGTTGCAGTGAGCCCAGATCACACCATAGCACTCCAGCCTGGACAACAGAGCGAGACCCTGTCTCAAAAGAAAAATCATAGGCTTTTAAAAATCAAGTGTATTTTTTAATTATGTTCTTAATATTTGTGTATTTCTCTATATATAATTTTACCAAAATTTTTAAAAATACAAAAATAAAAAGGATTCAATATGGAATAAGATAAGGCCACTACTATCTCATTTGTTGCCTTTGCATAAATGAGACAAAAGAGATTCCTCTAGGAAGATGCCACCCAGTTGGCACATGGCTTTGTGCAAATTAGCAAAAGAGATTAATTACAAATTAGCAAAAGGGATCACTTTAATCAGGTTTATTGGTGTATAATTTACACACAGTAAAGTTTGTTCTTCTAGGGTGTAAAGTTCTATGAGTTCTGGCAAGTGTATGTAGTCATGTAACTACCACCACGATCAAGATACAGAATATTTTCATCACCCCACCAAGTGCCCTTGTACCATATAGTCAACCCTCTCTCTTCAGCCTCAGCACCCCCAAAAAACCACTGATCTGATTTCTGTCCTATAACTTTTGCTTTTCTCGGAATGTCATATAAATGAAACAAGACTTTTTATGTCTGAGATTCATTTAACATAGTGCTTTTGAGCTTCATTCATGTTGTTGCTTGTATTAATTGCTTGGTCCTTCTTATTGCTAAGTAGTATGCCATTGTATAGTACAATTTATTTATTCACCAGATGATGGACACTTGGGTTGTTTCTAGGTTAGGCCAATTACCAAGAAAGCTGCTATAAATATTTGCATGCAAGTCTTTGTGTGGACCTATGTTTTTATTTCTCTTGGGTAAATACTGAGGAGTGGGATTGTTGAGTCACATGGGAAGTGTATGTTTAACTCTATACAAAACTCTTTTCCAAAGTGGCTGTACCATTTTACATTCCCACTAGAATCATATGAGAGTTCCAGTTGCTCCAATTCTGACATGCACTTGGTTTTGTCATTTTTAAAGCCACTCTAACAGATGCAGATATTCTAATCTTTTACCTGTATTTTTAAAATTCAGTTGTTGTTTTCTTAATATCGAATTGTGAGAGTTCTTTATATATTCTGGATAAAGTCCTTTATTAGCTTTGTTAAGTTACAAATATTTCATCCCTGTCTATAGTTCAGCTTTCATTTCCTTAACAGCATCTTAGAAAGGGCAGTAGTCTTTATTTGGGTACATCCAGTTTATTTATTCACCGTTTATGGTTTGTCCTATTTGTGTCCTACCAAAAAAAGTTTGCCAAACACAAGATCACAAATATTTTCTATTATATTTTCTTCTAGACATTTTATAATTTTAATAATTTTAAAGTTGTAGCTTAATTTTGCAATAGCTAAAGGATATACACTGTGTTATTTCACCCTTTGCTGTTTGTTGAGACTAAATTTATGCCTTTCATGTAGTGAAATTTTGTAGATGCTCCTTGTACCTAAAAATAAACTGTATTCTGCAGTTTTAGAGTGCAGGGTTCTACATTTGTCAGTTATGTTAAGATTACTTGTGCAATTCAAATATTTGTTAGTCTTACTTATTTTTGTCTTATTTTACCAATACTGAGAAAAGTTTATACAATGAAACACCATGCGGCAATAATAATGAACAAACTACTGCCGCATGTAACCAAATGGATGAATCTCACAAACATAATGTTGTTATATTATTAAAAGCTGTATTATTAGATGCATGCAAATTTAGAATTATTTGATCTTCCTGCTGAATTGACTCTTTTATCATTACGAAATGTCCCTTTTTGTCTTTACTACCACTTCTTGCTTTAAAGTCTACTTTATCTGATATTAATACAACTACATCAGCTTTTTTGTTAATATTTGCATGGCATATCTTTTTCCATCTTTTTACTTTTAGCCTTCTGTGGCTTCATATTAAAAGTGGATCTCTTATAGACAACATGTAGTTATTTTTTAATACATTCTGATTTTGTGTTTTAACTGGAATGTTTAGGCTGCTTACCTATAATATATATTATATAGATGGTATATTTGGTATTTTGGGGCTTAAATCTACCATCTTACTTTTTGCTTTGTATTTGTTCTTCCTGTTTTATATTGCTTTTTCTCTTTTCTCTTGCCCTCTTTTGAAATGCATAATGGTTTTTTATAATTCCATTTTCCCCATTATCTTGTTAATTATAGATTCTATTACTATTCATGTAGTGGTTACCTTAGAGAATAAAAAATACATCCTAGACATTACTCAAGCCTAGTATAAATTTTACATTGTCTGACTATAGCACACTCCTAAATAAGTATTAGATCCCTTGCCTGCATTCCGCACTCCATCTGTGATTCCAAAGCCTGTGAGATTTTCTATATATATTACTGCCTTGGAGACCAAGTGATGTTGGTCATACACCTTGGCCCTTTAGCACAAAGAAAGGGATTTTATCTCCATCAAGAGAGATACATAAACTGGTACCCATATATACGCATCATTTCATAATATATGTGCACCATTCCAAACAAATGTAACACAGCCATATCCTGAGCTCTAGAAATCTAGAAATCCATCATCTAAAAGGGGAAGCAATGCAGTAAAATTGGAGTTGTGCATATTGGAGTCAGAGTAAGATGGAACCTGGAAACGTTTTCACCCTCTCTTGACCTATCTTCACTTATTTTATAGGTATAACTTGACATTCTTGAACCTACCACTTGATGTTAGCAAATCCTAGAAAGGGATGGGCTGTTCTAGTTGTGGTATTGTGGGTGTTCATTCCCATTCTCTCTCTGTTTTAATATATTTTCTAAATGTTCTACAATGAACACATTTTATTTATTTATTTACTTATTTGAGACGGAGTTTCACTCTTTTTGCCCAAGCTGGAATGCAATGGCGCTATCTCAGCTCACTGCAACTTCCACCTCCCAGGTTCAAGTGATTCTCCTGCCCCAGGCTCCCAAGTAGCTGGGATTACAGGCACCCGCCACCACGCCTGGCTAATTTTTTTTGTATTTTTCATCGAGACGGGGCTTCACCATGTTGGCAAAGCTGGTCTCGAACTCCTGACCTCAGGTGATCCACCCGCCTCTGCCTCTCAAACTGCTGGGATTACAGGCATGAGCCACCGCACCCAGCCTGAACACATATTATTTAAATCTTAGAAAAAATAGGCTGGGCGCGGTGGCTCACGCCTATAATCCCAGCACTTTGGAAGGCCGAGGCAGGTGGATCACTCGAGCTCAGGAGTTGGAGACCAGCCGGGGCAACATGGCGAAACCTTATCTCTACCAAAAATACCAAAAAAAATTAGCCGGGCATGGTGGTGCACACCTGTGTTCCCAGCTACTTGGGTGGCTGAGGTGGGAGGATCCATCACTTGAGCCTGGGAGACGGAGGTTGCAGTGAAGCAAGATCACGCCACTCTGCACTTCAGCCTAGGTGACACAGTGAGACCGCCTCTCAATAAATAAATAAATAAATAATAAAATTAATACTACACATAGTAGGCACTTAATTGTAGCAAGCACTTTATCCATTCCTCTTTGTTATAGAGCAAAATAATACTGTTCATTATCACTACCAAGCTACCACTGGGTCTCTTACTTCTATAACCCCAGTGTCTTTCCCGAAGACAAGACTGGTTCTCACTTTCCCTGAGGTTCAGTTTCCACTTCTTTAAAATGAGGATAACAATCCCTCCTCAAAGGATTGATCTAAATATTTAATGTTATCATGTGTGGGCAGGGGCCAAAGTCTATGCAAATTGACCCCTAACCTAATGGAGAGGCACACAAAAAAGACAAGAGTCCCTTGAAAGAGGAGCAGTGGTACAGTTTGCCAAGAGCACTTGCAAGAGAGTGCTGGAAATGTAGTCTGGATCCATGGGATGAGGAGCCTTGCATGCCAGCTGGGAAAGAGTGCA
Organism: Homo sapiens; assembly: GCF_000001405.40. Taxonomy (NCBI): domain Eukaryota; kingdom Metazoa; phylum Chordata; class Mammalia; order Primates; family Hominidae; genus Homo; species Homo sapiens. Next base: position 101,463,304 of record NC_000023.11, on the reverse strand, counting down.
TAGTTCTCTTGGGTGGGTAGTGGATTGCCTCTGAGGGTGTTTGTGTGACAATATTAGAGCTAACTTCAGGGAAACCGTTCTGAGCAGCTGTATGTAAAGTGGCCTGATTCGGGAAGTCATTATAGGTGTATGGTATTTGAGGACTTGAACCACCTCCTCTCTCCAGAGAGTGCTCTGCAGTGTGGACATCAGCCAACCTTGATGGAGAAAGAGAGACAGAATGGAGCCACCTGGTGATTAGAATCAGAGTTGCAATTATGAAAGTCAGGACAGAGGGCTTTGCAAGGGAAGGAGGAAAGGAGGGAAAGGCTTGGACTTATTGGCACCGGCCAGATCTTTCTGGAATGACCACCCACTGGCAGCAATCCTCTGAATATAGGACTTTCTGTGGTCTCTAAGCCCTAAAACTAGACATCCACTTCCAGCCTGAGCTGAAGGGAAAGCTGCATGTGTGAGTGTGTGATTATTTGGGGTGAAGAAGTTTGAGACATAGCAACACACACATAAGTAGATACATCACCAAATCAGTTGCTTTAATCTGCTCTTTTCCCAAGAAACCAGTATACTGTACACATATTTCCAAAACATAATATATGTGTATCTAATTTTTGGGGGGGTTATATATTTTTGCTCTTTACAAATTTTTATCTTTTTTTTTTTTTTTTTGAGACAGAGTCTCACTCTGTCGCCAGGCTGGAGTGCAGTGGTGCAATCTCGGCTCACTGCAACCTCCAACTCCCTGGTTCAAATGATTCTCCTGCCTCAGCCTCCGGAGTAGCTGGGATTACAGGCACGCATCACCACGCCCAGCTAATTTTTGTATTTTTAGTTGAGACAGAGTTTCACCATGTTGGCCAGGATGGTCTCGATCTCCTGACCTTGTGATCTGCCTGCTTCAGCCTCCCAAAGTACTGGAATTACAGGCGTGAGCCACTGCGCCGGCCTACAAATTTTTATCTTAATAAATGTTCCTGATTACAAAATTTCAAACAAGCCAAAAAGGTGTATGTGTAAATTAAATTTATCCTTTCATCTGCCTGACTCTCACTCCCTGACCCAAAGATTTTCACTGAAAATAGGTGCATGTTCTCCAGATGTGTTTATGTACACGTAATTTACTACTGTATAGCTACATATAAAGAAAAATATTTACATAAAATATACAAAATACACATATTCTTCAAAACTGTAGTCATAACATATTCTTCTGCAATTTTCCTATTTCACTTAATATATCTCTGACTTTCATTGATATTTCATTAGCAATGTTTACTGACATAAATATTGCTCTTTCAGTGAATTTTCTTTTGACATCATTGACCCACTGTTGGTCAGTAAGTCTGCCTAACATATCACAAATATAAGCCCCATTAGTTTGCAAATATTCTCTCTACTTTTCACATAACTTTTACCTTTTTTTCTGCAATACACAGTGTTTTAAATTTTTCAATAATGTTAATTAAAATTATACAGCTTTGTAAATTTAAAATTATTACAAAATAAAGTTTAGTTTTAAAAATAAATAATAAATCACACCCATTAGGATGGCTATTATTTAAAAAAAAAGAGAGGGAGAAAATAGTTAAGTGTTGGTGAGGATGTGGAGAAATTGGAACCCTTGTGTATTGCTTGTAGGAATATAAAATGGTGCAGCCACTGTGGAAAATAGTATGGCAGTTCCTCAAAATATTAGGCATAGAATTACCATATGATCCAGAAATTCCACTTCTGGGTATATAGCCAAAAGAAATGAAACAGAGACTTGAACATATATTTGCACACCCATGCTCACAGCAGCATTACTCACAATAGCCAAAAGGTAGAAACCACCAAATGTCCACGAATGGATGAATGGATAAACAAAAGACAGTATATCCATACAATGGAATATTATTCAGCCTTAAAAAGGAAGGAAAGTCTGTTACATGCTGACTCTGAAAACATTATGCTAAGTGAAAGAAGCCAGACACAAAAGGACAAAAGTGGTATGATTCCACTTGTATGAACTACCCAGAGTAGTCAAATTTATACAGAGAAAAGGATGGTGGTTGCCAGAGTCTAAGGAAAAAGAGAATAGGAAGTTATCATTTAATGGGTATAGAGTTTTATTCAAAATGAAGAGTTCTGGAGATGGACAGTGGTGATGGTTGCACAACAATGTGAGAGTACTTAATGCCACTGAGCTGTACACTTTAAAATGATTAAAATGGTAAATATTATGTTATATTGTACAAATAAATAAATAAAACAGTTCATTATAACAGAAATTGAGCAATACCATGGAGAGCATCAAGTGCCAGCACCCAGGGAAATCAGAGCATTCAGAGCCCTGGAGGCTTCAAACAGAAAAGCTTTAGAGTAATTTCAGTTTTCATTATTTAAGCCTCTCCTAACTACCAGCCCACACTCAAGGATAGGGATTATGCAAGTGCATGAACACTAGGAGGCATGGCTCATTGAGATCACCGTCTTAGAGGCTGCTTACCTCATTTGTCCATCTCTTTATATTGGCTACTGGGAAGGTTTCCTATATCATAAGAATTAGCTACATATATTAATAGTTTGCAAATATTTGCTGTCATCATTTTAGACAAGCTTTACTGATTTTTTGCCATATACTGTGTTTTAAATTTTTCAGTAATAATATAATTTAAAAGTAATATATTTCACTATTTTAAAAAACTAAGCCATACCCCGCCCAGCATCAGTTACCCAGACAGATTGGAGTACTTAGAGCCCTGGTGGATTCCAGACACCATGGGGAAAGCTTTACAGTAATTCCAGGTTTCACTACTAAGTAAGCATTTATAAGACAGTTTCCCTGATTTACTTAACATCTCCTAACTTCCTATACCCTGATCTGAATTACGGATTTAATAATAAGTAATTTGAATAGCTAAGATCAAGGGAGATCCCAGGAGCCTGGAGCTTAATCCCTCACCCACCAGGCTCCCCAGGGTAAGAGATGTGATGAAATCACCAATGCCCACATGAGCTGTTCTAAGGACCAGTGACTGGTTCCCTTACATTTTAGGAGAATGATATAGTGTCACCCCCTGCCTGAGTGAATGGCCCAGGTCATGGGCCTAGGTACACTGCAAACTCTGACCCCTTTGCTTTGACTCCAGGCCATGTACTTCCACCAATCCTCTCAGCTCAGTGCAATTCTCTATGTACCTTGTAAAGAATAAATGCTGTTTTGTTTATTTGTTTGTTTGTCTATTAGCCAGACCAGTGGTTCTCAGACTGTGGTCCCTAGAGCAGTAGCATCAGCATTACCTGGGAACTTCTTAGAAATGCATATCTTTGGGTCTCAACCAGATGGTCTGAATCAGAAACTCTAGGGGCAGGGCCCAGCAATTAGTGTTTATACACCTACAGATGATGCATGCTGAACTTTGAGAGCCTCTGCTCCACTCCATAAATGACTGATAGAGTTTTATATGTTATCACCTCTTGTGAGCCTCAGTCTCCTCAGTGGAGGTGACAGATCCCCCTGCTTTACCACAGTGGTGTGAGGAAAAAATGGGAAAACCTGTGCAGATAGTATCTGGTGATACTTCTGCATTGTAAGAGTAATTACCTTCTGGGGCTGAGAAAAAAATAGAAAATCCCTATGCCATTTCCTTTTTTAAAAAATTGTGTTTTCTTGCCCTCCTTATTTTACCTTTTACGTGACTCTAAGAGAGAACATAATGAGAAAATCAACAAAGAATGTCTGACACATAAAAGGACTTCACCAAATGTTAGTCCTGGCCTACCCTGCTTTCTTTCTCACATAAAGAGAAGACTTTGATATAAACTGCATAGAGCTATTATAGCTATTATAGCTACATAGCTATTATAGATAGCATCTGGAAATATAAGCAAGAAATGAAATATACAGGTAGGCCAGCTTCATGAAGGCCCACAGGCACCCAGGCACCCAGGCACCTGCCCTCCCCACTGCAGCCATTGCCAAGATTTATAAGAAGAAAGTCAATTCAGCTAAAGAGGTGCTAAATAAAGAGCCCAAGAGAAGATCTGAAGGTAGTCGTTCAAACCCGCTCCTGCAGAAGTTAAAATTAAATCATAAACAAAAGGCAAAGTAAAAGGATAAACCTTCAGTAAAAAGTACAAACATAAGGGAAAGGAAGGGCAAAAGGGAAACTCACTGGAGTGGCTAAACAAGACACTAAAGACGGCAAGAAAGGGAAAACATAAAAGGTGAATCTAGCCTCTGATGCAGCAGGATGGAAAGAAGCCAAGTCTGAATAGCATACTTATACCCAGTATTATCAGGGGTCCCAATACTTCCCTTCTACAATATAGGGGAATGGTTTTTATCAAGGACTTTGAAAATCCAAGTTTTTTAGTAGCTCCAGGAACACATTTTTAAGAAGGAAGAGATTCTACCCCATTCCATTTTAATTTTAATTTAATTTTATTTTATTTTATTTAGATAAGTATCAATGCTTTGTTTAGAAGAGGAAATCATGCACTAGCTGCCTAGTAAAGCTAGAAATTAGTAGGATATTGAGCCGGGCACAGTGGCTTACGCCTGTAATCCCAGCACTTTGGGAGGCCAAGGCAGGCAGATCACCTGAGTTCAGGAGTTCGAGACCAGCCTGGCCAACATGATAAAATCCCATCTCTACTAAAAACACAAAAATTAGCCGAGCGTGGGGGCGGGCACCTGTAATCACAGCTACTCGGGAGGCTGAGACACGAGAATTGCTTGAACCCGGGAGGCAGAGGTTGCAGTGAGTCGAGATCATGCCATTGCACTCCGTCTCAAAAAAAAAAAAGGGGGGGGATATTGAATTAAAGGAAGCTTTGACTGTCTTATGTGTCAACTTAACATTCCATAGGTTGGATGCAAGGGTAGTTTTTATTTCCTTTTATATGAAGCATAACGAAATGGTAATTTAGAATCACAATTTTGCAGTTAACATGTCATAAATATTTCAAATTACTTATTTATGTTATTTTACTAGTTACCAAGCAAGAAAGCTATCAAGGGCTAGTGGGGTTGTGTCAAAAGCATTCAGGAGCCAACTTGAAAATGATTGCAACAGCAAATTTGAGCATCATTAAAAATAACAACTGCAATGAACTGATGAGTCGAAACACATCGAATATGTTAAAACTCTAAGAATTCATAATAATATCAAAAAAAAAATCTTTATTGGCCACCTTTGAAGGATGATGCTAAGGGAATCCAAATTGCCCCTCACAGTGACCAGTTATTGAGAGAAATTTTCCATTTACAGAAGGTTTTTTAGGCCAGGCACAGTGGCTCATGCCTGTAATCCCAACACTTTGGGAGGCCGAAGCTGGTGGATCACCTGAGGTCAGGAGTTCGATACCAGCCTGGCCAACGTGGTGAAACCCCGTCTCTACTAAAATACAAAAAATAGCCGGGCATGGTGGTGCACACCTGTAGTCCCAGCTACTCAGGAGGCTGAGGCAGCAGAATCACTTGAACCCAGAAGGCAGAGGTTTCAGTGAGCCAAGATGGTGCCACTGCACTTCAGCCTGGGCAACAGAGTGAGACTCCGTCTAAAAAAAGGGGGGTTTGGGGGGTTTTGTTTGTTTGTTTTTGAGATGCAGTCTCGCTTTGTTGCCCAGGCTGGAGTGCAATGGCGCGATCTCGGCTCACTGCAGCCTCCACCTCCCAGGTTCAAGTGATTCTCTGCCTCAGCCTCCCGAGTAGCTGGGATTACAGGCATGCACCACCACACCCAGCTAACTTTGTATTTTTAGTAGAGATGGGGTTTCTCCATGTTGGCCAGGCTGGTCTCAAACTCCTGGCCTCAGGTGATCTGCCCACCTCTGCCTCTGTTGGGGATACAGGCGTGAGCCACTGCACCAAGGCCATTTTTTTTAACCAATAAATGAAGAAGGAATTACAGAAATTGAATATCACCATCTTACAAATCCCTAAGGAAATAATGAATCTAGGCTATGACCATTGATGGCCACTAACATCACAAAAAAGAGAGCTTCAGTCAGATAGTATGTACCTCTTGAAAGAAATACAAATAACATTTATGAAATATTCCTTCCAGAAAATCAAACCTGAATCAGAACAAGCCTCTAGATCTACCAGTTTACAGGAAACTAGGAAGCAAAATAATATGTTAATCAATACCACAGGGATGCAGTCAGTAAATTCCAGAATGTGGAAAATTTTACAGGCTAAATTAACCTGTTTTCTTCAACAAAGAAGTTGAAATAATTTTAAAATAAAGCTGGGTGTAGTAGCATATGCCTGTAATCCCAGCTACTTGGGAGGCTGAGGCAGAAGGATCACTTGAACCCAGAAGTTCAAGACCAGCCTGGACAACATAGCAAATCCCCACCTCAAAGTAAAATAAAATAATTTTAAAATAAAATTTTATTTAAAATAAATATTTTATTTAAAATAAAAATACACAGAGAACCAACAAATTAAGAGAAACTTTTAAAAAGTCAATAAAATACAATATATGGACTTTGAATCCTGTTTTAAACAAATTATAAAGGAAAAATTAGACAATTAAGAAAATTAGAACACTAAATGAAGATTTAATAATGTTAAGGAATATTGTTAATTGTTTGATGAATAATAATAACACTGAAGTTATGGATTTTTAAGTCCAAACTCTTTAGAAGGATTAAATGAGATTAGTTATGAGTTTATAATTGTTGAAGTTGGTTGGTGAGAATATGGCAATTCATTACCACTCTATTTTTATGTAGGTTTGAAAAAGCCCACAATAAAAAGAAGTACATATCTATAGTACTTTAAAATTCAACAATCAAAAAACAACACCATTAAAAATGGGCAAAGGACATGAACGATACTTCTCAAAAGAAGACACCTATGAGGCCAGCAAATAGATGAAGAAGTGCTCATCATCACTAATCATCAGGGAAATGCAAATGAAAACCACAATAAAATACCATCTCATACCAGTCAAAATGGCTTTTGTTAAAAAGCAAAAAAAAGAAAAACAGGTGTTGATGAGGCTGCAGAGAAAAGGGAACACTTATATACTGTTGGTGGGAATGTAAATTAGTTCAGCCACTATGGAGAACACTTTAAAGATTTCTCAAAGAACTAGAGTTGAACGACCATTTAACTCAGCACCCCATTACTGAGTATATATCCAAAGGAAAATAAATTGTTCTACCAAAAAGACACACACACCCATATGTTCATTGCAGCACTATTCACAATAGCAGACATGGAATCAACCCGGGTACCCGCCCACCAACGGTGGACTGGATAAAGAAAATGTGGTACATATTCACAATGGAATACTACACAGCCATTAAAAAAAGAATGAGATCATGTTCTTTGCAGCAACACCAATGCAGCTGGAGGCCATAATCCTAAGCAAACTAATGCAGAAACAGAAAACCGTATGTCTCGTATTCTGACTTATAAGTGGGAGCTAAACATTGGGTGCACATGGACATAAAGATGAAAACAACAGACACTGGGGAATACTAGACGGGAGGCTGGAGGGGGGCGAGGGTTGAAAAACTACCTATCAAGTACTGTGCTCACAATCTGGGTGGTGAGATGATTTATACACCAAACCTCAGCAACATACAATTACCCATGTGACAAATCTGCACATGTACCCCCGAAACTAAAATAAAAGTTGAGAAAAAAAGTATTCATATATCTTCTTTTTATACACAAAATCATAATAAACCATGGAGGAGCATTATCTTTTTGTGCCTTTGTTAAGATGCACATTGTGATAGCTGTGTAATTCTTAAGTAGATTATAAATTATCTTTAAAAGAGTTTAGTGGTAATAATCTAAAATTGTGTCATTACTTACTACAAATATGCTCTTTGTGGAGTATCTAATAAGATGATTTGCTTAATACCTTGAAAAAAAATACAAATAGATTCAATTAATGTCCTTACTAAGATTTAAGCTCATCACAGACATAAATGCAGCATTGGTCTAGTTTGATGGAAATGATTTGTCAAATGCAATAATGGGATCAGAAAAGAGAGTAAAATTAAATGTGTTCTGTAATTATATGTTTGCCTACTTGGAGACTTAGGACTGTCCACTTCCACTCTAATTCATAACTTACTGCCAAAGCACCATGTTTCCTATTACCTTGGGTCATTTGCACCTGCCATCCTTCTACCTGGAATCCTCTCATTTGTCCTCTACATTTGATGGGCTAACTTCTGCTTATCCTTCAAATCTCTTCTTTCCCACTGCAATGGTCTAAATGGGTCCCTCCTTCCCTCAAAAAATCCATATGTTGAAATCCCAATGCCCAGTGTGATAATATTAGGAGGTGGGGACTTTGAGAGGTAATTAGGTAATAAGCATGGAGCCCTCATGAATGGAATTAATGCCTTTATAAGAAGAGGCCAGAAAGCTAGTTTGCCCTCTTTCTACCATGTGAGAGTACAGTGAAAAGTTAGAAGTCTGCAACCCTGGGAAGAGGGCCCTCACCAGAGCCCAACCATGCTGGCACCCTGATCTTAGACTCCAGAAACGTGAGGAATAAACTCTTGTTGTTTACAAGCCATCCAGTCTATAGTACTTTGTTATGACAGCCCGAATTGACAAAGACATTTACTTTGGGAAGGATTCACTACCTCAATGGTGTGCTTAGAGTCAGCTTGGCCTGACTTACAAGAGCCAATTATGAACATCTCTTCCCAATTCTTTGTTCAGTGACATCAAGATAGTACCTTGAAATTGGCCATGATGAGCCAGGCGCAGTGGCTCATGCCTGTAATCCCAGCACTTTGGGAGGCCGAGGTGGGCGGATCACGAGGTCAGGAGATCGAGACCATCCTGGCTAACATGGTGAAACCCCATCTCTACTGAAAAAAAAAAAAATACAAAAACAAATAGCTGGGCGTGGTGGCAGGCACCTATAGTCCCAGCTACTCGGGAGGCTGAGGCAGGAGAATGGTGTGAACCCAGGAGGCGGAGCTTGCAGTGAGCCAAGATCACACCACTGCACTCCAGCCTGGGCGACAGAGCGAGACTCCATCTCAAAAAAAAATAAAAAAAAAAAAAGAAATTGGCCATGATGGAAGTATTTACACCATGGAAGTCAACAAACACTACAGATCAGAGCTTTTATTTTTTTCAGAGAACTGATTGTTAAACATTTTCCAACACACCACTGCCCTGCTCCTTCCCCACCCCATCCCAAGTGTGAGTTAAATGGCTCTGCTCTAGGCTCTGATAATGCCCTAAACTTACACCCATCACTATGTTCTGTAGGTTACTCATCAGTCTTCCCCTCCAGGCTGAAATTTTCTTGAGGGTAACGACGCTATATCTCTAAAACCTTACTCAACATCTGGCTTACAGAGGTATATAGGGAAGTTTAAACTTTCTAAAACTCTTCATGGTCCAGGCTCCCTCTCTCTCCTCCCTATCAAGCACCAGATACCTATCGTACTTGCCTCTCTGATTCACCCTCTTCTAGGCTGCCATTGCTCATCATCCTCTTATAATTAACATCAAGGGACTGCAATAGCATGCAGATCCAGTAATACCTGGCATAGCAGATTTCCACTCTGCTATGTGGATTTGGCATAGCAAATCCACTCATATACAGGAGATAGAAGTGGTACCACAAGCAGAGTTCTGGTGTAGAGGAGAACCCCTGTAAAACAGCTGTGACCAGAAGCCTCAGAGTTCTAGCACAGCTAGCCATCCTTGTCCGTGTCTACAAATTCTTAGACTGCTGGAAGTACCCCGGGAATTTCAAGAGTATTTAAGTCTTGCTACTCCACAGTCTTGCTACTCAAACTATGATATGAAGACAAGCAGTATCAGCACCACGTGAAAGCCTGTTAGACATGCAGCTTAGGCCCCACTCGGGACCTATTGGATAAGAGCCTGCATTTTAACCACATACCCCAGGTGATATGTTTACACATTTCAGTTTGAGAAGCATGGGTCTATAGAACATCAAATTTACTGAAACTGAGCAATTAGGGGCTTAGAGCCATGGAGCTCAGAGTATTAATGTTAGTGGCCCTTCATAATAACAAATACTATTTTTGTGTCATGAAAATATGGTAAAGATTTATATTCATTTTGGCATTTAATCAAAAAAGAACTCTATGACTTAGCAAGCTCAAATCAATGTAACCCTAAATCTTGAAAGCACACCATCTCAAAATGAAGCACCATAATAAACACCACAGTTAAACAAAGTCTGTATTTGAGTCCTTCCTGTTCCACTCACTAGTTGAGTGATCCTAAAAAAAACTATCTAACCGTTCTAACTGTTCATCTCCTTATCTGTAAAATGGTGATAATAGTACTTTATTTTCAGGGTGGTAATGAGAATTAAATAAGAAAACCTATATAAAGTAACCGGTGTGTTGTAATTGCTCATTCAATATAAGTTTTCTCCCTCCCTACTACCTCCTTTCTGAAAATAATAATAATAATAATAATAAAACAAACAGCCCAGCTGGGCGTGGTGGCTCATATCTATAATTCCAGCACTTTGGGAGGCCGAGGTGGGTAGATCCCTTAAGGTCAGGAGTTTGAGACCAGCCTGGCCAACATAGCGAAACCCCATCTCTACTAAAAATACAAAAATTAGCCGGGTGTGGTGGTGTGCGCCTATAATCCCAGCTACTCAGGAGGCTGAGGAAGGAGAATCACTTGAACTTGGGAGACAGAGATTGCGGTGAGCTGAGACTGCACCACTGCACTCCAGCCTAGGCGACAGAGTGAAACCCTGTCTCAAAAAACAAAAACAAAAACAAAAACAAAAACAAACAAACCAAAAAAACCAGCCCAACCATGTCATGGAGAACCTATGGAAATTTAACAGCAAAAAGGAAAATAAATAATATTTTGTACATTGTGTGATAACTTAATACTATTTCTGCATGATATAATGAGTTGTTCTGAAGGGACTAGTTGTGAAAATAAAATATAAAAGCAGTTGGAAGCCTCAAGACATTTAAAGACTTAAGAGAGATGTAACTGTGATCTGAGTCATGTAGCACGTATTTATAACTTCTGCTTCTTAGATCACAGATTAACTCTCTTCCTCATTGTTCTTGCTCTGTAAATAACTAGGAAAGATCAGAGACTAGACTTCCCCCTTCCAATCACTGATCTTTGTTATAGACCAACTGCCTCCTTTATTGTCCTGCATCTAACTCAGATCGGATAACACCCCCAAATAGGTACCCCATGACAGTTATATATTCGGTGTGGAATGTTAAATATACCTTTCCTAAAAGAAAAAGACCACCTTGACCAATTGTATCATTGTAATTATACATTAAGGCTTCCATAGAAAGACAATGAAATTCTGTTAAACTTCCCTGAACCTTATCTATATAAACGATCTTGAACTTCTACTCTTTGGAACACTGACTTGAATTCTTTGAAATCTGTGCTTACTGGGCAGGCTGTCCTCAACCTTTTCACTTGAATAAACTCCCAAACTAGATTGTGATCTTTTTGGTTATTTTACGTTGACATAGAGTTGAGAGAAAAAACATTACATTCTTTTTAAATGAATTGGTAGGATTTCCTTTCATTCTTTGGACTTTCTAGATCAGTGTCCAGAGTAAGTATTGTATTCATTCATGCTCTCTGGGAAGCACATTTTGGTCTTGTGTCTTCACCTATCAAAATACATACATGGAGAAGGACAGGGCAAGATGGCTGGATAGAAGGCTCCACTGATCATCTCCCCAACAGGAACACCAAATTTATCAACTACACAAAAAAGCACCTTCAAAAGAACTAAAAATCAGGTGAGTACTCACAGTACCTGGTTTTAACTTCATATCCCTGAAAGAGGCACTGAAGAGGGTAGGAAAGACCATCATGAATTGCTGATGGCACCCTTCCCCCATCTCCTGGCAGCAGCCACATGACATGGAGAAAAAATTCATGTGCTTGGGAGAAGGAGAATGCAGTGATCATGAGACTTAGCATTGAACTCAGTGATGCCCCGTTATAGCAGAAAGCAAAACCAGGCTGAACTCAGTTGATGCCTGCCCACAGAGGGAGCATTTAGACCATCCCTAGCCAGAGGGAAATTACCCATCCCAGTGGTCAGAACTTGAGTTCTGACAAGCCTTATCACCACAGGCTAAAGTGTTCTGGGGCCCTAAATAAACTTGAAAGACAGTCTAGGCCAAAAGGACTGCAATTCCTAGGCATGTCCTAGTGCTGAACTGGGCCCAGAGCCAGAAGACTGAGGGTCACATGACCTATTGAGACACAAGCCAGGGAGGCTAAGTGAACGCTTATGCCACCCCACCTCCAACCCCAGGCAGACAGCTCACAGCTTTAAAAGAGACTCTTCCTTCCATTTCTGTAGAGGAGAGGGAAGAGTAAAGAAGACTGTCTTACATCTTGGATACCAGCTCAGACACAGTAGGATAGGGTGCTGGGCAGAGTTGTGAGGCCCCTATTCCAGGCCTTAGCTCCCAAATGACATTTCTATACACACTGTGGGCCAAAAGGGACCCCACTCCCTTAAAGGGAAAGACTCTGTCCTGGCAGGACCCATCACCTGCTGACTGAAGAGCCCTGGATCCCTGAATAACCAGCAGCAATATCCAGAAAGTACACTATGGGCCTTGGGTTCTGAGATGTGCTGGTTTCAGGAGAGACCCAGCACATTGCCAACTCTGGTGGCTATGGTGAAAAACTGCTTCTGTTTGAGAAAAGCGGAGGGAAAAGTAAAGAGAACTTTCTCTTGCACCTTAGGTATGAGCTTGGTCCTTGGAAGTAGAGCACAAAGTGGGTTCTTGGGGTCCCTGATTCCAGGCCTTGCCTCATGGACAGCATTTCTAGACCTGCCCTGGGCCAGAGGGGAGTTCACTGCCCTGAAGGACGAGCCTCAGGCATGGAAGCACTCACTACAAGCTGACTGCACAGCTCTTGGGCCTTAAGTGAACATTGATGGTAATCTGGAAGTACTTCCCCATGGGCCTGTGGTGGCAGTGACCATGGAGTGAGGCTTATCTGCCTGTGGGAAGGGGAGGGAAGAAAGACACAAGCCTAACTGGCTTTGCCACCTATTGATTGTAGAGCCCTAGGGCTTTGAGCAAACATAGGTGGTAGCCAGGTAGTGGTTACAGAGGGCCTTGGGCAAGACCCAGTGCTGTGCTGGCTTCAGGTCTGACCCAGAAAATTATCAGTGGTGCTGGCCACAGGTGTACTTTTCTCGCTTAACCTCCAGCTCCAGGAGGCTCAGCACAAAAACAGAGAGAAAGAAAGAGACTCTGTTTGTCTCAGAGAAAGAAAGGGAAGAGAAAAAGAGTCTCTTCCGGGTAATCCAGAGAACTCTTCCAGATCTTATCCAAGACCACCAAGGTAGTACCTCTATGGGTCTGCAAGAACCGTAGTGTTACTGGGCTTGGGGTGCCTCCTAATGCATACAGCTTAGATCACAACGTCCAAGTCCCTTTGAATACCTGGAAAGCCTTCCCAAGAAAGATAGGTACAAATAAGCCCAGACTGTAAATAATACAATAAATACCTAGCTCTTCAATGCCCAGACACAGATGAACATCCACAAGCATCAAGACCATCTAGGGAAACACGACCTCACCGTACAAAATAAATAAGGCACCAGGCACCAATTCTGGAGAAAAAGAGACATGCTATCTTTTAGACAGAGAATTCAAAATAGCTGTATTGAGGAAATTCAAAGAAATTCAAGATAACACAGAGAAGGAATGCAGAATTCTACCAGATAAATGTAACAAAGAAATGGAAATAATTTAAAAGAATCAAGCAGAAATTCTGGAGCTGAAAAATGCAATTGGCATACTGAAGAATACATCAGAGTCCCTTAATAGCAGAATGGATGATGAAGAAGAAAGGATTAGTGAGCTTGAAGACAGGGTATTTGAAAATACAGTCAGAGGAGACAAAAGAAAAAAGAATTTAAATAAATGAAGCACAACTACAGGATCTAGAAAATAGTCTCAAAAGAGCAAATCTGTTATTGACCTTAACGAGGAGGTAGAAAAAGAGATGGGGTAGAAAGTTTATTCAAAGGGATAATAACAGAGAACTTCTGAAACCTAGAGAAGGTACCAATATCAAAGTACAAGAAAGTTATAATGGTGATTTGACCCAGGCGAGGTGGCTCACGCCTGTAATCCCAGCACTTTGGGAGGCTGAGGCGGGCAGATCGCTTGAGGTCAGGAGTTCCAGACCAGCCTGGCCAACATGGCAAAACCCGTCTCTACTAAAAATACAGAAATTAGCTAGTGTGATGGTGAACACCTGTAATCCCAGCTGCGTGGGTGAGGCACAAGAATTGCTTGAACCTGGGAGGCAGAGGTTGCAGCGAGCCAAGATTGCACCACTGCACTCCAGCCTGGGTGACAGAGCAAGACTCTGTAAAAAAAAAAAAAAAAAAAAGGAAAGAAAAGAAAAAAACGGCCAGGCGCGGTGGCTCTCGCCTGTAATCCCAGCACTTTGGTGGGAGGCCAAGGTGGGCAGATCACGAGGTCAGGAGTTCAAGACCAACCTGGCCAACAAAGTGAAACCCCGTCTCTCCTAAAAATACAAAAATTAGCCGGGCATGGTGGCATGTGCCTGTAGTCCCAGCTACTTGGGAGGCTGAGGCAGGAGAATCGCTTGAACCCGGGAGGTGGAGGTTGCAGCAAGCCAAGATCACTCCACTGCACTCCAGCTTGGGCAACAGAGTGGGGCTTCATCTCAAAAGAACAAAAAACAAAACAAAACAAAAAACCTACAATGAGATACCATCTTACCCCAGTTATACCCCAGTTAAACTGGCTTTTAACCAAAAGACAGGCAATAACAAATGCTGGCAAGGATGTGGAGAAAAGGGAACCCTTGTACACTGTTGGTGGGAATGTAAATTAGTACAACCACTATGGAGAATAGTTTGGAGATTCCCTCACAAAAGTAAAAACAGAGCTACTATGCGATCTAGCAATCCCACTTCTGGGCACATAATCAAAAGAAAGAAAATCAGTATATTGAACATATATCTGTACTCCCATGTTTATTGCAGTGCTATTTACAATAGCTAAGATTTGGAAGCAACCTAAGTGTCCATCAACAGATGAGTGGATAAAGAAAATGTGGTACTTATACGCAATGGAGTACTCTTCAGCCATAAAAAGAATGAGATCCTGTCTTTTGCAACAACATGGATGGACCTGGAGGTGATTATGTTAAATGAAATAAGCCACGCACAGAAAAACAAATATCGCATGTTCTCACTTATTTGTGGGAGCTAAAAATTAAAACAATTAAGCTCATGGAGATAGAGTAGAAGGATGGTTACCAGAGGCTGGGAAGGATAGTGTGTGGTGGGGAGGAAGTGGGAATGGTTAAGAGGTACAATAAAATAGTTAAAAAGAATGAATAAGACCTAGTATTTGCTAGCACAACAGGGTGACTATAGTCAAAAATAATTTAATTGTACATTTTAATAATAACTAAAAGAGTCTAACTGGACCGTTTGTAACACAAAGGATAAATGCTTGATGTGATGGGTACCCCATTCTCCATGAGGTGATTATTACATATTGCATGCCTGTATCAAAACATCTCATGTAACCCATAAATATATACACCTACTATGTACCCACAAAAACTAAGAATTAAAAAAAAAATTAAAACTTGAAAAAACCAGACACAAGCATAACAGACAGGAGGTAGCAGACACTGAATGCTGGGTGGGCAGCCGAGCTCCCAGACAGCCTTTTCCAATTCAGGGCCAACATCATCTAAGCGTCTTCTCTTCACATTTGTTTGTTTCATTATCAGATTGTTGTCTGACCACCTCTTCACCTCCCACTCTGTCTGTAGACATCAAGAGAAACCTTGTCAGGGTTTAGTCGATGTTCTTACTGTTATTTTCTCACCACTGGATCCTTTGGATTTAGCATAGGACCCAGCACTAAGTAGGCATGTTCAGAAAATATTTGTTGAATGAATAGGTAATAGGTAGGTAAAATTAAGGGGACTGTGGTGATTTAAAAAGATGTCCACAATTATTTGATATTATTCCCTCTAAAAGTGTATGCTAATTTCCTTCCCCTTAAGTATGGGTTGGACTTAGTGACATGCTTCCAACTAATAGAATCTGGCAAAAACAACAGTGTGTGACTAGATCATAAAAGACATCACAGCTTTCTCCTTTATCTCTCTCTCTTTCAGATCATTCCCTCTGGAGGAAGCCAGCAGCCATATCATGAGTACACTCAAGCAGCCCTGTAAAGAGACCCACATGATGAGGAACTGAAGCATCTTGCAAACAGCTCTGTGAACTGTCTTGGAAGTGGATCCTTTAACCCGAAACCTTCAAATGACTTCAGTTTCAGCTGACTTTTTTTTTTTTTTGAGACGGAGTCTCACTCTGTCGCCTAGGCTGGAGTGCAGTGGCGCAATCTTGGCTCACTGCAACCTCTGCTGCCCGGGTTCAAGCGATTCTTCTACCTCAGCCTCACAAGTAGCTGGGATTATAGGTGCCTGCCACCACGCCCGGCTAATTTTTGTAGTTTTAGTAGAGATGGGGTTTCACCATCTTGGCCAGGCTGGTCTTGAACTTCTGACCTCATGATCCACCCGCCTCAGCATCCCAAAGTGCTGGGATTACAGGTGTGAGCTGCCACAACTGGCCTCAGCCAACCTCTTAATTGCAACCTCATGAGAGACCTGAAGCCCAAAACACCCAACTTAACCACTCCTAGATTCCTGACACTCAGAAATATGTGAGATAATAAAAAATTATTATTTTAAGCAGCTAAGTTCGGGGGTAAGTTGTTATGCAACAGCAGATAACTCATAAGGGACTTTCAAACAAATTGCTCCCTTCAAAGGGCAGATATATACCACTACAGATACTAGTGGAAGCAATGTAGGAAGTTGCCATTTTATGCCCCCTTGTTTTATTCTGCCCACAGTACATACCACATGTCTATCCTTCTTCATGTATTACTCAGTCAGCTTCTATGAAGGCCCTAGCATAGCTTACAGGTAAAATTGAATGAGCAAAATGAACACACTTGCTTATGAGACCATTAAAAAGGGACTAAAAATCTGCTCAAAAAAAACCAAGAGACAAGAAATCAGGGTGGCTGAAGAAATAAAAAGTGGTTTCAAAGAGGAAGTAAAAACATTTTCAGTATATTCTGCAGGAAGTAAAATTGTTTTTCTAATCAACAAAAAAAATATCAATTGAGAAATACTAAATTAGAAACAAATGGAAGAGCCAACATTATATGTAGGAAATTTTCCTATCCAACTCACATAAGCTTCCACAAATTTGAAGATGGTGCTATCAGCAGTAAGGTCTTCTGCAACAGAAGGAAAAAATGTAATCACAATCAATAAAGACAACTGTCAATTGGAAATAAACATGTGTTTGTGCCTACTACGTGCCAAGCAAGGGAATCTGCATGGGGAAAGGTGGCTCACTTTAACTACATCCAACTTTGTAGCTACCACCCAAGTACAGAACTCTCCTCCCCAGGGTAGGCGCCACATACCCACCCTCTCCTCTTTTCCCTCCTCACATCCTCCCTCCACAAAATAGATAGGGGTAGGGGAAAGGAATCTGGAAATAGAGCTGGAGGGGCAAATTTATGCCAGTGCTGCTAACGAGACTTCATAATAATAAACACCATTTATGTAACTTGAACATGTATTCAAGATTTATATTCATTTTGTAATTTAACACCAAAACAACTTTATTCCTCCACCCTTCTCTAATCTCCAGCAATCTGTTTCTTTAACAAAGACAAGGCTGGCAAGACACTCTCCTCAAGACTTGTTTTCTTCTCCTCTAAAACTGGGTACCAATGCTCTTTCATGGGTTTGATCTGAGGATGTGGTGACATCATGTGTGTGCCAAGGCCAAGCCCTGTGAAAATTCAACCCTAGCATGCTAAAGCATTGTGGAAAAATGAAGGAGTCTTTTGAGGGAGCAGAAAATTGTGCCATTTGCCAAGAGCACAGAGTTCCTGGAAAACAGGACTGAAAATGTGGTCTTTATCCATAGTGGGGGGAGCTTTGACTGCCAGCCCAGTACTCTACAAATAATGTCAGAAAATCCAGGATAGCAAATATACCATTGGCTGGGGTTGGAGATACTTTGGCATGAGAATGCCAAGAATAGTAATATTTCAAATGATAATGATGTAGAAATGTTATCTTTTGTGTCCTTCCTCTTATTTCAAGATCTTACTTATTATGGTTAAAATACATCATGTCTTACTTTCTAAAATTTTAACTCCTAAATTTAATCTCAAATAAAGCTGTGTACATATACACATCTGCATTTTACCCACAACTTTTTGACAGCAATGTTATTCCAAGAGCTTGGAGGAAGGGGAAGGAGACAGCCAGGGCAAGCAGTATGTCCTTCTGTTGGTAGTCATAGTGATTATAGTCAATAATAATTATTGTATATTTGAAATTTGCTAAGAGAGTAGATCTTAAGTGCCTTTACCACACACACACACACAAAATGGCAACTATGTGAGGTGATGAGGTTGTAATTAACTTGATTCTGGTAAATATTTCACACTGTATACATATATCAAATCATCACAGCGTATACCTTCAATATACACAATATTTATTTGTCACTTATACCTTAATAAAGCTGCAGATAACAGAGAAATTATTCTGGCACTTATTGAAATGGTAAGGAAGACTTTATTCAAGACTATTACAAGAGGGGAGAGAGATTGCACTTACTCCAAATTCAGCAAAGATAGCTATAGATGTATTGCCAATGAGAAGAATGAAAAGGTCAGTGGATAGAGAATTAACAAAAGGAGATATCAAGGGTAGGGGGATTCTTGCTAAAATTGTCTAATAGGATTCTTGGTAGAGGGAAGCCAAGGACTTAGACATCAAGGGTGGGGAATAAGAAACTTGATCAGATATCAAAGGTAATTAGATATAAAAGGTGCGGAGATTCTCTCTAAAATAACTTAGCAGGATTCTTGCCTAATGGCAGACCAAGGTCATGCCCTGGTTAAGCAGAATGCTCAGATGAGCCCAATTAAAGTTTGGTCAAGGAAGTTGTCTTAGTCTGTATGTGCTGTTATAACAAAATACTTAAGATTGGGCTGCTTTGCAGATGCCGCTGACACACAGAGACCTCTGCCACCAGCCACAGTCAAACTCACCATGTTCTTCAACATCGCCACCCATGGTGAGCCCTTGGGCTGCATCTTCTAACTGTTTGTAGACAAAGTTCCAAAGACAGCAGAAAATTTTCATGCTCTGAGCACTGGAGAGAAATAATTTAGTTATAAGGGTTCCTGCTTTCACAGAATTATCCCAGAGTTTATGTGTCAGGGTGGTGACTTCACATGCCTTAATAGTTGATGGCAATTCCAACTATGGGGAGAAATTTGATGATGAGAACTTCATCCTGAAGCATACAGGTCCTGGCATCTTGTTCATGGAAAATGCTGGACCCAACGCAAATGGTTCCTAGTTTTTCATCTGCACTGCCAAGATTGAGTGGTTGGATGGCAACCATGTGATCTTTGGCAAGGGGAAACAGGGCATGAATATCGTGGAAGCCATGGAGCACTTTGGGAGCAGGAATGGCAAGACCGACAAGAACTATTGCGGACTGTAGATAACTCTAATAAATGTGACTTGTGTTTTAACCACCAGATCATTCCTTCTGTAGCTCAGAAGAGCACTCCAACTCATTTGCTCACAGTATCCTCTAATCTGGGTACTCCCACTGCAGTTTTTTGGGTTCCATATTTTCCTTATTCCTTCCATGTCTAGCTGTATTGCAGTTAAGTTTATGATTATGAAATAAAAACTAAATAACAAAAATACTTAGACTGCATAATTTATAAAGAATAAAAACTTATTTCTCATAGTTCTGGAGGCTGTGAAGTCCGAAATCATGGTGCTGGTAGGATTGGCGTCTGATGAGGGCCGCCCTCTGCTTCCAAGATGGCACCTTGTTGCTGCATTGTCCAGAGAGGAGGAGCACTGTGTCTTCACATGATGGAAGGGACAGAAGGGCAAGAGAGTGCTCCCTTCAACCTTGAGCCTTGTTATAAGGGTGCTAATTCCATTTATGAGGGCAGAGCCCTCATGACTTAAAAGATGTGGCCTCCAAAAGGCTACACCTTTTAATACTGTTTAATTGGGGATTATATTTCTTTTTTTTTTTTTTTTTTTTGAGACGGAGTCTCACTCTGTCACCCAGGCTGAAGTGCAGTGGCACGATCTCGGCTCACTGCAAGCTCTGCCTCCTGGGTTCATGCCATTCTCCTGCCTCAGCCTCCAAAGTAGCTGGAACTATAGGTGCCTGCCACCACGCCCTTCTGATTTTTTGTATTTTAATAGAGACAGAGTTTCACCGAGTTAGCCAGGATGGTCTCGATCTCCTGACCTCGTGATCCGCCCGCCTCAGCCTCCCAAAGTGCTGGGATTACAGGCATGAGCCACCACACCCGGCCAATTGGGGATTATATTTCAACACAAATTTTGGAGGGGTCACCATCATCCAAACCATAGCAGTGTCTTTGCCAGGGGACAGTGGCCTGGAGACAGGATGATAGAGGTAGAGAGAGGTCTGGGAAGCCTTTACAGGGGTGGAAAACTGGGGGCAAGGATGGGTTGCTGTCTCTGATGGGCCCTCCCAACAGGCAGACCTGCTTTTGGTCAAGGTTGAGGCAAACCCTGTGTATTCTTAAAACATATCTCTTCTACCCTTGAGTTTCAGGAGCTTTACACAGCAGCTAAAGTCCCCCATGGTCAGGACCAAGGATGTTGGGTTTGGGTGTGCTCATGGATAAAGAAGGTGTATAAGAAAAGAGGAGGACATGTCTTGGGTGTGGCTGAGAGTCTGACTCCCAGGGAGTCATTCATTTGCTGAATCCACCAAGGTCTTTCCCAGTGGAGTCTTGTGCTGTACTAATCTGGTGACCCCTTGGACATGCCTGTTTTGCACTGACAAGACTGAGTGTGGGAGCAAGTTGTGAAAAGGATCTTATGACACTCCCAGCCTGGTATCAGGCACAGCAAGCAGATTTCATTCCATCAGCAGCTGTTTCACAATAGCTCTCGAGGCCTATCTTGGAGCATTCTTCATTTTTTTGCTGACAGCGCTAGGAATCCTCCCTGATGGGAAAGGAGCTTTATTTGTAAACACATTTGCAATGCATTTTCATATCACTTTGCTGGGTGAAGCAGAGAAGATATACCATGCTTACACATAGGATTGTTTCTGTTTTGGTTACCTCTTTTAGGGTTGGATGAAAAAATGCAGGAATAAATGAATGGGTGGATAACGGAATCCATGCATCCATCAGTCAGTAATTCCCTGCAGCAGAACCACCCTGAGCACTTGTTAAAACACAACTTATTGGGCTTTACCCCCAGAGTTTCTTATTTAGTCTGGGATGCAGGGAGTAGGGAGAAGAGCAAAGAATTTGCACCTCTAACAAGGTCCAAGTACTACTGATGTTCCTGGTCCAGGAACAATACGCTGAGAACCACTAGCACAGGCCATCAGTAGAGACCCTCTTAGGCCACGATTATTGTGACTGCAGACTTTCTGACTGATCTTGCCAACTAGTTCACGCACATAATTGAAAATGACTCAGTGTTTGGGGCGGTTGTGGGTGGCCTGCCTACTCTACCTCCCAACAAACACTCCTGGGTAGTAGTGTTAGATTTGAGAGTTAGAGCACTGGTGGTGTGTGTGTGTGTGTGTATGTATGTATATTAACATGTGTGTGCATGTGTGTGTACATGCATGCACACATCTGTACTGCTCTCCTGACAGGTACTGCTGTCCTTTGGCACACCTCTAGTGCTGACCACTGACCTTCTCCAGGCTCTCTCCTCTTTGCCTTTCATGGAATCAGGGCTTTTTCAAGGTGAAGGAGATGGTAAGTTGGCTGCTTTGCTGAGCCATTCAGCAAGCGGACCATCATGGTGAAGTAAGAGGATCGTGGGTTTGGAGCCAGGCACTCCTGGGATTTGCATGGAAATTCTGCCTCTTAGCAGTTATGTGAACTTCTAAGACTTTCAGGGCCTGTCTGAGGCTCAGCATCATTATCAGTA
The DNA here is from genome assembly GCF_000001405.40 of Homo sapiens. Taxonomy (NCBI): domain Eukaryota; kingdom Metazoa; phylum Chordata; class Mammalia; order Primates; family Hominidae; genus Homo; species Homo sapiens. The sequence goes on along the minus strand of NC_000023.11, from coordinate 101,441,238 downwards.
AAGCTGGGATTATGTCTCTACCTCACAATATTGTTGAGAGCATTAAATTAGAAACCATGGAGGAAGCACTTTACAGCATCAGGCACATAGCAGGCATTCAAAAAATGTTAGTCCCGGGGGGTGGAGCCAAGATGGCCGAATAGGAACAGCTCCAGTCTACAGCTCCCAGCGTGAGGGACGCAGAAGACAGGTGATTTCTGCATTTCCAACTGAGGTACCGGGTTCATCTCACTGAGGAGTGTCAGAAAGTGGGTGCAGGACAGTGGGTGCAGCACACCGAGCATGAGCCAAAGCAGGGCAAGGCATCGCCTCACCCGGGAAGTACAAGGGGTCAGGGAATTCCCTTTCCTAGTCAAAGAAAGGGGTGACAGACGGCACCTGGAAAATCGGGTCACTCCCACCATAATACTACGCTTTTCCAACGGTCTTAGCAAATGGCACACCAGGAGATTATATCCCGCACCTGGCTCGGAGGGTCCTACACCCACGGAGCCTCGCTAATTGCTAGCACATCAGTCTGAGATCAAACTGCAAGGTGGCAGTGAGGCTGGGGGAGGGGCGCCTGCCATTGCTGAGGCTTGAGTAGGTAAACAAAGCGGCCAGGAAGCTCCAACTAGGTGGAGCCCACCAAAGTTCAAGGAGGCCTGCCTGCCTCTGTAGATTCCACCTCTGGGGGCAGGACATAGCCAAACAAAAGGCAGCCAAAACCTCTGCAGACTTAAATGTCCCTGGCAGCTTTAAAGACAGTAGTGGTTCTCCCAGCACGCAGCTGGAGATCTGAGAACTGACAGACTGCCTCCTCAAGTGGGTCCCTGGTCCCCGAGTAGCCTAACTGGGAGGCACCCCCCCAGCAGGGGCAGACTGACACCTCACACGGCCGGGTACTCCTCTGAGATAAAACTTCCAGAGGAACGATCAGGCAGCAGCATTTGCTGTTCACCAATATCCGCTGTTCTGCAGCCTCTGCTGCTGATACCCAGGCAAACAGGGTCTGGAGTGGACCTCCAGCAAACTCCAACAGACCTGAAGCTGAGGGTCCTGTCTGTTAGAAGGAAAACTAACAAACAGAAAGGACATACACACCAAAACGCCATCTGTACGTCACCATCATCAAAGACCAAAGGTAGATAAAACCACAAAGATGGGGAAAAAACAGAGCAGAAAAACTGGAAACTCTAAAAATCAGAGCGCCTCTCCTCCTCCAAAGGAACACAGCTCCTCACCAGCAATGGAACAAAGCTGGATGGAGAATGACTTTGACGAGTTGAGAGGAGAAGGCTTCAGATGATCAAACTACTCCGAGCTAAAGGAGGAAGTTTGAACCCATGGCAAAGAAGTTAAAAACCTTGAAAAAAAATTAGACGAATGGCTAACTAGAATAACCAATGCAGAGAAGTCCTTAAAGGACCTGATGGAGCTGAAAACCAAGGCATGAGAACTACATGACGAATGCACAAGCCTCAGTAGCCAATTCGATCAACTGGAAGAAAGGGTATCAGTGATGGAAGGTCAAATGAATGAAATGAAGCGAGAAGAGAAGTTTAGAGAAAAAAGAATACAAAGAAACGAACAAAGCCTCTAAGAAATATGGGACTATGTGAAAAGACCAAATCTACATCTGATTGGTGTACCTGAAAGTGACGGGGAGAATGGAACCAAGTTGGAAAACATTCTGCAGGATATTATCCAGGAGAATTTCCCCAATCTAGCAAGGCAGGCCAACATTCAAATTCAGGAAATACAGAGAACGCCACAAAGATACTCCTCAAGAAGAGCAACTCCAAGACACATAATTGTAATTGTCAGATTCACCAAAGTTGAAATGAAGGAAAAAATGTTAAGGGCAGCCAGAGAGAAAGGGCGGGTTACCCACAAAGGGAAGCCCATCAGACTAACAGCGGATCTCTCGGCAGAAACTCTACAAGCCAGAAGAGAGTGGGGGCCAATATTCAACATTCTTAAAGAAAAGAATTTTCAACCCAGAATTTCATATCCAGCCAAACTAAGCTTCATAACTGAAGGAGAAATAAAATACTTTACAGACAAGCAAATGCTGAGAGATTCTGTCACCACTAGGCCTGCCCTAAAAGAACTCCTGAAGGAAGCACTAAACATGGAAAGGAACAACCGGTACCAGCCACTGCAAAAACATGCCAAATTGTAAAGACTATCAAGGCTAGGAAGAAACTGCATCAACTAACGAGCAAAATAACCAGCTAACATCATAATGACAGGATTAAATTCACACATAACCATATTAACTTTAAATGTAAATGGGCTAAATGCTCCAATTAAAAGATACAGACTGGCAAATTGGATAAAGAGTCAAGACCCATTAGTGTGCTGTATTCAGGAAACCCATCTCACATGCAGAGACACACATAGGCTCAAAATAAAGGGATGGAGGAAGATCTACCAAGCAAATGGAAAACAAAAAAAGGCAGGGGTTGCAATCCTAGTCTCTGATAAAACAGACTTTAAACCAACAAAGATCAAAAGAGACAAAGAAGGCCATTACATAATGGTAAAGGTATCAATTCAACAAGAAGAGCTAACTATCGTAAATATATATGCACCCAATACAGGAGCACCCAGATTCATAAAGCAAGTCCTCAGAGACCTATAAAGAGACTTAGACTCCCACACAATATAATGGGAGACTTTTTTTGGGGGGGGAACAGAATCTCGCTCTGTCACCCAGACTGGAGTGCAGTGGCGCGATCTTGGCTCACTGCAAGCTCTGCCTCCCGGGTTCACGCCATTCTCCTGCCTCAGCCTCCCAAGTAGCTGGGACTACAGGTGCCCACCACCATACCTGGCTAATTATTTTTATTTTTTAGTAGAGATTGGGTTTCACCCTGTTAGCCAGGATGGTCTCTATCTCCTGACCTCGTGATCCGCCCACTTCAGCCTCCCAAAGTGCTGGGATTACAGGCGTGAGCCACCGCACCCAGCCTGATAATGGGAGACTTTAACACCCCACTGTCAACATTAGACAGATCAACGAGACAGAAAGTTAACAAGGATATACAGGAATTGAACTCAGCTGTGCACCAAGAAGACCTAATAGACATCTACAGAACCCTCCACCCCAAATCAACAGAACATACATTCTTTTCAGCACCACACCACACCTATTCCAAAATTGACCACATACTTGGAAGTAAAGCACTCCTCAGGAAATGTAAAAGAACAGAAATTATAACAAGTTTGTTATAATGTGGTCTGTCTCTCAGACCACAGTGCAATCAAACTAGAACTCAGGATTAAGAAACTCACTCAAAACCGCTCAACTACTTGGAAACTAAACAACCTGCTCCTGAATGACTACTGGGTACATAACGAAATGAAGGCAGAAATAAAGATGTTCTTTGAAACCAATGAGAACAAAGACAGAACATATCAGCATCTCTGGGACACATTTAAAGCAGTGTGTAGAGGGAAATTTATAGCACGAAATTCCCACAAGAGAAAGCAGGAAATATCTAAAATTGACACCCTAACATCACAATTAAAAGAACTAGAGAAGCAAGAGCAAACACATTCAAAAGCTAGCAGAAGGCAAGAAATAACTAAGATCAGAGCAGAACTGAAGGAAATAGAGACACAAAAACCCTTCAAAAAAATCAATGAATCCAGGAGCTGATTTTTTGAAAAGATCAACAAAATTGATAGACTGCTAGCAAGACTAATAAAGAAAAAAAGAGAGAAGAATCAAATAGATGCAATAAAAAATGATAAAGGGGATATCACCACCGATCCCACAGAAATACAAATTACCAGCATAGAATACTATAAACACCTCTACGCAAATAAACTAGAAAATCTAGAAGAAATGGATAAACTCCTCGACACATACACCCTCCCAAGACTAAACCAGGAAGGAGTTGAATCTCTGAATAGACCAATAACAGGATCTGAAATTGAGGCAATAATTAATAGCTTACCAACCAAAAAAGGTCCAGGACCAGATGGATTCACAGCCAAATTCTGCCAGAGGTACAAGGAGGAGCTGGTACCATTCCTTCTGAAACTATTCCAATCAGTAGAAAAAGAGGGAATCCTCCCTAACTCATTTTATGAGGCCAGCATCATCTTGATACCAAAGCCTGACAGAGACACAACAAAAAAAGAGAATTTTAGACCAATATCCCTGATGAACATCCATGCAAAAATTCTCAATAAAATACTGGGAAACTGAATCCAGCAGCACATCAAAAAGCTTATCCACCATGATCAAGTGGGCTTCATCCCTGGGATGCAAGGCTGGTTCAACATACGCAAATCAATAAACGTAATCGAGCATATAAACAGAACCAAGGACAAAAACCACATGATTATCTTAATAGATGCAGAAAAGGCCTTTGACAAAATTCAACAACCCTTCATGCTAAAAACTCTCAATAAATTAGGTATTGATGGGACGTATCTCAAAATAATAAGAGCTATCTATGGCAAACCCACAGTCAATATCATACTGAATAGGCAAAAACTGGAAGCATTCCCTTTGAAAACTGGCACAAGACAGGGATGCCCTCTCTCACCACTCCTATTCAACATAGTGTTGGAAGTTCTGGCCAAGGCAATTAGGCAGGAGAAGGAAATAAAGGGTATTCAATTAGGAAAAGAGGAAGTCAAATTGTCCCTGTTTGCGGACGACATGATTGTATATCTAGAAAACCCCATCATCTCAGCCCAAAATCTCCTTAAGCTGACAGGCAACTTCAGCAAAGTCTCAGGATACAAAATCAATGTGCAAAAATCACAAGCATTCTTATACACCAATAACAGACAAACAGAGAGCCAAATCATGAGTGAACTCCCATTCACAATTGCTTCAAAGAGAATAAAATACCTAGGAATCCAACTTACAAGGGATGTGAAGGACCTCGTAAAGGAGAACTACAAACCACTGCTCAAGGAAATAAAAGAGGATACAAACAAATGGAAGAACATTCCATGCTCATGGGTAGGAAGAATCAATATCCTGAAAATGGCCATACTGCCCAAGGTAATTTATAGATTCAATGCCATCCCCATCAAGCTACCAATGACTTTCTTCACAGAATTGGAAAAAACTACTTTAAAGTTCATATGGAACCAAAAAAGAGCCTGCATTGCCAAGTCAATCCTAAGCCAAAAGAACAAAGCTGGAGGCATCACGCTACCTGACTTCAAGCGATGCTACAAGGCTACAGTAACCAAAACAGCATGGTACTGGTACCAAAACAGAGATATAGACCAATAGAACAGAACAGAACCCTCAGAAATAACGCCACATATCTACAACTATCTGATCTTTGACAAACCTGACAAAAACAAGAAATGGGGAAAGGATTCCCTATTTAATAAATGGTGCTGGGAAAACTGGCTAGCCATATGTAGAAAGCTGAAACTGGATCCCTTCCTTACACCTTACACAAAAATTAATTCAAGATGGATTAAAGACTTACATGTTAGACCTAAAACCATAAAAACCCTAGAAGAAAACCTAGGCAATACCATTCAGGACATAGGCATGGGCAAGGACTTCATGTCTAAAACACCAAAAGCAATGGCAACAAAAGCCAAAATTGACAAATGGGATCTAATTAAACTAAAGAGCTTCTGCACAGCAAAAAAAAAAAACTACCATCAGAGTGAACAGGCAACCTACAGAATGGGAGAAAATTTTTGCAATCTACTCATCTGACAAAGGGCTAACATCCAGAATCTACAATGAACTCAAACAAGTTTACAAGAAAAAAATCAAACAACCTCATCAAAAAGTGGGCGAAGGATATGAACAGACACTTCTCAAAAGAAGACATTTATGCAGCCAAAAGACACATGAAAAAATGCTCATCATCACTGGCCATCAGAGAAATGCAAATCAAAACCACAATGAGATACCATCTCACACCAGTTAGAATGGTGATCATTAAAAAGTCAGGAAACAACAGGTGCTGGAGAGGATGTGAAGAAATAGGAATACTTTTACACTGTTGGTGGGAATGTAAACTAGTTCAACCACTGTGGAAGTCAGTGTGGCGATTCCTCAGGGATCTAGAACTAGAAATACCATTTGACCCAGCAATCCCATTACTGGGTATATACCCAAAGGATTATAAAACATGCTGCTATACAGACACATGCACACGTATGTTTACTGTGGCACTATTCACAATAGCAAAGACTTGGAACCAACCCAAATGTCCAACAATGATAGACTGGATTAAGAAAATGTGGCACATATACACCATGGAATACTATGCAGCCATAAAAAATGATGAGTTCATATCCTTTGTAGGGACATGGATGAAGCTGGAAACCATCATTCTCAGCAAACTATCGCAAGGACAAAAAACCAAACGCCGCATGTTCTCACTCACAGATGGGAATTGAACAATGAGAACACATGGACACAGGAAGGGGAACATCACACACCAGGGCCTGTTGTGGGGTTAGGGGAGGGGGGAGGGATAGCATTAGGAGATATACCTAAGGTTAAATGATGAGTTAATGGGTGCAGCACACCAACATGGCACATGTATACATATGTAACTAACCAGCACGTTGTGCACATGTACCCTAAAACTTAAAGTATAATAAAAAATAAATAAATAAATAAATAAATTGAATAGAATAAAAAAAAATGTTAGTCCCTTCCCACCCTATACTCATTTTGATGTTTTTTAAGAATACTCTGACCATGGCCGGGCGCAGTGGCTCACGCCTATAATTCTAGCACTTTGGGAGGCTGAGGCAGGCGGATCACGAGGTCAGGAGTTCGAGACCAGCCTGGCCAAATGGGGAAACCCTGTCTCTACTAAAAATACAAAAAATTAGCCAGGCATAGTGGCACATGCCCCTAATCCCAGCTACTCGGGAGGCTGAGGCAGGAGAATCGCTTGGGCGGCGGAGGTTGCAATGAGCAGAGATCATGCCACTGCCCTCCAGCCTAGGCGACAGTATGAGGATCCATATCAAAAAAAAAAAAAAAAAGAATACTCTAACCAGGCACATTGCTCACACCTGTAATCCCAGCAATTTGAGAGGCCAAGGTGGGCAGATCGCTTGAGCTCAGCAGTTCAAGATCAGCCTGGGCAACATGGTGAGACCCACGTCTCTACTAAAAATACAAAAAACAGGCAGGCATGGTGGCATGTGCCTGTGGTCCCAGCTACTTGGGAGGCTGAGGTGGGAGGATTGCTTGAGCCCAGAGGACAGAGGTTGCAGTGAGCCAAGATCAAGCCATTGCACTCCAGCCTGGGCGACAGAGCCAGACCCCATCTCGGAAAAAAAAAAAAAAGTGGATAACCACCCAAGATATCTTCTTTTTAAAAATAAAAATAGAAAAGAATGTTCTAAGGCAAAATGTTTTCTGAGGTGGTTTCAAAGCCCACAGGCCCACCATGGTCTCTGCCCCAATAGTCCAAATGTGCATAAAGCAAGCAGGTTTTGCAGGAGAATAATTTTTTTTTGCATCATCATTAATCACCACTTCCAAGCCCTGTCCTGTTTTCTGTACTCAATCGATACTTCTCCACACTACGTCATTTATCAGGGAATAGTAATAATGACTGACATTTATGGAGCACATTCTATGTGCCAAGCACTGGGATTCATTTATAGACATTTTCTCATTTAATCACCACAACAACCCAGTGACTTGTTGTACCTGCAATCCACATGGATCAGATGAGGAAACAGATGTGACAGATGAGGAAACTCAGACTCAGAGAAATTAAGTACTTTTCCCAAAAATGTTTTTATGAAGACCTTCCTATTGCACAACACTGTCCTAAGTACGTGTGTGTGTGTGTATACATATACACATACAGGTATATATGTTTATATGTATGTATATATGTACATATATGTACATATGTTTATATGTAAGTATATATGTACATATATGTACATATGTTTATATGTAAGTATATATGTACATATAGGTACATATATGTATATGTGTACGTACATGTGTACATATATGTATATATGTGTGTATATATACATATGTGTACATATATGTATATATGTGCGTATATGCACATATATGTGTATGTGTGCGTGTATATACACATGTATGTATACATATGTGTATATGTGAGTATATATACAAATATGTATACATACATGTGTATACGTGCGTATGTATACACATATATGTATACATATGTGTATATATACACGTGTATGTATACATATGTGTGTATATACACGTGTATGTATACATATGTGTATATATACACATATATGTATACATGTGTGTATATATACACATATACACATATGTATACATGTGTGTATATATACACGTATATATATACGTATGTATACGTGTGTGTATATACACGTATATATACACACGTATACATATGTGTATATATACGTGTATATATACACATATGTATACATATATACACGTATATACATATATATGTATACATACATGTGTATATGTGTATATACATATATGTATACATATATACGTGTATATACACATATATATACGTATATATGTGTATATACATATATGTATACATATATATGTGTATATATACGTATATATGTATATACATGGGGTTTTTTTTGAGACAGAATCTCGCTCTGTTGCCAGGCTGGAGTGCAGGGGCAGGATCTCGGCTCACTGCAACCTCTGCCTCCCAGGTTCAAGCGATTCTCCTGCCTCAGCCTCCCGAGTAGCTAGGACTACAGGCGAGCACTACCACACCTGGCTAATTTCTGTATTTCCAGTAGAGACGGGGTTTCACCATATTGGTCAGACTAGACTTGAACTCCTGACTTCGTGATCCTACTGCCTCAGCCTCCCAAAGTGCTGGGATTACAGGCATGAGCCACCGCGCCCAGCCCTATATGGTAAATGTTTTAGAAGGCTGGTGTCTTGGAGGATGTGATTCACCCTATCCAGCAAAGCAGAACTCCCTCACATGAAACCACTATTAAGGGATAGAGAACACGGGACTCATCTTCGCTTCAGTCCATTCCAGAGGCAAGACATATAGGGTCAAGAGTGGTCATAGAGGGCTTCAAGGCTAAGTTGTCATTCAGTGAACCTGCCTACAGCCATAAAAGGGAGAATATGCAAACCTTGAAACAGATGTTTATGGGAATTTTTAAATGAAAACAGGAAAATGCGTATGTTATAATGTCAATTTTTAAAAGAGTAATTCAAGATTATATATTCAAGATTTGTTGAAAAGCTGGAGGAAAATATGCCAGAATATCAATAGTAATTTCCTCTGGCTCATTTGTTTTCATATATATCTTTTTGTACTTTCATAAATTTATAAAGAAAACACTGTTACTACATGATCAGCAAAACATACACTATTAGCAAAACTAGAAAAGAAAACAATCACTATATATGCCTTTAAGAAACATGGTGCAGGCCAGGCGTGGTGGCTCACGCCTATAATCCCAGCACTTTGGGAGGCTGAGGCGGGCAGATCACAAGGTCAGGAGATCAAGACCATCCTGGCTAACACAATGAAACCCCATCTCTATTAAAAATACAAAAAATTAGCCGGGCATGGTGGCGGGTGCCTGTAGTCCCAGCTACTCGGGAGGCTGAGGCAGGAGAATGGCATGAACCCGGAAGGCAGAGCTTGCAGGGAGCCGAGATTGTGCCACTGCACTCCAGCCTGGGCAACAGAGCGAGACTCTGTCTCAAAAAAAAAAGAAACGTGGTGCATAAACTTTTGTAATACCAAATGTGGGGCAATTTTTTAACTGCTTATCAGTGAATTAGGAAACACTGTAAACTTCTGGGAAGGAAGTGTAGAATACAATAGAGCCAAAAAATGATGCTCAAGATGGAATGCAGAAAACGTATTGAGAGCCACCTCTGTGCAAGGTGCAGTTAATCTTTAATCCATACCTAAGTCATAGTGATATGTGTCTGTTCTTGTTTTTGTTTGCCTTATCCTGGGGAGTGACACCCAACTCCTTCACTCCCCCAGGTATACTGTGTATCTTCAAAGCCCCTCTGAAATGGCAGAGTTCCACTTTGAAGTATGACCTTCCCAAGTGAACAAGCTGTTCTTACAGCTTGGGAGGAAATAAAAATGTGCCAAAAGTAGGTTTTGGATACAGAGACAAGCATGACCATCTAAGACCTAGGAGTGCAGGGAATGGAGGGCAGAAGCTGAAAGGGGAACATCTGAGCCTTAGATCCTTCGGAGTCCACCTTCAGAGAAGCCTTCCAAGATGCTGCTGCCTAGAGCTGAGAACTAGGAATCCTCCTGGCAGTTAATGAACTTCCCAGGATCCCATGAATTGGATACAATCCACACTCTGTAAATATTTATTTTCTTCCTTCTGAGACTCTATCCTCACTTCCTACCCTGACCTCAAAGCTGCTTGCTAGTAACACAGGTCCCTAGCAGGGTCATGCCTCATTTGTGGAAGATAAATAGTTCTACTCTAGCATCAACAACAACCCCTCACACAATGTCTAGCAAAGAGTCAATGCTCAACAAATATCTGTTGAATGAATGAACAAATGGATAGATGGATAGACAGAGGTTTGGTTAAAGCCTTGTCTGGAGATTATGGGCCATCAGTGTTTGATTTGCTTCTGTGGTTAGGCTGAGTCATTTTGGTTTCAAGAAGATAGTTGGTTAACAGTGACTGCAATGGGGCTAAGACAGAGAAAGGCTAGACTATTTGTCACATGCTCTTTAAATCTGAAGCAAAAAGAAATAAAATCAATGGATGGGGATAAGGGATATTTCTTCTGTCACATATTAGCTGAGTGGCGGTCTAGAAACTGGTTCTGTTTTCCACAATCAAGTTTTCTCATTCTCCAAAATCCAATAGTGTTTATTACCTCAGAGTTGATTAGACCTCCTTAAAAACAACTAGCCCTATGTTTGACACAGAGCAATCATTCAACAAATATCAGTGTTCTTTCCACCGAAACTTCCCTGCAGAAGATAACTTTGAGATCAACTAAATAGCACAACTAGCTAAAAAGCTCTCAAAAATGAGTCAGTAAGGAGAGAAATAAATAGGCATCTGTGTTATGGTTGACATTCACTGTTATTTCTATGTAGTAGGAATGAGTCATCTGGTAGAGTCTGGGGTAGGAAGAAAAACCATAACCCTATTTTTATTTACTCAGATGTCTGTAATGTCTTATTACATCTGCTCAAGGAAAGATATAGAACATTTGTCAGTGCCAGACCTATCACCATACAAGATATAAGATCTTGGTGAAGTCAAGATGCCTCTCCTGCCTTCACCTCTGTAACAGGATAGCAACAACTAGCTGTCTCAAACCAACCACCCAGGAATGTCGTGGAAGCCAATAAAAAAGCCTTCTCCATTCTTATATGGTAAGAAACATGTTATGTGAGCCCAAGGACAGATTTAAAAGTCATATTGCAAGTATAAGTCCTCTCCCTAGTTGTTATACTAGTAACAATAAAAAGAGTTATTTAATGTCTAATGGAGCAGGGCTAGATGTCATCCAAGAGTCAAAAGTCACAAGTTCACAGTCTTGGGAAATAAGAAAGCCATCCGAAATTAAGTGGCCTCTCGATGGCAGGCAAAGTGCTTTACCAATATTATCTCATTTAATTCTTAAGACACCTGGCTGGGCGCGGTGGCTCACACCTGTAATCCCAACACTTTGGGAGGCCGAGGTGGGCAGATCACCTGAGGTCAGGAGTTTGAGACCAGCCTGGCCAACATGGTGAAACCCCATCTCTACTAAAAATACAAAAATTAGCCAGGCATGGTGGCGCATGCCTGTAGTCCCAGCTACTCGGGAGGCTGAGGTTGGAGAATCACTTGAACCCAGGAGACTAAGGTTGCAGTGAGCCAAGATCACGTCATTGCACTCCAGCCTGGACGACAAGAGCGAAACTCCACCTCAAAAAAAAAAAAAAAAAAAAGACAATCTAGGAGGTAGGCATTATTATACCCATGCTCTGGATGAGAAAACTGAGGATCATAGAAGATAAGTCATTGTATCAGGATCAAATAGCTAACAAGTGGTGCAGCAGGGATTCAAAGGCAAGTCTGTCTGATTCCTATAACGCCAGCTGTTAAAGAAATACCACAACAGAGCTGGGCACAGCGGCTCATGCCTGTGATTCCAGCAATTTGGGAGGCTGAGGCAGGAGGATTCCTTGAGCCCAGGAGTTCGAGACCAGTCTGGGCAACATAGGGAGACCCCATCTCTACAAATAACTTAAAAAATTAGCCGGGCATGGTGGCACATGCCACTCGGGAGGCTGAGACAGGAGGATTGCCTGAGCCCGAAAGGTTGAGGCTGCAGTGAGCTGTGATCACACCACTGCACTCCCGCCTGGGTGACAAAGGCTCTGTCTCAAAAAAAAAAAAAAAAAAAAAGGAAAAGAAATACCAAAACAGAAGTGAAGGCCCAAAGATACGTATCTAATTCAAGTGCAAGGGAAAAGGAAGAAATGTTCACTCCTAAGAGCTATTCTTTAACCACAGACTTCTTCAATCCTACTTTCCTGAATAAACTGTACATTTGAAGGGATGTGAACATTTAATTGGCAGGGTTAAGTGTAGAGTCAGCATGAGTGCCTGATGTGCCATCAACTCTCTCTCAAATGGATACAAAAAGTAGAGAACAGAGAGAGATGGAGAGAAAAAGAAATATAGGAAAGGGTCAAAGGAAAGGGAAAGGAGACTGACAAAAGGAGCTAAACTTTGTCTTAACCTTTTTACTGAGATACAACATTCACAGAGTAACATGCATAAATCTCAAATGCACAGCTTAATGAAATTGATATGTATACACTGGTGTAACTAGACCAAGATATAAAACACCTCCATCACCTCATAAGATTCCTTCATGCCCCTTCCTAGTTAATCCTCACCTTCAGAGGTAACCACTGATCTGAGTACTGAAAATGTATATTAATTTGCATTTCCTATACTATATAAATGTAATAATACAGTATATACTCTCTTTTTTAATCTGACATCTTTCACCCAGCATAATTATTTTGAGATTTGTCCATGTTGGTGTATATATGAAGGATTTATTCCTTTTTATTGCTAAATAGTATTCCCTTGTATGGATATACCACAGTTTATCTACTCACTTGTTTATGCACATTTGTCTGTTTCCAGTTTGGGGCAATTATAAATAAAATTGGTAAGAACACCGGTGTACACGTCTTTATATACACATAAGCTTTAATTTCTCTTGAAATGAAATTTCTAGGAATGGAGTTGTTGAATTATAGAATGCTATACTTTGGATATAGTTTGTCCTCACCAAAACTCATGTTGAAATTTGATCCCTAATGTGGCATGTTGGGAGGTGGGGCCTAATGGAAGGTGTTTGGGTCATGAGAGCAGATACCTCATGATTGGCTTGGTGCCATTCTCATGGTAGTGAGTGAGTTCTCCCTCTTTCAAAACTGGATTCATTCCCTTAGGAATGAATTAGTTCCCACAAGAGTAGGATTTTATAAAGCCAGGATGCCCCTAAGGTTTTGCCTCTTCACATGTGTTCACTTCCCCTTTGACCTTCTCTGCCATGTTATGATGTGTCAAGAAAGCTCTCGGCCAGGCACAGTGGCTCATGCCTGTAATCCCAGCACTTTAGGAGGCCAAGGCAGGCGGATCACCTGTGATCAGGAGTTCGAGACCAGCCTGGCCAACATGGTGTAACCCCATCTCTACTAAAACTACAAAAAAAATTAGCCAGACACAGTGGCGTGCACCTGTAGTCCCAGCTACGTGGGAGGCTGAGGCAGGAGAATTGCTTGAACCTGGGAGGTGGAGGTTGCAGTGAGCCAAGATTGCACCATTGCACTCCAGCCTGGGCGACAGAGCAAGACTCTGTCTTGAAAAAAAAAATGAGAGAGAGAAAGCTCTCACCAGAAGCTGAGGCCATGCCCTTGAACTTCCCAGCCTGCAAAACTAAATAAACCTCTAAATAAACCTCTTTTCTTTATAAATTACACAGTCTCAGATATTCTGTTATAGTAACACAAAATAAACTAAGACACAAAGTAAACATGTTTAGCTATAGTAGATTTTAAAAACACTGAGTCTTAGACCTCTATTCCCTTCCTAGCCTGGCTTTTTTATTTTAGAGATGTTAACTTTATTTTTCCCCACAAAATGAAAATTATATGTACTCTCTATAGAAAATTGGAAAATACAACAAACTAGAAGGAAAGGAAATCAAAACTCTTGTAACATAGGGTTCAAATAAGCTCTCTCCTTTCTGAGATTTGGCATTGACTCAAGAATGCAGCTAGAGAGTTTCTGGAAAAGTCACTGGACAGACCATCAAGCATAAAACCAACAATGTAGTCCTTAAATGTGATTATACAGATCTATGTTTATCAATGAAAAAGTATGATCAGGACCTATTTTTAGGATATATTTTAGAGTGATGGTTAAGATCATGGGCTTTGGAGTCAGACTACCTGGCTCCAAACCTAGCTAGCTCTTTGTCCTTAAACAAATGACACAACTTTGCTGTACCTCCATTTTACCATCTGTGACAAGGGGGTGATAATAATAATACCTACCTCATAGAGCTGCTTTGGGGATTAAATAAAACACTAGAACACTTAGAGAAGCACTTAGAAAAAAATAAAGCTTGGCTCATAGTAAATTTACCATCAACAACCAGAAGTGAGCCATCAACATTTCTCAGCAGTCCTTCTATTTTTCTCTGGTCAACCTACAACCTGCTCTCACCCTTACAACTCATTGAACCTTCTCCATTCTCTTCAGCCTTCCAACTCCTCCTCCTTATTATCTCTACATGCAGATGACCACACCCTCATTTACAGAAAAAATAACGGGGTTGGGGGAGCCTTTAGAAGGAAGTTGTCTCTCATCTTCCTAACACCAAACATAAACCAACTATACCTGCACACATCCTACCAGCAGTTAGTTCCTCAATTAAGACAGAGATGCTCTTGCCTTTTAGTGAACACTAATTCCTCCACCTATGCTTTCGATTCCAGATGCTCCTCTCTCTTAGCAAACGTACTCTATGATTTATCCCATCTCTCTGCTGTATTTTTAACCACTCACTCCCTACAGACCCTTAATTGTAAACTTTACACATCCACAAAATTTCTCCATTAAAAAAAGTCCTTGGCTGGGTGCAGCAGCTCAAGACTGTAATCCCAGCACTTTGGGAGGCTAAGGCAGGCAGATTGCTTGAGCCCTGGAATTCGAGACCAGACTGGGTAACATGGCAAGACCCCATGTCTACAAAAAATGCAAAAATTAGCCCAGCGTGGTGGTGTGCGCACCTCTAATCCCAGCTACTCAGAAGACTGAAGTGGGAGAATCGCCTGAGCCCAAGAAATCAAGGCTGCAGTGAGCTGTGATTGTGCCACTGCACTCCAGCCTGGGCAACAGCGTGAGACCCTGTCTCAAAAAAATAAATAAATAAATAATTTGAAAGGCCTCTCTTGACCCGTAGTCTCGCTCCTGCTTCTACCCTGACTTTTCCATGCCCTTCACAGCCAAAGTGCTTCAAATAGCTGCCTATATTCTTTGTTTCCATTACTTGCCTACCGGCTGGGCGCAGTACCTCACACCTGTAATCCCAGCACTTTGGGAGGCTGAGGTAGGCGGATCACCTGAGGTAAGGAGTTCAAGACCAGCCTGGCTAACATGGTGAAACCCCGTTTCTACTAAAAATACAAAAAATTAGTCGGGCATGGTGGTGTGCGCCTGTAATCCCAGCTACTCGGGAGGCTGAGGCAGGAAAATTGCTTGAACCCGGGAGGCGGAAGTTGCAGTGAGCCGAGATCGCACCATTGCACTCCAGCTTGGGCAACAAGAGTGAAACTCCGTCTCAAAAAAAAAAAAAAAAAGTGCCTTCCTCTCTCTGCTAACCACACTCCAATCTGTTCCATTCTAGATTTCTGCCCCGTCATTCCATGAAAATAGATCCATCCAGGACACCAATGCCTCCATATTCTTAAATGCAACACATATTTACCAGTCCACATCTTATTTGACCTCTGAGCAGCAATGGACATTGTTAACAGTCCATTCCCTACATCTTGAAACAGTTTCTTTCTTTGGCTTCAATGACACAAGTCCCTCCTAACTTTCTTTTAAACCTCCCTGGCTGCTGTTTCCCAGTCTCCTTTGCAGGCTGACTCTCCTGTACTCCACATGAAATACTGGAGTTTCTCAAGCCTCCTTCTTTGATCTCCTGCATTCTCACTCTGATACTCTTTGGCCTAGACAACCTTATCCCCACACATGGCTTGAATTATCAACTATATCCATATAGCACACAATTTATATATCCAATATATAGGCCCCTTCTGAGCTCTAGATCCATCCATCCAACTACCTATATTCTCTTGGGTGTTCTCAAAGGCACGTCAAACACAGTATGTCTAAGACTAAACTCACAGTCCTCATACCTGAACTTAGTATTCAATGTGATCTTAAAGGTCCTGCTTCTTAATGCTGTTACTCCAAACATCCAGTTGTACAAGCCAGAAACTGAGAAGTCACCCTTGACCGCTCACTCTCACTGTAAGATACAGGGGGGAGTAAACAAAATGTGGATTTTCCTATACTCTCTATTTAATATAGAATGCTTCTGTAGCCCCAGATGTATGGGAGAATTTTCCCATACATCAAGCAATCAGTTTTGCAGTGGACACCAGCTGGATGTCCTCTAATTGAATTCAGTTCTGTTACTACCTACCTGGAGATAGTGTCAGATCCCACAGTTTGAGAGCTCAGGCTCACAAGACTGCTCTCCACTTCAGATGCCAGGTTGTAAGCTATGCTTCTGACTGACCCACTGTAAATCAGGGTTCCCATGACCCTCCCCTTGGGTTTGATTAATTTGCTAGAGAGGGTCACAGAACTCTGAAAAACATGTTTACAGGTTTATTATAAAGGATATTACAAAGCATATAGATGGACAGCCAGATGGAACAATCACATAGGACAAGGTACAGGATAAGGGGCACCAAGCTTCCATGCCCCCTACAAGCACAGCACCCTCTAGGTACCTCCATGTGTTCGCTATCCAGAAGCTCTCCAAACCCAATTCTTTCGGGTTTTTATAGACTTTACAGCCAGGCACGGTGGCTCACGCCTGTAATCCCAGCACTTTGGGAGGCCGAGGTGGGTGGATCACATAAGGTCAGGAGTTCGAGACCAGCCCCACCAACATGGCAAAACCCTGTCTCTACTAAAAATACAAAATTTGCCAGGCGTGGTGGTGCATGCCTGTAATCCCAGCTACTTGGGAGGCTGAGGCAGGAGAATCGCTTGAACCCGTGAGATGGAGGTTGCAGTGAGGCAAGATCACGCCATTATACTCCAGCCTGGGCAACAAGAGTGAGACTCCATCTCAAAATATAAAAATAAAAAATAAATAAAATAGAGGCTTTACTATGTAGGCATGATTGATTACATCATTGGCCACTGCTAGTCAATTTAACCTTCAGCTCCTCTCCCTTCCCCAGAGGCTGGGGGTGTGGTGAAAAAGTCTCAACTCTCTAATCCTGCCTTGACCAGCGCCCCCGTCCTAAATCTACCTAGGAGCCTCAGCCACCAGTTATCTCATTAGCATGCAAAAGATACTTTTTTATTTTTATTTTTATTTTTATTTTTTTGAGACGGAGTTTCACTCTTGTTGCCCAGGCTAGAGTGCAATGGCGTGATCTCAGCTCACTGCAACCTCCGCCTCCCAGGTTCAAGCGATTCTCCTGCCTCAGCGTCCCAAGTAGCTGGGATTACAGGCATGTGTCACCATGCCCGGCTAATTGTGTATTCTTAGTAGAGATGGGGTTTCACGATGTTGGTCAGGCTGGTCTCAAACTCCTGACCCCTGGTGATCCGCCCACCTCGGCCTCCCAAAGTGCTGGGATTACAAGCGTGAGCCACCACCCAGGGCAAAAGATACTCTCATCACCTCAGAGATTCTAAGGGTTTTAAAAGCTGTAATTCGCGAAAATGAGGATGAAGACTACCATGGTTTGAATGTTTGTCTTCTCCAAAACTCATGTTAAAATTTAATTGCCCCATGGGCATGGTGGCTCACGCCTGTAATCCCAGCACTTTGGGGGGCCGAGGCCAGTGGATCGCCTGAGGTCAGGAGTTCAAGACCAGCCTGGCCAACATGGTGAAACATTGTCTCTAGTAAAAATACAAAGATTAGCTGGGCATGGTGGTGGGCGCCTGTAATCCCAGCTACTCGGGAGGCTGAGGCAGGAGAATCGCTTGAGCCCAGGAGGTAGAGGTTGCACTGAGCCAAGATTGCGCCACTGCACTCCAATCTGGGCAACATAGTGAGACTCCGTCTCAAAAATATATATATATAAATAAAATAAAAATGAAAAATTTAATTGCCATTGTAATGAAATCACCTTTGCAAAATTATAACTGAGGAAATTATGACAGTGAAAGAAATCAGACCTAACCGACTCCACCTTGCTTCTAACCTTTAAGCTGTCCTTGTTCATTCCTGGGCATAGGTCAAACTAACTTTGGGAAGGAATTCAGTTTGTGGTTTGATTCTGAAACAAAATTGATCATAGGCGTTTCTTTCCTGGGGACTAGTCTGCCTGTGCAGGACTAACAAATTAGCTACAAGATTAGAAATTACAGTTTAGGGGTCATGCAGCCTCTGGCTCCAAGAGTCTGAACCTCCCCAAATTGCTCCTGGGGATAACATCACTATTGTGAAACCTAAGATCAGTGCCTGAGATACTTTTCAGACCCTGAACTCGATGGAGCAGCTGACACCACCCAGACCTGTAATCTGGCTCAACCAGTTCTGCCATCCCACCCAGAACACAAAACTGCAAGAAAGACTCACTTCGACCCCCTATGATTCCATCTCCAACCTGACTGATCAGCACTCCGTACTTCCCAAGCCCCTACCCACCAAGTTATCTTTAAAAACTCTGATCCCAGCCAGGCACGGTGGCTCACGCCTGTAATCCCAGCACTTTGGGAGGCTGAGGCGGGTGGATCACCTGAAGTCAGGAGTTCGAGACCAGCCTGGCCAACATGGTGAAACCCCATCTCTACTAAAAAATACAAAAATTGGCCTGGCATAGTGGCGGGCACCTGTAATCCCAGCTACTCGGGAGGCTGAGGCAGGAGAATCGCTTGAACCCGGGAGGCAGAGGTTGCAGTGAGCCGAAATCACATCATTGCACTCCAGCCTGGGCAACAGAGCAAGACTCTGTCTCAAATAATAATAATAATAATAATAATAATAATAATAATAATAACTGATCCCCCAAATGCTCTGGGAGACTGATTTAAGTAATAACAAAACTCTGGTCTCCTGCACAGCCGGCTGTGTGTGAATTACTCTTTCTTCATTTCAACTCTCCTGTCTTGATAAATCTCTGTCTAGGCAGCAGGCAAGGTGAACCCACTGGGCGGTTGCAGTAATAGTATTAAGAGGTGAGACTTTTAAGAGGTGATTAAGCCATGAGGGCTCTACCCTCACAGGTGGGATTAATGCCATTATAAAAGGGCAAGATCGGTCTCCTCTTGCTCTATCTCTTGGCCCTTCTTTCTGTCTTCTGCCATGTCATGATCTAGCCTTCCTCCCCTCTGGAGGACACAGTGTGTGCAGGGACCATCTTGGAAAAAGAGAATGGCCTCACCAGACACCAAACCTGCCCACACCTTAACCTTAGACTTCCTATCTTCCAGAACTGTAAGGCAATAAATTTCTGTTTATAAATTACCCACTATCGGGTATTGTTATAGCAGCACAAAACAAACTAAAGACTAAATGTGTACTTCACAATATCACACTCCCTCCCTCCCAATTCCAATCCATTGCCAAGTCCTGCAGATTTTACCTCCTAAGAAACCCTAAAATATACCAATCCCCTCCATGTAAACCATGGCTATTGTAGTACAAGCTACTATTACCTCTACTCTAGATTGTTGAAATGGCTTCTAATAAAACTCTCCATACATTCTGACTCCTTCCCAATCCTTTATCCACACTGTAGCCAGGGCAATATTTTCTTTTCCTTTCTTTTTTTTTTTTTTTTTTTTTGAGACAGAGTTTTGCTCTTGTTGCCCAGGCTGGTGTGCAATGGCGCGATCTCAGCTCACCACAACCTCTGCCTCCCGGGTTCAAGCGATTCTCCTGCCTCACCCTCCCGAGTAGCTGGGATTACAAGCATGCACCACCATGCCCGGCTAACTTTTTGTATTTTTAGTAGAGACGGGGTTTCACCATGTTGGTTGGCCAGGCTGGTCTCGAATGCCCGACCTCAGGTGATCCACCTGCCTCAGCCTCCCAAAGTGCTGGGATTACAGGCATGAGCCACTGTGCCTGGCCCCCAGGGCAATATTTTCAAAGACAAATCTGATTCGTTCTCCCCATCCCACAGGGCTTCCAATGGCTCTTAGGATATAGACTGAATGGCTTAAGATGGCTTGTAAGGCCCTGCATGCCCTGACCCAACACACTGCTGTCCCAACTGCCTGTTGAACTCCAGCCACTTTCATTCAGTCTCTTTTACTCACCATGCCATCTCTGAACACATAGCCTCAAACCAGCTCCTCCAACTCTCACCTCCAATCTAATTAGCCACTATTCTTCCTTTAACTCTCAGCTCAATAACTGCTTCTTTGAAGCAATTCCTGACCACCTTGACTAGTCGAATACCCCTATTTTATAGGCTCTCATTGCACCATGTACCCTCCTTTTCATGATACTTGTCCTCATTGCAATTATACACTTGCATGGCTATTTGCTTGCTACTTGGCTCCCCACTGTACTATGAGCTCCTTGAGGACAGGAACTTAATAGGTGTTTTTCCTCAAATTTCCTCAGCACCCAGTACAATGCCTGGCAATAAATTGGTGGTCTTTTTTTTGTTTTTGTTTTTTTTTGAGACGGAGGCCCACTCTGTCACCCAAGCTGGAGTGCAGTGGCACAATCTTGGCTCATTGCAACCTCCGCCTCCTGCATTCAAGTGATTCTCCTGCCTCAGCCTCCCAAGTAGCTGGGATTACAGGCGCACACCACCATGCCCAGCTAATTTTTGTATTTCTAGTAGAGATGGGGGTTTCACCATGTTGGCCAGGCTCGTCTCGAACTCCTGACCTGATCCACCCGCCTCGGCCTCCCAGAGTGCTGGGATTACAGGCGTGAGCCACTGCATCCAGCCAATTGGTGGTCTTTTTAAAAAGAATTGTACCCTGGCAGGTCATGCTAATATATACTACTAGAAGCACTGTCTGAGAGTGCCTTCCGCCAATGGGAAACAGAGCCAGATACTAGTCAAAAGCAGTAAAGCCATATTTTGAGTACTATTATAATAGAGGAAAAGAGACTTCAGTATAGAACTAAGCTCAATCCAAAGACAACTAGGACAAGTGTGGATTTACAGTCAAGCAGCAGAGTGAGGGAGTCAGTAGAAAGAAAATTCCTAAGGGGAGAGAGATATCAAGGGTAGGGGGATTCTTGCTCAACTGACTAAACAGGATTCTCGCTCAAGGCAGGACAAGGTGATCAGGTATCAAGGGTGAGGGAGTTACTCAGCAGGACTCTTGCTAAAACTGGGCTAGGCAGGCCGAGGACAGGGCCCAAGGACAAGGTGTAGTTGAAAAGAAAGCTGAGAGGAGCCTGTCCAAAGTTTGCTCAAAGAGACTTTGTTACTTCCTCAGGCCAGTGTATGTTTCTTTATCTTTATGTCTTACTTTGCTGCTAGTCTCCCCACAAAATAGATCATATCCCCACTACTCTTTACTTATTATTCCATAGGCATTTTAAGAGCTTCTTTGAGTTATAATTTATATTTCATAAAGTTCTCCCCCTTTTCAAGTGCAAATTCAATAGTTTTTAGTAATTTATAGAGTTGTGCGAACTATCACCACAATCTAAGTTGGGACATTTTCGTTATCTCTAAAAGACGCTCCATGCCCATTTGCAGCCACTCCCAGTTCCCACCCCATAGCTGCTTTTGAAAGCCATCATATTTGCCTAAGGATGAAAGGTACAGCCTCACTGGAAAAGCAAAAATCAAAACTACCACGCGTGAAATAATTTGAGAACCACCAAGCACTAATTGTGCATTTCTGATTATTTTCTCAAAAACATTTAAAGACAAGTCAATGTGAACTAAGGAGTGGGAGGAGGTTTCAAGGAAAAGGTAGAACATTTTAAGGTTTTTCTGCAGAGGAAAAAGTGAGCAAAAAAAAAAAAAAGGAAAAGGAATTTAAGTTGAAAAATACTCCAACAAACGAACCAACATGTTTTCAGAACTTTTTGAAGTTCCAGTATGGTGCTGTCACGGTTGGTGAGCTGTCTGTCCTTGATCCAGTAGACAATGCGAGTTTCTAGAACAGAAGGATAAGGATTTATCACAAGCCATAAAAGCTGAAGCAACACTCAACTGAAAATAAACATGTATTGAGCGCCTACTGTGTGTCACGCAAGGGGCTCTGCGCAGGAAAAAAAAAAAAAAAAAAGGCTCCTCGCAGCTCCCCCTGCCCCGGCCAGGTGGCTGCGTGCCCCCTTCCGCCTAATCCCTGGACTGCCCTGGGGCTGAGAACTCCCCTGGCGCGAGAAGCTGGACTCCCCCGGGGACCGGCCCGAGATCACTCGGAGTCGGGGGCGTCCGGCACAGGCCAGACGCAAGGAGGACCCAGCTGGGGCCGGCCCTTCCTTCCCTTCTCCTGTCGCACGACTAGGCCTGTGCCCGGTCCCACCTGCCGCCCTCCCCCTCCTCCTAATGGGACCGAAAAGAGCCCGAAGGGCCTGGGAGGGCGGGTGAGGTTCCCAGGCCTTTCCAGATGCCCTGCCGTGTTTGGCAAAGCGATTGTCTTCCCTCTTGGAGCTCCGCGGACACCCGACCCCTCTTCCTCTCCCTCGCCACCTTCCGTCATTCGCCACGCTGACCACTTCCCCTCTGCTGCCTCCCGCTGAAGCCCCAGCCCGGCCGCGGCCGCCATTTCCCGACAGCCTCTTCCCTGTCCCTTTCCCTGAAAGGAAATGTACTGGGGCGGGGCGGGGCGCTGTGTGAGGGTCTCGAGAAAGCCGCCGGGGAGAAGGAGGGATGGATTCTTTCCAAACTCTCTCCGCTCTCCCGGAGCCCCCTACCTCACCCTTTCTCCCCGAATTCTTGTGGGCTTGGGAGCGAGAGAGAAGGAGCTGGTCCCAGCGCTAGTCACCGCCACCCTCAGCCCACAGATCGGGGGGGGCACGGGTACTCGTACACCACCCCATAAGGATCCCAGCCATGTCCTCTTTCCTTCGCCAGAGCTCATTTCCTCCTCCCTTCCAGCTTCCTGCCCTTTCCCCAAGACAAAGTTGATGTTTGCCTTCCCTGAGACTCAATTTCCTCATCTCTAAAGTGGGATGACACGTAAGAACATCTTGTATATGTGAAACATGCCCTGTGCAAAAGAAGGGGAGCAGGAAGAGGGATACAGGGAGAAAAAGGGCCGTGGAAAAAGGGTCCTTGGAATGTACGGGTAGATGTTCTAAAGAATGTATCGGTCAGAGCATTAGGATAGGTTCAGAAAATAATTACTGAATATATTATTTTGATTCTTAGATGTTATCTCTCACTATTTATCTCTTCTTTCAGAAGCCTAACATTCTCTTCTCAGAGGGCCAGATCGATGTGTGTTGTGTGCATTTATCTGTGCTGACCACTGCTGTGACGGAGGTGGTGGGGCGTCCATTCACAGGCTGCAGGCACAGGGACAACATAACTGTGGAATCCTAATTAGAAAAAAGGAGTTAGGCTGGCTGGAGCAGGGGAAGGCAAAGGGAGAAAGCAAATAAGCTATAAGTTTGTCTTTCTTCATGGTCCAGAACATATAAACAAAAAGAGGAATCAGATAAGCTATAGGTCTGCTTTTCTTTATGGCCCAGGACATGTGGCTTCTTGCGCAGATAACATACATAACTCACAAACTTCCTGCTCACTATCAAACGCCTCAATTTATCAAACACCCCAGCTAACAGAAGAATGCAAGCTAGCTCCCTACTGCCTTGGTTTTCTCAATCAGCCCAAAAACCATCCTATAAAATCTCCAGCAAGCCTTTGTTTCTTTTCAGTCGGCTCCTCTCTTGCAGGCTGCCCGTTGCCTTCTCGAAACGTATTTTCCTACTTTCTCTAATAAATCTGCCTTTACCTCCAACTGTCTTGGTAAATTATTTTACCCCTGCACCACCAGCCCAGTTAGTCGACACTCCCCCGCGACGATAACCCCTCACCTTCCCAGCGGAGTCCTGCACCATGCTAACCTGGGCCCCTTGGGCATGCCTGCTTTGCACTCATGAGAAGACAGTTTTGGTCATTGTGGGAGCAGCTTGTAAAGGGTTCTTGTGACACTCCCAGCCTGGTATAAGGCACAGCAAGTGGAATTTCCTTCCATCAGCAGCTGTTTTGCAATAGCCCTGGAGGCCCATCTTGGAGAAATCTTCATTTTAGCTGACAGCACTAGGAATTCTACCTGATGGAAAAGGAGCTTGATTTATAAACATATTCGCAATGCATTTTCGTATCATTTTGCTGGGTAGAGAAGGCAGAGAAGATATGTCATGCTTACACATGGGATTGTCTCTGTTTTGGTTACCTCCTTTAGGGTTGGATGAGTGAATGCAGGAATCAATGAATGGGTGGATAATGGAATCCATGTATCCATCAGCCAGTAGTTTCCTGCAGCAGAACCACCCTGAGCACTTGTTAAAACACAGCTTATTGGCTGGACAGAGGTTCACACCTGTAATCCCAGCACTTTGAGAGGCCAAGGCAGGAGGATCTCTTGAGCCTAGGAGTTCGAGACCAGCCTAGGCAACATAGTGAGATCCCGTCTCTATAAAAATCATTTTAAAAAATAACTGGGCTTGGTGGCACTCGCCTGTAGTCCCAGCTACTCGAGAGGCTGAGGTGGGAGTATCACTTGAGCCTGGAATTCAAGGCTGCAGTGAGCTGAGATCGCACCACCGCACTCCAGCCTGGGCAAGAGCGAGACCCTGTCTCAGAAAAACACAAAAAACAAAACACAACTTGTTGGGCTCCACACCCAGTTTCTGATTCAGTCCTTGGGGGAAAGGGACGAGGCGGGGGGCGGGGGGGCAAAAAGAATCTGCATATCTCACAAGGTGGAGGTTCATGCTGTTACTGATCAGGTACCACACCCAGAGAACCACTGGCACAAGCCATCGGATACTTAGACCACGATAACTGTGGCTGCAAATTTTCTGCCTGATCCTGCCAAATAGCTCACACACGCAGTTGAAAATAAATCCTCTGACTCAGTGTTTGGGGGGTGTTGTGGGTGGACTGCCCACTCGACCTCCCATCACTTTCCTGGGTAGTAGTGTTAGATGTGAGTGTTGGAGCACGAATGGTGGTGGGTGTGCACGCGTGTGCACACCAGCTGTACTGCTGTCCCTTTGCACACCTCTAGTGCTGACCGCTGACCTTCTCCAGGTTCTCTCTCCTTTGCTCCCCAGAGCCCTTCTGAGTCTTCTTAGCCAGCGAAGAAGAGTAAGTGAACATCTAAGATCACAAAGAACCCTCTATTGTCTCCTGGGATTTGGTGCCATCTAGTGGCTAACTTGAGAATCTTTGCTCAGACTTAGAGAAACTTCTGGAAAATTAACTAAGTAGCCTGGGAAGGCAAAAACACCTACTTGTTTACCCTCTGAGAAAGGCTTCCTGAAGGGCAAGGACTGGCTCAACATGATAGGAGTCAAAATGGATTTCTTGCTCTCCTGAAAGCTGTGATAAAAATTAGAAGTCATCAAAGAATCTCAATCACGTCTCACTGCATCTTCAGCTTGAATGATTTTCTAGAATTGATTTTCATTTCCTGAATGAAACGGAGTCAGGTAATACCAACTTGGTATTTGCCTCCCATCTCATTTCTCTGGGCCCCAAGCCCTGAACAGCCCAAGTATAGCAATCCAGTCCCCAAGGGGTCAGTGAAACTACAGAGATCTGTAGTTCACGGTACAGTTGGTACTGATAAGAGGGACATCAGGGCCTTAAAGTTATTGAGGGGTGGAATTGTTAATGACCACTGTGATCCAGACAGAAATCTAAGATATCAGCACACAATGCCACAGCAGCTCAAAATCCTCATTAAGAGGTGCGAGGTATTGTAAATATGTGGTTTGGACTTTAACAGAAAATTTAAACTACTTGTTATGGGAACAAAGGGGAGGCAATCAGGGATCATAAAGGAAGCTGCTCCTTAAAGTTGCTGTTTGGGGAACTGTGATGGGTCTCAAAACGTGGTCTTGAGACCAGCAGCATCAGCACATTCTCAAGCAACATCCCAAAACTACTGAATTGGAAACTCTAGGGATGGGGCCTAGAAATGAATGTTTAAACAACCCCTGCAGATGATTCTGATGCACATGAATGTTTGAGAACCGCTGGTTTAAGATAAGCTTTAGATGCCCTAAAATACACCTGAGAGTGTTTATAGAGAATCTACTAATGAATTCATGGAGGAGACAATTTATTTCCATAACATAAACCTGCTTCTTTTTTATGTTTTGTTTTTAACACATAATTGTAAGCCTACTTCTTTTTAAACATACAAACGTGCCTTCTAGTTTGTGGTGAAATAAAAAGGATTATTTATTTGCTTTCACTTCTTTGGATTTTAGAGAATACTATCTTGGTAAGTACAGTCTCCAAAAGTAGCTCAATAGTCCTGTAGACATGGTAAGTTTTTTTTAAAAAAGAATGTACAACTTTAATATTAATCAAAAAAATACAAATTAAAATAGCAATGAGATATCATTTCTCAACTAAAAAACTGGCAAAGTTCAAAAAGAATAATGTGCATCAATAAGGAGGGTATAAGGGGGAAAATAAAACACACACTCCAAGTAGAAAGATAAAGTACCAGAATCTTTCTGGTAACACAAATCAGAAGCCTTAAAAATGAGTATATCTTTGACTCAGCAATCCCATTTCTAGGGATATATCTTAGAAATAATTAATGATATATGCAACAATGAACATATAAAGATGCTAAATATCATTTATAATTTTAAAATTAAAAATCTTAACTTTGAGGGAATTGTAAAGTCAATCAGTGTGCCCATATGACAGAACATAATAAAAATCAATCAGTTCAAGATTTTTTCCAGTTTTTAAAAGGAAGATTTATTTAACAAGTTTCACTTAGTACAATACATCTAAATGGAAATCACAATACAAGGAAAGATTTAAACCAAAGCCTCAGATTTTCATACAAACGACACGACCAAACTTCTAAAGTATTGGTATTACATCTTAAAATTGTCCCGTATCCTTAAAAAAAAAAAAAGTGTACACTCACGTGCCTTACAGGATATTAAACCAAAAAGCTAGAATTAACAAACATGCCAAATGTTTTCACTTTGAATCGTAGACACAGCTCCTATATTTGAGTTTTACAGAAAGGCATGTTTCTCAACATGCATCCGAAGTTTTCAATGTATTTGTGGTATAAGAGCAACATTTAACATAAGTGAAACTGCATTAACCTAAATACGCTTACTGCTTAGGTACACTCCTACAACATAACTAACTTGAGGAAAGCTAAAAATTGTTTTAACAGTTATGGTCAATACTGAACTTTGTTATTATGTCCTAGATGAATGTTTCAGTGTTCAAAATTACTGAGCTTGAAGTTTTAAAATAATCTCAACTTCCACTTTACAGTAAGCATGAATCACAAGCCTGTAATGCAAAACTGTTAAACTTAACTCGTTTTCTTAAAAAAGGAGAAAGAAAGATAAAGAAAGAGAAGCTGACCAAGAGTGATCAGAATCAATTATATTTCCCATTTACCAATCATACTGGATATACTAAACATCCCTCCCATTCTATTCAACTCCCACAAATGTACAGCTTTTATATCTGGAGTAGCTATTTAGTGCTCCTTCTCTACCTAAGCAAGGTTTGACTGATAGTCACTGGAGTTTTCCTGCAGAACTTGGTCATATCCACTCATACTGCTCTGACCACCATAACCACCTCCATAACCACCACTCAGCTGCTGGCTAGCAGGACCTCCATAACTAGACTGGTTGGATAAGCCCATCCCTCCCATCATTTGGCTACCATAAGCGCCACCACTTGCCCCTGCTGTAGAATTCAAAAAAAGTTCTACATAGCTGTGATCGTAAGCACCCCCACTTGTTCCTGCAGTAGAATTTAAGAAGAGCTCCACATATCTGTGTTGCATATTAGCTTTGTCTTTTGCCATAGCTGCCACAGCATCTTCATGAGTAGCAAATTCAACATCTGCCTCACCGGTAACTCTGCCATCGGGTCCAATTTCAATATGTACTCTCATGGGATTAAGAGGTGAGAAGAAATTATAAATATCATTCTCAGTGGCTCTGTAAGGTAACCCCCTCATGTGTACACAGTGCCCTGTGGTGCTCTGGAAACTGGACCCACCATCTCCGTATCTATGATCAGACATTCCTGAAAAACAGTAATTGAGGTCTCTTCCAAATCTATCAGACCCAAAGCCATATCCATCATTATAGCCACCATAGTCATCATAGCCTCCATACCCTCCACCATAGGCACCACGCCTCATCCTTTCAAACCCAGCTCCTCTGCCAATGCTATTATACCCTCTGCCAGCCCCCGGCCTATCATAGGGACCTGGCCGCTGCATAGCCATGAGCTTTCGAGGGGGATCATAGTGGGTTCGAACTTCAGCTCGGCTACTCTTGAAGATCTCAATGTACCTGTGCCCTATTCTTTCCTTGTGTTTCTTTAAGGCCTTCTCAGCTATCTCCTGTGAAGCAAACTGCACAAAGGCTTCCCCTGTGCTTCGCCCCTGAAAGTCCACTGGCAGTGTCATCCCATTTGGCACAATTTCCAACCCTGAAAAGAACTGAACAATCTCTTCCTTGCTACAGCCAAATGGGAGTCCTCTAAGCCGGACGAAGCCATCGTTGGCAGTATCAGGGCTATTCGGACCTGTATGCTTCAACACCCAATCCATTTCAACACTGTTAGACTTGAATACTTCAACGTATCTGTGTCCCATGGTTTCTCTGTCCTTCTTCAAAGCCAATTTCACTTCCTCTTCAGATTCAAGTTCAACAAATGCTTCACCACTTGGTCTGCCTTCTCTGGTGTAGATGAAACGAATACCTGATGTGCCATTTTGGATCTTGCAATCAGAGAAGAAGCGCATCACTTCATCGGCTGAGCAGGACCAGGGTAGGCCCCTGACCTTCACCACGAACCCCTCCCTGCCTTCCGTGCTCAGCATCATGGTGATTGTTGGGCTCTTGGTGGCAAGTTTGGCTCAATGCAATTTTGGTGTAGCTGAAAAAAAAAAAAAGAAGACTACTGTCATGGAAAAATGCTCGTGATATAGTAAGAGAAAAAAGCAAACTATTAATAGAAAATTCAATTATGCTGACAGCTTTTCTGTAAGACGTCTGTATAAACAGAGAGTTCACCAAATTTTTAACTCATTCATTTTTTAGCAGTTATTTATTCAATGCCTATTACGTGTTAGATACCATTAAAAATTA
The DNA here is from genome assembly GCF_000001405.40 of Homo sapiens. Lineage (NCBI taxonomy): Eukaryota > Metazoa > Chordata > Mammalia > Primates > Hominidae > Homo > Homo sapiens. Next base: position 101,411,723 of record NC_000023.11, on the reverse strand, counting down.
ACAGCAATCGGCCGGGTGCGGTGGCTCACGCCTGTAATCCCAGCACTTTGGGAGGCTGAGGTGGGTGTATCACCTGAGGTCAGCAGTTCGAGACCAGCCTGGTCAACATGGTGAAACCCCGTCTCTACTAAAAATACAAAAAATTGGCTGGGCGTGGTGGCAGGTGCCTGTAATCCCAGCTACTCGGGAGGCTGAGGCAGGAAAATCGCTTTTATGTACCCAGGAGGTGGAGGTGAGCCAAGATCACGCCACTGCACTCCAGCCTCAGCGACCAGAGCAAAACTCCGTCTCAAAAAAAAAAAAAAAAAAAAAAAAAAAATTAACAGCAACAAATCAGTGGGAGATGTCAACAAATAAAAGATGGCTATATCTGAATATATAAACATAAAAAACTTCACTAGATCAAAAGATTAAACAACAATTAAAACACAAACAAAACACAGGTTATGTAAGTTCTTTATATAATATCTTCATTATATAAAAATGTATGCAAATCAATAAAATCAGGGAAATATTTGGGCTCCAGAGATAAATGAAAAAAAGACATTATTGGGAATTCACACATTCATTTTAGAAACATTTTTTAGTTGCCATGTCCAATATTCGGCTCTGGCATACAAGAATCAATAAGCCCAGAATGGGCTTATGGTCCTACAGGAGCACCGAATGTCATTATTAAAGATGTAAATGCAAATATACATTATACTTGCCATGACCCTCTGAGTGGAGTGTAAGCATAGTATCAAAGAGGGACTAGTTGATCAGTTCTATTGGTTGGAGGCCAAATGGTTAAATGAAACAGACTAATCTGCCCAGGGATCCATAAACATTTTTTTTTCTTAATTATGATGAAGCACAAATAGGAGAGGGAAAAGCAAGTGAAAAGACTGGCAAGGCATAGATCAGATCCCAAAGACTTTGATATACAAACACTAAGCGCCTTTTAAGACTTTTAAACCGGGGAGTATGTAGGGTGACTTCACCAAAACTCTTTCAGACAGATCACCCTGGCAACAGCGTGGCACTCAAACAGAAGGGGGTCGACGTGGAACTAGGGAGATTAGTTAGAACTTGTCTCATAAATATATGTTAAAGGAATCGCCTAAGGCAACAGGAGTAAAATGGAGAAAAGATGTATCTACACATACCAAAAAAAGTGGAATCTGCGGGACTTGATAACAGATTAAGTATGAGAGAATACAGGTATAGGAGGATACAGGAGAGGAATCTGGGAAATGTTCAAATTTAATCAATCTTCCAGCAAGTTAAAATCAGAACTAATCGTTATTTTTCACCCATCAAGATAATGGAAATTAAACAGCAACAGTAAATCAGTGCTATGCAGTTCACAAACTAATACACTACCAGAAGAGTGATAATTGATATAAACTATTTCCTTTTTGATAAACCCCACTATATCCTGAAAGCAATTTGATAATATGTATCACGCCTTTTGACAGCAAATACATTTCAGTTATGTGCCCTAAGGAGATGATCTGAAATTCAGACAGATTTATGGAGCTATATATTCTTTGAAAAGTACTTTATTAAGAAAACGAATATTATGCATTTAATTTTAAAAGTTACAAAAATATTTAATAACATGAGAAATTACTTATGCTATAATTGTAAGTGACCCAAGAGCACAACTGCTTTACAATATCAACTGTGTACAAAATACATGTTCCCATACCCTTTGACACTGCTAGAATCCTTCCAGGAATCTAGTCAACAGAAATACTTACAAATGTTCCTTGCAGCACTGTTAGTAATGGCAGAAAATTGGAAACCTAAATAGCCATCATTAGAGGAATGGCTGAATGAATTATACTTTATCCTTAAACTGGAATGCAATGCAGCCATTTAAAAAAAATCTATCTGCCTTGACCCAGAAAGATCTCCAAAATACATTAAATAAAAGAATATACATAGTATGATCCTACTTATAGTAAAAGATTGGCATGCATGTATATACGTATGTAAATAAATAAAAGATCTGGAAGCAAACTTGTTTTTGAGAGAACTGAAGGGTGGGGGGGTGAAGTGGGCTTTTCGCTTTTTACCCTATATACTTCTATACAGTTTTAATTCTTTACATTTGCTGTACTGGGATTTTTTCTTTTTAAGTTAGAAAGAACATATTAGTGGTTACTCTGAGTGGGAGGTTTATGGATTTTCCATGTTATTTTTCCAATTTTTTTATGCAGCCTTAAATTTCTACAGAAATAATTACTTTTACTTCAGCAAAAAAAGTAACATAAAACAAATTAAAATGTTTGCATTTCTGGGATTTGGTATAGGAAATTTTATAAAATTTTCTAATTTTGTATGTGGATGGTTTATCTGAAATGGTCTGGGAGCACTGGGCCTCTTGGAAACAAAGTACAAAGTGTAATAACGGCCATAAAACTACACTGAGGAAACGATTTAACAAACATTTACTGATTGCCGATTATGTGCCTAGCACACTGCATCTGCAGTGATAACAGTTTTCCTATTAACCATCCTAAGGTCTCAGTGACAGATTTACAAGCTGTTTTTTTATTTCATTTTGCAGGATTTTTTTTTTTTTTTTTGCTTGCCTTATCCCTGGGATAACCCGTCCCATTTAATTCCCTGCACCGCTCTATTCCTTAAGAGCCCTTCTGTAGGGGCAGAGAGGTTCTACTTCATTACTGCGTCTCCTGGGAAGGCCATCAGGACTGCTGGCTAAAGTGGGAACCAGGACTCTTTGTGAGTTAAGAATTTGTGTATTTATATGTGTGTTATACACATTTTTTAAAAAACTGTAACGACATCAGGTTGAGCAGTCGTCTCCGGGTGGTGAATTATGTGTATTTTTAAATTTTATACTATATTGTTATTTTTCAAATGTTCGAAATTGAATATGTAGATTGTTGTTATCAGCAGAAAAATAAACATTATTCAAATACTCTATTCAGTAAAGTAATTTATTGGGCGCCTTTGTCAAGCACGCATTTGCCTAGATGTGACTCTACAGATAAAATTCACTTGGGGCCTCCCCTTACAGACAATCAGGCAGTGGAGACTGAGTGCCTGAATGGATAGACCAGCACTCAGACCACTATTTTCAGTATCTGTTTTTCTTAACTCAGGGCCGTGGTTTTCAAACGTTTTTCGCCTTACGGTCACCCTTAGGGGTCCCCCGAGACCGGCCCAGACAGACAGATATACAAAAACACATACACAGTCATGAGCGTCCACCATTTCCCCACCAGGCGCAGCACAGGCGGCTTCCCGGCACTGAGATGGGGGGGAGGAGGGAGAGAGCGCGAGGGGGGAGGGGAAAGCAGAGAACGAAAGAGGCGGAGGCGGCCCCCGAACCCCGCTCTGGTCTTCATCATCACCACCCCTGGGTCCCCAGTTCCCACCCACACACCAACCTCTAACGATACCGGGTAATTTTCCTCCTTCTTCCCTCAAACGGCTATAGCGAGACGGTAGACGACGACCAGAACTACTTCTGCTCACGTAAGCGAGTAATCACGTGAGCGCCTACGTCATGTGAGATCTCGGTCACGTGAGCAACTCTCGGCTTAAACTCGGGATCACTAAGGTGCCGCACTTCCTTCTGGTATGGAAATAGGGCGGGTCAATATCAAGAAAGGAAGAGGGTGATTGGTTAGCGGAACGTCTTACGTGACTGATTATTGGTCTACCTCTGGGGATAACCGTCCCAGTTGCCAGAGAAACAATAACGTCATTATTTAATAAGTCATCGGTGATTGGTCCGCCCCTGAGGTTAATCTTAAAAGCCCAGGTTACCCGCGGAAATTTATGCTGTCCGGTCACCGTGACAATGCAGCTGAGGAACCCAGAACTACATCTGGGCTGCGCGCTTGCGCTTCGCTTCCTGGCCCTCGTTTCCTGGGACATCCCTGGGGCTAGAGCACTGGACAATGGATTGGCAAGGACGCCTACCATGGGCTGGCTGCACTGGGAGCGCTTCATGTGCAACCTTGACTGCCAGGAAGAGCCAGATTCCTGCATCAGGTATCAGATATTGGGTACTCCCTTCCCTTTGCTTTTCCATGTGTTTGGGTGTGTTTGGGGAACTGGAGAGTCTCAACGGGAACAGTTGAGCCCGAGGGAGAGCTCCCCCACCCGACTCTGCTGCTGCTTTTTTATCCCCAGCAAACTGTCCCGAATCAGGACTAGCCCTAAACTTTCTCTGTGTGACCTTTCCTGGGATGGGAGTCCGGCCAGCGGCCCCTGTTTCTTTCTCTCTCTCTCTCTCTCTCGTTCTCCTTCTCTTTCTCTTTCTCTTCTTTCCTCTCTCTTTCTCTCTCTCCCTGCCCGGTTCTCTTTTTTCACTGCTCCTTGCAGAGCAGGGCCACCCCATAGGCAGTGTGCCCAAAGTAGCCCTGCCCGGTTCTATTCAGACCCTTCTTGTGAACTTCTGCTCTTCCTCTGCCGGGTGCTAACCGTTAGAACATCTAGGGTGGGTAGGAGGAATGGGGAACTAAGATTCGTGCCATTTTTTCTCCTTTTGGGGTCGTGGATTTCTCGGCAGTATCTCGAGGGAGTTAGAGAGACCATAAGGTCGCTGAGATCTCTCCCACCTCGCCCATGAGCGTGGCATCAGGCTGGAAGGTTGACATGGAGGAACTTTATACATTTACACCTTTGCGTGAGGGTTGAGGCTGGATTAGATAGGTATTGAACATATCTGACCCTCACAATCCTTATCTGTAAATTGGGATTACAACCTTTTAATTTCAGGGAGCTGACAAAAAAAATCTGAAAAATAGTTCTTATCTCACACAGGTGAGTTTTCAAGGAGATAACCTATTTAAAGTACATAGCACAGCGCTTGACCATTCAACTGCGCTTACAGAGCAAATGTTCAATGGGAAAATGAATGTAAATCTACAAATCTGAATGAATATGTGTATTTTTCTGGAGAGAGGATATTTACCTTTCTTCAAATTCTCAAAGGGCTCTGTGATTTAAAAAAGGTTAGGAATCACTGATAGATGTTGGTAAAAGGTGGCAGTCACAGTACATTTCTGTGTCCATAAGTTATTCCTATGAATATCTTTATAGATAAAGTCAGGATGTTGGTCAGACATCACAGAAGAAATTGGCCTTGTAAGTTTCATGTGACCCTGTGGTACAGTATGTGTGGCAATTTTGCCCATCACGGATTTTTTTTTATTGGTATTTGCATCTGATTATAAAACTAATGCATGATCATTGCAAAAAATGTAGATAAAGAAGAGCAAAATGAAAATAAAGATTTCCCCCCACCGTTCCACCACCCAGAAATAATCATGGTTTAAATGTTAATATACAACCTTACAATTGTTTTCTATATAAATGAAAACATAGATTTCTTTATTTCATTATTTTCCATAAAAAATGGATCATGTTTATGTCATGTTTGGCTAATGGCAAGACCCTGGCACCCAGTCTGGGCTCAAATTCTGCCTCATTGTTACTTAGCCCTGTGACATTGGGTAAATTACACTTTTTTTTTTTTTTTTTTTTTGAGACGGGGTCTCGCTCTGTCGCCCAGGCTGGAGTGCAGTGGCACGATCTCGGCTCACTGCAAGCTCCGCCTCCTGGGTTCACGCCATTCTTCTGCCTCAGCCTCCCGAGTAGCTGGGACTACAGGCGCCTGCCACCACGCCTGGCTCTTTTTTTTTTTTTTTTTTTTTTTAGTACAGACGGGGTTTCACCATGTTAGCCAGGGTGGTCTCAATCTCCTGACCTCGTGATTCGCCCGCCTCAGCCTCCCAAAGTGCTGGTGTGAGCCACCGTGCCCAGCCTTACTTTTTTTTTTGAGAGGGGGTCTCACTCTGTCACCCAGGTTGGAGTGCAGTGGCGCGATCTCTGCTCAGTGCAAACTCCACCTCCCGGGTTTAAGCAGTTCTCCTGTCGTAGTCTCCTGAGTAGCTGGGATTACAGGCACACCACCACGGCCAGCTAATTTTTGTATTTTCAGTAGAGACGGGTTTCACCATGTTGCCCAAGCTGGTCTCGAACTCCTGGCCTCAAGTGATCTGCCCGCCTTGGCCTCCCAGAGTGCTGGGATTACAGGTGTGAGCCACCGCACCCGGCCTCTTTTTTCTTTTTTAGTCTATCATACCTTGCAAATACAGTGGTTCTTCCTATGTGTTGGTTTTGATATTTATGTAATCAAACACATCAGTTTTTCCTTTCTGATTTCTGACTTTGGGGTCATGCTGAGAAAGTCCTTTCCTACCTGAAGATAATACAGTATATACGTTTCTTACTAGTATTTTTGTGGATTTTTAAAATATTTAAATCTTTAGTCCATCTGAACTTTGTTCTTCTATCAGAAATGCCACATTTAATAAATAATAAGTCCCATGGTATCAGATGGCTGGAAGGACCTCTTTCGAAACTTTGTTTAATTCCATTAATCTGTGTATTCTTATTCTAATGCTAATAGTTCCACACTAGCTTCCTTTATCTTTTTTTTCTTTTTTTTTTTTTTTTTGAGCTGGAGTTTCGCTCTTGTTGCCCAGGCTGGAGTACAATGTCACGATCTCGGTTCACCGCAACCTCCGCCTCCCAGGTTCAAGCAATTCTCCTGCCTCATCCTCGCGAGTAGCTGGAATTACAGGCATGCGCCACCACGCCTAGCTATTTTGTATTTTTAGTAGAGATGGGGTTTCTCCATGTTGGTCAGGCTGGTCTCAAACTCCCAGCCTCAGGTGATCTGCCTGCCTCGGCCTCCCAAAATGCTGTTATTACAGGCGTGAGCCACCACGCCCAGCCTTCATCTTTTAATGAATGTACATGTATGTAATCTTTTAGGTGAACTTTTTGTAATGTTGTGCCAAGTTCCTTAAAAAGCCCTTTTGGAAGCTGGGCAGGTGGCCCACGCCTGTAATCCCAGCATTTTGGGAGTCTGAGGCAGGTGGATCACTTGAGGCCAGGAGTTCAAGACTAGCCTAGCCAAAATGCAAAACCCTGTCTCTACTAAAGATACAAAAATTAGCCGGATGCGATGGCACATGCCTGTAATCTCAGCTACTCGGGAGGCTGAGGTAGAAGAATCGCTTGAACCGGGGAGGCAGAGGTTGCAGTGAGCCAAGATGGCGCCACTGCACTCCAGCCTGGGTGACAGAGGGAGACTCCATCTCAAAAAAAAAAAAAAAAAAAAAGATAAAAAGGAAACCTAAGTACTCTTGGGCTTTGTTAAGGATTTTGTTAAATATACAAAGGATTGCAGGGAAAATTAACTTATTTTTAATATTGAGTATGCTTATCCAAGAGCAAAATAATATTTCTCCATTTATTCAAATCATTTAGGAGCATCATAGTTTTAACATATGGGCCTTGCACGTATCTTAAATTTATCTCTAGGCATTTTAGGTTGTTCAGTTGTTCTTGTGAATGGGATCTTTTTCTCCAAATAGGATTATTGTTGATATCTGTTGATTATGTTAACTTTGTAGTTTCTGACTTTACTGAACTGTCTTCTTAGATCTAATACTCTTTTCAATTTCATCATATATTTCTCATTCCTATTTTGTTTGGGGTTTTTAGGGCGGGAATATTAACGGGATAAGAGAGACAAAAGAAAATCTGGAAAAACAATTCATTTTACCTTACATTGCTTGTGATTACTACCACACTATTACTGGGTTGGAAAAAATTGTGAAATCCCAAGGTGCCTAATAAATGGGAGGTACCTAAGTGTTCATTTAATGAATTGTAATGATTATTGGAATTTCTCTTTCAGTGAGAAGCTCTTCATGGAGATGGCAGAGCTCATGGTCTCAGAAGGCTGGAAGGATGCAGGTTATGAGTACCTCTGCATTGATGACTGTTGGATGGCTCCCCAAAGAGATTCAGAAGGCAGACTTCAGGCAGACCCTCAGCGCTTTCCTCATGGGATTCGCCAGCTAGCTAATTATGTGAGTTTATAGATAATGTTCTTGTTCATTCAGAGGACTGTAAGCACTTCTGTACAGAAGCTTGTTTAGAAACAGCCCTCATGGCCGGGCGTGGTGGCTCACGCCTGTAATCCCAACACTTTGGGAGGCCGAGGCGGGTGGATCACCTGAGGTCAAGAGTTCAAGACCAGCCTGGCCAACATGGTGAAACCCCAACTCTATTAAAAGTACAAAAAATTAGCTGGGCATGGTGGTGAACGCCTGTAACCCCAGCTACTTGGGAGGCTGAGGCAGGAGAATCGCTTGAACCCAGGAGGTGGAAGTTTCAGTGAGCTGAGATCACGCCATTGCACTCTAGCCTGGGCAACAAAAGAGAAACTCCATCTCAAAAAAAAAAACAAGGAAAAAAAGAAACAGCCCTCATGACACTTAGAAAGTAGAATAGCTGGCTGTTATCTGAACATTGAATTGTAAGGCTTATCAGGTGGACTTTGCATTCCATCAGCAGACAATTTTTTTTTTTTTTTTTTTTTGAGATGGAGTCTCATTCTGTCTCCCAGGCTGGAGGGCAGTGGTGCGATCTCGGCTCACTGCAAGCTCCACCTCCTGGGTTCATGCCATTCTCCTGCCTCAGCCTCCCAAGTAGCTGGGACCACAGGCACCCGCCACCATGCCCAGTTAATTTTTTGTATTTTTAGTAGAGACGGGGTTTCACCATGTTAGCCAAGATGGTCTCGATCTCCTGACCTCGTGATCCGCCCACCTCGGCCTCCCAAAGTGCTGGGATTACAGGCATGAGCCACCGCGCCTAGCCTACAAATGTTTTGTAATAGCTCTTGAGGCCCATCTTGGAGTTCTCCTTTTGCTAAAACCACTGAACTCTCTAGGAGGAAAAAGGAACTTGGTTCTTGACATATGTGTGCATGTATTTCCATATAACCTTTAGGAAGCTATTGCAATGGTACTATAAACTAGAATTTTAGAAGATAGAAGGAAAATATTCTGGAGATCATTGAAGAGAAATGGAGTCCAACACTAGTTAAAGATGATGAAGACAGATTTTTTTTTTTGACGGAGTCTCGCTCTGTCGCCCAGGCTGGAGTGCAGTGGCACAATCTCAGCTCACTGCAACCCTCCACCTCTTGGGTTCAAGTGATTCTCCTGCCTCAGCCTCCCAAGTAGCTGGGACTACAGGCGCACACCACCACGCCCGGCTAATTTTTGTATTTTTAGTAGAGACAAGGTTTCACCATATTCGCCAGGCTGGTCTCGAACTCCTGACCTTGTAATCCGCCCACCTTGGCCTCCCAAAGTGCTGGGATTACAGGCATGAGCCACCACGCCCGGCCGATGAAGACAGATTTTATTCAGTACTACCACAGTAGAGGAAAGAGCCAAGTTCAATTCCAAATACAACAAAGACAGGTGGAGATTTATAGCCAATGAGCAGATTGAGGGGGTCAGTGGATGGAATATTTAAGAAGACATCAAGGGTAGGGAGCTTCTTGCTAAAGCTTCATGTACTTAAACAAGAAGGGTGGGGGATGAGGGAAATTGATCAGATATCAATGGTGGCAGTATTGACTTAGCAGGATTCTTGCTAAGAGGTCTTGCTAGGACAGACATAGGAAGCCAAGGTGGAGGTCTAGTCGAAAAGAAGGCTCATCAGAGAAGTCTAACTAAAGTTTGGTCAAGAAGAGTCTTTGTCAAGGTAAATCTATCATTTCCCTCAAAAGGTAATTTTCAGGATCCCATCAGGAAGATTAGCATGGCTGCTAGCTTTCTCCTCAGTTCTGGGCTATAGCTCACATGCCTAGTTTGAACTAGCTCAGCAGAACTGGGGGATTTATTCTTTGTCTTCCAACAAACTCATCTGGATGATTTTGGGGGTTTGTGGGGAAAAGCCCCCAATACCTGGTGAAGTAACCTTGTCTCTTCCCCCAGCCTGGAATGGTTCTCTCTTTCTGCTACCTCACGATTGTGCTTCTACAATGGTGACTCTTTTCCTCCCTCTCATTTCAGGTTCACAGCAAAGGACTGAAGCTAGGGATTTATGCAGATGTTGGAAATAAAACCTGCGCAGGCTTCCCTGGGAGTTTTGGATACTACGACATTGATGCCCAGACCTTTGCTGACTGGGGAGTAGATCTGCTAAAATTTGATGGTTGTTACTGTGACAGTTTGGAAAATTTGGCAGATGGTAATGTTTCATTCCAGAGATTTAGCCACAAAGGAAAGAACTTTGAGGCCATGGTAGCTGAGCCAAAGAACCAATCTTCAGAATTTTAAATACCCTGTCACAATACTGGAAATAATTATTCTCCATGTGCCAGAGCTCCCATCTCTTCTCTTTCAGTTCATTAATTAATTAATTAATTCATGTAAAATCCATGCATACCTAACCATAGCTAATATTGTGCACTTATAATTCAAGAGGGCTCTAAGAGTTAATTAGTAATTGTAACTCTCTATAACATCATTTAGGGGAGTCCAGGTTGTCAATCGGTCACAGAGAAAGAAGCATCTTCATTCCTGCCTTTCCTCAATATACACACCATCTCTGCACTACTTCCTCAGAACAATCCCAGCAGTCTGGGAGGTACTTTACACAATTTAAGCACAGAGCAACTGCCTGTCCCTGCTGCTAGTTTAAACATGAACCTTCCAGGTAGCCTCTTCTTAAAATATACAGCCCCAGCTGGGCATGATGGCTCATGCCTGTAATCCTAGCACTTTGGGAGGCTGAGGCGGGTGGATTACTTGAGGTCAGGAGTTCGAGACCACCCTGGCCAACATGGTGAAACCCCATCTCTAGTAAAAATACAAAAATTAGCTGACTTTGGTGGCACATGCCTGTAATCCCAGCTACTTGGGAAGCTGAGACAGAAGAGTCACTTGAACCTGGGAAACAGAGGTTGCAGTGAGCCAAGATCGCACCACTGCACTCCACCCTGGATGACAGACTGAACCCCATCTCAAAAAATTAAAATAAAATAAAATAAAATAACTATATATATAGCCCCAGCTGGAAATTCATTTCTTTCCCTTATTTTACCCATTGTTTTCTCATACAGGTTATAAGCACATGTCCTTGGCCCTGAATAGGACTGGCAGAAGCATTGTGTACTCCTGTGAGTGGCCTCTTTATATGTGGCCCTTTCAAAAGGTGAGATAGTGAGCCCAGAATCCAATAGAACTGTACTGATAGATAGAACTTGACAACAAAGGAAACCAAGGTCTCCTTCAAAGTCCAACGTTACTTACTATCATCCTACCATCTCTCCCAGGTTCCAACCACTTCTCACCATCCCCACTGCTGTAATTATAGCCTAAGCTACCATCACCTGGAAAGTCATCCTTGTGTCTTCCCCTTTATTTCACCATTCATGTCCTGTCTATCAACAGTCCTTCCACCAGTATCTCTAAAATATCTCCTGAATCAGCCCACTTCCTTCCATCTTCACTACATGCACCCTGGCCTTCCAAGCTACTATCGGCTCTCAACCAGACTGCTGGGACCACCTGATCTCTCTGCTTCCACTCTGTCTCAACCCCCATCTATTTTCCAAGCAGCACTAGAGTTATCATATTAAAATGTAAATATCAGTTTTTTTTTTAAAGAAAAAAACCCTGAGACTTAACAGAGTTATAAAAAATATAAATGTCATCATCAGTTCCCTGCTTAAAACCCTTAACTCGCTTCCAATTGCACTTGGAATGAAACCAAACTGCACTGATCCAGCCCTTGCCTGCCTCCCCAAAGTCCAAGGGGTCATGGCTCTTTCCCTGGCTACACTGGTTTTCTTTCTGTCCCTCAACACTGCAAGCCTATTGCTGCCCCAGGGCCTTTACACTTGCTTTTTTTCTGCCTAGAACAGTTCTTCCCCAAAGATTTTTAAAGGGCCGGGCTCCTTAACATTGAAGTCGCAGACCAAACGCCACATATGCAGACAGTTCTTCTCTAACTACTTTAAAATAGCCCTCTGTCCATTCATTCTTCATCACATTAACCTGTTTAATTTTCTTCTCAGAGCTCCACACTATTTGGAAGTATTTGTTGACTTGTTACCATGTCTCCCCACTAGAGTGTAAGTTTCATGAGGGCAGGGACCTTGTCTGACTTTGACTGTATCTCTCGCATATGGTTAAGTGTTGAATAGTTATTTATGGAATGAATCCCTATTATTCCCTCATTATCTCTGCAAAATAGTCTTTTTTCTCAACATCTTAAACCTGATATCCCACCTGCCTATCTACAAACTTTTTTTTTGCGACAGAGTCTCACTGTCACCCAGGCTAGAGTGCAGTGGCGCCATCTCGGCTCACTGCAACCTCCGCCTCCCGGGTTTAAGCGATTCTCTTGCCTCAGCCTCCCAGTAGCTGGGATTATAGGCGTGCGCTACCACATCTGGCTAATTTTTGTATTTTTAGTAGAGATGGTTTCACCATGTTGGCCAGGCTTGTCTCGAACTCCTGACCTCAGATGATCCACCTGCCTCGGCCTCCCAAAGTGCTGGGATTACAGGCATGAGCCACCGTGCCCAGCCTCTACAAACTTTTTATTCCATTAACAAACTATATGCCTGGGATTTAAGTTTTCTTAATACTTGATGGAGTCCTATGTAATTTTGCAGCTTTTAATTTTACTAAGACCATTTTAGTTCTGATTATAGAAGTAAATTAACTTTAAGGGATTTCAAGTTATATGGCCTACTTCTGAAGCAAACTTCTTACAGTGAAAATTCATTATAAGGGTTTAGACCTCCTTATGGAGACGTTCAATCTGTAAACTCAAGAGAAGGCTACAAGTGCCTCCTTTAAACTGTTTTCATCTCACAAGGATGTTAGTAGAAAGTAAACAGAAGAGTCATATCTGTTTTCACAGCCCAATTATACAGAAATCCGACAGTACTGCAATCACTGGCGAAATTTTGCTGACATTGATGATTCCTGGAAAAGTATAAAGAGTATCTTGGACTGGACATCTTTTAACCAGGAGAGAATTGTTGATGTTGCTGGACCAGGGGGTTGGAATGACCCAGATATGGTAAAAACTTGAGCCCTCCTTGTTCAAGACCCTGCGGTAGGCTTGTTTCCTATTTTGACATTCAAGGTAAATACAGGTAAAGTTCCTGGGAGGAGGCTTTATGTGAGAGTACTTAGAGCAGGATGCTGTGGAAAGTGGTTTCTCCATATGGGTCATCTAGGTAACTTTAAGAATGTTTCCTCCTCTCTTGTTTGAATTATTTCATTCTTTTTCTCAGTTAGTGATTGGCAACTTTGGCCTCAGCTGGAATCAGCAAGTAACTCAGATGGCCCTCTGGGCTATCATGGCTGCTCCTTTATTCATGTCTAATGACCTCCGACACATCAGCCCTCAAGCCAAAGCTCTCCTTCAGGATAAGGACGTAATTGCCATCAATCAGGACCCCTTGGGCAAGCAAGGGTACCAGCTTAGACAGGTAAATAAGAGTATATATTTTAAGATGGCTTTATATACCCAATACCAACTTTGTCTTGGGCCTAAATCTATTTTTTTCCCTTGCTCTTGATGTTACTATCAGTAATAAAGCTTCTTGCTAGAAACATTACTTTATTTCCAAAATAATGCTACAGGATCATTTTAATTTTTCCTACAAGTGCTTGATAGTTCTGACATTAAGAATGAATGCCAAACTAACAGGGCCACTTATCACTAGTTGCTAAGCAACCACACTTTCTTGGTTTTTCAGGGAGACAACTTTGAAGTGTGGGAACGACCTCTCTCAGGCTTAGCCTGGGCTGTAGCTATGATAAACCGGCAGGAGATTGGTGGACCTCGCTCTTATACCATCGCAGTTGCTTCCCTGGGTAAAGGAGTGGCCTGTAATCCTGCCTGCTTCATCACACAGCTCCTCCCTGTGAAAAGGAAGCTAGGGTTCTATGAATGGACTTCAAGGTTAAGAAGTCACATAAATCCCACAGGCACTGTTTTGCTTCAGCTAGAAAATACAATGCAGATGTCATTAAAAGACTTACTTTAAAATGTTTATTTTATTGCCAACTACTACTTCCTGTCCACCTTTTTCTCCATTCACTTTAAAAGCTCAAGGCTAGGTGGCTCATGCCTGTAATCCCAGCACTTTGGGAGGCTGAGGCGGGCAGATCACCTGAGGTCGGGACTTTGAGACCCGCCTGGACAACATGGTGAAACCCCATTTCTAATAAAAATATAAAAATTAGCCAGGTGTGGTGGCGCACGCCTGTGGTCCCAGCTACTCTGGGGGCTGAGGCATGAGAATCGCTTGAACCCGGGAGGTGGAGGTTGCATTGAGCTGAGATCATGCCACCTCACTCCAGCCTGGGCAACAAAGATTCCATCTCAAAAAAAAAAAAAAAAGCCAGGCACAGTGGCTCATGCCTGGAATCCCAGCACTTTTGGAAGCTGAGGCAGGCAGATCACTTGAGGTTAGGATTTCAAGACCAGCCTGGCTAACATAGTAAAGCCCTGTCTCTACTAAAAATACAAAAATTAGCCAGGTATGGTGGCGAGCTTCTGTAGCCCCAGCTACTCAGGAGACTGAGGCAGGAGAATCACTTGAACCCGGGAAGTGGGGGGGTGCAGTGACCCAAGATCACGCCACTGCATTCCAGCCTGGGCAACAGAGCAAGACTCCATCTCAAAAAAAAAAGTTCTATTTCCTTGAATAAAATTTTCCGAAGTTTAAACTTTAGGAATAAAACTATTAAACCCATATTTACTCATCCAGATACCCACCCCCCTTGTTGAGATTCTCTCCCAATTATCAAAATGTGTAGCATATTTAACTACCAAGAGCTAAACATCATTAAGACTGAAATGTATTAAGAAGGATGTATAGGCCAGGCACGGTGTCTCACGCCTGTAATCCCAACACTTTGGGAGGCCAAGTCGGGCGGATCACGAGGTCAGGAGATGGAGACCATCCTGGCCAACATGGTGAAACCCCCTCTCTACTAAAAATACAAAAATTAGCCAGGCAGGTGGCAGGCACCTGTAATCCCAGCTACTCCAGAGGCTGAGGCAGGACAATCACTTGAACCTGGGAGGCAGAGGCTGCAGTGAGCTGAGGTTGTACCAATTGCACTCCAGCCTAGGTAACGAGCAACACTCCATCTCAAAAAAAGAAAAAAAAAAAGATGTATAATTTGGAACTGTTAAGAGGCATTTTAAAGAATGGATATTTTGTCTCTTAAGATTCTTCCACCGGGGAGTTTGGCCAGACCTGGTGGCTCACACCTGTAATCCCAACATCTTGGGATGCTGAGATAGGAGTTTCACTGAAGGCCAGGAGTTCCAGACTAGCTGAGTAACAAAGAGAGACACCCAACACAAAAACTAAAATTAGCCAGGTATGGTAACAGGCACCTATAGTCCCAGCTACTCAGGAGGCTGAGGCAGGTGGACCACTTGAGCCTGCAAGCTCAAAGCTGTAGCAAGCTATGATCCACACCACTGGCACTTACGAGAGGGAGACCCTGTCTCAAAAAAAAAAAAAAAACTCCACTGGGGGGTTTCATACACTAGAAAACCTATTCTTTGTAGTTATTTTGGTATAAATATATCTACTTTAAAATGTGAGGGGGAATGTCAAAATGTTCAAGAGTGTAAGACCAAGTCCACAGACAATGTTATATATGTTACAGTGTACTGTGTCTGAAGAACAATGCCAAAATTCTTTATTAAATTAACTGTTATAACAAAGATCTGACACTTAACTCTTAGCAAAGACATCTCATATTCACTATGAATGTGTTACTGACTTCTCCCTATTAGCCTGAAATGTGTCTACTCACATGATAACCAATAACCATTGCATAATGACAAACTGCCTCATAAGGCCCCTAGTGATTGAAGTGCCAAATTAGAAAATTGCAACATATGATGTGAACTCAACCAGTCAGCTTCAATGCAAAACAAGTAGTACCAGTAAGAGGCATAAATTTCCCCACAAGCGGAATTGTATTGATGGCTCTAGCTTATTCCCTCCCAAAAGATGAACAGCAAACAAATGAAGTGAACATAAACTCAAGATTTTATTGTCTTCATAATAAAAGATGACACTTAGAACTGGATCACTTGGCCCTGTAACAGAACAGAAAAAAGTTGTTTTGTATTTTGCCATGAACTACTGCCCCATTAAGAACATTATCTGTTCCTAAAATACTCACCATGCTGTTAAGCTGCCTCATTCTTCCTTTCCTCCTTGTAGCAAAAGACCTCACATATCTTTAGCTATAGATCTAATATTTTTAGAGGATTACCCCTGAGCTCTATGCCACAATGAATAGATGTTCACCTTTTCAAATAATAAAGCTATGAAAAAGATTGCACCTTCCACCCATAATTATATACCTTTCTCTTCTTATCTCCTCCCAGTTCAAAATGCTTGCATCTTTTAATAGCCAGCATTCTCTTAGATCTGCAGTTGGGCTCAACGCACTCAAGCCTTAGCACAATCTTCTTTGTAGTTTTAGCCTGAAAAAAAATTAAATTAAAGCCTTAATAAATAACTACAGAAGATCACTTTCTTCAAAAATGACTACTTTAAGTACTATTTAAAGCAAAGCATTGCAAATGAATAGTGGGGCAACTATTCTTTTGCAATGCTTTGCTTTAAATAGTACTCAGTATACTCTTAAGCCATAGGGAGAAAATAATCTAAAAATCAGTGAATTTAAGAGAAAATGTGTAGAACTTGTGGACTAAAAAAAATAAAGAGAAGGCTGGGCACAGTGGCTCATGCCTGTAATCCTAGCACTTTGGGAGGCCGAGGCAGGCAGATCATGAGGTCAGGAGTTCAAGACCAGCCTGACCAACATGGTGAAACCCCATCTCTACTAAAAATACAAAAAAATCAGCCGGGCATGGTGGCACGTGTCTATAATCCCAGCTGCTTAGGAGGCTGAGGCAGAAGAATCACTTGAACCCGGGAGGTGGGCGGAAGTTGCAGTGAGCAGAGATCGCACCACTGCACTCCAGCCAGGGAAACAGAGACTCCATCTCAAAAAAAAAAAAAAAATATATATATATATATTATATATATAAATATATATAAAAAACATAAAAATATATATAATATATAATATATAAATATATATATATAAAGAGAAAATGTGGTAATAGCAAAGATGGCATGTCACCCAGTTGTCATCAAGTTTGAATCCAAACCCCATTCAGATCAAACATCCTAGAGCTTCCTATCAAATGGGCAACTCATCTTGCCACCCTGAACTTGTGGCCATTCAGCAGCTCTGCATAGTTCTTTAATCCCAACAGTTTGTGAGGCTGAGGCAGGATCACTTGAGCCCAGGATTTTGAGACCAGCCTGGGCAACATAGTGAGAACCCCATCTCTATAAAAGATCAATAAATTCTAAGACTACCTACAATTATGTCTAGAATTTATGTCCATTCAACTGAATTATTTAACTCAAACTACACTCCCCACTAATCCTCAACTTTTTTTATTGTTCTTTTTTTTTTTTTTTGAGATGGAGTTTTGCTCTTGTTGCCCAGGCTGGAGTGCAATGACGTGATCTCAGCTCCTTCTCCTGGGTTCAAACAATTCTCCTGCTTCAGCCTCCTGAGTAGCTGGGATAACAGGCGCCCACCACCACGCCCAGCTAATTTTTTCTTATTTTTACTAGAGATGGGGGTTTCATCATGTTGGACAGGCTGGTCTTGATCCCCTGACCTCAGGTGATACACCCGCCTTGGCCTCCCAAAGTGCTGGGATTACAGGCGCGAGCCACCACGCACGGCCTTGATTGCTCCTTTTACCTAAACAACAGAACTATTGTTTACAAGTTTTCTATTTACCAAAAAATTGCAAACATGCTACAGAGTTCTTATAAACCTTACCAGTTTCTCATCTTACATTAGTATGACTCATTAACAAACCAACACTGATGCCTTATTAACTCAAGTCCATACTTTTTTTTTATTTCCTTATGTTTTTCTAATGTCCTTTTTCTGTTCTAGGACCCCACGCAGGACACCACCTAACATTTAGTCATCATGTCTCTAGACTCCTTTGGCTGTGGCAATTTCTCAGACTTTTTTGATGACCTTGACAATTTCCGCACTACTGGTCAAGTATTTTGTAAAATGCCCCTCTTGGGATTTGTTATTTTTCTCATTAGATAGGGTTATGGATTTTTAGGTTTAAGTGTCATTTTCATCACACCTTATCAAGGGTATATATCAACATGACTCGTGACTGTTGATGTTAACCTTGATTACCTGGCTGAGGTAGTGCTTGTTAGGTTTCTCCACTGTAAAGTTTTATTGCATTTTTTCTTTGAGGTACAAACAATCCAATTACACTCTAAGTTATTTTAAAATATGTAACTAAGTTATTGACTTTAGTCACGCTGTCGTGCTATCAAATAGTTGGTCTAATTCATTCTTTTTTCTTTTTGTACCCATTAACCATCCCCACCTCCCGCCACCAGAAGTTCTCAGCTTCTGGTAACCATCCTTCTACTCTCTATATGACAAGTCCACTTGTTTTGATTTTTAGATCCCACAAACAAGAACATGTGATGCTTGTCTTTGTGTGCCTATTTCACTTAACATAACGATCTCCAGTTCCACCCATGTTGTTGTAAATGACTGGATCTCATTCTTTTTATGGCTGAATAGTACCACTGTGTATAGGTGCATTTTCTTTTTCCCTTTTTTTTTTTTTTTTTTTTGAGATGGAGTCTTGCTCTGTCGCCCAGGCTGGAGTACAGTGGCGTGATCTCGGCTCACTGCAGCCTCTGCCTCCCAGGTTCCAGCGATTCTCCTGCCTCAGCCTCCCGGGTGGCTGAGATTACAGGCCCACACCACAAGCCCGGCTAATTTTTGTATTTTTACTAGAGACGGGGTTTCACTATCTTGGCCAGGCTGGTCTCGAACTCCTGACCTCAGGTGATCCACCCGCCTCGGCTTTCCAAAGTGCTAGGCACAAGCCACCGTGCCTGGCCGCGTATAGGTACATTTTCTTTATCCATTCATCCCGATGGACACTAAGGTTGCTTCTAAATCTTAGCTATTATAAACAGTGCTACAACAAACATAGGAGTGCAGATATCTCTTTGATATACCGATTTTCTTCTGGGTATATACCCAGCAGTGGGATTGTTGGATCATATGGTAGCTCAACTTTTAAATACTCAATTTCCTAATAAGCTTGCCCCTTTAGCCAGAGTTCTGCTGCTGCTAGTTTGCAGTTCTTAATAGGCCAAAACCTAGTTAGAACCTCTGTCTTCTAAACAAGTTATCCGAATGTGAAAAGGTATAAAAAAAGCATTCTTTTTGCCACCCTGAGATCAAACCACTTACTGCATCCAAATGAGCACTAAAGTCATTCCTTAATACTTTCTGGAGCTAAACTGCACAAGAAGCAAAGTGCCAAAAGAAATGCTGTGTTGGAGAGAATGCTCCGTTCCAATCATCGTGCTAATTACTTTAAGAGTTAGCCAAATCACCTAAGGTTTGAGAGTAAACAGAAACTCGCTCAGCCTGAGAATACAGAATTCAGGAGGCTAGCAGAAAGGCCTAAATGGCTATTCTATAAGAGTTTTAAGACTTCACGAGAACAGGTAGTTGACTGCAGATTTCTGTGATGAGAAACAACAGAACAATTCTTAGTGCAACCAACAAGCGAGGATTCAGACATATTGACAGATAAGGAACAAGGCAAATGAAAGGATTTACCAGTGTACTCACACTTCAGTTCTTAGGAAAGCAGGGCACATTCCTCAATTTTTTGCCTCTTCAGAAGGGAAAGGATAAAAAATCGTAAACACTGAAATAGTGCAGTATTGTGGACTAGTCAGACATGAGTTGCATTCCCAGCTCCATCACCTACTAGATATATCAGTGCAGTGAAAACTTCGCTAAACTAACGCTATACCTATATCATGAAGTGTGTGGACTAGAGACAAGTGCATATCCTTACGGCAATTAACTGGGAAACGTCAAATAGTAACTACCACTCACCTTTTTCCGGAAAATCGGCTTAGTTTGCCCACCATAGCCACTCTGCTTCCTGTCATAACGCCGCTTTCCTGGGAAAACGAATTGGTATTTGTTATAAAATACTGAAGATCAGCAAGTAAGTCTTACAGGTTTTATCTTAATTTCGCAGCAGAAATATTAACGCTCAAGCCAGGCGTGGAGGGAGAGAGACCCGGACTCGTATGTTATTCTACAACACAAATGTCACATTAACACCAAATTATGCGGAATCCATCTTACCCTGGGCGTACAGAGAATCCTTGCCCTTCTTGTACTGTGTCACTTTATGGGGTTGGTGCTTGCCACACTTCTTACAGAAAGTCCGGCGGGTTTTAGGGACGTTAACCTAGTAAAGAAACAGTTCAGAACGTGCAATGTTATTTGACCACAATGGCACAACGCCCTACCTTACCCAGCTAAAGCTGAGGCACTCCAGGAGGACTCCTCATTACTTGCTACCTCTGACTACAGGGTGGGCCAGCCCCATGTGCTTCAAGCAGAGCTTCCTCCCTCCGTCGAGCCCCAAAGAGGGAAGAGACCTCATTAACTCCACCCCCGGCTAACTCTACCTCTTTGAACCCATCACTTCAATTCCTGGCCCCGTAGCCCGGTCCCTTTAGGGTTGATCCCGGCAAGATTGGGTTGCTCTGATATATCGAGTCCACACAGGAGCCTGGACCCATCCCGGCATAGCACGGGCGACGAAGGGGGGGAAAGATTAAGCTGGATGTTACTCGGCCCCCACCAGCAAGTCCTACCATGCTTGCGTGAGCGCTATCGGCGCGGAAAGAAAGAAACCGCGAGGCAAACGGAAGTATATAGGAGGTTCCCGATCGCACTTCCTCATGGGAGTCGGTAGGAGCAATCATAGAGTGTAAGGCTCAGCGCAGCGCCCTCGGGCGGCTGAGAGGACTCAGTTCGGAGCCGCGGGCGGGAGCTTAAGGAAGGACTCCGCCTAAAGGGTGGTCCACTCACCCCGACTTCCTCCCGCCCCGCAGCTTTCAACGTTTCGTCACTTTATCTCTTTTGGTGGACTCTGCTACGTAGTGGCGTTCAGTGAAGGGAGCAGTGTTTTTCCCAGATCCTCTGGCCTCCCCGTCCCCGAGGGAAGCCAGGACTAGGGTCGAATGAAGGGGTCCTCCACCTCCACGTTCCATTCCTGTTCCACCTCAAGGTCACTGGGAACACCTTTCGCAGCAAACTGCTAATTCAATGAAGACCTGGAGGGAGCCAATTGTTCCAGTTCATCTATCACATGGCCAGTTGGTCCATTCAACAAATGGTTATTGGATGCCCATTATGTGGCAGGCACTGTTCCGGGGGAGAGGTACAGTAATCTAATAGGCTTATAAATGTGCAATTATGAACTAAGTACTTTGAAGAAAAGGAACAATGATTGGCATTAAAGCAGCACCCTTCTGTTGAGGGAGTAAGTCAGCAGCTCTAGGTTCTGAAAAGTGACAATGAAATTGTTTGGCTCCTGTAATAGCAATCATCAAGCCTAGAAGTAGAAAGTACCTAGCGGCTCTTCCCTTCCTTGCAAACCTGGCAGAAGGCATATACTAGGTCTCAAGAGAGTCCAGCATAGAAAGACTTCAGGGTGCTAAACATTTTAAATAGATTGTGTCATACAATTCTCACAATAATTCTAGGAGACAGGTGGTACTATTATTCTCATTTTACAGATTAAGAAATTGAGGCTGTAGGATGTTAAACGATTTGCCCAATGTCAACGGTATTTAGTGAATCTAGGATACAAACCCAAGTAGACTGACTCTAGAGCCCGCGTTCCTTTAACATTATAAAATATTGCTGTTGTGGCCTGGTAATTATAATAGCTAAAAAAATTATGGCGCACTTACTATATGCCAGGCATTCTCCTAACCACCTTACATACTACCCCTTTTAATCCTGACAGCAACCCCAGGAGGTATATACCAGTATTAGTATTTAACAGGTGAGGAAACTGAGGCACAAGAGATGTTAAGTTTACTTACCTGAAGTCACACAGGTTGTTATTTTTTTGTGGAGCTGGAATTTGATCCTAGGTAGTCTAACACTATAGCCTTGCACTTAACCACTACATCATACAAAGGAAGCAGGGGCATCTGCAGTGTAGAGGATGGTGAGGAGACAGAATTGGGCTGAGACACAGGAGGAGGTGGCAGTGGAATAGGGGCTGAAGAACCGTGAGAGTCTGGGGTATCTTGCTTGCACAACCCTCCAGGAACACGCGTGGGACCTGAGCTGACACTCTGATCACCCCCTTTTTTGTTGGGTGGTCTCTGGGAATGAGATAATAAATATATTACCACTACCTGCTACATTTCCTGAAAATTTCTTTGCCAAACTTCCAGCATTTTCTTTTTCTTTCCAGATTCTTAAGCAATCTCACTGGCCTTTAGGGGTTTATGTTAGTAACATGGAAATATGAAGACCGTGAACATGGCCCCTCTTCATTTAATCAACCTTAGTTCTTTCTATCATATCTGGTGTTATGTGGCTTTGTGGGGGTTTTGCTTGTTTTTGTTTACTTAAAAATATTTAATTGACAAAAATTGTTTATATTCAAGGTGTACAACATGATGATTTGATATGTGTATACACTGTGTAATGATTACCACAGTCAAATTGATTAACACATCTATCATCCATCACCATCCATAGTTACCATGGGGGTGGTGAGGACACTTAAAATCTGCTCTCTTATCAAATTTCAATAATACAGTATTATTAACTATGGTCACTATATTGCACATTAGATCCCCAGAGCTTATACATCCTATAAGTGAAAGTTTGTACACCAATGCTGACACCGAGGTGGGAGGATCGCTTGAGCTGTTCTCTGTTTTGGACATGCTCCTGCTCATTAATTTCCCCTAAGACGAGGCACTCAGAACTGAATGCAGGACTCTAGGTGTGGTCTGGCTTTGCAGAGTAAGTGGCATGTTACCTTCCTCTGTCTAGATATTTTACTTCCATAAGGAAGCCTCAATGTCACCTTGGCTTTTCTGGAAGCCATGTTAACTGATGACATGCCTTTTGATTACTATCAGCAAAAACCCCTGAACCATTTTCACAAATGCTACTGCTACTCCACTTTCTCCTGGAGTCATTTGAAGTTCAAATTTGGGGCCCAATTATGAGACATCACCTTTAGCCCTGGTAAAATACACTTTGTGGAATTTGGCTTCTCACACCAGGTGATCAAGATCTTTTTGGGAACTAATTGCCCTCTTCTGTCATCCAGTCTAGCACACAAAGCCTTGCACCATTCATAGACTAACCGGGCTACTTTTTATATTTTCCTCAAAGATGATCAATAAAAATGCTGAACAGGATAGCACCAAGAATAGAACCTTATATTGCATTGGGAATCTCTTCAGGTGACACTCAGCTGTTTATTTGCACTATCTGAGTACAGTCTTTCTGTCAGTATGGATGAGTGTGCTAGGGGAGTGGTCGTGGGCAGAGGGTGAAGAAAAGCCTACGTCTACTTGCTCTTTTCCCTTGTGCTCCTCTCTCTCTCTTGTTTAGCTCTCCCATTGGATGCCTATCACCTCCCAGTCCCCACCCCAAGATGGATCTTGAGAAAGGACAGGGCATGTGACAACAAGTGGCATAAGACTGAAGAAAAGAGCCTGGGCACGGTGGCTCACGCATGTAATCCCAGCACTTTGGGAAGCTGAGGCGGGTGGATCACGAGGTCAGGAGATCGAGACCATCCTGGCTAACATGGTGAAACCCCGTCTCTACTAAAAATACAAAAAATTAGCCAGGCGTGGTGGCAGGCACCTGTAGTCCCAACTACTCAGGAGACTGAGGCAGGACAATGGCGTGAACCCGGGAGGTGGAGCTTGCAGTGAGCCGAGATCATGCCACTGCACTCCAGCCTGGGCGACAGGGCAAGACTCCGTCTCAAAAAAAAAAAAAACTGAAGAAAAGAGGAGGGAAGATGAATGCCTGTGGCCAACCCTCAGGCAGGTGAGTGGAACAGCTATTGGGGGTGACTAGCGAAAGGATAGACGTTGTCAATAAAGTAAGGCAATCATACAACACATGCTGTCCATCTGTCTTGTGCAAATGTGAGTATCAACCACTCTATCATCAGTCTACAAATACTTTAAATGTTTTTATTTAAAGTCCTGTTGATGGCTGGGAGAGGTGGCTCACTCCTGTAATCCCTGCATTTTGGGAGGCCAAGGCAGGAGTATCGCTTGAGCCCAGGAGTTTGAGACCAGCCTGGGCAACATAGTGAAACCCCATCTCTACAAAAAGTAGAAAAATTAGCCCAGCACAGTGATGTGTGCCTATAGTCCCAGGTACTAGGGTGACTGAGGTGAGAGGATCACTTGAGCCCAGGAGGTGGAGGCTGCAGTGAGCCATGATCACGCCACTGCACTCCAACCTGGGCTTCAGAGCAAGACCCTGTCTCAAAAAAAAAAAAAAAAAAAAAAGGTCCCAGGGCCTGTTGGGGCTTGGGGGTGAGGGGAGGGATCTTAGAGGATGGGTCAATAGGTGCAGCAAATCACCATGTCACACATATACCTATGTAACAAACTTGCACCTTCTGCACATATACCCCATTTTTTTTGTTTGCTTGTTTGTTTGTTTTTTAGACAAAATAAAGAAAAAAAAATAAGGTCCTGTTGACTTAAAACTTCGGATGAAATTGTAGTGGGACCTGTGATCTGTTTCTACATTAGGATACAGTGCCTTGGGGCAAGGAAATATGGCAGTGCCCGAGGTGTCAAGGTGGGCAGGCAGATCAGTCAGCAGGGGCTCCACCATCATGGTCTGCATTCAATACTGGCTGCATTTCCTAGGAGAATCCCTGGGGGAATCATTGCAGTTGGAGCATAATGTAGGGGGCCCCTGAGAAAACCTCCAGGCTTCAAGTGACATACCTAGTCTGCTTTACCGGTTTACAGGACTCAAGAGAAAGGTGGACATTGAGAGTTAATCCCTGAGGCCAAATCTTAAATGGAGAAAGTCAACATCCACAGAAAATGGGGAAGGGCACAAGTATTTCTGTGGGCTTATATTCCGACATTTTTATCTGTAGGGGAAAAATGCTTTCTTAGAAAATGACTCAGCACGGGGAAGTCTTGTCTCTACCTCTGTCTTGTTTTGTCCTTTGGGGTCCCTTCACTATCAAGTTCAACTGTGTGTCCCTGAGACTCCTCTGCCCCGGAGGACAGGAGACTCGAAAAACGCTCTTCCTGGCCAGTCTCTTTGCTCTGTGTCTGCCAGCCCCCAGCATCTCTCCTCTTTCCTGTAAGCCCCTCTCCCTGTGCTGACTGTCTTCATAGTACTTTAGGTATGTTGTCCCTTTACCTCTGGGAGGATAGCTTGATGACCTGTCTGCTCAGGCCAGCCCCATCTAGAGTCTCAGTGGCCCCAGTCATGTTGAGAAAGGTTCTTTCAAAGATAGACTCAAGATAGTAGTGTCAGAGGTCCCAAGCAAATGAAGGGCGGGGACAGTTGAGGGGGTGGAATAGGGACGGCAGCAGGGAACCAGATAGCATGCTGCTGAGAAGAAAAAAAGACATTGGTTTAGGTCAGGAAGCAAAAAAAGGGAACTGAGTGGCTGTGAAAGGGTGGGGTTTGCTCAGACTGTCCTTCCTCTCTGGACTGTAAGAATATGTCTCCAGGGCCAGTGTCTGCTGCGATCGAGTCCCACCTTCCAAGTCCTGGCATCTCAATGCATCTGGGAAGCTACCTGCATTAAGTCAGGACTGAGGTGGGTCTGGGGTATGGCAGGGGCTGGGCAGCAGCAGCAATGTACCTTGCTTGGGACCCCTAAAAACCAGAGAGACAGCATGGCTGGTGCCATTTATCAGCTAGTGGAGGAGGCTGACGGAGGGTGGGAGTGTCATCAGCACAAGGCCCTGGCAGTCCCTTCTGGTGATTAGAGAGGCCGAAAGGGTCCTTTCCGACAAGGGCTGAGGGTGGGCGGAACAGGAAGAGAAAAATGTGACATGAGGTGACCATCCGAACAGGTAGCAAATGTTAGAAAGGGGTACCTCTGGCAAACTTAGTGGAAAAGTAATATTGCAGGGAGCAGTCAGATAAAAACAAGCCCTTCTGTCAAATAGTGCTTGAAGACTCAATAGGGATACATGGGTCAATGAAGCCTTTAGAAAAAGAAATACTAAGAGGCAGATTCTCTGAGAACATGGTAAAAGCTCACGCTCCACGTTATGAAGTTGACCTTTGTGAGCTAGGGAAAGGCCTGGCTAGGCCAGGGTGTAGGCTACCTGCCTTGAGCTGTACCAGGCCAAATGTCGCCAGGGTCAGAGCTGGCTTATTAAAGGACTGTGTGGAAGCTGTGCCAACCTCGTGGTAACAATGGGTAAAAGACTGGGCCAGGAGAAAGCAGCCTCTGCCTCAGCCCAGACAGTGCGGCCAACCCTTGAGGTTGTGGCAAAGGTTTCTCCTCTTACCATTGCCCTCCATGTGCATGGCTTGCTTTTCTCTTGTCTTCATTATTTCTCCTTTCCTTTCCTCCTCTCCAACCTCCTCCTCTTCCCACTCATCCTCTTTTCTCTACCTATATCCCCTCTTCATTATACCCTCCTCTGTTCTGTTGATTACCAGACCCTGACATACAGTTAGCACTTAACAAATAATTGCCGAATTGCATTGACTTTTTCTTGCTCCTTTCTTCCCCCGCTCTTTTCCCTTTTCCTTTCCCTTTCCATTTCCTCCTCCCTGCCTGCCTAGCACCTTCCCCATAAGGTGGTTGTGAGCAGTAAATGTGCAAATACATGTAAAGCTTTTAAAACAGGGCCTGGCAATAGTAAGTGCTGGATCTCAGTATTTGCTATAATTTTTACTCTGCCTCAGACCTGCCAATGTCCCCCAGAGGGCCTACCTAGAGCAAATAATATGACATTTAGAATAAAAGTGATTGGTGACCCCAATCAAGACATCCTTGGATAAGTTGCCCAGACTCCAGCCTCTCTGGAGCCTCAGTTATTTGATAAAATAATGTCACTTTCCAAATAAGCCACAAAATGCAAATACTCATGGCAACCTAAAGCATTATACCCAAACAGTGTCCCTTAGGGCTTGTCCTGTCTATTCTGACTCCTTTTATATTCAAACTATTTAAACTGCTTGCTTGTGTTGAAGTCCAAATTTCCATTGCGTATGGCTATTGATATTTTTGTTTGGAATTTTTTTTTTTTTTTTTTGACACGGAGTTTCACTCTTGCTGCCCAGGCTGGAGTGCAATGGCACGATCTCGGGATCTCAGCTCACCGCAACCTCCGCCTCCCGGGTTCAAACAATTCTCCTGCCTCAGCCTCCCAAGTAGCTGGGATTACAGGCATGTGCCACCACGCCCAGCTAATTTTGTATTTCTAGTAGAGACGGGGTTTCTCCATGTTGGTCAGGCTGGTCTCGAACTCCCAACCTCAGGTGATCTGCCTGCTTGGGCCTCCCAAAGTGCTAGGATTACAGGCGTGAGCCACCGCACCCACCCTGGAATTCTTTGTAAACTCCTTATGGTGCGAACTAATGTAACTTTCCATCCAGTTATGGGGGATTGGTGCAATTTTAAATTATCACTATGATTTGCTATTTCCATTTGAGCAAATTTCCTATAGAGTTTCCTTTCAGTGGACTAGACCCATATCAGGAAGTGACTTAGGTATAAAGGGAAGATACAGCTTTCGAAAACCAAAGTTTGGGCGTTCTCCAAAGAGTTATCAGATACCCCCTTCTACACCCACAATGATCTGATTGCTGAGATCTGATTGCTAACTACTGAAAATAAGGAAGAACTAGAATTTTCAGTGACACAGTGCTCAGCAAGAAGCTAGAAAAGAGGCCTTGACATATTTGACTCCAAAGCTACTTGGTTATGCATGAAGCCATCTGGGGAGGGGAAGGAGGAGGGAGAACTCCTCTGAGGACCCTGAAACAATTGGGCCACGTGTGACTTTCAGTTTCTATGGAGATTCATGTGCAGTGGCTGAGGGCAATCTGAGAGCATTGGAAACCCAGAAGCTTTAATACCAGGCTCTTCTCTCCGCTCTTAGAAAGTTCTCACAAGATGTCTTTAGGATTATATTGGTTATTTGAATCTCAAGGAGAAGCTCCTCTCACTGCCCTACCTCCCTGAACTGAAAACAAACTGTAGTCTGTTAGCTCACCCTAGAAGAAGGAAATTCTAGAGTCAAGAGAAGTTAAGTTTTAGACAAGCTGGAAGTTGGAATATACTGGAGTTTAAGATCATTGACTCAATGAAAAAAAAAAAAGATTTGTCTGCAGTAAAACCAGAGTTTTAAAAATGATTAGAAATGGACCAGAAAAGAGATAAGGATAATGAGAAAGGGGGCTCTCTAAAACTATTTGGAACTGAAATTGGGACAATGTTTCTGGAAACTATTTTGGCAGTATGTATCAAAATGCAAAATGCACATACTTTTTTGACTCTGGAAATGATGCTTGTATAGAGATCCTAATAACATGGGAAAATAATTAGGAATAATGTTAAATAAGAACATTAGATCTTTTTTTGGAAAAAGGTACCTTGAACGGATGGATGGATGGATAGATACATACATACATGCATACATACATACATAGATGTTACGAAAAATAGGTAAATTAACTGAATGTGCAATATGATCTCAAATATTATAAGAAACACACACAGAAAAAAATGGAAGGAATATGCCGATATATTAATGCCTCTGGATGAGTTTATGAATGATTTTTTCTTTTTTATATCCCTGTACTTGACATATTTTCTACAATAAGCATGTTTTATTTTACTATATTTTGTTTTATTTTGAGATGGGGGTCTCCCTATGTTTCTCAGGCTGACCTTGAACTCTTGGGCTCAAGCAATCCTCCAATATCAGCCTCCTGAGTAGCTGGGACTACAGGTGCACCCCACTGCACCCAGCTGCGTGTGTTATTTTGATATCGATGGAAAAAATAAATAAAATGTTTAAGCCAAGGAAAACAAAAACTAGGTTGAAAAAGAAGGCCAAAAGGGCACACAAGTCCAGAGTGAAAGACAGACACCCCAGCAGTCACCCTCAGAGCAGAGGGAGAATATTGAAAGTATTACCACTGATCTGATCTGGCACTGACTATAAACTTGCAGATTGGCTCTCTGGCTCTCCTTCCATCATCAGTTGGCCAGAATATATTGTCGCTAATGCAAGACAAAAAGAGATGATGAATCACAGAGACCTAGAAGTTTCCAAAACCACAGAAGAAAAATGTAAAATGCTAAAAACATAAGGCCAGGCGCGGTGGCTCAAGCCTGTAATCCCAGCATTTTGGGAGGCCGAGGCAGGTGTCATGGTGTGCGGCTGTAGTCCAAGCTACTCAGGAGGCTGAGGCAAGAGAATTGCTTGAAACTGGGAGGTAGCGATTGCAGTGAGCCAAGATTGCGCTACTGTACCGAAGCCTGGATGACAGAGCGAGACTCTGTCTCAAAAATAAATAAATAAATAAATAAATAAATAAAACATGAACTGCTGTGGAAGAACCAGAGAGCCCTAAGGCCTCCTGTAAATGACTACAGCAGGAGAGTTTCCCTGGTCAGCATGCAGCTTTCGAAAATTGAGTTTGGCTTGATGCCTTCATCACAAATTTGGTCCCCTGTAGCCTTGACTATGAAGCTTATCATAAAATAATTGGGTTTCACTGGGGCCCGAACAAAAGCATCTTGGGAATTTAACAAGATTAAAGGTTGCTTTGTTGCTGTGGGTATGATTTTTTTTTCTTTTTTCTTTTTTTTTTTTTTTGAGACGGAGTCTGACTCTGTCACCCAGGCTGGAGTGCAGTGGCACGATCTCGGCTCACTGCAACCTCCGCCTCCTGGGTTCAAGCAATTCTCCTGCCTCAGCCTCCTGAGTAACTGGGATTACAGGTGCGCGCCACCACGCCAGGCTAATTTTTGTATTTTTAGTAGAGACAGGGTTTCTCCATGTTGGTCAGGCTGGCTGCTCTCAAACTCCTGACCTTGCCATCCAGCCGCCTCAGCCTCCCAAAGTGCTGGGATTACAGGCATGAGCTACCACACGTGGCCATATGTAAATTTTAAACATGTAAACCAATACTGTATATCTTTTATAGATATTTACATCTGTAATGATAATATGAAAACGTACCTAGGAATGATAAACACCAAATTCAAGATATTGGTAATCTCTAAGGAGGGAGAAGACTAAGATTTTGGAGTACATAAAGGGGTCTTGATTATATAGATAGTATTTCAGTTCTTAACACGTTCTCTTCTGGTCCCAAGGCCAAGGAATTCTCAATTGAAATCTCAGTTAGAACGTGAAGGATGCTTCTTGGGACTGGGAAGAGATTTTCCGTAGGCCAAATTTAACCTCCCACTAGAGATAGTTGATAATTCTACCACATTTCATAGTGAAGCATCAGGAAGACAGGACTGAAAAGGCAAGAAGGAATGATGCAAATTGCATAGTCCAAAAGATAAGCTGGACCTAGGTTTGCCAGTTTGTCTAAGTAACTGAGAATTCATTCTGAGATCAAAAAATCAAAATAATGTTCACAGCAGCATTGTTTATCACTGAAAGCAAACAACCTAAATGTCCATCAACAGGAGAATGAATAAATATATTGGAATGTATTCATCATATAGAATATTTTATGCATATAAAAATGAATTAAAACATATGAAGTAGAACTAGCCAGATAAATAAATCCTAACATATTATATTGAGGGGAAAAAAGCAAGTTGCTGGAGAATGTGTACCATATATATATATATAAATTTTCTTTTTTTTTTTTTTTTTTTTTCGCGACCGAGTTTCACTCTTGTTGCCCAGGCTGGAGTGCAATGGCAAGATCTCGGCTCACTGCAACCTCTGCCTCCCGGGTTCAAGGGATTCTCCCGCCTCAGCCTCCTGAGTAGCTGGGAGAGTAGCGTTGGCCCAGCTAGTTTTTGTATTTTTAGTAGAGACAGGGTTTCTCCATGTTGGTCAGGCTGGCTGCTCTCAAACTCCTGACCTTGTCATCCACCCGCCTCAGCCTCCCAAAGTGCTGGGATTACAGGCCTGAGTTACCGCACCTGGCCATATGTAAATTTTAAACATGTAAACCAATACTATATATCTTTTATAGATACTTACATCTGTAATAATAATATGAAAACATACCTAGGAATGATAAACACCAAACTCAAGATATTGGTAATCTCTATGGAGGGAGAAGACTAAGATTTTGGAGTACATAAAGGGGTCTTGATTATATAGATTGTATCTCACTTCTTAACACGTGAGGCAATATGGCACAATTTTAGGATTTTGTAGAGCTAAGCGGTGAGTCCAAGATTGTAATGTTATAGTCCCTGTACTTTCTATTTGAAATATTTCATAATATAAAACAAAGTATATTTGAGGCCAGGTGCAGCAGCTCATGCCTGTAATCCCCACACTTTGGAAGGCTGAGACAAGAAGATCACTTGCATCCAGGAGTTTGAGACTAGCCTAGGCAACAAAGTGAGACCCGTGTCTCTACAAAAAAATTAAAAATTAGCTGGGTGTGGTAGTGCACACCTGTAGTCCCAGCTACTTGAGAGGCTGAGGCAGGAGGATCGCTTGAGCCCAGGAGGTGGAGGCTGCAGTGAGTGGTGATCTTGCTACTGCACTCCATCCTGGGTGACAGAGTGAGACCCTGTCTCAAAAAAATAGAAGGTATATTTGATCAAAGTTTTATATTCACAGTAAGCAATAAGAACCCTAGGGACAGAGAAGGGTGGATGTTCCACCTAAACACTGTGCTTTCATTCCATCAACAATGAAACATCCAGGAAAGGAAACAACAAGTGACTCTAGAAATTCACTAGTTAGACAGAATCTCCTTGGGAATGATTTAAAGAGGGAAAATGTAAGAAAACCTGGCAAGACTAAGAAGAGTCCTCAAGTGCAAAAAAAGTATAGTTGACAGTTACCAGAGACAGATCATCCTTACCAGCCTGGAGGAATATTGCAGAGGAAAGAGCTTAGGATCTTGAATACTCTCTTATCTCCTGTATTTACCACCATTTCCTCTCTTGCTGAACATTCCTAGAAAATGGAGAGGAGTTTGTCACAACTGCTCTTTGATGATAGCCATGGAGAATGACAGGGGCCCCAAGGCAGATGGCATCAACCTCATCAAAGACCAAAAAACAAATAAACGAACAAAAATCCCTCCGGTAGGCAGTGAAACACCACAAAAAAAGCAAGGGCTATAGATGATATACCAAGAGCTACAGATGGATGAGGTTGGACAAGTCACATAACCTCTGTGTCAGTTTCCTCATCTGTTTGTTGTGAGGAATAAATGAAATAATGCCTGTAAAATGCCTGTCAGGTAGAAGTCACTGAAAGGAACAGAAGTTCCATTCCATCCCCCTAAGGAAAGACAGGGAATGGCCAGAATCTTCCTAGCCAATTGAGTAGTGCTTTCAAGGAGAAATCAAGAGAAAACACTACTTCTTGGATATTTTGGCTAAGTAGTCATTTGAAGTACAGTTGACTGGTTATTTTATTTTAAATCATATCTCATAGACTCTTCCCAATCATAGGCTGGCTGTGTAGTTTTCTGAATTTTGCTCTGGTATTCTTCTTCTTTTTTTTTTTTATTTTTATTTTTTATTTTTTTTTTGAGACTCCAGGCTGGAGTGCAGTGTCACGATCTTGGCTCACTGCAACCTCCGCCTCCCGAGTTCAAGCGATTCTCCTGCCTCAGCCTCCTGAGTTGCTGGGACTACAGGCGCCTGTCACCACGCCCGGCTAATTTTTTGTATTTTAATAGAGACGGGATTTCACCATGTTGGCCAGGCTGGTCTCTAACTCCTGACCTCAAGTGATCCGCCAGCCTCAGCCTCCCAAAGTGCTGGGATTACGGGCATGAGCCACTGCGCCTGGACTTATTATTCTTAATAGTATTTTATCTTATGAGCGAAGATAAGAGCCCAAGATGGTTTAGTTTACTGATTCTGCAAGTGCTATTTCTATTAATTCCTTGGCATACTGCAGTTTGTATGATGGCTGCACTCTTGTTAATAAGCTTCGTCTTTCTGAATTCTGTTGCTCCATAGGGAGCTGGGAGGCTGCAAAAGGTGGCCCTGTAAAAATCTTTGCATTTATAATTTAATAAAGGGGACATTGTAACACTGGAACTCCATATTTTAAATGAAGAGCTCTGTGTCTATTTTTTCTCCTCCCCCATTTCTTTCTTTCTATAAACAACAGTGGTGTGTGTGTGTGTGTGTGTGTGTGTGTGTGTGTGTCTGTATGTTTGAGACATTCAAGTCACTTCCATTTCCACCCTTCACCCTGAGTGGAGCTCAGGGTTAGCCATCATTGTGCATATTTTGTGGTCAAACCGACTCTGTAGGCTACTGAAATTGTTTTAAAAAAATTGGGGCCTTTACTGGCCAGGCACGGTGGCTCATACCTGTAATTCCAGCACTTTGGGAGGCCAAGGTAGGCAGGTCACCTGAGGTCAGGAGTTCAAGACCAGCCTGGCCAACATGGGGAAACCCCACCTCTACTAAAAATACAAAAATTAGCCAGGTGTGGTGGCACACGCCTGTAATCCCGGCTACTTGGGAGGCCGAGGCAGGAGAATTGCTTGAACCCAGGAGATGGAGGTTGCAGTGAGCCAAGATCGTGCCACTGCACTCCAGCCTGGGCAACAAAGCAAGATTCCGTCTCAAAAAAAAAAAAAAAAAATGGGGCCTTTCACAATAAGTACCCACAGAAGCTTTACCCTCTAACTACTTTTTAACTCAGAGCTGTGTGTTACACACCAACCTTCTGGAGGACTCAAAAATGGATCCCTTTCCTTTCACATTATTGAGTGATGGACCAGTGGCACCTAAGGAAGAGCTACCACATTTTCAGGCTGTGTGAGTCTGGACTGGATCATAAGAAACAGGAGAAAAGCAGTCAAAGAAGGTGGTACCAAATCATGGCAATTCTGGTAGACCTCTAGCTCAATGATCTAGAGGTGGAGGCCATTTCACCTTTTGCTCAGAGGGGCGATGGCTAGTGAGAGACTTGCTTACTTCCTCATAGTCAGAGCAGCACTAAACCCTGCCCAAACACAGATACTTGAGAGAGAGGAAGACTTCCTCTTGTACAAACTGGATTTGTTCTAAAACAGAGAAAGAGTAGAGGCAGCTTCCAGAAGGACCTGTCTTATAGGAAGTAAGAGCAGGGGACAAGAATGAAACAGATGGTGGGTCTAAGCAGGGAATGTATCCACCAAGAGCCTGCAACAAAACTAAAGATAAAATGTTGCCTGCGATTTATTCGGCTAAGAGAAGTACACCAGACATGGTTTGTTGGGATGCTTCTGACCCCATTTACTGGTCACAGTACTCAATTTATTTAGGGTTTTATTTTTTATCCTGTAATTTGAGTCTTTGATTGTGAAGAGGTACTTAATTATAATTTGCCACAAGAATAATTGTGGTATGATTACAGGGCTCTCAATGAGTTGGTAGTTCCTGAGAATAGAGTAGTATTATTTGGTTACCACTACTCCTGAGTAAATGCATAATTGTAATGTTAAAATGAACCTCTTTGAGTTTAGAGCTAAAACTGAGTGTTGGGAAGGGCTGATTGTAAACTCATCAATTTGTCACTCCAGTGAGAGACCATTTAAACCAGGGAGTCAGGGTGTGTGGCAGGGTGGAGGGAAAGGTTTGCACTCTTGCCCAATTTTTCTCAAAATCTAATTTACAAAATATTGAATTAATCCACCTCCAGAAGATAGTGGCATACACATGGTAGATAAGTGGCAAAGCGATCTTCCAGAACACCCCTGGTGTTCCTTTGACGTATTTTCGTCTCCCCAGCATGAGAATAGAACCTCCTACACCACAGGAAAGAGCAAAATAACAGTGTGGATAGCCCCCAGGCTTTGATAAAATTCACTCCCTTGCTTTCCTAGTGTGAGCAATAATCTGCTTAAAAAGTAGAAAAAAACTGCTGGCTTTATTCATTCTGCTTCCACGGTGCCACCAAAAGCATAAGGAGTTTACTTAAAAAATAGACACATTCCCACCCCCACCCCCCCACCAGAGGAAAAATCCCTACCACTAATTAAACTTGAATGGAGGGCTGGTGGTTTTTTCGTTACTTACTTAGTGTTTTTTTGTTGTTGTTTTTGATTTTGTTTTTTGAGACGGAGTTTCGCTCTTGTTGCCCCGACTGGAGTATAATGGCACAATCTCGGCTCACTGCAACCTCCGCCTCCTGGGTTCAAGCGATTCTCCTGCCTCAGCCTCCCGAGTAGCTGGGATTACAGGCATCCACCACTACGCCCGGCTATTTTTGTATTTTTAGTAGAGACGGGGTTTTGCCATGTTGGCCAGGTTGGTCTTGAACTGTTGACCTCAGGTGATCCGCCAGCCTCGGCCTCCCAAAGTGCTGGGATTACAGATGTGAGCCACCGCGCCGGCCTAGTGTTCTATTTTTATGACAGCATTTGTTTTCACTTTATCTTTCCAATGAAAGTTCGGAATTAGTAATAATATTACACTGTGCATAAACTGTAAGTGAATAACTGATATGAAGTGTTGCTTGGTGTGAATAAAAAAGCCAGTGGTGACTTTGGGAACTTTATTTGTCTTTCTGTGTTTCAGTTACCTAAATTGAATCCTTCTGGAGTATTGTAGGTTTGGGGAGGCTAAATAAGTTGTGTTTCATAAATGAACAGAGGTGGCATCTATATCAGTAAGACAGTTGCATCACTTTTGCATGATGCTGTCTAAAAGAACTAATTTAAGCTAAATGGGGAAAAGGTCAGAAAACAACAACTACCCCCCCCCCACCAAAACCCACCAAAAAAAATTATGTTTTCAACTTTAGAACAAATCTTCTATCCTTTGTAGCTCAGTCAGTGGGTGTGGGCAAAATCAGTTGGGCAGCAGTTAGTGTGTGTCCAGAACTGCAGGTGCAGCCTCCATATCCTTATTAGTTCCCTTGGTTACAGACCCCAGTGGGACAATGTTTGAAAAATTATATTCACCGTCTAGGAAATTGGGAACTGAAAGTCCAATATCTGCCTCAGTGGAGTTCTGGCACCTGCATTATCCCTTCTGGGTATATCAAGATCAACAGCTGCACAGATACTTTTGCTTTTCACAGATTCTACACATATCATATAAAGGTGAATAGTGTAAAGCTACCTCTACACCTTACCAAGCACACAGGTGCGTGCCATTTAACATCTAGAGCATTCCATTGCCTTATACAAGAACTCAGTTTATATGAGCTCACAACATCGAACCAATCCCCCCCCAATTCAGTGTGCATCCATTATACCTGAAACCTGACAGAGCTGGGGGCTGTGGGAGGAGGTTGGTAGGAAGAAATTATTTTGTGAGCTGTGCACATTTTTGTTCCATTTGAAACTAGGTAGCTAGGCTGAGGGGGAACCAAGAGGGATGAGGATTAATGTCCTGGGTCCTCAGGAACTTTCATTATCAACAGCACACAGGTGAACTCCAGAAAGAAGAAGCTATGGCCGCAGTGATTCTGGAGAGCATCTTTCTGAAGCGATCCCAACAGAAAAAGAAAACATCACCTCTAAACTTCAAGAAGCGCCTGTTTCTCTTGACCGTGCACAAACTCTCCTACTATGAGTATGACTTTGAACGTGGGGTAAGTTTCTCGACTATGAAAACTGAGTTTCAAGATATCAAGGACTTGGCCTTAGATCTTTCTTGGGGAAGAGGTAAATTTTCGTTGGTAGGAGGAGGGGAGTAGAATGGACCTAAGTTCTTTCAAATTCAGCAAAATATTTCCTAGCCTATAACTAGCTAAAGCCGGAAAGTCAAAGGTCCTAAGAAGCCACAAGGAAAATATTACCATGGAATCTTGGAATTGATGAGCACTCATTAAATGATTGTTGAAAATGAAATCGAAGAGTTGGAAATTGCTTCCTTACTTCCTATGAGGAAGGTACATACAGTCATTCACTCTTCCATGGTATTTGCCCTCCATTTGGTAGTCATAGATTTATAGATCTGGAAGGATTTTTTTTTCTTCCCCCACATGACAGGTCCTGGTGCCACCTCACTTTGTTGAATGATTAGATAACAAAATCTAATCATCTGGTTGCTTAATCCCTCTTAATCTTTCTCCATTTTCTTCCTCATTCTACTTCTCAGAGAAGAGGCAGTAAGAAGGGTTCAATAGATGTTGAGAAGATCACTTGTGTTGAAACAGTGGTTCCTGAAAAAAATCCTCCTCCAGAAAGACAGATTCCGGTAAGAAGAGACCAATGTCTGAGATGGGGAACAGCAGATTTGAAGAAATTTGCAACATTTAAATTCTCTGTAAATAGACTGGTGATGCTGTGCAACGTGGAACACGGTCAAGTTTCCTTTAAAAATTCTTCACTCTACCATATTGGTTATAAAGAATCTTAGCTTCTTTCCTTCATATTCAGAACATCTCACTAAACATGGAAAATTTGTTAACACAAACTTTTAAATGATGCTATATCTAGTTTTCAAACTGGTCAGAGATCATTGATTTTATTCCCTCAGTTCTCTCAGGATCAGATTTAGAGGCTTAAGTAAGTCTGAATGTCATAATCCTAGGGCTCTGAGTCACATGATATCCTTTAATACCTTACTATTTATTCTCTTCTCACTTTCCGGAGCGAGAGACATAAAACCTACTGATTTTTGAGTTCACTTTTAAAAAATATATATCAATTTCAGTATTTTCTTTTTTTCTTTTTTTTTTCTTTTTTTAGACAGAGTCTCGCTCTGTTGCCCAGGCTGGAATGCACTGGTGCCATCTTGGCTCACTGCAACCTTCACCTCCCGGGTTCAAGCAATTCTCATGCCTCAGCCTCCCAAGTAGCTGGGATTACAGGTGTGCACCACCATGCCTGGCTAATTTTTCGTATTTTTTTAGTAGAGACGGGGTTTCACCATGTTGGCCAGGCTGGTCTTGAACTCCTGGCCTCAAGTGATCCGCCTGTCTCGGCCTCCCAAAGTGCAAAGATTACAGGCGTGAGCCACCCACTGGGTCTGACCATTTTCAGTATTTTCTTGATCACAGGAGAATTGCGTATTTATTACAGAAACTCTGGAATATATAAAAAATACAAAAAGATTAAAATGATGCATAATCCTGTTACCCAGTTAAAACAACTATCAACATATTGGTGTACATAGACTTACAGATGTTTTTCTTCACTGAGAACACATACGCATACACTTATATATATGTCATATATTTAAAACATAGACTCATAGTACACATCTTGCTTTGTAACGTACTTTTTCAATGTAACGATATGTGGGAAACTTTTCCCCATGACAATAGATATTCTTTAATAACATGATTTTAATGACTGTATGGTATTCCCTATTATGGATGTATTGTAATTTGTTTAATCTCCCATTATTACACATTCGGTTTGTCTACAAGTACTTGATAGTATAAACCATGTTGAGAGGAACAATCTTGCATACATCTTTCTGTACTTTTTTTATTCTTTTCCTTATGATAATTTCCTAGAAGTAAAATTTTGTTCTTCTCTTTAAGAAAATCTGTGCACTTTGGTTATTTTTATCTTTTTATTTCATTTTCTAGAAGTGGAATTGAATTTCATACACACCTACAAGCTATGTATGAGAGTGCCTGTTTCTGTACATTTTTTCCAACACTAGATATTTTGTTATTTTTATTATTATTATTATTTTCTGAGATGGAGTCTCGCTGTGTCGCCCAGGCTGGAGTGCAGTGGTGCGATCTCCGCTCACTGTAACCTCTGCCTCCGGTTCAAGTGATTCTCCTGCCCCAGCCTCCTGAGTAGCTGGGACTACAGGCGCCCACCACCACACCCTGCTAATTTTTGTATTTTTAGTAGAGATGGGGTTTCACCAGATTGGTCAGGCTGATCTCAAACTCCTGACCTCAAGTGATCCTCCCACCTCGGCCTCCCAAAGTGCTGGGATTACAGGCGTGAGCCACTGTGCCCAGCCCAACACTAGATATTTTAAATATTAGTTAATTTGACAGCCAAGAAAAATAGCATTTCAGGTGGGGCGTGGTGGCTCACGCCTGTAATCCCAGCACTTTGGGAGGCCAAGGCAGGCGGATCATGAGCAGGAGTTCGAGACCAGCCTGACCAACATGGTGAAACCCCGTCTCTACTAAAAATACAAAAATTAGCTGGGCATGGTGGCGCGAGCCTGTAATCCCAGCTACTCGGGAGGCTGAGGCAGGAGACTCCCTTGAACCCAGGAGGCGGAGGTTGCAGTGAGCCGAGATCGCACCACTGCACATCCAGGCTGGACGACAGAGCAAGACTCCGTCTCAAAAAAAAAAAATAGCATTTTATTGCTAACTTATTTTGCAATTTCTTTTACTCATAAAGTTGGTCTACTGCTCATTTATATTTTATTTGTGAATTGCCCATTAATTTTTGGTCCATTTTTTACATTGAGATGTTTACCTCATTTCTAATACTTTTAAAGAGATCTTGATATAAGAACATTTATCCTTTAACTGTAAAGTATGTTGAAAATGTTTTTCAGTTTATCCTTTATCTTTCAATTTTGTTTATGATGCTTTTTGCCATATAGGGATTTAAAGTCTATGTCATCAAATTAGTTCAGGTTTTTCTTAATAGTTCTAAGTTTCATCCTTATATTAGAAAAAGCTTGCCTCCCACAGGATTATATAAATAATTGCTTATATTTACTCTCAGTCATTCATAGTTTTATTTTTTATATTAAGCTCTTGAATCCATCTGGAATTTTCTTTGGTGTATGGTGTAGCATAGCTACCTAACTCCTCTCCTCCCCACAACGTTAGTGGTTAAATATTTGTCCCAACAACAATTTTTTAGAAACCTCCATTTTCCCAGTGATTTGAAATACCTGAGTCTCTCTTGACTGGGTATGTGTTGGGTCGTATTGGATATGTGTCCCTATTGGCCTATAGAAAGTAATCACTAAGAATCAGCCTTGTCTGTGCAGGAGAAACTTCTGAAGCCACAGCAAAAGGCTTCTAGTACCTAAGGAAATTCAGAAAAGAGCAATGCATCAACCAATAACCATTTTTTCTTATTTCATTACAGAGAAGAGGTGAAGAGTCCAGTGAAATGGAGCAAATTTCAATCATTGAAAGGTTCCCTTATCCCTTCCAGGTGAGTTATTTTCTCTCACCAAATCTCGAAAGGCCCCTGTAACACAATTAGAAGGGGTGGTGGGGTGCAGGGCAGAGGGAAGGCTACGAGGACCCAGTGAATAGAAGTTGAGGTGGACAAGGATGCTGAACCAAGAAATGAGACTGGCATGGGCTAAGAATGTTTGCTTTTCTATTTACCTAATCTAACATAGTTTCTTTTAGTCTCTATACCTCAAAAAGAATACATAGCAGCACCAATTCTATCATAGTGTGTCTTGTCTATGATAACTGCATTGAGAAAGATGCTCTGCTTGTTGAGTGAGCATTTCACTTCCTTCTGGTTCTGACTATCTGTCTAATAGTGGTCATGTGGGTTGAAAAGATAGAAAAGGGGAGTAGTATTAGGAAGTTCAGTATGAGGAAGACTTATTAGACTTATGCATAAACCTAAATTCTGTTGTAATCTGGAAGAGCTGAAGTGCCACATATGCATCTGTTTAGGAGAGCAAGAACTACAAATTTGGTCTTCAGTTTGGCTTGCTTACATCCTGAGAACTCTGTAGGCCACATGTCGTGAATATAGCAGCCTCTGCAACAGTGAAAGCCAGAAAAGGAAGTGGAAAGTCTCAGGGGAGGGGGCTTTCTGTCATGGATTTATGAGCACAGCAAGACTAACAAGCAAAAAGAAAAATGTAAAAGGATCTTGTTCGTGTCCCTGACTATATCAAATTTACGAAACCTTTGAAAGAGGGGTATTTCAGACACAGTTTTTACTACCAATGCCTTTCAACAAGATGACATTGTTTGGCTGCACTAGTGAACAATGCTGAACAGCAGATAATTTTAAATTAATTTATATTTGACTTCAGAATTTATTATGTGATGTCTATAAACTCTGTGAGGGTTGGAACCACATCTTATATATTTCATGCATCTTCGTAACACCTAGCATGATGCCTTGTACATGGTTAAAAAAATACTATTTGACTTGATGATATTGCTTATTATATACCTTACCCTTTTTGAAGTAGGTTTGTAGTTCCAAATTTGATTTATTTTGGCTAATATTGGTGAGGGGAGGCCACTAGGTAGTGGAGGTGGAGGTAATTAGCCATGAATTAAAATTTTACTCCATATTATCCAAGTGAATAACCCATATGTACTAATCAAGACTTAATTTATATAGATTATCACTTCATTTCTCTTCTATACAAAGTCAGAATTTAATAATAAGATAAAATACCCTTTGTTGGATAAACAAAAATGTTATCTCCAGCAAGGGCAGACGGAGACCTTATAAAATAAGTTTATGCATGAATTGAAGCACAAGTCAGGAGGACCTAAGAGTATGAAAAATTCTAAGAGCTTTTAAACGCTACATTCCTAGATATGAAGAGTTCAGGAATCCTTCAGATAGTTCACATAACCTGAACACCATTGCTGACTGAAGATTCTGCCTTTCTTTGTTTTCTACAATAAATATACAAATTGTCCCCTAAGATTAGTACTTTCAAGGTCTTTCTCCTTTTTTCTGAATCCTAACTGCTGAAGTCTGTGTTTTCATCGACCCAGGTTGTATATGATGAAGGGCCTCTCTACGTCTTCTCCCCAACTGAAGAACTAAGGAAGCGGTGGATTCACCAGCTCAAAAACGGTGAGAATTATTTGGAAAATAAATGTTTCCAAAGAAAGAAGGAAAGGAAGGAAGAGGAGATAGACGGGAGGAAAAGGAAAGAAGGAAGAGAGAAACGAGAAAGAAAGAGAAAGGAGAAACGTAGAGAGAAAAGAAGAAAAAAATGGATAGAAGGGGAGAAAAGAAAGAGAGAGGGAGGGGAGGAGGGAGACAGGAAGGAAGGAAGCAAGGAAAGAAGGAAGGGGATGAGGGAGGAAAGAAAGACAAATAACAAAGAAACAAAGGAAAGTTTGTATTTTGTTTCAATATTAGTAATACAATTGAGCTTAGTATTCCATCATATGAATAAAAGATAAAATATTAGACTAAGAGTTTCCCAGTTCTATCACTATCTCTCTAGTGCAATTTTGTAATTTTAGGCACCTCCATTTCTCTATTTATTAAGAAAAGTCCCATTTTTTGCACTGAATACAAGGGTGGTGTGGCATTCAATGGTTATGCAATATTTAGAATCCTAAGTATAAAATACCTAGCTCCAAAAAATTAAATAGATGATGTATGAGAGTGCTTGAAGTCAGAGTCAGAGAACCTGGTTTCAAGCCCTCTTTTACCATTTACAAACTGGGTGATTTCTGGCAAGAAGGCCAACAAGCTTCTTTGATGCTCAGTTTCTTCTTCTCAAAGGAGAATAATGGTAATTCATGCCACATCTACCTCTGGGGTTGTTGTAAGGATCAAATGAAGTAATAATACATGTAAAAGCACATGGAAAACTGTAAATCACTGTATACGAAAGCACTGTACATCTCTTTGTTGTGGATAAATATTTCCCAAGGAAATATTTCATATTCCTTGCTTTGTGAGGACCTAAACTTGAACAGTTTCAGCATTTCACATCAACCATACAGTGTGTTCAGATAAACTTGACTGTAAATGCTTGCAGCACAGGATGCATGCACACATATTTGTGTGTATATATAGCCACATGTCAAGTGACTGAGAGATTAACTGGTTGAGTTGACATCAGGAAAGGCTGCCTAGAGAAACAGGAAGGATGGCAGACTGATAATGGTATGGTTGGGTTATTGCATGACAGCCCTTTGTCTTAATAAACATTTAGATTCTGATACTCACTGGCTGGCTATACCAGCCTTGTACACTCCCTTGAATGCAAGTTTGGTTGGTCAAAATTATATTAGCCAAGTCTTTCAAACTGAAAGGGAACAGGAGGAACGAAGATGAAGGATCATCTATTCAATTATTGCTATGTGCCAGATATTGAGCTAAATACCTTTTATATATTATCTCATTTAATTTTCACAACAACCTTGGCCTAAAAACAACAACAATGATAACTAACACTTAATGAGCACTTACTATGTAGCAGGCTCTGTCCCAAGTGCTTCAAATGTATTACTTATTTGATCTTTGCAGTAGCCTTAAGAAGTATGTATTATTCCCCTATTTACAGATGAGGAAACTGAAGCTCAAAGATGTTATGCAACTTGCTCATGGGCACACAGTGAATGGTGGAGCCTGGATTCTTATCACATCCCTGTGTCTGTATGACTCCAAAGCCCAAGCTCATTGCATAGTTTTGCGCTGCTTGGTTTCCAAGTCCAGAAATTTCACATGTAGTTGGTTGCAAAATATTCTATAGTAAAGCTATGTTGAATATTACAAATAGGTGATATCCTGCAATACACAGTTCAGTTCTTGGCATATTTTAAGATAAGGGGTCTGCTTTAGCCCTGGGGCTACAAAATGAGCAAACTCTTTAATACTGCTTATTGTGATACAGGCTCTTCTTTAAGTTCTTTACATATATTAACTTTGTATTAACCATATGAGGCAGTTATCTTGTCATCCCCATTTTACAGATAAGAAAGCTGAGGTACAGAGAGGTTAAGTAACTTGCCCAAAGGCCCTCGGTTGGTAAATGGCAGGGTCAGGCTTTGAATTCAGGCCCCAGACTCCATGTCCTGAACCAATATACTATCTCCAGCCACAGAAATATTTGCAGAGACTGGGATAAGAGCTCTGCAGGACATGTATACTTGTACTTCTTTAGTTCTCTCCACAATGCCTCATACAGCGCCTTGCACACAGAAAGGGATCAGTAGTTGTGTTAACTGATTTATCTGTGGGAATAAACAACCATCACCAGCTTGGGCTCCACATCGATAAATGGCTAGGTTTTAGTCTGGAAATGGGGGAATGCAAGGCAGACTAGCTGAAGGAGAAATAAGGGAGAAACTGGCATGCTCAAGTTGGTAACTTCTTTACACTTCATATACTAATTTCAAAACCAGTCATAGTTTAGTCCAACAAATATTTATTTATTTATTTATTTATTTATTTATTTATTTATTTATTTATTTTGAGATGGAGTTTCGCTCTTGTCACCCAGGCTGGAGTGCAATGGCACGATCTCGGCTCACTGCAACCTCCGCCTCCCGAGTTCAAGCGATTCTCCTACCTCAGCCTCCCGAGTAGTTGGGATGACAGGCGCCTGCCACCATGCCCAGCTAATTTTTGTATTTTTAGTAGCGACAGGGTTTCACCATGTTGGCCAGGCTCGTCTCAAACTCCTGACCTCAGGTGATCCACCCGCCTCTGCCTCCCAAACTGCTGGGATTAAAGCATGAGCCACCACA
Source organism: Homo sapiens (assembly GCF_000001405.40). Taxonomy (NCBI): domain Eukaryota; kingdom Metazoa; phylum Chordata; class Mammalia; order Primates; family Hominidae; genus Homo; species Homo sapiens. Next base: position 101,367,361 of record NC_000023.11, on the reverse strand, counting down.
CCTGGCCCAACAAATATTTATTGAATGTCCACTATATTTAAGGGTGAGTAATGACCGAAGATAAGGATATCCAGCTTGTGAGCTTGTGAGCTTTCTTTTTTTCTTTTTTTTTTTTCTTGATATGGAGTCTCACTCTGTTGCCCAGGCTGGAGTAGAGTGACGTGATGTTGGCTCACTGCAACCGCCGCCTCCTAGGTTCAAGCAATTCTCCTCCCTCAGCCTCCCGAGTAGCTGGGACTACAGGCGTGCACCATCATGCCCGGCTAATTTTTGTATCTTTGGTAGAGACAGGGTTTCATCATGTTGGCCAGGCTGGTCTTGAACTCCTGACCTCAGGTGATCCACCTGCCTCGGCCTCCCAATGTGCTGAGATTACAGGCGTAAGCCACTATGCCCAGCCGAGCTTGGTTTCCTAACTCAGATGTTAACCTTACAATCTTGATTATGTGCTGCTTTTAAGGTTCATTAGCTAAGTAAATTCACAACAGGCTAAAAATAAAGCCAAAATAAATAAACAGAAACACCATCACTTCAGCTGGGTCATCAGTGTGATCAGGGAGTGTGGCTAGGCACATCTTTGCCTTCTCTTCCCTTATGTTTCACCAAAGGCATTTTTTTTCCCAGTAGTTCCACCTGGGTATAGTCTTGTTGAACCGTCCTGGGCTAACAACAAGAGCCAAAAAGTAGGCACCTTCTGACAAATACCATGATTGCTGGGAGATTTAGGTGCAAGTCCTAACAATCCCAGGACAGTCCCAGGTGCTGCCAATGTCAATAGTGAGTTAGCCTAGGAGCCACAAAATAATGATATTATTCCACTCTTTTTGTTTTTTTCTTGTTTGTTTTTATGTTTTTATTATCCTACTCTTGGGTAAAATGCACCAATAAGAAATCATTGACATGAAAAGGGGACCTCATGAGAATACTGGTTACCTTTGCAGGGATATTGACTGAAGAGGCATGAGGTGCTGGATCTCAAGGAGGTTAAATGGGTGTGGAAAAATATGGTTTGCTGTACACATTAAATCTGTGCACTTTATTATATGTAAATTATACCTCAATTTTATTTATTTATTTTTTTTTATTTTGAGAGAGAGAGTCTTGCTCTATCGTGCAGGCTGGAGTGCAGTGGCACAATCTCGGCTCACTGCAAACTCTGCCTCCTGCGTTCAAGCGATTCTCCTGCCTCAGCCTCCCAAGTAGCTGGGATTACAGGCGCTCACCACCACGCCCAGCTAATTTTTGTATTTTTGGTAGAGACGGGATTTCACCATGTTAGCCAGGCTGGTCTCAAATGCCTGACCTCAAGTGATCTGCCCACCTCAGCCTCCCAAGGCGTGAGCCACTGCACCAGGCCTATACCTCAATTTTAAAAGCATAGCCTCAGATACCTCATATCCAGCTGCCACATTTTCTCAATGGTGCTTGCCATGCAAAGGTTGTATTCCTGTGGGCTTAGCCACAGACTCTCTCTTTCCATTTCCTTAAATATGGCAGTGGGCCCTTCTATGTTCCAGCACCACAAATATTTGCCTATACTTATTCTTGAATCTTTGGTCAAGCTCAATAGAACCTATCCTAATTGCAAATTCAAAAGTAGGCAAATGACCTGACCTCACCAAAATGAATAAGAGAATAGCATTGGCAAATCTCCTACAAACAGTATGGAAAGGAATGATTCATGTATGCCTGAAACAGAATTTTAGACATTAACCTCATAAATATGGATAGAAAAGACCAGCCCATCAAGTGCTTGGAGAATATGTACTAACCATTAGTGCTTCCCAATAGGGGAATGTGCATTGGTGAAGCAAGCAGTCTCCCCCAGCCCTCCCACTTGTACACCCTGCTTTTGCAATCCTGTCCTAAGTAGCTGGAAATACCAGCTTTGGATTAGCCAACAAAAGAAGGGGTGTCATCTTCAAGGGACCTCTTAAGAGGCAGACATTATTTGAGAATGTAGGGAGGTTTCTTAATGAGTGTGCTAGGGGTGGGGAAGACAAGAAGCCTTATTTCCCCTCATTATCGTATTAGCAAGCTTAGTTTATTAGAGTGGCTAATTGTCGATTAGGTATTCTTTGGCATGTCTACTGGTGCCCAGCCCTGCAGAAGACAGAGCAAACTTGAGGATCTTCAAATCCCTAGGTGACAGGGAGTGGCATGCGGGGAGGGGCCAGAGTGTGGATGTGGTAGGAGTAATCAATCCTGGCAGGGAGGAGTATCAATGACATTGTTCACAACTCTACCAGTGCTTAGTAATAACAAAAGGCAGACAGACTTTGGGTCGGTTTTATTATTGTTTTAAAATTCCCTCTAGGGGCTGGGCGTGGTGGCTCATGCCTGTAATCCCAACACTTTGAGGGGCGATGGGGGGCGGGTGAATCACGAGGTCAGAAGTTCGAGACCATCCTGGCCAATATGGTGAAACCATGTCTCTGCTAAAAACACAAAAATTAGCCGGGCTTGGTGGTGCGTGCCTGTAGTCCCAGCTACTCGGGAGGCTGAGGCAGAAGAATCGCTTGAACCCAGGAGGTGGAGGTTACAGTGAGCCGAGGTGGCACCACTGCACTCTAGCCTGGGCAACAGAGCGAGACACTGTCTCAAAAAAAAAAAATTCCCTCTATGCAATGCAGTCCCTTATAGCCTGCACTCTATCTGAACAGCTCCCACCATTCTGTCCTTGGTACACTGGTGAAGAGGAGTGCTGAAAAAGTCAGGGTGAGGGTGGGTAGGGGAGAATGGTTTGAAGTTTTCAAATCTATGTGGAGAAAAGTACCAAAATGGCTCTTAAAAAAAAAAAAAGAACTTTTGTTCATTTGCCTGCAAAATGCACCAGCTACTAGCAGCTTTTAGGCTTTCCTGCAAAGCCTTAAGTGAGTGAAGTGTGACTAGCAAGCCCTTAAGGATTTGAGTTGTTTCTTTTTCTTTTTTCTTTTCTTTTTTTTTTTTTTTGAGTTGGAGTTTCGTTCCTGTTGGCCAGGCTGGAGCACAATGGCGCCATCCCAGTTCACTGGGACCTCCACCTCCTGGGTTCAAGTGATTCTCCTGTCTCAGCCTCCCGAGTAGCAGGGATTATAGGTGCATGCCACCATGCCCAGCTAATTTTTGTATTTTTAGTAGAGACGGGGTTTCATCATATTGGTCAGGCTGGTCTTGAACTCCTCACCTCAGGTGATCTACCCGCCTCTGCCTCCCAAAGTGCTGGGATTACAGGTGCGAGCCACCACACCCAGCCGGATTTTAGTTGTTTTCTACAGTGGAAGGTTTTGTTTTGTTTTTGTCTTTTTTAAAAAAAGTTATGCCAGCCACTGGACCTGGTGGTGAGTGCTTGTAGTCCCAGGTATTTGGGAAGCTGAGGTGGGAGGACTGCTTGAGTCCAGGAATTCAAGGCCTGCCTGGGAAACACAGGAAGACCCCATCTCCAATAATAATAATAATAATAATAATAATAATAATAATAATAATAATAATAATGTGCGGGATTCTTCTTAGCTGTAAATGCTGAAATGTATATGTTCTCAAATGTGCGTGTTCCTGGACCAGCCTGGGTCTTTGCTCTAGTGTTTGCTGCTATCAGTTATTTCAATTGTCTTTGCTTCTCTCAGTTATCTGACACTATGAACCCTGGATGACTTTTCTTTTTTTTTTTTTTTGTTGAGACAGAGTCTCACACTGTCACCCAGGCTGGAGTGCAGTGGCGCGATCTCGGCTCACTGCAACCTCCGCCAGCCAGGTTCAAGCGATTCTCTTGCCTCAGCCTCCCGAGTAGCTGGGATTACAGGCACGCTGTAATTTTTGTACTTTTAGTGGAGACGGGGTTTCACCATCTTGGCCAGGCTGGTCTTGAACTCCTGACCTCATGCTCCACCCACCTCGGCCTCCCAAAGTGCTGGGATTACAGGCGTGAGCCACCGCGTCTGGCCAACTTTTCTAATTGACTTCATGTGAAGGTTTTTGATATGCCATAGTATTATAAACACCAATACTAATTCCTCCTCTCTGCATCCACTCTATTCTTTGCAAAATACTTTTACTCTGGGAGATCTTTTGGGCCTCACAACTCCATGAGGGAATGAAGCTGCTGTGTTACCTCTGGCAATGAGCTCAGTCTACCTCAGTGGCCCTAGGAAGATTCAAATCATGTTGATTCTAGAGGCAAAGTCACCTTCATTTGCCCTTGAGATCAGCTCTGTTGACTATTCTATACAGAAAGCCTCATGCAGAAGTTCTCACTAAGGCTAATTATCCCTAAAAGATCACTCAAGGAACTGAGAAATCAGTATTAAAAGCTGGGGAGATTGGCCTGGGCACACTGTTTCCCTTATCTGGGAAACACTTGCCTTACAGGAACATTGTAATGGCTACTGGGAAAACATAGATAACATATTTCTGTTGTTGGGCTCTCAAGCCATCAGATAGTCTTATCTTGTTGATTGGGAGATACTCCTCATCACAGACCACTAAAGAAAACTGCACAGGAACTGTCTGGGACCAGGGCACAGTCAGGCAGGCCAGTCATGTGAGCCAACTGGTCCTGTGATCTGCTCTCCTTCAGGGTGGCCAAGGAGGGGGCAGTTGCTTGAAGTTCACCACTAAGCTCAAAGAGGAAAACATGCAAATGGTGGCTTCTCCTCCATGTCAGATGTGATCTCTCTCTTCTTTCCTGCTACAGTAATCCGGTACAACAGTGATCTGGTTCAGAAATATCACCCTTGCTTCTGGATCGATGGGCAGTATCTCTGCTGCTCTCAGACAGCCAAAAATGCTATGGGCTGCCAAATTTTGGAGAACAGGAATGGAAGTAAGCAATCTGATCGATATAATTTCTTTCTCCTTTGACTGTTTCCATCACTCTCCCAAGGGTCTGTCAAGCCCAGGGTCATAGCATAAGGTTGTACACTTTGGGTGCTAAACAAAGGGTCCTGGGGGAGGGAGGAGGCACATGGGGGCTGAAATCCAGCTGGTAATCTGCTCTCCAAGCTATGTGACCTGGCATGCCTAGCTACTTTTTCTAACTTGCCTAAAGGCACTCAATATGGACGGCAAAGTCCCTGACCAAACCTGTCCTTGGCCCCTTTCCTAAAGTGCATTCCATATCATCACTGGCTTCTTGTTTTGCAGGCTTAAAACCTGGGAGTTCTCACCGGAAGACAAAAAAGCCTCTTCCCCCAACGCCTGAGGAGGACCAGGTATACAGGGAAACTGGGTGCTGCCACTGCTTAAATGGAAACTTATAGTCAAGCCCTAAGAACACACTAGAGTCTTAGAATTACCCTGGGACTTGGCAGTGTTAATTGGTATTCTTGCTAAGATGGGGGATTTGTTCTTCTAATTAGGATTTCCTCCTCGATGGAAAGATAGAAGGCTCTCAGCAACCATGTAATCCAATCACCTGTTTAGAACAAAACCTGATTTTTTTAATGTAAAGTTTTTGTTGTTGTTTTGTTTTTGCTTTTGTTTTTGTTTTGAGACGGAGTCTCGCTCTGTCGCCCAGGTTCGAGTGTAATGGCATGATCTCGGCTCACTGCAACCTCCGCCTCCCAGATTCAAGTGATTCTCCTGTCTCAGCCTCCTGAGTAGCTGGGATTACAGGCATGCACCACCACGCCCAGCTAATTTTTGTATTTTTAGTAGAGATGGGGGTGTCACCATGTTGTTCAGGCTGGTCTCGAACCCGCCTCGGCCTCCTAAAGTGCTGGGATTACAGGCGTGAGCCACCGTGCCCAGCTGGAAAGTATTTTCAAACATACAGTAAAGTTAGAAGAATTTAACACTTAATACCAACATACTCAACACTTAGCACTAACACCACCTATCACTAACACTTCAGAAGTTTTTTTTTTTTTTTTGGTTCCTTCTTGAGGGCTAGAAAGCCCTTTCTCACATATTGTAAGTAAGTAGAGCAGGTATTATTATACTCATTTTACAAAGAAGGAAACCAAGGTTCTGAGCCACTTAGTAGATTCACGTACAAGTTTAGTGCCAAGCCGGTTTCCTGACCTTAGCTATAAATGGTTTTTGTCTAGTGAGCTTTAAAAATAGTAATGTTTGGGTCCCATTCCTGAGAGTTTGATTTTGATGTAATTGGTCTGTGAGGAAACTGACTAGGTATTGGAATTGGTTTTTTGTTTTTTGTGGGTTTTTTTTTGAGACAGTCTCACTCTGTCACCCAGGCTGGAGTGCAGTGGCGTGGTCTTGGCTCACTACAACCTCCGCCTCCTGGGGTCAAGTTATTCTCCTGCCTCAGCCTCCTGAGTAGCTGGGGCTATATGCACACACTACCATGCCCAGCTGATTTTTGCATTTTTAGTAGAGATGGGGTTTCGTCACGTTGGCCAGGCTGGTCTCGAACTCCTGGCCTCAACTGATCCGCCCGCCTTGGCCTCCGAAAGTACATTGGAATTTAAAAGTTCCATACATGGTCTTTATATGTGTGCAAGGCTGAGAACTCCTGCACTGGTGCTTAAAAATGGTTGTTGAATGACTGCTGAGTAATATTTTAGTATGCCTGATTTGGGTGTCTTGAGTAAGCCAGAGAGTTGGGAGAGAAGAGAAGAGTGCTTGGTATCTTGACAAACCCTCCTACCTTTTCTCCTAACTACATAGATCTTGAAAAAGCCACTACCGCCTGAGCCAGCAGCAGCACCAGTCTCCACAAGTGAGCTGAAAAAGGTTGTGGCCCTTTATGATTACATGCCAATGAATGCAAATGATCTACAGCTGCGGAAGGGTGATGAATATTTTATCTTGGAGGAAAGCAACTTACCATGGTGGAGAGCACGAGATAAAAATGGGTGAGTCCACACCAGCCCTTCCTGAGCCTGGTGCCTGCCCACTCCCTACACGCAAAAAGTGCTGCGGCATAATTCCCGTGATCAGCATCCTCATCAGAGACTGTTCTTCCCACACCAGACTGAACATGCTCTCCCTCCAAGTACTTCCCAGCGTGCAGCTCCCTATACATGGCCTCTGCCACATCTCTGAGCCTCTGTTGTTGGGCACATATAACCAATGCAACATGTGCATAAGCTCTGCACCTCACTGGCTCACTGCCTAACCATGCATCAGAGACATGATTGTCTTTGAGGGAGGTGCATGATACATATACCTCCATTTGAGATTTGTTCTGAGCTCAGGGACGTGGGCATATGAATCTGTCTCCTGGAGGCTGGGGAGGTGCTGGATGAACTGCCACATTGTTTCCTTCACAGGCAGGAAGGCTACATTCCTAGTAACTATGTCACTGAAGCAGAAGACTCCATAGAAATGTATGAGTAAGTATGTTTATGTCAGTCCACAATCTTCCAGGAGGAACTCTCTCTCTCTATATATATATATATTTATTTATTTATATATATTTTATATATATTTATATATATATATAACACACACAAGTGTATATATGTATACATATGTATACATACACTGGTGTATATATAGGTATATTATGTATACATACACAAGTGTGTATATATATATATACACTTTTTTCTACTTTCAACATATTTTTTATTTCAAGATATATATTAAAATTAGTACCATCTGAATCAAATGATGCCACCACCTCAAATTAGTGTATCTGTCTTACCTTTACCCCCCAAACACCCTCCATTTATGAGAGCTGGAGAGGTCACCATGCCCTCAAATCCAGAAGAATCACACTCAAAGAAAAAGGAGTTGACGACCTGATGAAAGAATTAAAATGTCAAACTGCTACTGTTGTCCTTTCCTCCCTAATCATGGAAGTGGATTGTTCTCAAGTGCCCTAGTCCCTGATCTCTTCCCTGCAACTCCCTGCTGCTTGCCTTTGCCTGCTACTCTCCATTTCCATGAATCTTCAATGCCAACCTGGGTTTGGGAAAGGGATACAGTGTGCTATGCACATGACAGATGCTCAGTAAATAGGGTTTGAGTGAGTTGACTGAATCACTGACATGGACAAGCCCTGGAGGGTGCTGTAACCTCCAATCTGCTTATGACCAGGAGCCACTCAAGCAGCACTCTCCCTTCACAGGTGGTATTCCAAACACATGACTCGGAGTCAGGCTGAGCAACTGCTAAAGCAAGAGGTAAGTGTGGAACCACTAGCACACAGCATTCTCCTTGCATAAGTGAGGATCTTGAACTGAGGGCCTGTTCTGCCCCCTACCTTTGGGCAAGGCAGTGTCAAAGCTGCCATCGTCTGGGATCCCAATTACACCATTTTTTTTGTTTTTGTTTTTCTGAGACGGACTCTCGGTCTGTCACCCAGGCTGGAGTGCAGTGGCGTGATCTGGGCTCACTGCAACCTCCGCCTTCTGGGTTCAAGTAATTCTCCTACCTCAGCCTCCCAAGTAGCTGGGATTACAGGCACATGCCACCACGCCCGACTAATTTTTGTATTTTTAGCAGAGACGGGGTTTCACCATGTTGGCCAGGCTGGTCTCGAACTCCTGACCTCAGGTGATCCGCCCACCTCGGCCTCCCAAAATGCTGGGATTACAGGCATGAGCCACCATGCCCGGCCTGCACCTTTTAATATTAAAAGCAATGAGGCTGTAGCTCAAGCGTGGAACTTGGCAGTAAAATCAGGGGTTGTTCTATTTTCTCTCTCAAGTTTGGGCAGGTGGGATGCAGGTGTGAGCACCACTTCCTCCTACAGACAGCTTCTTTTTCGTTGTTTCAGGGGAAAGAAGGAGGTTTCATTGTCAGAGACTCCAGCAAAGCTGGCAAATATACAGTGTCTGTGTTTGCTAAATCCACAGGGTGAGTGCTACTATTCCAAGGCCCTGAGGACAAAGAACAGGGGTACCCTCCTAATAGCTCCTTGATGCTGTGCCCGTCCCACTTCCTCTGTCTCTGAAACTCAAAACTCATCTCACTTCACTTCCTGGGTTCTGTTGACCTTTGTGCCCAAGTTACTGACTAAGCATCCACTTCTTCAGGGACCCTCAAGGGGTGATACGTCATTATGTTGTGTGTTCCACACCTCAGAGCCAGTATTACCTGGCTGAGAAGCACCTTTTCAGCACCATCCCTGAGCTCATTAACTACCATCAGCACAACTCTGCAGGTGAGTACCAGGGGCAACTGAGAAGGGAGTTACAGACACCAGGATAAGCAATGCAGGACAAGGTGATAAGAGGAAGAATCTGCCTCACAGGACAGTGTGAATTCACTGTGAAAGGAAATCCCTGTGATACTGGGTAGAAGCTGGTAAAGAGGTGGTCAGAGGCAGACCTACACCCAACAGGGACTGACTCTTTATTTGGTGATTGATGTTCAGTGTTAAGAGAAGACACAAAAGAGGCTGGTGACTGATTCATCAGCAAGTATTCATTGAGTTCCTACTGTGTACTCAGCGATTTCCTCAGTTCTAGAGGAGAACACGGGAACATTCTGAGTCGAGGTCCTTGTCCTCAAAGAACATACAGGTTAGACAACATCAGAAGAAAGTTTATAAGCACTGTAAAATTTCTAAAAACTGAGACATTAGTGAGGGCATGGATATGGGGGAACAGCTTCATCAAGAAGGTAGGATGTGAGCTAAGCCTGGGCTGGGAGGTGGGAATATATTCAGTTAGGCAGTGTATTTCAATTAGTATTTTCTCTTTTTTGTCCCTGAAAAGTATTTTGTGAGAGGAGAAACCTCTGGAAATATGTGGGTTCATGGAGGTCTTCTGGGATTCAAAATGTACTAGAAAGATACACACCGGAAGTGTGAGGCTTTAAGTGAGGATGTGTGAGGCATCCCACCTCCTACACCACACCAACAGCATGACCTCTCTCTCTGTTTCAGGACTCATATCCAGGCTCAAATATCCAGTGTCTCAACAAAACAAGAATGCACCTTCCACTGCAGGCCTGGGATACGGTAACTCCTTATTTCTCTGGGGTAGGGTGGACTGGCCAGTTGCAAAAACTACCTTTGCTGGCCTTGCCTTAGGGAGTGTCCTTGAGGTACACTGTTCTGCAGCAGCTGCCTCAAGGACGCTCAAGACAGATCCAAGCAAAAGTTATTCACTGATTTTCTTCCTCTAGTGGCTACGACTGGGACTGCAAAAACATAGATTCATAAAGGGCTTTGTCGTTGTCTTGGGTCTTTTTGTCTTTTATTTTTAATTGTGGGAAAATTTTCAGTACTATCCCTGAGTTCATTAACTACCATCACTAACATAATCATAAAGGGATTTGGGGAGGTTGCTTAGTCTATCTTCTTGCCTTATGGCCACCTTGAACCTAAAATTCCCAGATTCCTCTAACCAATGAATCCCGTTTCTGAGATTGACTTAAGCAAAGACAGATTAGTACTTCTAAAAATTTCCCTTTTACTAGTTTTCCTATTTCTACCCCAGTAGGGATTTTTGTCTATTGTAAGAATTATACATTCATGACCCCAAAGAATCACACCAAGACTTTATTGTTAGGATCATGGGAAATTGATCCAAAGGACCTGACCTTCTTGAAGGAGCTGGGGACTGGACAATTTGGGGTAGTGAAGTATGGGAAATGGAGAGGCCAGTACGACGTGGCCATCAAGATGATCAAAGAAGGCTCCATGTCTGAAGATGAATTCATTGAAGAAGCCAAAGTCATGATGTGAGTTATAGCCCAAACTCAACTCTCAATCTATTTGCTGGAGTCTAGGAATTCACACAACAACCCACTGAGGCTTAAAGATGACTTACAGTAAGAGAGGTTTGGGACGAGGGACTGAAGTTTACCTTTAACTGGCGGTAGTCCTAAGTGCTAAGATAATAGTTTCTGTGCCTTAGATATTGGTTGAGAATAGTGGTGATCATGGGTGTGTACCATCTCAGTAGCATTTGGGGGTAGATGTAGAAAATTAAACTTTCAAGAGAAATATTCTAATTTAGCCTTAGCGTTCTTTCATTCCTGGACTTGTTTCTTTTTCAATTGATGGGCTCCAAATCCCTGCTTGCTTCCACATTTTAAGCACTTTTGAGATTTAGGGTGGGAAAGAGGAAAATAAACTTGCTGGTGTGACCCCTTATCTGATGCTCTACTCCTAGGTCAGCCCCTTCCTCCCCAGCCCCTTTATTGCTATTATGCAGAGCCAAAAGGAGAAGACTAGTTCCTTGCCTTTCCTGTAGGAATCTTTCCCATGAGAAGCTGGTGCAGTTGTATGGCGTCTGCACCAAGCAGCGCCCCATCTTCATCATCACTGAGTACATGGCCAATGGCTGCCTCCTGAACTACCTGAGGGAGATGCGCCACCGCTTCCAGACTCAGCAGCTGCTAGAGATGTGCAAGGATGTCTGTGAAGCCATGGAATACCTGGAGTCAAAGCAGTTCCTTCACCGAGACCTGGTGGGACCTTAGAAGGATTGGCCTAGGACAAAGGGCTGATGGGGTGGAAGTAGCAGTGGAAGATATATCATACATGGTTGAGGGGGGCTGCTGGTGCCATCATTTCAATTTTATCTAGAAAGTACTATAAGTTAGGCGTGCCTCTGCCCCAGTGCTGAGCCCATCAAATATCTCCAGCCTCAGCTCCATGAAGTCTGCCGTGGTGGGAATCAGAGCAGTCACTCACTCCCAACCCCCTACCACCCACAAGAAAATGGTGGGGTCTTTCAGTGGCCATTCTGGATTTGGAACAGAAGGGACTGTGCTTCCCAATGGGACTGCTCCTGGCATGGGGCCATCATTTGGTTCCTTCAGAGTCACATACTGGGGCCTGTGGATGCATTTGGCCCACATGTGTGGGTTTTTTTTATGTTATATAATAATTAGCAAACCCTTAAAAAGAAACATTTCGCTTAAAAAAAAAAAAACCCTGGAATTTCCAGCTTCTCTTGAAAATCTACACCGTCTGGAAATACCAGGTCCACATTCTCACGAACCGCCTCCTTTCCTCTAGGCATGTACTCTCCATTTCCTGCAATCTCGATCCACTTCACTTCACTCTTACTTAACTTGCCTGGCCCCTGTAAGCATCAGAGTTTGCGCCCCTGTTTCTTTCAGTCAGGCCAAGGCTCAAATTGTCCTAGTCTCACTGGCAGAAAAGCAGAAAGCAAAAAAACTTACTTCTCATTCTCCCTTCTTTGTTTTTTGTTTGTTTTGTTTTGTTTTGTTTTGTTTTGAGATGGAGTCTCGCTCTGTTGCCCAGGCTAGAGTGCAATGGCACCATCTCGGCTCACTGCAAACTCCGCCTCCCAGATTCAAGCAATTCTCCTGCCTCAGCCTCCCAAGTAGCTGGGATCACAGGCGCCCAACACCACGCCCAGCTAATTTTTGTATTTTTAGTAGATGGGGTATCGCCATGTTGGCCAGGCTGGTCTTGAACTCTTGACCTCAGGTGATCCACCCACCTCGGCCTCCCAAAGTGTTGGGATTACAGGCGTGAGCCACTGCACCCAGCCTCTCCCTTAATTCTTTCAGCATATCAGTGAGGGAATGGGGTGGTGTGGAATTGCCCATGAGAATGCAATCGTTCTGTATGTCCTCAGTGCTTTACCTAGGACTACACAGCAGGTTGCTTTCCACGTGGTGGAAATGAATCAAAATTTCTTGGTGGCATCAACAGATTCCTATTAGGTGGGAAGGTGTCTGTAGTCGAAGGAGATGAAGCTTCCCTGGCTTCATTCTACTGGTCAGCAGAAGCTTTGTGCCTTTAACCTCTGTGCTGGGGACGGAGTCTCACTGGTCTCTGTTTGCACTACAGGCAGCTCGAAACTGTTTGGTAAACGATCAAGGAGTTGTTAAAGTATCTGATTTCGGCCTGTCCAGGTGAGTGTGGCTTTTTCATCTTTCCCTCCAGAAGTAAAAATAGCACAGTATGAAACATGGGTAGGTGTTACAGTTTTAATCCTCTCCTTTTCTTTTTTTTCTCATTCTAGCGTTTTCTGCCGATCTTTCTATTCTTTTTCTTCCTCTGAGTTATTTAAGCCACCTCTTTCATCCTTTTGTTTTATTGTCATATCCCTTTCCTTCCTTTCTCCCTTTATCTCTACCTCCTCTTTTTTAAATCTATTTCCCCAATACCTTATCTTGATCTATTAATCCTGATGACTTTACTCCATTCCTCCTTCTTTCTTAATCAGTCTAATTCCCAGTGACAACTGCAGATAAAAGGAAGGGAAGGAGAAGAGCAGAGAAAGGAAAGGTGGATAGAGAAGAGGAAGGGAGTACCTACTAGATCTTATTTCACTTCATCCTTCTTGTAACCATATTGTCAATCAGGAAAGCTCAATCAGATACAAAAACAGGAAATTCGTTAAAAGTAACGTTTGTAGAAGATACTAGTTGAGGAGGAGAGACTTTTGAGAAAGCCTGTGTGTGTTTGTGACACTCTTGTGACCGTGCCAAGAAAACGTAAGCAAATATCAAGCCTCCAAATCCTAATGCAACAAGTCCTGAATCCCTTGCAGGTATGTCCTGGATGATGAATACACAAGCTCAGTAGGCTCCAAATTTCCAGTCCGGTGGTCCCCACCGGAAGTCCTGATGTATAGCAAGTTCAGCAGCAAATCTGACATTTGGGCTTTTGGTAAGTGGATAAGATTACACAGATTATACAGCTCAAAGGATAAGAAATGCAATGGGAAAATTCACACTTTGCAACCTCCACAGAGATATTGTTCTTGCTTTCATTCTTCCAATCCTTGGGGAGTGCTTACTGTGTGTCAGCCACCACAGGGGTTTCTGAGGATGAAAACTAAACTGGACATGATCTCTGCCTTTTTAGAACTTAAACCATGTTAAGGAAAACAATTCATTCAGTTTTCAACAGCTTCTGAATACTGATTATGTACCAGGCACTCTGCCAGACCCTATAACTGCAAAGACAAATAAGATGCTGTCTCTCTTCTAGAGGAGTTAATAGTCTAGTACGACCTTGATCTCCATCTAGTGTGGTCAGTACTATAGCAGAAATTTGGGCAAAATATAAAAAGCACAGAGCGGGGAACCAACTGATTCTAATCTTTGAGGTTGATCTAGGAAGACTAGGACCCCTGCTATCCAAAAAGACTGCAAACCAATTTAATAATTTTTTTCACCTTCTAGGGGTTTTGATGTGGGAAATTTACTCCCTGGGGAAGATGCCATATGAGAGATTTACTAACAGTGAGACTGCTGAACACATTGCCCAAGGCCTACGTCTCTACAGGCCTCATCTGGCTTCAGAGAAGGTATATACCATCATGTACAGTTGCTGGCATGAGGTAAGTGCTTTATTAGGATCTCTTAAATTATTTCCTTGAATCTACTTGCCCATTTAGCTGGCCATTCAGCCACCAAAGACTGATAGCTGCACACATTCTTTTTTTTCCTTTTTTTTTTTTTTTAATTTGAGACAAGGTCTCGCTCTTTCACCCAGGTTGGAGTACAGTGGCGCGATCTTGGCTTACTGCAACCTTCGCCTCCCAGATTCAAGCGATTCTCATGTCTCAGCCTCCCAAGTAGCTGGGATTATAGGCGTGCACCACCACACCAAGCTAATTTTTTTTTTTTTTTTTGGTGACACAGTCTTGCTCTGTCACCCAGGCTGGAGTGCAGTGGCACGATTTTGGCTCACTGCAACCTCTGCCTCCTGGGTTCAAGTGATTCTCCTGCCTTAGCCTCCCGAGTAGCTGGGACTACAGGCACATGCCACCGTGCCCAGCTAATTTTTGCATTTTTAGTAGAGACAGCATTTCACCATGTTGGCCAGGCAGGTCTTGAACTCCTGACCTCAGGTGATCCACCCACCTCGGCCTCCCAAAGTGCTGGGATTACAGGCGTGAGCCACTGAGCCTGGCCAATTTTGTATTTTTAGTAGAGATGGCATTTCGCCATGTTGACCAGGCTGATCTCGAACTCCTGGCCTCAAGTGATCCGCCCACCTCGGCCTCCCAAAGTGCTGGGATTAGAGGCATCAACCACCACGCCAGGCCTTGCACACATTCTCTGACCTTGGCCTGCAACTTGATCATCTGATGGCCAGAGGCTTTCCCAGGCCCACTCCGATTCTCACTAGAGTGTCATTAGTACACTCCAATGCCAGCTCAGCTTTAGGGAGTGAGGTGTTGTGGGGCCATGTCATCTAGCATAAGCAGGCAGCCAGAGGCATTCAGACAAGTGAATGGGCATTACAAAAGAAAAGTCATGAAAGTTTGTTCATTCCTTTGTGTGTCATTGGCCCTTTCTTCTACTTTATTAGCTGCCAACCGTTTCTGGCTGAGGTCCTAAATGAGATTTTTTTTTTTTTTTTTTTGAGACCGAGTCTTTCTCTGTCGCCCAGGCTGGAGTGCAGTGGCGTGATCTCGGCTCACCGCAAGCCCCGCCTCCTGGGTTCACAGCATTCTCCTGCCTCAGCCTCTCGAGTAGCTGGGACTACAGGGGCCCGCCACCACGCCCGGCTAATTTTTTGTATTTTTAGTAGAGACAGGGTTTCACCGTGTTAGCCAAGATGGTCTCGATCTCCTGACCTTGTGATCCACCCGCCTCTGCCTCCCAAAGTGCTGGGATTACAGGCATGAGCCACAGCGCCCGGCTAAATGAGATTTTTTTTAAAACCTACTGCTTGAAAGGGAACTAAAACAGGTAGTGGGTTTTTTGTTTGCTTTGTTTTGTTTTGCTTTTTAATATGGTGCATCGTGGGGTATGTGGGTAGGTGTGGTATTTTGGAAATAAGGAAATCTGTCCTACTACTATTAAACTGCTTTGCTCCTCTTACCTCGAGTTCTTCCCAAGATGCCTTCTCTACTTTTCAGTAGATCCTTGGCAACCTAAATTTCTAGTAGGAAATAAATGCTCAACTCTTCAGAGTGTCCAACAAGTGCATATGTGAATCTGGAGCCTTCTTGGTGAGGTGAAAAGTGGGTATCTGGATCCGAGCATGGCTGGTTTCCCTCGAACAAATGACAGATCACAGAGAAAGTGCAGAAAGGGAGGACTCCTTCTTTCTTCTGTGTGATGCAGGATTAAGGGTGATTGGCTATGCTCCCTCCCAATCAGGACCTTCTTACTCTGCTAATTAAAAATGATTTCAGACAGGTACTTTATCCACAGCCTGTTTAAAGGAGTGGTCAAAATTGGATGCATATCAGAAACCCTAAGGAGCTCTTAAAAATGCAGATTACTGGCTGGGCATGGTGGCTCATGCCTGTAATCCCAGCAGTTTGGGAGGCCAAGGCAAGCGGATCACGTGGTCAGGAGATCTAGACCATTCTGGCCAACATGGTGAAACCCTGTCTCTACTAAAAATACAAAAATTAACCAGGCGTGGTGATGTGTGCCTGTAATCTCAGCTACTCAGGAGGCTGAGGCAGGAGAATGACTTGAACCCAGGAGGTGGAGGTTGCAGTGAGCCGAGATCCTGCCACTGCACTCTGGCCTGAGTGACAGAGCGAGACTGTGTCACAAAAAAAAATTCAGGTAACTGGGACTTTTCTCCAGAAATTCTGATTAGCTATGCCTGAAGTGGAACCCAGAAATCTCTTTTTAAACTTCCCAGGAAATTCTGATACTCAGCTAAGTTTAAGAATCACTGAGTCAAGGAATCAAGAAATTGATGACCATTGGTTCTAACAGATTGAGAGCATTCTGGCATGAATGTTCCCTGAACCACTAAATACCAAATACCTCGGGGGCTTATGGGCCATGGCCATCAAAAAGAACCTTAGTCGTAGGCCGGGCGCGGTGGCTCACGCCTGTAATCCCAGCACTTTGGGAGGCTGAGGCGGGGGAATTACCTTAGGTCAGGAATTCGAGACTAGTCTGACCAACATGGTGAAACCCGGTCTATACTAAAAATACGAAAATTAGCTGGGCGTGATGGCGTGCACCTGTAATCCCAGCTACCTGGGAGGCTGAGGCAGGAAAATCGCTTGAACCTGGGAGGTGGCAGTGAGCTGAGCTCACACCACTGCACTCCAGCCTGGACAACAGGGTGAGACTCTGTCTCAAAAAGAAAAAAAAAAAAAAACCTTAGTCTTTTTGTTACCAGTGGTAAAAAAAAAAAAAAAAAAAAAAAGGTCCCAGGTACTCAGAATCCCTGCTCAGTAATACAGCCTGTGGTTTTGAAATATTAATCACTAAAAATTATCACATGGGATTTCTGTTCTGCCAACCACTTGAACTTGTTTGGTAGCCATTTTTCACTTGAGGATCCAAAATAAGAATGTGTTGTATACAGTTACATAATGAACTTGCCCTCAATTTTGATCAGTGTGATTGTCAGTTTAATTTGCAAATTGTTCTTATCACACTAATAACCTGAGTTACTAAAGATGAAAAGTGCACAAAGACTTTATGGAGAGCTGCTATTTCTTTTTTTTTTTTTTTTCCTTTTGTAATCGACAGGGCATGCTACTGGGCATAGAGCATATATTTAATAAACATTTGCTGCTTACTCATTGCATTTCCCTTGAATTCTGGATTCTAGCCACTCTAACACTTTACTTTTTCTTTGGTTTTAGAAAGCAGATGAGCGTCCCACTTTCAAAATTCTTCTGAGCAATATTCTAGATGTCATGGATGAAGAATCCTGAGCTCGCCAATAAGCTTCTTGGTTCTACTTCTCTTCTCCACAAGCCCCAATTTCACTTTCTCAGAGGAAATCCCAAGCTTAGGAGCCCTGGAGCCTTTGTGCTCCCACTCAATACAAAAAGGCCCCTCTCTACATCTGGGAATGCACCTCTTCTTTGATTCCCTGGGATAGTGGCTTCTGAGCAAAGGCCAAGAAATTATTGTGCCTGAAATTTCCCGAGAGAATTAAGACAGACTGAATTTGCGATGAAAATATTTTTTAGGAGGGAGGATGTAAATAGCCGCACAAAGGGGTCCAACAGCTCTTTGAGTAGGCATTTGGTAGAGCTTGGGGGTGTGTGTGTGGGGGTGGACCGAATTTGGCAAGAATGAAATGGTGTCATAAAGATGGGAGGG
Organism: Homo sapiens; assembly: GCF_000001405.40. Lineage (NCBI taxonomy): Eukaryota > Metazoa > Chordata > Mammalia > Primates > Hominidae > Homo > Homo sapiens. The sequence continues at coordinate 101,349,490 of NC_000023.11, read as the reverse complement.
GAGGGTGTTTTGATAAAATAAAATTACTAGAAAGCTTGAAAGTCTTTGGTATCTCTATTAATCATGCAGCCTCCCTGAAGCGCCCTATCTCAGTATTCCAGAAAGCTGCTGTGTAGCATTAGTTTGGCATATTCCTACACTGAGAACTCGACAGGATCCTCCAGGTTTAAGCCCTCTTGTTAACTCCTGCCTCTGAATCAAAGATGCATTAAGCAAAAACAGTGCCTGTCACAGCACGCATGCAATGTTATTTGAATGAATCTGAAAGTTGGGCACAAACTGCCATAGCCTCATTTCCCTACGTCGGGAGAGGAAAACTCCATCAAAAAACGAAAGCCAGGGGCCCAGGATAGCCAACTAATCGACCCAGTCAACTAACTGACCCAGTGCACAACTCTGGTAGCTCAGAAAACGCGGGCTAATTTGGAAGTGGACAGGGGCGGAGCTGTGGGGCCAGCACGGAATGGATCACGTGGTCTGAAGTAACTTCCTTTTCTCCTTTCTTTTCTTTTTGGAGTAACATCTCAACGGCACCTCGGCTCTGGGCTGTAAGCCCTGCGATCTCAAGGCGCAAGGCTGGGCGCAACGGCAGGGTTGCGGGGTTACGGGATTGCGGGGTCCGGGGAGTGGAACCCGCCGACTCCGGGAACGAAGCACCGGCGCCAAGGTGTGGGAGGCGGCGGGGTGGAGTTGGACGCCTGCCTCGCGCCGACGCAGTGCACTCACGGGGGCGGTCCCAGAGGCAGCTAGCTGTGGTTCCGGTTCCGTCGCGGAGACACGTGAAGGTCGGTGCGGAGTTCGTCTCTGCAAGCTTGGTCGCCCTGGGATGGATTCCTCCTCCTCTTCCTCCGCGGCGGGTTTGGGTGCAGTGGACCCGCAGTTGCAGCATTTCATCGAGGTAGAGACTCAAAAGCAGCGCTTCCAGCAGCTGGTGCACCAGATGACTGAACTTTGTTGGGTGAGGAGCCTGGGGCTGGGACCTGAACACTGTACCTACTTTCCCTCTGTCCTTGTACCGCGGGACTCGCGACAACGTCGGGGATTCGGGGTGGGGGGCGGGCACCTGGCAGCAACCCTTGATTTTCTCAGGTTCCTGTGGCCTAGCCGGATGGGAGAAGGGTGACTCCGCTTCTCTGGGGACTGTCATTCCGGACCTCGGCTTTGTTGGTGTAGAGGACTGGGTATCAAAGAAGACTTATGCCACTGGACACCCAGCACTTTCAGGCACCCGAGGTTGAAGCTGCCTAGTGCTGGTCACCAAGACTGATCGGAGCCCCCAGTACTGGGATTTTATTTTTGGCAGCCCGAGTCCCAGAGAGTCAGTGAATCAGTGAATCTGCTATTCCTGGACTCCTCGGGATTTACCTTCATTACCCAGTTCTAACCCTCTCCGCTGAAAAATGAGTGGCTCCAGCCCAGTAACTATAAAAGTGGTGTAATCTCTTCCAACGTACATACTTATTTGCTTTCTTGTTGGATTGTTGTGTAATACCAAGCCGTTTTGGGTCTGAAGGTTGAGGAATTGAGCCTGCCCTGTGAGGGGACTTTGGCAAAAGGGTGGAAGGTATTTGCAGCTTGCCAACAACGTGTTCTGCTTGCCAAGGACAGATCTCCCTTAATGTACACAATTCACAGAATTCAGAGGCCAAGGATAATTTTCCTTGGAATTAGAGGGTCTGAGGCTTGTGTACATGGCAGAGAATAATGAACGAAATTTTTGAACCACTTAACTTGAACTATATACAGTCATTGGTTTCCATAGGCCCTTTCCCATAAACTTACAGTATTGCTGGACTATGACACCTACCAGATGCTTACTTAACTCTGGTCTGCCTTGGACCAGAGTGCTTTGATTCTTTTTTAAAAATATCTGTGATTCGTTACTTTGGGGCTAGGAGGGCGTGTGGTTAAGTACTATTGCAAGAATCTGTAAGCTGCCCGGCGCGGTGGCTCATGCCTGTAATCCCAGCACTTTGGGAGGCGGGTGGATCACTTGAGGTCAGGAGTTCGAGACCAGTCTGGGCAACACGGCGAAGCCCTGTCTCTACTAAAAATAGAAAAAATTAGCTGGGCGGGGTGGCACCCGCCTGTAATCCCAGCTACTCAGGAAGCTGAGGCACGAGAATGGCTTGAACCTGGCGGAGGTTACAGTGAGATCATGCCACTGCACTCCAGCCTGGGTGACAGAGCCAGACTCTGTCTCAAAAAAAAAAAAGAAAAGAAAAGAAAGGAAAAAAAACTGTAAGCTATGATGAACCCCTTAGGAAAATGCATTCAATTTTCCATTCATCATGACAGGATTCAAGAATCTCTAGCTTAAGTAGACAAGGTTATAGAATCTCAAGTCATATTTTTTTTCTTCTTTGGTAGGTTTTAGGGTACCTTGCTGAAATGATTTATCCTTTCACCCTTTTATTCTGTAGTTAACTTAAAGGCATTTAGTTCAAACAGCATTGTGGAGTTAAAACCAAATTCATTGAAAGGTTACTTCACTTATATTTTGCCATTTTCTTGCTCTGGAATATCCCAGCTCTGCCATTTTCTGGCCCTATGATTTTGGGTAAAGTATCTCTGTGCCACAGTTTTCCTCTTTGTAAAATGAGGATTTATAATAGTATCTATTCCATAGTATTGTTGTAAGAATTTAATGTAAGGCTAGAGAACATTGCTATATACTTGGTCAGCTGCCAAATGTGAACTATCAGTAACATATCAGATATTATTTTTAGGTAAAGTTTTTTTTTCTCTAAGCAACAAAAAGGGACCCCTGCCCCCAACCGTCTTTTTCTTTCCAAGTTCCCTTTGTGATTCTGTATCTTGTCCTGAGCAGGAGAAGTGCATGGACAAGCCTGGGCCAAAGTTGGACAGTCGGGCTGAGGCCTGTTTTGTGAACTGCGTTGAGCGCTTCATTGATACAAGCCAGTTCATCTTGAATCGACTGGAACAGACCCAGAAATCCAAGCCAGTTTTCTCAGAAAGCCTTTCTGACTGATCTCAGCATTACCTCTTTGGAAAAGGAAGGTAGTTCAAGAAATGAAGAGCTGTTGATGGGATGATTGAAGAAACAGCTATGAGAGGATTGGCTCCCATCTTTTGTTACTCTTGGGACATCCTGTCATCTGAGAATGAACAAAGACCAATTTTTTGTGTGTGAAGCTTAAGGGTCATATGTTTGCTTGTATTTTTTAATGCTAATCTTGTGAAAATAATTGACAGGCGAAAGAAAACTCTATTTAGATGCATATTACTGTACATGGGACTATGCTTTTCTCAAAGCCCCATTAACTGCTTCCTATAATTTTGATAGTGGGACCACATACGTAAAAATCTCTCATTTGTGTGGAGTCATTTCTGATTTCAGGGGAGATCCTTGTGTTTATCAGAAAGGGCAGAAGTAGGGGAAGAATAATTTGGTATCCTTATCTAGTGTTTGATTGTCAATGCTGGAGAAAAATATCTGTAAGAGTGTTTATACAGTACACTTCAGTTATCTTGATCTCCCTTTCCTATATGATGATTTGCTTAAATATCCATATTAAGTAAGTCTCAAGGTAGGGTAGGCAGCCTGAGAGTCTAGAGGCCTTTAGTTATAAAGGAATCTAGCCAGTGAACATAATTCTTATTACTAGACTGCCACAAGGAAGAAATTAACTTACCCTGTATATCAGGGTACAAAAAATTCAGTGATGTGCCTAAATAAGTTATAAAGATTTAGGCCAATCAGAAGCTAACAGCAGTTTCAGGTAGAGGTGCATGCCTAATGTTAGTTAGTGTAGATTCCATTTACTGCATTCTTCTGATCACTGAAATAAAAGCTATATAAGATTCAACTCTGTGATTGAGAAGGCATCCTATTGCAGTTATTATCTGCAACCCGGAGAGATTTAGCATGGGCTGATTCCAAGGTTAAAATGTAGTCAGTCAGTCTGGGTACCTGCTCTGTGTAAGGTACAGCACAGTATTCCAGGGGTTCCTGACCTTTTTGAGAGAAAAGAGAACCTAGAGATGAGATGGGGAGGGAAGCGGTTATGTGCTGGCAGTCAAGTCCGTGAGTATAGTAGAGGTTGTATTGACTGGATTCTCCTCTTATTTCAAATCCTTGTAGACTGGAGTATAGACCTAAAATGGACCTACTTGTTGGGAGCCTCTAGTGCAAATCCATGAAATCTGGGGAAATGAACATCTCTAAAAGCTTCAAGTCCCTGTTTAGATTTTCCCCATAAAGGTGCTAGAAGGACTTTTTTTTTTTTTTTTTTTGAGACGGAGTCTTGCTCTGTCGCCCAGGCTGGAGTGCAGCGGTGGGATCTCGGCTCACTGCAACCTCCACCTCCCGGGTTCAAGTGATTCTCCTGCCTCAGCCTCCTGAGTAGCTGGGATTACAGGCGCACGCCACCATGCCTGGCTAATTTTTGTACTTTTAGTAGAGACGGGGTTTCACCATGTTGGTCAGGCTGGTCTCAAACTCCTGACCTCATGATCTGCCCACCTTGGCCTCCCAAAGTGCTGGGATTACAGGCGTGAGCCACCGCACCCAGCTGGAATTTTTTTTAAATCATTATGAAAACACAGTTAAACATTTAAGTTCATACTCTGTGCCGTTGTTTTTAGTGACAGGATTTCAGCAGTGCACAGAAACAGTCCCTGCCCTTGAGGAGCTATTGGTCTAGTTAGGGGAGGTAGACAATAAACACATAAATATGTCAATGTAATAAGTGCCATGGAGAAACAGCAGAGTAAGGGTGTTAGGGAATATTTATGGAGTGTGATTATTTTATATAAGATGGTTTGAGAAGGCCTCCTTGGGAAGGTGGCAGTCCAACAGAGACCTGGATGAACTAAGCAACCAAACCTTGTGGGTGTTGCCGAGCACGGTGGCTCACGCCTGTAATCCCAGCACTTTGGGAGGCCGAGGCAGGCAGACCACGAGGTCAGAAGATCAAGACCATCCTGGCTAACATGGTGAAACCCCATCTCTGCTAAGAATACAAAAAAAAAAAGAGCTGGGCGTGGTGGCAGGCGCCTATAGTCCCAGCCACTTGGGAGGCTGAGGCAGGAGAATGGTGTGAAACCGGGAGGCAGAGCTTGCAGTGAGCCGAGATTGTGCCACTGCACTCTAGCCTGGGTGACAGAGCAAGACTCCGTCTCAAAACAAACAAACAAACAAAAAAACCCCACAAAACCTTGTGGGTGTCTGAGACAAGAACATTTCAGGCAGGAATAACAGTAAGTCCGAAGGCCCCAAGGTAGGAACTGCATGCATGATGCCGTGGAGAACAGTCAAGAGGTCATTATAGCTGGAGTAAAGTGAGTGAAAGAGAATGGTAAGAAATAAGGTTGGAGAGACCGGGTGCGGTGGGCTCATGCCTGTAATCCCAGCACTTTGGGAGGCCGAGATGGATGGATCACCTGAGGTCAGGAGTTCAAGACCAGCCTGGCCAACATGGTGAAACCCTGTCTCTGCAAAAAATACAAAAATTAGCCAGGTGTGGTGGCAGGTGCCTGTAATCCCAGCTACTTGGGAAGCTGAGGCAGGAGAACCACTTGAACCCAGGAGGCAGAGATTGCAGTGAGCCGCTCCAGCCTGGGTGAGAGAGTGAGACTCCATCTCAAAAAAAAAAAAAAAAGAAATAAGGTTGGAGAAAAACGCATGCAATGGATCAGGGTGACGGGTGTGTGTGCACTGATTATGTGGGGCCTTGTAGGCCATGGCAAGGACTTTGGGCTTTTACTAAGCAAGGTGGGGAGCCATTTGAGGGATTTTAACAGATGAATGATGTAACATAACTTAATTTTAGGAGGGTCTGGCTGCTCTTTGGGCAACATCACATGGTGAAGAAGTTGTAACAGTAGCAGTAGTAGTAAGAATAATGGCATTTTGAAATCCAGGAAAATGAGACTTTAAAATGCATATACCTTGTAACTATATGTCCCCGTTGACTTTTTTTTCCCTACAAAATTTAATGTGAGGCCAGGCACGGTGGCTCACATCTATAATCTCAGTACTTTGGGAGGCTGAAGTGGGAGGATTGCTTGAGCCCAGGAGTTTGAGACCAGCCTAGGCAACATGCCAAGACCCCATCTCTACAAAAAATACAAAAATTAGCTGAGCATGGTGGCACATACCTGTAGTCCCAGATACATGGGAGGCTGAGGCGAGAGGATCACCTGAGCCTGTGGAGGTCGAGGCTGCAGTGACCCATGATCACGCTACTGCACTCCAGCCTGGGTGACAGTGAGACCTTGCCTCAAAAATAAAAAGAAAATGTGTTCTTAAAACCTCAAGTCATAGGAACGGTTCTTTAGTCTTTTCCTTATTATTATATTTATTATGTTATTTATTACTATATTATTTAGTTTTTTTTTTTTTGAGACAGAGTCCCACTCTGTCTCCAAGCCAGCGGCACGATCTCGGCTCACTGCAATCTCTGCCTCCTGGGTTCAAGCGATTCTTCTGCCTTAGCCTCCCGAGTAGCTGGGATTACAGGCACACACCACCACACCCAGCTAATTTTTATATTTTTAGTAGAGACGGGGTTTCACCATGTTGGCCAGGATGGTCTTGATCTCCTGACCTCGTGATCCACCTGCCTCGGCCTCCCAAAGTGCTGGGATTATAGGCGTGAGCCACTGCGCCCCACCTTATTTAGTATTAAAGTGTTCTCATTACTTGTACACACAAATTTAAATGTCTTAGCTTTACAGTATTGCTTGCTCAGCGAATATATGTCATGAGAAAGGTCTGTCAGATTCATACAGTAAACTTGAGCACCAATTATGTGTTTTGACACTACTGGGCACAAAGACAATGGAAAAGAAAAGGTGTAACAAATCCCCTGTCTGAGATTAATAAGCCCCAAGGCAACAATTTGGGCTTTTGTTTGTTTTGTCAATCTGAGAAATGCAGTTTCAGAACTTTGATAGGTGGTACTGTTAGCCCTGATGACATTCAAAGTCCTCATTTCAAATATTCAAGGTAGAAAATTCAAAACTCAGTTGTAAAACAAAAGAATTGGATTAGCAGACCCTTTTCATGAAATGAAATCTTACTTAGAAGCCTGTTATGTAAAGCAGAAAAGCCAAGCTACTCTGGTGGTTAGTATCTGGAAGCCTTCCTACTGTTGTGTTGTCACCCACCTGCACTGCCAGTGATGCCTAAGGCTCATCTTCAAGCTTCCAGGTTTTACCAAGCACACTCTGAAAGTGAGTCTATGTATTAGGGATAACAGAAGGAAATCAAGCAAAAACTTGCTCTTTATTTACAATAAACTCCATAAGGAATTTGAATTCTAAAGTTAACAAATCAATGAACTCCATGTAAAATAGTCTTTACATGGAATAATGGAAAACAATCGATGGTCCTTTTCTTAAAAACCAATTTTTCCCCATTGTAATACCTTTTTTTTTTTTTAAGATGAGATCTCGCTCTGTTTCCAAGGCTGGAGTGCAGTCATTTCCATGTAGTATGTACTTTTCCCGAGTACTGCCATGACTCACTTGCCATTTTCAAGGAATAGCAGCCCACTGACTCAACACCCTCACAGACACACCCAGGATCAATACTTTGTATCCTTCAATCCAATCAGGTTGACACTCATTATTAACCATCACAAACTTCTTTATAAATTGTTATGGAATGAGCTCCAATACATATTGTTAAAGTTAAAAAGCAAGATTAAAGACTACCATTTGTGTAAAAAGGGGGGGGGATTAAAATATATGTATGCATATTTGCTTGAATAAGCATTAATTAACTCTTGAAGGATATTGTTAATATTGATTGCCTCTGGGGAAAAGAACTGGGTGGTTGGGGAGTAGGGGTGGGAGACTTTTTGCCATTTATCTTTTCTTTATGCCTTTTGAGTTTTGAATCATGTGAATGAATTACCTATTCAGAAAAATACATATTATTTTAAAAAATAACAAAATTTCTCTCCATTTCAGCACTATAAACTCTGTACTAAAAAGTGGGGATGTGTGATAGAAACCACTTTTAGGAATAAAAAACTTATATTTCAACTACAGTACTTTCAGATATCCCCTAGTCTCAAATAGATTCTTTTTTCTTTTTTTAACTTTTGTAAATTATTTTATTTCTTCCATGATGATTTAAATGGACTTTTTTTCTTTTTTTTTTTTTGAGACGGAGTTTTGCTCTTGTTGCCCAGGCTGGAGTGCAATGGCGTGATCTTGGCTCACTGCAACCTCTGTCTCCCGGGTTCATGCGATTCTCCTGCCTCAGCCTCCCGAGTAACTGGGATTACAGGCATGAGCCACCATGCCTGGCCTGACTATCTTCAAACAAGTACAAATATTTCATAAATAATATCTGGCCATTTCTAGCCAATTGAGTAATTTGTTGCACAATAAGCCACCTCACATCTTTCAGCAAGAAATACATTAAATTTGAATAATAAAGACATTACACAATGAATTAGGACACTTTTAAAATTTGTTTTAATTTTTATTAGGGGGAGGGGACAGCACACTTCTACTTAATGAAGAGAAACATTTTTACAGTCCAGAGGTCTTTTATGTTTTTGCACCTATTATGCTTGAATTCATAGGGGATAGGTTCCAGCAGCCCAGACTCCTTTCCATTGGTTCTCACAAAGTACACTTCTCTGGGTGGAGCAGCCTGGCACTTGAGTTGAACCCAGGTACCTCTCTTTTTGGCTTCCTTTTTCTGATCATTTTCCCTCATGCGTTTCAGGAAGCTATCTTGGCTCTTAGAGTGCTTAATGTACTCAATCCGCACATTAATTCTCTTGGCAAGAATCTTGCCCTTAGCTTCTTTGTTTACAACAATGCCAACAGCATGCTGGTTAACAGTGTAGACACAGTTTTGCCATGGTAACACTTATGGGACATTCCTTTTTGAATAGTACACATTCCCTCGATGTCTCTATATGTGTGTGTATATATATATTTTTTCTCTATATATAGAATATATATATAAATAGATATAGAAATATATATAGTCCATAATGAACACATATTTTTCTCTCTATATATATAGAAAAGATATATATATATATATATATATTTTTTTTTTTTGAGACAGAGTCTCACTCTGTTGTCCAGGCTGGAGTGCAGTAGTGAGATCTCGGCTCACTGCAAATTCCACCTCCCAGGTTCCAGTGATTCTCCTGCCTCAGCCTCCTGAGTAGCTGGGACTACAGGCACGCACCACCACGCCCGGCTAATAATATCGTCTTTCTTATAGATTTGTGTGTACATGGCCAAAGGAACAACTCTGTGTTTTCTTTTTTTTTGAGACAGAGTCTTGCTCTGTTGCCCAGGCTGGAGTGCAGTGGCGTGATCTTGGCTCACTACAACCTCTACCTCCTGGGTTCAAGTGATTCTCCTGCCTCAGCCTCCCGAGTAGTTGGGATTACAGGCATCTGCCACCACGCCCAGCTAATTTTTGCATTTTTAGTAGAGATGGGGTTTTGCCATGTTGGCCAGGCTGGTCTCGAACTCCTGACCTCAAGTGATCCTCCCACCTCAGCCATTTTCTGAAAGGCCTAGAGAACATCTATCTGGTGCCTCGCCTCTTACCCTTTGTGTTCGTCATTTTGGCAAATTACTGAAAGATGGCAGTTCCGGCCAAAAGGAAGCTCTTTTTTAAAAAAAGAATTATACTTCCCACACAACACTGGCATATCAAATAGGTTATTTACATCTAAGGACCTCTAGCAGGGCTGGGAATAGGGTAGGGTGAATGAGGCACTTGTTTCATGTGCAAAATTTAAGGGGGTACCAAAAAATTCAGTTATCAAGAGGAATAATTTTTTGTTTGTTTGGTTTTTTTTTTGTTTTGTTTGTTTTTTGAGACGCAGTCTCGCTCTGTCGCCTAGGCTGGGATGCAGTGGCACGTTCTCAGCTCACTGCAAGCTCTGCCTCCCGGGTTCACGCCATTCTCCTGCCTCAGCCTCCCGAGTAGCTGGGACTACAGGCACCCACCACCATGCCTGGCTAATTTTTTTGTATTTTTTAGTAGAGACGGGGTTTCACCGTGTTGGCCAGGATGGTCTCAATCTCCTGACCTCGTGATCCGCCCACCTCGTCCTCCCAAAGTGCTGGAATTACAGGCGTGAGTCACCACGCCTGGCCTGAGGAAAGATGTTTTAATGAAATATTTTAAAAATCAAATTAATGCAAAAGTCCATAATGAACAAAATATCAATATTTTTAATAAAGACAGGACCAGTAACAGTGCCATACTGAACCAACCATATCGGAGCCTGAGGCAAAAGGCAAAATACAAGTTCCATATACAGGCTTTTATGTATTCTTGAATAGTTAACTTTTTCCCGGAACATTACAGGAGTTGAAAAAATATTGAAAAATAGATAAATTATAACTCACAGCAATTAAGTTTAAAACATGTTATTTACACCAAAACTAGAATTTATTAAATTCTACTTTCTTGGCTTTAGTGGAAGCAAACCTATTGAAATTTTTTTTTTCTTTTTCTTGAGATGGAGTCTTGCTCAGTTGCCCGGGCTGGAGTGCAGTGGTGTGATCTCGGCTCACTGCAACCTCCGCCTCCCTGGTTCATGCCATTCTCCTGCCTCAGCCTCCCGAGTTGCTGGGACTACAGGCGCGTGCCACCACACCTAGCTAATTTTTTTATTTTTTAGTAGAGATGGGGTTTCACCATATTGGCCAGGCTGGTCTTGAACTCCTGACATTATGATCCGCCCACCTCGGCTTCCCAAAGTGCTGGGATTACAGGCATGAGCCACTGAGCCCAGCCAGGAAATATTTTCATTAAAATCAGAAGCTTGGATCCTTTCAGACTGGCCAATACAGTTCCTACAATTGTGATTTTTATGAGGTGAAACCATCTGGAGCTGAGAATTTTTCTTTTTTGAAACGGAGTCTCGCTCTGTCGCCCAGGCTGGAGTGCAGTGGCGCGATCTCGGCTCACTGCAAGCTCCACCTCCTGGGTTCACGCCATTCTCCTGCCTCAGCCTCCTGAGTAGCTGGTACTACAGGCGCCTGCCACCACGCCCGGCTAATTTTTTGTATTTTTAGTAGAGACGGGGTTTCACCGTGTTAGCCAGGATGGTCTCGATCTCCTGACCTCGTGATCCGCCCGCCTCGGCCTCCCAAAGTACTGGGATTACAGGCGTGAGCCACCACGCCTGGCTGAGAATTTTTTTATTTCTAAAAATCAAACAGAGCCTCTAAGAGAGAAAACCCAAAGCAAAACAATCATGGATCTAAATCAGCAAGGGCTGGAAGGTGGTGATAACTGCAAACAATTGAAGAGTTGGGATCTTGTTATGCAGAAACAACCAGCTATGCCTTGGGATCAAAATCCAGAACAATCAAATGGAAATTACAGTGAAGATGAACAAAAGGGAAAGCAGAAATGGAGAGAAGGAGGAGGAGAAGCAGGCGGAAAGAGAGAGGGAGAAAAAGAAGAAAATGAAAAGGAGCTGGAAGATGAACAGGAAAATAAAAAAGGGAAAGGGAAAATGAGAAACAATATCCCAAGAAAAGATTAGTCAGCAAATCCCTCATGGACACTCTGGGCAAAGCTGAAGTTAAACAGGTGCCCCACAATACAAGAGAGTTTATCGATCTCATTTGAATTTGGCATGACACATAAACAGATAAGTCAACGGTTTTGTAAAAAGAGGAAGAAATGTAATAAAGAAATGTCCAAGAGAAAGCATAAGAAAAAACATAAGAGATGTGGGGCGGGGGAGCGGGTCTCTCTGAGTTGCCAAGGCTGGTCTCAAACTCCTGCCCTCGGGGGATCTTCTTCCCACCTTGGCCTTCAGAAGTGCTGTGATTACAAGCATCAGCCATTGTGCCTGGCTAAGACGTTTTTTCTTTTTCCTTTTTATTTTTTATTTTTTTTTTTTTGAGACGGAGTCTCGCTCTGCCTCCCAGGCTGGAGTGCAGTGGTGCGGTCTCAGCTGGCTGCAGCCTCTGCCTCCCAGGTTTAAGCGGTTCTCCTGCCTCAGCCTCCTGAGTCTAGATAAGAAGTTTTATATGACACCATTCTCTGAAAGGATAAACAAGGACATATTGACAATTGTTAATTCCGTGGGGTAGAACTAAATGAGGGGAGTGCAAAGGAGTTTCTAAATATCCTATTTTTACACTACTGTGGTTTTTAAGTTTTTATAATGGATGTTAATTGATTTTATTTCAGAAAAAAATCAATAAAGAAATTACCAACCTCCAGAAGTGTTTTGAGACTGAAAGGGAAATCCATTGTAGAAGTTAATGGGTTCAGTGCATTCTGCAACTTGTCAGTATATCTCTAAACATCCCTTCCAGGCCGGGCCCGGTGGCTCACGGCTATAATCCCGCCACTTTGGGAGGCCGAGGCTGGAAGATAACTCGAGGCCAGGAGTTCAAGACCAGCCTGACCAACATGGTGAAACCCCATCTCTACTAAAAATACAAAATTAGCTGGGCATGGTAGCCCATGCCTGTAATCCCAGCTACTCGAGGGGCTGAAGCAGGAGAATTGCTTGTGCCGGGAGGCGGAGGTTGCAGTGAGCTGAGATCATGCCATTGCACTCCAACCTGGACGACGAAAGAGAAACTCTGTCTCTAAATAAATAAATAAACATTCCCTCAAAAAAAAAAATCAGAAGCTTGGCTGGGCACGGTGGCTCATGCCTATAATCCCAGCACTTTGGGAGGCCGAAGTGGGCGGATCACTTGAGGTCAGGAGTTTGAGACCAGCCTGGCCAACATGGTGAAACCCCAACTTTACTAAAAATACAAATAATTAGCCGGGGGTGGTGGCACATGCTTGTAATCCTAGCTGCTCGGGAGTCTAAGACAGGAGAATCGCTTGAACCTTGGAGGCGGAGGTTGCAAAGCCGAGATGGCCCTATTGCAGTCCAGCCTGGGCGACAAGAGCGATACTCCGTCTCAAATAAATAAATAAATAAATAAAAATCACAAGCTTAGGTCTAATATATAGAATTTGGGGGAAGTTCTAGTAATCTGGTGCAATGTAAATGCGAGGCAGACATCGGAGAATCTCTAGAAATGAGGACCACAAGGTAGACATGGACTACATAGTTATGCCACGCTAAGGAGTTTAGATTTTATTTTGAAGGTGATGGGGAACCTCTCAAATATTTTAAGCACCTAATTCCAGAAGATTACAATCACGTGAGTGCTGAAGTCAACAAGGACAAGACTGGAGTAGAGACTTAGTCGATTTCTAAGGTAGAAATGTAATTCCCAGACAGACAGACTAGGTTCTGAATATGAGGAGTAAGAGGAAACAAAAGAGGATGACCACTCAAGACTTACCATAAACAATCTGCTCTTTATCCATATTACATTACATCTTCTTCCTGACATGTGTGAAAGGAAATAAGTTACTCTCTCTTTTCTAAGAAGCATGCCAAGCACCTCTTATTTGTGGGGCAGAGTTCACCATAAAAAGTTGAGAACCGCTGGGCACGGTGGCTCACACCTGTAATCTCAGAACTTTGGGAGGCTGAGGCGGGCGGATCACGAGGTCAGGAGATCGAGACCATCTTAGCTAACACACGGTGAAACCCCGTCTCTACTAAAAATACAAGAAAATTAGCCAGCCGTGGTGGTGAGGGCTTGTAGTCCCAGCTACTTGGGAGGCTGAGGCAGGAGAATGGCGTGAACCCGGGAGGCGGAGCTTGCAGTCAGCTGAGATCGTGCCACTGCACTCCAGCCTGGTCTACAGAGTGAAACTCCGTCTCAAAAAAAAAACAAAAAACAAAACTTGAGAACCGTTAATCTTATCAAGATTCTCATACCCATCCAGAATACACATGCACATGTGTAAGATGTATCCTTCTCCTCACCCCCACTACAGTCCATTTCAAGAAAGTCTTCTTTTAAGAAACTGGCAAGAAAACTGGTATTCTGCCAAATATGCCAAGATTCATATATAGATAGAGAGGTTCCCCATCACCTTCAAAATAAAATCTAAACTCCTTAGCGTGGCATAATTATGTAGTCCATGTCTACCTTGTGATTCTCGTCTCCAGAGATTCTTCAATGTCTACCTTGCATTTAAGTTGCACCAGATTACTAGAACTTCTCCCAAATTATTCTACATAAATATGAATGTATATATTCATATTATATATAGTGGCTGGCAGGTCGACTGTTTTGTTTACTTTTTTAGGCAAGCCAAAATATTTAAAGATAAAATAGGGCAGAAAAAAATCCATTTACCTTCTTCTATGAAAGAAAGGAGGATGTCCTTCTAAATAAAAATTCTTTAAGAATTCAATCTAATATTGGCATTTAAGCCAATGCTGCTTGCCATCCTAAAATTATTTTCCTTTTAAAATAATCTTTGATGTCCATTTCCAGTAATATGGTAGCCAAAATAACCTGAATGAAAGTCCTCCCACACTACAAAACACTTAGAAATACCAAATACAATATAAAATCCTTTTAAATGTACAGCTGAACTTGCAAGTAAGTAAAGGAAATCCCCAGGGGTCAAAACAAAGTGCAAAAACCCAAAACCAGAGCATTGGGTAGGAGTTAAAATGTCAGTTGTTCCACTAGGGGTGGGGGTGGGGTGGGGTGCAGGTTGCTTGGTTATCTCATTAAATAAGGTGTTCAGGTTTTTTTGTTTGTTTTTTGTTTTTTTTTCCATAGGTTATCGGGAAACAGGTGGTATTTGGTTACATGAGTAAGTTCTTTAGTGGTTCATTTGTGAGATTTTGGTGCACCCATCACCCGGGCAGTATACACTGAACCCAATTTGTAGTCTTTTATACCTCACTCCTTTCCCACCCTTTCCCCCTGAGTCTCCAAAGTCCATTGTGTCATTCTTATGCCTTTGCATCCTCATAGCTTAGCTCCCACTTATGAGTGAGAACATACAAGGTTTGGTTTTCCATTCCTGAGTTACTTCACTTTGAATAATTGTCTCCAATCCCATCCAGGTCGCTGTGAATGCCATTAATTCATTCCTTTTTATGGGTGGGTAGTATTCCATTGTATAGATATACCACGGTTAATTTATCCACTGGTTGATTGATGGGCATTTGGGTTGGTTCCACGTATTTGCAATTGCAAATTGTGCTACTATAAACGTGTGTGCAAGTATCTTCTTCGTATAACGACTTCTTTTCCTCCGGGTAGATACCCAGTAGTGGGATTGC
Organism: Homo sapiens; assembly: GCF_000001405.40. NCBI lineage: Eukaryota > Metazoa > Chordata > Mammalia > Primates > Hominidae > Homo > Homo sapiens. The sequence goes on along the minus strand of NC_000023.11, from coordinate 101,334,341 downwards.
TGGATCAAATGGTAGTTCTACTTTCAGTTCTTCAAGGAATCTCCACACTGTTTTCCATGGTGGCCATACTTGTTTACATTCCCACCAGCACATAAAAATGTTCCCTGTTCACTGCATCCACACCAACATCTACTGTTTTCTGATTTTTTGATTATGGCCATTCTTGCAGGAGTAAGGTAGTATTGCATTGCAGTTTTGATTTGCATTTCCCCGATCATTGGTGATGTTGAGCATTTTTTCATATGCATTTGTATATCTTCTTTTGAGAATTGTCTTTTCATGTCCTTAGCCCACTTTTTGATGGAATTGTTTGTTTTTATCTTGCTGATTTGTTTGAGTTCATTGTAGATTCTGGATATTATTCCTTTGTCAGATGTATAGATTGTGAAGCTTTTCTCCCACTCTGTGGGTTCTCTTTACACTGCTGACTGTTCCTTTTTTCGTGCAAAAGCTCTTTAGTTTAAGTCCCAGCTATTTATCTTTGTTTTTATTGCATTTGCATTTGGGTTCTTGGTCATGAAGTTCTTGCCTAAGCCAATGTCTAGAAGGGTTTTTCTAATGTTATCTTCTAGAATTTTAATAGTTTCAGGTCTTAGATTTAAGTCCTTAATCTATCTTGAGTTGATTTTTGTATAAGGTGAGAGATGAAGATTCAGTTTCATTCTCTGACATGTGGCTAGCCAATTATCCCAGCATCATTTGTTGAAAAGGGTGTCCTTTCTCCACTTTATGTTTTTGTTTGCTTTGTTGAAGATCAGTTGGATGTAAGTATTTGGGTTTGTTTCCGGGTTCTCTATTCTGTCCCATTCATCTATGTGCCTATTTTTATACCAGTACCATGCTGTTTGTCTGACTATGGCCTTATAGTATAGCTTGGAATCAGGTAATCTGATGCCTCCAGATTTGTTCTTTTTGCTTAGTTTTGCTTTGGCTATGTGGGCTCTTTTTTGGTTCCATATGAATTTTAGAATTGTTTTTTCTAATTCTGTGATGAATGATCGTGGTATTTTGATGGGAATTGCATTGAATTTGTAGATTGCTTTTGGAAGGATGGTCATTTTCACAATATTGATTCTACCCATCCGTGAGCATGGGATGTGTTTCTATTTGCTTATGTCATCTATGCTTTCTTTCAGCAGTGTTTTGTAGTTTTCCTTGTAGAGGTCTTTCACCTCCTTGGTTAGGTCTATTCCTAAGTATTTTATCTTTTTTGCAGCTATTGTAAAAGGGGTTGAGTTCTTGATTTGATTCTCAGCTTGGTCGCTGTTGGTATATAGAAGAGCTACTGATGTGTGTACATTAATTTTGTATCTGGAAACTTTGCTGTACTTTTTTATCAGTTCTAGGAGCTTTCTGGAGGAGTCTTTAGGATTTTCTAGGTAAACAATCATATCATCCACAAACAGCGACAGTTTGACTTCCTCTTTACCAATTGGATGCCCTTTATTTCTTTCTCTTGTCTGACTGCTCTGGTTAGAACTTCCAGTACTATGTTGAAGAGGAGTAGTGAGAGTGGGCATCCTTGTCTTGTTCCAGTTCTCAGAGGGAATGCTTTCACCTTTTCACCATTCAGTATTATGTTGGCTGTGGGTTCGTCATAGATGGCTTTTATTACATTGAGGTATGTCCTTTGTATGCCGATTTTGCTGAGAGTTTTAATCATAAAGGGATGCTGGATTTTGTCAAATGCTTTTTCTGCATCTATTGAGATGATCATGTGATTTTTGTTTTTAATTCTGTTTATGTGGTGTATCACATGTATTAACTTGCATATGTTAAACCACTCCTGCATCCCTGGTATGAAACCAACTTGACCATGGTGGATTATCTTTATTTTTTTCTTCTTTTTGAGACAGTTTTGCTCTTGTTGTCCGGGCTGGAGTGCAATGGTGCGATCTTGGCTCACCGCCACCTCTGCCACCTGGGTTCAAGCAATTCTCCTGCCTCAGCCTCCCGAGTAGCTGGGATTACAGGCATGCGCCACAACGCCCAGCTAATTTTGTATTTTTGGTAGAGATGGGGTTTCTCCATGTTGGTCAGGCTGGTCTCGAACTCCTGAACTCAGGTGATCGGCCAGCCCTGGACTCCCAAAGTGCTGGGAATTACAGGAGTGAGCCACCATGCCTGGCCCCTGGATTATCTTTTTGATATATTGTTGGATTTGCTTACTTGTATTTTGTTAAGGACTTCAGCATCTATGTTCATTAGGGATATTGGTCTGTAGTTTTGTTTTTTGGTTATGTGCTTTCCTGCTTTTGGTATTAGAATGATAGTGGCTTCATAGAATGATTTAGGGAGGGTTCCCTCTTCCTCTATCTTGTGGAATAGTGTCAATACAATTCTTCTTTGAATGTCTGGTAGAATTCTGCTGTGAATCCGTTTGGTCCTGGACTTTTGTTTTTTGTTGTTAATTTTTTTTTTTTTTTTGAGACAGAGGCTCGCTCTGTCACCCAGGCTGGAGTGCAGTGGTGCAATCTCAGCTTACTGCAACCTCTGCCTCCTGGGTTCAAGAGATTCTCCTGCCTCAGCCTCCTGAGTAGCTGGGATTACAGGCGCGTGCCACCACACCTGGCTAATTTTTTTGAATTTTTAGTAGAGACGGGGTTTCACCATATTGGCCAGGCTGGTCTTGAACTCCTGACCTCGTGATCCACTCGCCTTGGTCTTCAAAGTATATGCTGGGATTACAGGCGTGAGCCACCACGCCTGGCCCTTTTTTGTTTTTTGAGATGGAGTCTCACTCTTTTTGCCCAGGCTGGAGTGCACTGGCTCAATCTCAGCTCACTGCAACCTCCGCCTCCAGGGTTTAAGCAATTCTCCTGCCTCAGCCTCCCAAGTAGCTGGGATTACAGGTGCCCGCCACCACGCCCAGCTAATGTTTTTGTATTTTTACTAGAGATGGGGTTTCACCATGTTTGGCCAGGCTGGTCTTGAACTCCTGACCTCAGGTGATCCATCTGCCTCGGCCTCCCAAAGTGCTGGGATTACAGGTGTGAGCCACCACGCCCAGCCCTTTTCTTGGTAATTTTTAAATTACCATATCAGTCTCACTGCTGGTTATTGGTTTGTTCAGAGTATCTAATGCTTCCTGATTTAAGCTAGGAGGGTTGTATCTTCCCAGAAATTTTTCCATCTCTTCTAGATTTTCTAGTTTAAGCATGTAAGGTGTTCATAGTAGCCTTGAATGATCTTTTGTATTTCTGTGGTGTCAGTTGTACTATCTTCCCTTTGGTTTCTTATTGAGCTTGTTTGGATTTTCTCCCTTCTTTTCTTGGTTAATCTTGCTAATGTTCTATCAATTTTATTTATCTTTTCAAAGAACCAGCTTTTTGTTTCATTTATCTTTTGTATTTTTTTGTTTGTTTGTTTCAATTTCATTTAGTTCTGCTCTGATCTTGGTTATTTCCTTTCTTCTGCTGGGTTTGGGTTTGGTTTGTTCTTGTTTCTCTAGTTCCTTGAGGTGTGACCTTAGATTGTCTGTCTGTGCTCTTTCAGACTTTGTGATGTAGGCTTTTAGGGCTATGAACTTTCCTCTTAGCACCGCCTTTGCTGAATCCCAGAGGTTTTGATAGGCTGTGTCACTATTGTCATTCAGTTCGAAGAATTTTTTAATTTCCATCTTGATTTCATTTTTGAGCCAATGATCATTCAGGAACAGGTTATTTAATTTCGATGTATTTGCATAGTTTTGAAGCTTCCTTTTGCAGTTGATTTCCAGTTTTATTCCACTGTGGTCTGAGAGAGTGCTTGATATAATTTCATTTTCCTTAAATTTATTGAGGCTTGCTTTGTAGCCTATCATATGGTCTGTCTTGGAGAAAGTTCCATGCACTGTTGAATAGAATATATATTCTGAGGTTGTTGGATGGAATGTTCTGTAAGTATCTGTTAAGTCCATTTGTTCCAGGGTATAGTTTAAATCCGTTGTTTCTTTGTTTACTTTCTGTCTTGATGACCTGTCTAGTGCTGTCAGTGGAGTATTGAAGTCCCCCACTATTATCGTGTTGAGGTCTATCTCATTTCTTAGGTCTATTAGTAATTGTTTTATAAATTTGGGAGTTCCAGTGTTAGTCCTTATATGTTTAGGATTGTGATATTTGCCTGTTGAACAAGGCCTTTTACTGTTACATAATGTCCCTCTTTGTCTTTTTTAGTTGCTGTTGCTTTAAAGTTTGTTTTGTCTGATATAGGAATAGCTACTCCTGGCCAGGCACCGTGGCTCACGCCTGTAATCCCAGCACTTTGGGAGGCTGAGGTGGGTGGATCACAAGGTCATGAGTTCAAGACCAGCCTGGCCAATATGGTGAAACCCCGTCTCTACTAAAAGTACAAAAATTAGCCAGGCATGGTGGCAAGTGCCTGTAGTCCCAGCTACTCAGGAGGCTGAGGCAGGAGAATAGCTTGAATCCAGGAGGCGGAGGTTGCAGTGAGCTGAGATTGCACCACTGCACTCCAGCCTGGGTGACAGAGCGAGACTCCATCTCAAAAAACAAAAACAAAAACAATAGCTGCTCCTGCTCGCTTTTCATGTCCATTTGCATGAAATATATTTTTCCACCTGTTTACCTTAAGTTTATGTGAGTTCTTACGTGTTAGGTGAGTCTCTTGAAGGCAGCAGATAGTTGGTTGGTGAATTCTTTTTTTTTTTTTTAATGGAATTCTTATCCATTCTGCAATTCTGTATCTTTTAAGTGGAGCATTAAGTCCATTTACATTCAATGTTAGTACAGAGATGTGAGGTACCATTCCATTCATCATGCTATTTGTTGCCTGTATAGCTTGTTTTTTTTTCTTTTTGTTTTTAATTTTTTTTTTTTTTAAGACAGAGTTTCGCTCTTGTTGCCCAGGCTGGAGTGCAATGGCATCTTGGCTCACTGCAACCTCCGCCTCCCAGGTTTAAGTGATTCTCCTGCCTCAGTCTCCCAAGTAGCTAGGATTACAGGCAAGTGCCACCATGCCCAGCTAATTTTTGTATTTTTAGTAGAGATGGGGTTTCACCATCTTGGCCAGGATGGTCTCGAACTCCTGACCTCGTGATTCACCCTCCTCACCCTCCCAAAGTGCTAGGATTACAGGTGTGAGTCACTGCACCCAGCCTGTATTTTTGTTTTATTGGTCCTATGAGATTTATGCTTTAAAAAGTTTCTGTTTTGATGTGTTTCCAGGATTTGTTTCAATATTTAGAGCTCCTTTTAGCAGTTCTTGTAGTGGTGGCTTGGTAGTGGCAAATTCTCTCAGCATTTGTCTGTCTAAAAAAAAAACCTATCTTTCCTTCATATGTGAAGCTCAGTTTCACTTGATACAAGATTCTTAGCCGGGCACAGTGGCTCACGCCTGTAATCCCAGCACTTAGGGAGGCTGAGGCAGGTGGATCACCTGAAGTCAGGAGTTCGAGACCAGCCTGACCAACACGGAGAAACCCCGTCTCTACTAAAAATACAAAATTAGTTGGGCATGGTGGTGTATGCCTGTAATCCCAGCTTCTCGGGAGGCTGAAGCAGGAGAATCGTTTGAACCTGGGAGGCTGAGGTTGCAATGAGCCAAGATAGTGCCATTGCACTCCAGCCTGGGCAACAAGAGTGAAACTCCGTCTCAAAAAAAAAAAAAGATTCTTAGCTGATAATTGTTTTGTTCGAGGAGGCTGAAGATAGGGCCTCAGTCCCTTCTAGCTTGCAGGATTTCTGCTGATAAATCTGCTGTTAATCTGATAGATTTTCCTTTATAGGTTACCTGGTACTTTTGTCTCACAGCTCTTAAGATTCTTTCCTTCATCTTAACTTTAGATAAGCTGATGACAATGTGCCTAGGTGATGATCTTCTGGCAATGAATTTCCCAGATGTTCTTTGTGCTTCTTGTATTTGGATGTCTAAGTTTCTAGAAAGGCTGGGGAAGTTTTCCTCGATAATTCTCCCAAATATGTTTTCCAAACTTTTAGATTTCTCTTCTTCCCCAGGAACGCCAATTATTCTTAGGTTTGGTCATTTAACATAATCCCACACTTCTTAGAGGCTTTGTTCATATTTTTTTATTCTTTTTTCTTTGTCTTTGTTGGATTGGGTTAATTCGAATACCTTGTCTCTGAGCTCTGAATTTCTTTCTTCTACTTGTTCGATTCTATGGCTGAGACTTTCCAGAGCATTTTGCATTGCTATAAGTGTGTCCATTGTTTCCTGAAGCTTTGATTGTTTTTTACTTATGCTGTCTATTTCATTAAAGATTCCTCTCTTCACTTTTATTTTTTTTTTTGAGATAGAGTTTCACTCTTGTTGCCCAGGCTGGAGTGCAATGGCGCTATCTCGGCTCACTGCAACCTCCGCCTCCCGGGTTCAAGCGATTCTCCTGCCTCAGCCTCCTGAGTAGCTGGGACTACAGGCATGCGCCAACACACCTGGCTAGTTTTGTATTTTTAGTAGAGATGGGGTTTCTCCATGTTGGTCAGGCTGGTCTTGAACTTCTGACCTCAGGTGATCCGCCTGCCTTGGCCTCCCAAAGTGCTGGGATTACAGGCATGAGCCACCGTGCCCGGGCTTCTCTTCACTTCTTGTATCATTTTTTTATTTCCTCTTTTTTTTTTTTTTTTGAGATGGAGTCTCACTCTGTCGCCCAGGCTGGAGTGCAGTGGCGCAATCTTGGCTCACTGCAACCTCCGCCTCCCAGGTTCAAGCGATTCTCCTGCCTCAGCCTCCCGAGTAGCTGGGACTAAAGGTGTGTGCCACCACACCCGGCTAATTTTTTTGTATTTTTAGTAGAGACGAGGTTTCACTGTGTTAGCCAGGATGGTCTGGATCTCCTGACCTCATGATCCACCCGCCTCAGCCTCCCAAAGTGCTGGGATTACAGGCGTGAGCCACTGTGCCTGGCCAATTTTTTTATTTCCTTACATTGGGCTTCACCTTTCTCTGGTGCCTCCCTGAGTAGCTTAATTAGTAACCTCCCGAATTCTTTTTCAGGTAAATCAAGGATTTCTTCTTGGTTTGGATCCATTGCTGGTGAGCTAGTGTGATCTTTTGGGGGTGTTAAGGAACCTTGTTTTTTCATATTACCAGAGTCAGTTTTCTGGTTCCTTCTCATTTGGGTAGGCTCTGTCAGAGGGAAGGTCCAGGGCTGAAGGCTGTTGTTCAGATCCTTTTGTCCCATGGCATGTTCCCTTGATGTAATACTCTCCCCCTTTTCCTGTGGATGTGGCTCCCTAAGAGCTGGGCTGTAGTGATTGTTACAGCTTTTCTGGATCTAGCCACCCAGCAAGTCTACCAGGCTCCAGGTTGGTACTGGGGGTAGTCTGCACAGAGTCCTGTGATGTGAACCGTCTATGGGTCTCTCAGCTGTGGAAACCAGCACCTGTTCTGGTGGAGATGGAAAGGGGGTGAAATGGACTCTGTTAAGGTTCTTAGCTTTGGTGGTTTAATGCACTATTTTTGTGCTGGTTGGCCTCCTGCTGGGAGGTGGCGCTTTCCAGAGAGCATCAGCTGTGATAGTATGGGGAGGAACAGGTGGTGGGCGGGGCCCTAGAACTCCCAAGAGTATATGCCCTTTGTCTTCAGTTACCAGGGTGGGTAGGGTAGGACCACTGGGTTGGGGCAGGGCTAGGTGTGTCTGAGCTCAGAGTCTCCTTGGGCGGGTTTTGCTGCAGCTGCTGTGGGGGATGGGGGTGAGGCTCCCAGATCAATGGGGTTATGATCCTAGAAGGATTATGGATGTCTCTACTGTGTTGTGCAGGTTGTCAGAAAAGTGAGGGAAAGCCAGCAGTCACAGGCCTCACACAGCTCCCACAGAATCCAAAGGGCTGGTCTCACTCCCACTGTACCCCCACCCCCACCCCACCAACAGCACTGAGTGAGCAGGGCTGAGAACTTGCCCCAGGCTACCCACCTCCCAGCTGTGAAAGCAAGTATGGCTTTCCTTCTTCCCCCACCTGTGGAGTCTGCACACCAGATTCATGCCCCACCCCCCGCCGAGTTCTGGCCAGAAGACTTCTTGATCAGTTCAAACTGTTTTTTTGTTGTTTGTTTGTTTGTTTGTTTTTGAGACGGAGTTTTGCTCAGTCGCCCAGGCTGGAGTGCAGTGGCATGATCTCGGCTCACTGCAACCTCCGCTTCCCCGGTTCAAGTGATTCTCCTGCCTCAACCTCCCGAGTAGCTGGGATTACAGGCATGCGCCACCACGCCTGGCTAATTTTTGTATTTTTAGTAGAGACGAGGTTTCACCATGTTGGCCAGGCTGGTCTCGAACTCCTGACGTCAGGTGATCCACCCTCCTCACCCTCCCAAAGTGCTAGGATTACAGGCGTGAGCCACTGCGCCCAGCCTCTGTTCAAATTGTTACAAAGTTCGGCTGGAGATTTCTTTCTCCCTGTGACCTTTTCCAAGTGCCTCTGGCCGCCCTACCAAAGGACCCCTGTAAGGCCAGGCAGAAATGGTTTGCTAGGGGACCCAGTGAGCTCACAGGGCTTTTCCCGCTCTTTCCTCTACTCCTGTATTTCACTCAGTATCTAAATTGACTCAGCTCCAGGTAAGGTCAGAATCTTCTCCCATAACCTAGGCCTTCAGTTTCCCCAGTGGGGGTATGTGTTCAGGGGCAGACGATCTCCCTTTCCCACTTCCACAATTTGGGCACTCACAGTATTTGGTGTGCCTCCTGGGTCCTGCAAGAGCAGTCTGCTTCCTTCAGAGGGTCTGTGGGTTCTCTTGGGTTTCCTGATTTATTCCTGCAGTCGTTCTGGAGCAAAAATTCATGATGCGAGCCTCCACATGCTGCTCTGTTCATCGAAGTTGGAGCTGCAATCTAGTCTTGCCTCCCGTCTGCCATGATCCACCTTCTTCTTCTTCTTTGTTTTTATATGGAATACTTCACGGATTTGTGCATCATCCTTGTGCAGGGACCATGCTAATCTTCTCTGCATCATTCTAATTCCAGTACATGTGCTGCTGAAGCAAGCACACGTGCTTAGGTTCTGATGGCCTGTAGAGGCAGGAGACAGAGCCTTGGGCCTAAGTAAGGCAGGAGGTTGGAACTGAAACACCTGTAGGAAGTTGGGAGTTTCAAAGGACAACACCTTCAATAAGGTTGAACTAGACAAAAATTCATTCACTAGTATAGGAAGACAACCTGGGCTGTAAGAAGGTAGAAAACAGGGTCTCCCTCTGAGGCCTGCTTTCACATGGGTTTGGGATTCAAAATTTATAACTCCTACACTGTCCAGGAACCCTCCACACTAAAAAATGAGTACAAAGTGTATACGCACTTAAGAGTATAACTATTGTTATTCCTACCAAGCAGAAGCAACATAAAACAGCTCTAGAGAGACATATCCCTCACAAGATCCCCACAAGTAAAGCTGCACTGAACACAATTTAAAATAAAAAATTACAAAACACATGAAAAAACACCACACCATAATCAAATGTCTGAAGACACAACACATAGAATTAGACCCCGAAATATGCAATCTAATACACACTATAAAATTGCTTAAAATGATTAAAGATATAATTGAAAATGTAAGAAAAGAACAAGACATTATTTTATTTTTACAGATTTGAGGATACAAATGCAGCTTTGTTACATGGATATATTGTGTAGTGGTGAAGTTTGGGCTTTAAAGTGTAACCATCACTCAAATCATATACGTAGAACCCATTAGGTAATTTTTTTTTTTTTTTGAGACAGAGTTTCGCTCTTGGTGCCCAGGCTGGAGTGCAGTGGCGCCATCTTGGCTCACTGCAATCTCTGCCTCTTGGGTTCAAGCGATTCTCCTGTCTCAGCCTCACGAGTAGCTGGTATTACAGGCGTGTGCCACCAAGCCCAGCTAATTTTTCGTATTTTTAGTAGAGACAGGGTTTCATCATGTTGGCCAGGCTGGTCTCAAACTGCTGAACTCAGGTGATCCACCCGCCTTGGCCTCCCAAAGTGCTGGGATTACAGGCGTGAGCCACTGTGCCTGACCCATTAGGTAATTTTTTATCCCTTACACCTCTTGCACCTCCCACCTTTCTGGGTCTACAATGTCTATTATTCCACTCCAGTACACTAGTTTTAAAAGGCCAGGTAGTATTGAAAAAGAACTCTAGACATGAAAAAAAGTTTTAAATTTAAGAACTCAATGGACATGTTAAACCACAGATTGGGCACAATTAAAGAGAAAAGTGGTAACTGGAAAAATAGATATATAGAATGCAACACAGAGAGATTAAGAAATAAAAAATATGAAAAGAGGTAAAGAAACATGCAGGACAAATTTTAAAAGTAATATTCAAAGAAGTAATGACTGAGGGTATTCTAGAACTGATTATTTAAAAATGTGAATTCTCGGGCCAGGCGCAGTGGCTCACGCCTGTAATCCCAGCACTTTGGGAGGCCGAGGCAGGTGGATCACCAGGTCAGCAGTTCAAGACCAGCCTGGCCAAGATGGTGAAACCCTGTCTCTACTAAAAATACAAAAAAATGAGCCAGGTGTGGTGGCAGGCACCTGTAATCCCAGCTACTCGGGAGGCTGAGGCAGGAGAATTGCTTGAACCCGGGCGGCAGAGGTTGCAGTGAGCTGAGATCACGCCACTGCACTCCAGCCTGGGTGACAGACTGCAACTCTGTCTCAAGAAAAAAAAAAAATTAAAATTAAAAAAATAATAAAAATGTGAATTCTCAAATTCAGAAACTATGAGTCCTGAGCAAGATAAATACAACTAAATTCACATTTAGACCATTTTATTGAATCTTTAGAACATCAAAACGAATGATCCTGGAGATAATACTTAACATTTTCTATGTGCCAGGATTGTTCTAAACACTGTACCCAAGAGATAATCATTTTAATATATTGGTATATTTTCTTCCAGTGTTTTATCGATGCATGTATATGCACAATACAAAAATTCAAAACAAAATCAGAATAATCCTATACATAAAAACTTGTATTCTTTTTTTTTTTGCTCAACATTTTACCATAAGCATTTTCCTATGTTATTAAGCAGCAGCAATAGCTGCAATAACAGTGTAAATGACAACTAACATTTTAGTGTTGTTGTCAGGAGTATGGGTTTTGAAATCAAACTTTCTGTGTTTGAGTCCCAGTTCACCACTTACTAGCCATGTGGCATTGCACAAGTGACTCATCCTCTCTCTGATTCCATGTCCTCAGTAGTAAAAACCTACATCCTGGGGTTATTGTGAGTTACCATTTACTTTTTTTTTTTTTTTTTTTTGAGACAGAGTTTCGCTTTCGTCGCCCAGGCTGGAGTACAATGGTGCAATCTCGGCTCACTGCAACCTCCGCCTGCCAGGTTCAAGCGATTCTCCTGTCTCAGCCTCCCCAGTAGCTGGGATTACAGGCGCTCACCACCACACGCAGCTAATTTTTGTCTTTTTAGTAGAGATGGGGTTTCACCATGTTGGCCAGGCTGGTCTCGAACTCCTGACCTCAAGTGATCCACCCGCCTCAGCCTCCCAAAGTACTGGGATTACAGGCGTGAGCCACTGCGCCCCCAGCCTTGTGAGTTCCTGTTTACTAAGCTATCTGCTGGGCACTGTGCTAAACACATGAATAATGCTATTTAAAAAAAAAAAAAACCAGTGGGTTAGAAACTGCTCTTGGTCCTATTTTTATAGATGAGAAAAGTGGGGCTTAGGAAGACTCTTAGGTGATTTGCCCAAAATCATATGGCCAGTGATGGAGCTTTGACTTGAATTCAGATCTATCCCCAAAACCTATGCTTTCGATTGTTGTGCTACACTGTTCTTCCATATCATTTTATTTTATTTTATTTTATTTTATTTTATTTTATTTTATTTTATTTATTTATTTAGAGACGGAGTCTCTCTCTGTCATCCAGGCTGGAGTGCAGTGGCACGATCTCGGCTCACTACAACCTCCGCCTCTCGGGATCAAGCAATTCTCCTGCCTCAGCCTCCCGAGTAGCTGGGATTACAGGCATGTGCCACCACACCCAGCTAATTTTTGTATTTTTTTAGTAGAGATGGGGTTTCACCATGTTGGTCAGGCTGGTCTCGAACTCCTGACCTCATGATCCGCCTGCCTCGGCCTCCTAAAGTGCTGGGATTACAAGTGTGAGCCACCGCGCCCAGCCTCTTCCATATCATTTTAAAGGCTTCATAGTATGTACAAATCATAAAGTTCACCACAATATTCCTCAAATGTTGCACATTTAGATCCTTTCCATTTATTTCCTATGACAAATAACCTGGTAAAGCTCATCTTTGCCCATAAAATATTGTGTGCACTTCAGATAAACCCTTTTAGGGGAGTTACTCTGAAGTGGACTTACTAAGTAAAGAAAGTATGACATTTTAAGGGTCTTAATATATGTTAGCAAACTGCTTTTCAGAAAGGTTAAAACCATTTACATACTCACTGGCAGTGTATGAGAGCAAAGTTGAGTTTTTTATTTTTTATTTTTTTTATTTTTTGAGATGGAGTCTCACTCTGTCGCCCAGGCTGGAGTGCAGCGGCGCACTCTTGGCTCACTGCAACCTCTGCTTGCCAGATTCAAGCGATTCTCCTGCCTCAGCCTCCCGAGTAGCTGGGACTACAGGCGCGCGCCACCATGCCTGGCCAATTTTTTGTATTTTTAGTGAAGACCGAGTTTCACCATGCTGGCCAGGCTGGTCTGGATCTCCTGACCTCGTGATCCACCTGCCTTGGCCTCCCAAAGTGCTGGGATTACGGGCGTGAGCCACTGTGCCTGGCATGTCATTTCTACATGTTGGTAACGTTTCAAATACTCTCTTCTAGCTACTTTGAAATATACAATATATTGTTGCTAACTCTAGTGACCCTACTCTGTTATGGAACATTAGAACGTATTTCTTCTAACTGTATGACTGGATCCATTAACCAACCTTTTTTTATCACCCCCCTCCCACCCACACACCCTTTCCAGCCTCTGGTGTCTATGATTCTCTTCTCTATTTCTATGAGGTCAACTTTTTTCGTTTCCAACATATGAGTGAGAATATGTAGTATTTGTCTTTCTGTGCCTGGCTTATTTAATATAATGACATCTAGCTAGTTCCATTTATGTTGCTACAAATGACATGATTTCATTCTTTTTTATAGCTGAATAGTATCCCATTGTGTATATATACCACATTTTCTTCTTCTTTTTTTTTTTTCTTAGAGATGGGATCTTGTGATGTTGCCCAGGCTAGAGTGCAGTGGCACAATCATGTCTTCAATATCCCATTTTCAGCATTGGACAGATTTTCCAGACAGAAAAATCAACAAAGAAATGTCAGACTTAATCTGCACTATAGAAAAAGTGAATCTAATAGATATTTACAGAACGTTTCATCCAACAGCTGCAAAATACACATTCTTCTCCTAGCACATGGATCTTTCTCAAGGACAACCATATGTTAGGTCACAAAGCAAGTCTTAAAACATTTTTAAACATTGAAATAGCATCAAGCATCTTCTCTGACCACAGTGGAATAAAACTAGAAATCAATAACGAGAGGGATTTTAGAAACTATACAAACACATGGAAATTAAACAGTATGCTCCTGAATGACAAGTGGGTCAATGAAGAAATTAAAAAGAAAATTGAAAAATGTCTTGAAACAAATGATAATGGAAACACAACATACCAAAACCTATGGGATACAGCAAAAGCAGTAGTGAGAGGGAAGTTTATAGCTATAAGCACCTACATCAAAAAAGAAGAAAAACTTCAAATAAATAATCTAACCATGAATCTTATAGAACTAGAGAACTAAGAGCAAACAAAATCCAAAGTTACTAGAAGAAAATGAATAATATAGATCAGAGCAGAAATAAAATAAAAATGAAGAAAACAATACAAAAGATCAATGAAAGGAAAAGTTGGTTTTTTAAAAATAAACAAAATTGACAAACCCTTAGCCAGAACAATGAGGGTAAAAACCAAAGAAGACCCAAATAAATAAAATCAGAGATGAAAAGGGATATTACAACTGATACTGCAGAAACTCAAAGGATCATTAGTGGCTACTATGAGCCAATAAATTGGAAAATCTAGAAGAAATGGATACATTTCTAGACATATATAATCTACAAGGATTGAACCAGGAAGAAATCCAAAACCTGAACAGACGAATAACAAGTAATGAGATCGACGGCATAATAAAAAGTCTCCCAGCAAAGAAAAGCCCAGGACCTAATGGCTTCATTAACGACTTCTACCAAACATTAAAAGAAGAAGTAATACCAGTTCTACTCAAACCATTCCAAAAGAAGAGGAGAAGGGAATACTTCCAGTCTCATTCTACAAGGCTAGTATTAACCTTGATACCAAAATTAGACAAAACACATAAAAAAAAAAAGAAAACTACAAGCCAATTTCTTTGATGAATATGGATGCAAACATCCTGAACAAAATACTAGCAAACTGAATTCAACAACACATTAAAAAGGTCATTCATCCTGACCAAGTGGGATTTATCCCCGGGATGCAAGGTTGATTAGACATACACAGATCAATCAATATGATTCATCATATCAACACAATGGAGGATAAAAAATGATGTGGGTGGGCATGGTGGCTCACGCCTGTAATCCCAGCACTTTGGGAGGCCAAGGTGGGCGGATCACAAGGTCAGGAGATCGAGACCACGGTGAAACCCCGTCTCTACTAAAAATACAAAAAATTAGCCGGGCGTGGTGGTGGGCGCCTGTAGTCCCAGCTACTCAGGAGGCTGAGGCAGGAGAATGGCATGAACCCGGGAAGCAGAGCTTGCAGTGAGCTGAGATCATGCCACTGCACTCCAGCCTGGGCGACAGAGTGAGACTCCGTCTCAAAAAAAACAAAAACAAAAACAAAAATTAGCCAGGTGTGGTGGCACACATCTGTAATCCCAGCTACTCAGGAGTCTGAGGCAGGAGAATCACTTGAAGCTGGGAGGCAGAGGTTGCAGTGAGCTGAGATTATGCCACTGCACTCCAAACTGGGCAACAGTGCAAGACTCCATCTCAAAAGAAACAGAAACAAAAACAAAAAAACACCATATGATGATTTCAATTGATGCTGAAAAAGCATTTGATAAAATTCAACATTTCTTCATGATAAAAACCCTAAAAAAACTGGATATAGAAGGAACATACCTCAATGTAATAAAGATGATATATGACAGACCCATGGCTATTATTATACTGAATGGGGAAAAACTGAAAGCCTTTTCTCTAAGATGTGGAACACAACAAGGATGCCCACTGTCACCATTGTTGTTCAACATAGTACTGGAAGTCCTAGCTAGAGCAATCAAAGAAGAGAAAGATATAAAGGGCATCCAAATTGGAATGGAAGAAATCCAATTATCCTTGTTTGCAGATAATATGATCTTATATTTGGAAAAACCGAAAGACTCCACCAAAAAACCATTAGAACTGATAAATTCAGTAAGGTTGCAGGATACAAAATTAACATACAAGAATCAGTAGCATTTCTATAAGCCAACAGTGAACAATCTGAAAAAGCAATCAAGAAAGCAATTCCATTTACAATAGCTACAGAAAAAAAAAAAAAAAAAACCCACCTAGGAATTAACCAAAGATGTGAAAGATCTCTACAATGAAAACTATTGGGCTGGTACAAAGTAATTGCAGTTTTTGCCATTACTTGTTTTTTGTTTGTTTTTTTGAGACAGAGTCTTGCTCTGTCACCCAGGCTGGAGTGCAGTGGTACAATCTCGGTTCATTGCAATCTCTGCCTCCTGGGTTCAAGCGATTCTCCTGCCTCAGCCTCCCAAGTAGCTGGGATTACAGGTGCATGCCACCATGCCCGGCTAATTTTTGTATTATTAGAGATGGGTTTCACCATGTTGGCCAGGCTGGTCTTAAACTCCTGACGTCAAGTGATCCACCTGCCTCGGCCTCCCAAAGTGCTGGGATAACAAGCATGAGCCACTGCGCCCAGCTGCCATTACTTTTAATGGCAAAAACTGCAATTACTTTTGCACCAACCTAATATAAAACATTGATGCAAGAACTTGAAGAAGACACAAAAAAATGAAAAGATATTCCATGTTCATGAACTGGTAAAATAAATGTTGTTAAAATGTCAATACTGGCTGGACACGGTGGCTCATGCCTGTAATCCCAGCACTTTGGGAGGCCGAGACAGATGGATCACCTGAGGTCAGGAGTTCGAGACCAGCCTGACCAATATGATGAAACCCCCATCTCTATTAAAAATACAAAAATTGGCCAGGCATGGTGACACATACCTGTAATCTCAGCTACTCAGGAGGCTGAGGCAGGAGAATCACTTGAACCCAGGAGATGGAGGTTGCAATGAGCTGAGATTGCGCCATTGCACTCCAGCCTGGGCAACAAGAGCGAAACTCCATCTAAAAAATAAAAATAAAAATAAAAGTCAATACTATCCAAAGCAATCTACAGATTCAATGCAATCCCTATCTAAGTACCAATGACATTCACAGAAATAGAAAAAAAAATCCTAAAACTTTTATGCAACCATAAACGACCCAGAATAGCCAAAACCATACCCAGCAAAAAGAACAAAACTAGAGGAATTACATTACCTGACTTCAAATTATACTACAGAGCTATAGTAACCAAAACAGCATGGTACTGGCATAAAAACAGACATATGTGGACCAATGGAACAGCATAGTGTAACAAATCCATACATACATAGAGAAACAAATCCATACATCTACAGGAAACTCATTTTCGACAAAGTTGCCAAGAAAATAGGCTGGGGAAAAGACAGTCTCTTCAATAAATGGTGCTGGGAAAACTGGATATTCATAAGCAGAAAAAATGAAATTAGGTCCCTATCTGTCACCATCTACAAAAATCAAATCAAAATGGATTAAAGACTTAAATCCAATACCTCAAACCATGAAACTACTACAAGAAAACACTGGGGAAGCTCTCCAGGATGTTGGTCTGGGCAAAGATTTCTTGAGTAACCCACAAGCACAGTCCAAAGCAAAATGGGCAAGTGATTTAAAAAGCTTCTGCACAGGAAAGGAAACAATCGACAAAGTGAAGAGACAACCCAAGGGTGGGAGAAAACATTTGCAAAGTACTCATCTGACAAGGGATTAATAACCAGAACATGTAAGGAGTTCAAACAACTCTATAAGAAAAAAAAAACTAATAATCCAATTAAAAATGGGCCAAATATCTGAATAGACGTTTATCACAAGAAGACATACCAATGGCAAACAGGTTTATGAAAAGGTCATTGATCATCAGAGAAATGCAAATCAAAACTATATTGAGATACCAGCCAGGTGCAGTGGCTCACGCCTGTAATCCTAGCACTTTGGGAGGCTGAGGCGGGTGGTTCACTTGAGGTCAGGAGTTCGAGACCAGCCTGGCCAACATGGTGAACTTCGTCTCTACTAAAAATACAAAAAACTAGCCGGGTGTGGTGACACATACCTGTAAGCCCAGCTACTCGGGAGGCTGAGACAGGAGAAACACTTGAACCCGGGAGGCGGAGGTTGCAGTGAGCCGAGATTGTGCCATTGCACTCCAGCCTGGGGCACAGAGCAAGACTTCGTCTAAAAAAGAAAGAGAAAGAAAGAAAGAAAGAAAGAAAGAAAGAAAGAAAGAAAGAAAGAAAGGAAGGAAGGAAGGAAGGAAGGAAGGAAGGAAGGAAGGAAGGAAGGAAGGAAGGAAGGAAGGAAGGAAAAGAAAACTCCCTAAAGAAAGAAAGAAAGAAAGAAAGAAAGAAAGAAAGAAAGAAAGAAAAGAAAACTCCCTAAAGAACCATAATGAGATACCATCTTACCCCAGTTAAACTGGCTTTTATACAAAAGACAGGCAATAACAAATGCTGGTGAGGATGTGGCGAAAAGGGAACCCTTGTACACTGTCGGTGGGAATGTAAATTAGTACAACCACTATGGACAACAGTTGGGAGATTTCCTCAAAAAACTAAAAATAGAGCTACTATACGATCCAGCAATCCCACTTCTAAAGAAAGAAAATCAGTATATTGAACATATATCTGCATTCCCATGTTTACTGCAGCATTATTTCACAATAGCCAAGATTTGGAAGCAACCTAAATGTTAATCAGCAGATGAATAGATAAATAAAATTTGGTACATATACACAATGGACTACTATCCAGCCATAAAAAGAGTGAGATCTTGTCATTTACAACAACAAAGATGTACCTGGAGGTGATTATGTTAAGTGAAATAAGCCAGGCACAGAAAGACAAACTGCACATGTTTTCACTTATTTGCGGGAGCTAAAAATTAAAACAATTGAACTCATGGAGATACAGAGTAGAAGGATGGCCACCAGAGGCTGGGAACGGGGTGGTAGGGGAGTGGAGGGGAAATGGGGATGGTTACTGAGTACAAAAAATAGAAAGAATGAATAAGACCTAGTATTTGATAGCATAACAGGGTGACTATAGTCAACAATAATTTAATTGTACATTTAAAAATAACTGAAAGAGTATAATTGGATTGTTTGTAACACAAAGGATAAATGCTTGAGGTGATGGGTACTCTATTTACCCTGATGGGATTATTATGCACTACATGCCTCATCAAAACTATCTCACGTACCCCATAAACATATACATCTACTATGTACGCACATACACAAAATAATGAAAATGAAAAAAAGAAAGCAAAAAGAGAAAAAAGAGGAAGAAAAAATTACTCCGTTTTCAGACTAGTTTTGTACTGGGGGACTCAATGCTTAGCCAGTTCGTTTACAGCTCTCCCTTGGCGTTCAGTTCCTGCTTACATGGATCCTGACGTCAGCCAGAGGTGAAAACTTAGGTTCTTCTCGGCCCTTTTCTGAGCATGTTTCTGAGCATGAGCGCCTGGCGTGCATGTGGCCTTTTTCAACTCTCTGGTATACACAGGAGCTGTTAAAATCCCTTATTTCCCCACATATTTCCTTTCCGATCTTCTTCCTTCCTTCAGTCTATTATTTGTTCTGACTGTTATCTCTTTCCCCAGGCTGCTCCAGACAATATTGTGCCTTCAAATACTTTCAGCAAAAGCTACCTGCTTCTGAGAATGCTCCAAGTTGGGTGAAATGAGGCAGGTCCTTGCACCAGTTCTTGAGAGAACCACTAGTCAGGTTGAAGCATAAAATCACATTTGGAAATAAGGTCTGCATTGCTCCCTCCAGCACTATAAAGTTATACCAGGAGTGTGGGATGCTACCTTCATGGCTGCTGCTGATCTAAAGCAGGGAGTTGGCAAGCAGGTGATTAAAAACACCAGAGCATTCTTTTACTGCAATGTAGCTGCTTCTTTCTTCATTAAGCTTTCCCCTGCTTGTTGTAAGTTTTCGACTAAATTCCAGAGTTCTGCAAAAATTGACAGTCTTTGCCAGCTTGTTGTTTGATTTTGGAGAGATGGAGCCCTGGGGTTCCCTGTTTTGCCATTTTCCATGACATCATGAACAAGTATAGTTGTCATAAGCTTTTGATTAGTTTCCAGAGCTCTGATAAAGTTGATTTTGACACTGTTTGCTGGTTTATTTTCCGCTTTTGTGAAGGGATAGACTTTTGGAGTTCCCTACTCTGTCATTTTTGCTAATGTTACTTAAATTCAGGTATCTTTATTAGGGAAAATTGTCCATTTCAGTATTTTACTCCAACAGGGAGTCATTGCTGGAAGAAGACAATGTCTGACCACTCTGGCTTCTACAATGGTCTAGTCATAACTCTCAGATCCAGCAATTTCATTGGCAGAAGCTTTACCTTACAGGAGATGGGCCTTATTAAAACCATAAGCAGTAGCTCCATTAAACCAGGTACAACAATGTCTAAATTTTTTTTTTTTTTTTTGAGACGGAGTTTCACTCTTGTTGCCCATGCTGGAGTGCAATGGCTCAATCTCGACTCACTGCAACCTCCGCCTCCTGGGTTCAAGCAATTCTCCTGCCTCAGCCTCCCGAGTAGCTGGGATTACAGACATGCACCACCACACCCGGCTAATTTTGTATTTTTAGTAGAGACGGGATTTCACCATGTTGGCCAGGCTGGTTTTGAACTCCTGACCTCAAATGATCCACCCGTCTTGGTCTCCCAAAGTGCTGGGATTACAGGTGTGAGCCACTGTGCCCAGCCAACAATGTCTAAATTTTTAAAAGGTTGATTATTTAGCTTTTATTCTCTTCCTCTTGCTTTCTTTTTTTCCCACTAGCACATTTTCTTCCTTGCACTTTTCTGTATTTTTTTTTTTGAGATGGAGTCTTGCTCTGTTGCCCAGGCTGGAGTGCAATGGCGTGATCTTGGCTCACTGCAACCTCTGCCTCCCGGACTCAAGCGATTCTCCTGCCTCAGCTTCCTGAGTAGCTGGGATTACAGGTATGCACCACCATGGCTGGCTAATTTTTGTATTTTTAGTAGAGACGGGTTTCACCATGTTGGCCAGGCTGGTCTCGAACTCCTGACCTCGTGATCTGCCCTCCTCGGCCTCTCAAAGTGTTGGGATTACAGGCGTGAGCCACCGCACCTGGCCTCTGTATTTTTTTAAACGTTTTATAGTCAACATGCATTTAAATTTTATAAAAAGACATGTAAATATCTTGTTTTATAAGTGGAATAAAAGAAGATTTATGAATGTAATAAGAAAGAATTCAAGCTCCTTACTACAGCTTATGAAGAACAGTTAAATTTTTAAATTATCTTTTCCCCTGAAGAAAAATATAAATAGTTGTAGTTTTACTTTATTATATTACAGTGTTCTAGAATTGATAGATTACTACTTTTTATCCCTTTCTTTAGTTCACAGTGGTGATGGATACCTGAAGAAATGATTCTGGTGGGCTAGATTCATATTCAGCAAGTGTTCTTCACTTTACAACCTATTGGAATTACATTTAACCCAATGCTAATTTAAAAATAAGTTTGTGTTGAGAAGCCAGCAGAACAATATTTTAAAAACTTTTTTTTTTCATGGATCACGGTCAGGTTTAGAATAAGTCAACAAGCATTCAGAGTTTCTCCTTTTCCAGAATATATTCAATAAAATTTCATTTTTTCCCATACACAGACAGAGTCACATAAGCCTAGACACATCATATTTACTTACTTTTCTTTCTTTCTTTCTTTCTTTTTTTTTTTTTTTGAGACAGAGTGTCGCTCTGTCTCCCAGGCTGGAGTGCAGTGGCGCAATCTTGACTCACTACAAACTCCGCTTTTCTATAATAAAAAAACAAGAGTGTATCCCGGGCTGGGCATGGTGGTGGCTCTAGAATTGATAGATTACTACTATTACTATAATCCCAGCACTTTGGGGGACTGAAGTGGGAGGATCCCTTGAAATCAGGGGTTCAAGACCAGCCTAGGCAACATAGCAAGACCCCCATCCCTACAAAAATTTTAAAACTAGCCAGCTGTGGTGGCATGCACCTCTAGTCCCAGCTACTCTGGAGACTGAGGTGGGCGGATCGCTGGGGCCCAGGAGGTAAAGGCTGCAGTGAGCTGCAATGACATAACTGCACTCCAACCTGGGTGACAGAATGAGACTCTGCCTCAGGGAAAAAAAAAAAAAGAATTATTTCTCCATACATTGGTCAGCATGATTTTCAGAAAACACAAATCAGATCACGTTACTATCCTGCTTCAAACCCTCCAATGAGAAACATATCTTGTTCATGGATTGGAAGATTCAGCAGAGTAAGATGTCAATTCTCACCAAATTGATATAGCGGGGATCCTATCAAGATCCCCACAAGATGCTGGGTGCAGTGGCTCACTCCTGTAATCCCAGCACTTTGGGAGGCCAAGGCAGGTGGATTACCTGAGGTTGTGAGTTCAAGACCAGCCTGGACAACATGGTGAAATTCCGTCTCTACTAAAATACAAAAATTAGCCAGGCATGGTGGTGTGCACCTGTAATCCCAGCTACTCGGGAGGCTGAGGCAGGGGAATCACTTGAACCCGGGAGGCGGAGGTTGCAGTGAGCCGAGATTGTGCCACTGCACTTCAGCCTGGGCTACAGGAGACTCTGTCTTAAAAAAAATCCTCACAAGATATTTTATTTTAGTTTTATTTTTATTTATTATTTATTTTTATTTATTTATTTATTTTGAGATGGATTCTCGCTCTGTCACCCAGGCTGGAGTGCAACGGCTCACTCGGCTCACTGCAAGCTCCGACTCCTGGGTTTACGCCATTCTCCTGCCTCAGCCTCCTGAGTAGCTGAGACTACAGGCGCCTGCCACCATGCCCGGCTAATTTTTTTTTTTTTTTTTTTGTATTTTTAGTAGAGACGGGGTTTCACCATGTTAGCCAGGATGGTCTCAATCTCCTGACCTCATGATCCGCCCGCCTTGGCCTCCCAAAGTGCTGGGATTACAGGTGTGAGCCACCACGCCCTGCCTATTTTTATTTTTTTGAGACGGATTTTTGCTCTTGTTGCCCAGGCTGGAGTGCAATGGTGCAATCGCGGCTCATTGCAACCTCCACCTCCCATGTTCAAGAGATTCTCCTGCCTCAGCCTCCTGAGTAGCTGGGATTACAGGCATGCACCACAACTCCCGGCTAATTTTTGTATTTTTAGTAGAGATGGGGTTTCTCCATGTTGGTCAGGCTGGTCTCGAACTCCCGACCTCAGGTGATCCACCCGCCTCAACCCCCCAAAGTGCTGGGATTACAGGTGTGAGCCACCGCGCCCGGCCAAGATATTTTATTAATACAGACAAGATCGTTCTAAAAATCATAAGGAAAGGCAAAGGAATTAGAATAGCAAAAACAATTTTGCAAAGGAAGAGAAAAGTGGGAGGAATCAATATACTTAATTTCAAGACATTAGAGAACTACAGTAATCAAGACTCTGTGGTAGTAGTGGAAGGGCAGACAGACAGATAAGAGGAACAGAATGGACAACCCAGAAGCAGACCCACATAAATATGTCCAACTGATTTTGACAAAGGCACAAAAGAACTCAAATGGTACTGGAGCAATTGGACAAAATGGCAAAAATGAACCTTGACTTAGACCTCACACCGTATACAAAAATTAACTCAAAGTGGATCACAGACTCAAATTTATAATATAAAAGTATAAATTTAGTCCGGGCACGGTGGCTCACTCCTGTAATCCCAGCACTTTGGGAGGCCAAGGTGGGCGGATCACCTGAGGTCAGGAGTTCAAGACCAGCCTGACCAATATGATGAAACCCTGTCTCTACTAAAAATACAAAAATTAGCCAGGCATGGTGGCATGTGCCTGTAATCCCAGCTACTCGGGAGGCTGAGACAGGAGAATTGCTTGAACCCAGGAGGTGGAGGTTGCAGTGAGCCAAGATCACACCATTGCACTCCAGCCTGGGCAACAAGAGCAAAACTCCATCTCAAAAAAAAAAAAGTGTAAAACTTTTAGGAAAAAATACAAGAAAGTCTTCAGGATCTAGGGTTAGGCCAAGAGTTCTCAGATATGACACGATCCATAAAAGGAAAAATTGATTAATTGGGCCTCATGAAGATTTAAAACTTTTGCTCTTTGATAGAGCCTGCTAAGAGGATGAAAAGACAAGCTACGGACTAGGAGAAAATATTTCCAAACGATATAACTGTCGAAAAATTTAGAATATATATATATATATCTCGAAACTCAACAGCAAAAAAAAAAATCCATTTAGAAAATTGGCAAAAGACATGAACAGAAATGTACCAAAGAAGATAGACAGATGGGCTGAGCGCGGTGGCTCACGCCTGTAATCCCAGCACTTTGAGAGGCCAAGGCGGTCAGATCACGAGGTCAGGAGTTCAAGACCAGCCTGGCCAACACTGGGAAACCCCATCTCTACTAAAAATACAAAAAAATTACCCGGGCGTGGTGGTGGGCACCTGTAATCCCAGCTACTCAGGAGGCTGAAGCAAGAGAATCGCTTGAACCTGGGAGGCAGAGGTTGCAGTGAGCCAAGATCACGCCATTGCACTCCAGCCTGGGTGACAGAGCGAGACTCCATTTCAACAAAACAAAACAAAAAAACAAAAAAAGAAGACAGATTGCAAATAAACAGATGAAAAGATGTGCAACATCATCAGCCATTAGGAAAATGAAAATTTTTAAAAGATATCCACAAGATATCACTACATACCTATCAGAATGGCTTAAAATAAAAAATAGTGAATACATCAAATGTTGGTGATGATGCAAAGAAACTTGAAAGGAGCATAAAATGGCACAGACACTCCAGAAAACTGCTTGGCAGTTTATTAAAAAACTAACCATGCTATTACTGTATAACCCAGAAATCACACACTTGGGAATTTATGCCAAACAAATGAAACTGATGTGCACACAAAAACCTGTACACAAATGCTCATCGCAACTTTATTCATAACAACCAAAGACGAGAAACAACTCAAATGTCCATAAGAGGTGAATGGTTAAATAAAACTACTCAGGCATAAGGCTAGGTGTAGTGGCTCACGCCTGTAATCCCAGCACTTTGGGAGGCCGAGGAGGGTGGATCACTTGAGGTCAGGAGTTCGAGACCAGCCTGGCCAACATGGCAAAACCCCATCTCTACCAAAAATAAAAAAAAATCAGCTGGGCATGGTGGCACACACCTGTAGTCCCAGCTACTTGGGAGGCTGAGGTGGGAAGATCGCTTGAGCGTGGGAGGCAGAGGTTACAGTGAGCCAAGATCGTGCCACTGCACTCCAGCCTGGGCAACAGAGTGAGACTCTGTCTCCAAATAAATACATAAATAAATAAATAAAAGAAGAGTATATTCCTGTCTCTGCCCTTTAATCTGATCAGTTTCTGTCTAAGCAAACTTTCTTTTTTTTTTTTTTTTTGAGATGGAGTCTCACTCTGTCACCCAGGCTGGAGTGCAGTGGCATGATTTCGGTTCACTGCAAACTCCGCCTCCCTGGGTTCAGTGATTCTCCTGCCTCAGCCTCCCAAGTGGCTGGGATTACAGGCCACGTTACCATGCCTGGCCAATTTTTGTATTTTTAGTAGAAACGGGGTTTTGCCATATTGGCCAGGCTGGTCTCGAACTCCTGACCTTGTGATCTGCCCGCCTCAGCCTCCCAAAGTGCTGGGATTACAGGCGTGAGCCACTGCGCCCAGCCTGTCTAAGCAAACCTAACTTTAGCTTCTGTTGCTTGACCTGGAGTTACAGTTGAATCTCACAACTCAAGGCTATACTATAGGGAAGCAACTTTCCTAGGAAAATGATCCAAATAAATGAGGCATTCTGGGAACAAATAACAGAAAGAGATAAGGATAAAGTTGATGTCAGACCCTAGAAATTGGGACTGCTTGTGAGACTTTCAATATAGGCCTGTCATTTTGGTCTTTTGTTCTGGCAGAAGCAGCACTTTCTTAATCATAGTAAAATAGAAATGAAATGCTTATCTGCTACTCATTTCTCTAGGAAACATGATAGATTTGCTCCTTATTTTTACCAGTCATTTGTGCTATTTCTTCTATTTTGATTAGTGGGTCATAAACTATTAGTAACTATCAATCTAAAAAATCTTTTAGTCTTTTCTCACTAGAATAATGATATAAATTACTAGAGAATCAGAACTATCCTGCTTATAGCTGCTGTGGATTTATTTAATCCAAAAAAAAGAGATAGGGCTCAACTGAAATCTGGTAGAAGTTCAGAGTTTACATAACACAAGTGTATGTCTAAGAGCTTTTGATTCTTTACATGGGCTGGACTTTAAAAACTGCAGTATATGTTAAAAAAAAAAAACAGTACACAGACACTAAGTTTTGTTTATAGTCACATCACCTTGCTTGACCATGAACTTTGTGTCATGTATGCAGTGGAAATTGGAGAAGCCGCCCTTTTCGTAGCCTGTGCCTTTGCCCTGGCAACACTGGTAACAAATCTGAGTGTACTGAGTGTATTATTCAGGTAAACAGAATTAAGATGCTTTATTTGGACTTTCTGTAAATATCAGCATCATTTTTACTCTATTCTCCTCCATTCTTATTTTTAATTCTCATACCCCCAAATGAGTTCTGGCTGATAGTATTTTACTTCTGCTGAGGATGATCTTTTATTTCCCTTATCTCTTTTATTTAGGAGAAATTTTAATTTTTAGAAGATATTATATATTTCAGTAAATATTCTTCCATGTATAAAACCCACCAACTATAACATTGCTTGATTTGTCACTTCTGCAATAATTTTTCTTTAGTTTAATAAGGCGCTTCTTTCTAGGAGCTCCTTGGTAGAATTAAAATAACCGTCTTTTTTTTTTTTGAGACAGTGTCTAGCTCTGTTGCTGTTGCCCAGGCAGGAGTGCAGTGGCACGATCTCGGCTCACTGCAACCTCTGCCTCCCGAGTTCAAGGATCCTCCTGCCTCAGCCCCCCAGTAGCTGGGATTACAGGCATGCGCCACCACACCTGGCTAATTTTTGTATTTTTCGTAGAGACAGGTTTTCGCCATGTTGGCCAGGCTGGTCTCAAACTCCTGACGTCAGGTGATCCACCTGCCTGGGCCTCCCAAAGTGCTGGGATTACAGGCATGAGCCACCACATCTGGCCCAATAACTCATTTTATCCCTATTGAAACACTAGAAAAATTCTACATGGTACAAGAACATTGAGTGAATCTGGTCATTTTCATCATTTTTCAAAGAATTGCCTAGCCTATGTCTGGAGAAGGAATTCTAGGTTTATTTACCTTTCCTCTGTTTTCCCACAGTTCCACTCTATCTTCTTACTTTTTGAATGAACAATTGAATGTGCATGGTAAGATCGTAAGTGCATCTTAAGTGTCCTGGGCTCTATGTAATGATGATCTATGTCCAACAAGGGGAACAGATGTCTACCTTGTCACAGACGGCTGAGAAATGGAAAAATCCAGGTACTAATTGAACTAAATAGGAGATAATTTTTATTTTAAAATGATGTTTTTTCTATTTGAAAAAGTAATTACATTTATTGCCAAGTGTTAACAAAATACATGATTCAGCAATTGGTTTACCGGCAGTGAAAAAAGCTACAATATTGGAGCTCTACCTACTTAATTTTTAATTTTTATTTTTAAAATTTTATTTTTATTATTTTAAATTTTTAATTGACCCATAATAATTGTACATATTTACAGCATACAGGGTGATATTTTGATACATGTATACAATGTGTAATGATCAAATCAGGGTACTTAACATATCTATCACCTCAAACATTTACCATTTCTTTGTGTTGTGAACATTCAAAACCCTCTCTTGTAGCTACTTGAAAGTATACAATAAATTATTGTTAGCTACAGTCAACCTACTGTGCAATAGAAAACCAGAACTTATTTCTCCTCTCTAACTGTAATTTTGTATTGGTTAACCAACCTCTCCCCATCCCCCTTGCCCCCTCCTCTTCTCAGGTTTTAGTAACCATTATTCTATTCTCTGCTTCTAATGAGATCAATATTTTTAGCTCTCACACATGAGTGAGAACATGTGATATTTATCTTTCTGTGACTGAGACTGCTTTCTTTCTTTTTTTTTTTGAGACAGAGTTTCGCTCTTGTCGCCCAGGCTGGAGTGCAATGGCATGATCTCAGCTCACAGCAACCTCCACCTCCCGGGTTCAAGTGATTCTCCTGCCTCAGCCTCTAGAGTAGCTGGAATTACAGGCATGCACCCCCACGCCTGACTAATTTTTGTATTTTTAGTAGAGACGGGGTTTCACCATATTGACCAGGCTGGTCTTGACCTCCTGACCTCACCAGCCCCAGCCTCCCAAAGTGCTGGGATTACAGGCGTGAGCCACCACGCCAGGTCTTTTTTTTTTTTTTTTTTGAGTGACTTATTTCACTTAAAGTAATGCTCCCCAGGAGCATCCATTTTGCCATTAATGACAATATTTCATTCATTTTTATGGCTGAATAGTATGCCATTTGTTATATACCACATTTTAATTTTTATTTTAAAATCACTTCATAACAAGTTAGACTATAACCAAGCATGGTTTATTCCAGTAATATAAGGGTGGTTAGACATAAGAAAATCTATCAGTATAACCCATTATATCACCAAATTAAAGGAGAAAGCCCTATGACTATATAAATAAATAATTTAAATAAATTTGATAAAAATTTAGCAGGAATTCCTAATAAAAATTCTAAGAAATTTTTTGTTTTGTTTTGTTTTGAGATAGAGTCTTGCTCTGTCACCCAGGCTGGAGGGCAGTGGCACGATCTCAACTCACTGCAACCTCTGCCTGCCAGGTTCAAGCAATTCTTCTGCCTCAGCCTCCTGAGTAGCTGGGACTACAGGTACACGCCACCACACCCGGCTAATTTTTGTATTTTTAGTAGAGACAGGTTTCATTACATTGGCCAGGCTGGTCTCGAACTCCTGACCTTGTGATCCGCCCACCTCAGCCTCCCAAAGTTCTGGGATTACAGGTGTGAGCCACCACGCCCGGCCTTTAAGAAAAATTTTAAAAACCTACCTAAATATCATGGTTTATTTACCAAAATGCAACAGCAAATAGTAGCAAAAGACTACAAGACTAAGTAGCAAATGACTAAAATAATTTTAATGAAAAGTAGGACTATACAAATACATGTATTATTGTCATTATTATTTAACATTACTTTAGATATTCTAGAGCTGTACTGTTCAATATGGTAGCTACTAGCCACATGTGGCTGTCTACATTTAAATAAATTGAAATTACATTGAAAAAATTAGCTCTTCAGTCTCCCTAGCCCCATTTCTTTTTCTTTTTTCTTTCTTTCTTTCTCTTTTTTTTGAGATGGAGTCTTGCTCTATCGCCCAGGCTGCAATGCAGTCGTGCAATTTTGGCTCACTGCAAACTCCACCTTCGGGATTCCAGTGATTCTGGTGACTCAGCCACCCATGTAGCTGGGATTACATGCACGTGCTACCAAACCCAGCTAATTTTTGTATTTTTAGTAGAGACCGGGTTTCACCATGTTGGCCAGGCTGGTCTCGAACTCCTGACCTCAGGTGAGCTGCCGGCCTCGGCCTCCCAAAGTGCTGGGATTACAGGCGTGAGCCACCACACCTGGCCCCCTAACCACATTTCAAGTGCCCCGTAGCAACACATGGTCAGTGGCTACTATAATGGACAGTGCAACTATAGAACTTTTCCATCATCACAGGAAATTCTATTAGATAATGCTATTCTAGAGAATGAAATAAGATAGAAAAAACGTATATATAGTGGGGAAAAATGAGATTAAATTTTCTATCTCTTTTCACTCATGTGTGCTTGTATACATAGAAAACCCAAGGGACAGTCACCAAAATGGTGGAGTAGAAGCAATCTGGCTTCATTCTCCCCCACATAAAATTAAAAACAACTATTCAGTGCCAAGATTGTTACTAGCAATATCCCAGAACTCAAAACTGAGACTGTGTCAATCTCTGGGGCCACAAAGAATTGAAAAACTGTGACTAGAAGGTAAGAGAAACAGACACCTCTACCTGCGACACCTCTTTCCCCAGCTGCCAGGCACCTTGCAGAAAAGTCTGCCTGGACTCATGGTTTCTACACTGGAGAAAGTGAGATTGAGGTGGACAGCCAGCTCTCTTACTATCTTGGGTTCCTTTGTAGGAAAGCCATTCCTGCTCAACCCATGGGAAGCATCATGAGTGTCTGGAAGGAGAAAAACCCCTGAGGGTAGCTAGGGACGAACAGTGGAGGTGTGGCTAGGACCCCCATTGCAGGGAAACTCAGGAGCTGCTCTTTATCTCAGCCAAAGGAGATGCCAAATCAGAGAGGCAGTTCAGCAGCATCATGCTGTAGGAGGCACGCTCCAAGGGTCCTCTGGCCACTAACCTTAGCCAACCTTCCCACACAGGCAGGATATTCCCTTTGGGACCCCCAGCCCCCCAGTGTGGGGCAATGCTCGGAACTTTTGTGAGAACTATGGCAAATCTTGGCTAACTAGTGCCAAAAAGGAAACAGCAATATGGGATTAAGGGGACTCAACAAGCAAATTATACAGAACTTCTAATCAGACATACTCCAGAAGGACCAAACCAAGCCGGAGAGCGAAGACTGGAATAAATAACTAATCCTTCAATGTGAATCCATAGACATATATTCATAAGAAACAACAGCAAATGGGAACCATGATCTTCCCAAATGAACAAAGTAATAAGCCAGTGACCAATCCCAACAAGACAATGATACATGAGCTTTCAGATCAATAATTCAAAATAACAGTTTTGAGGAAATTCAGGGAACTCTAAGATAACACAGAAAATCAATTCAGTAATTTTTATAAGAGAAATTTAACAAAGAGCTTGAAATAATAAAATAAGTCAAACAGAAATCCTGGTACTAAGAAATACATTAACCAACTAAATTTCCAAATAGCCTATCTTCAAGCTCACTGACTCTTTCTTCTGCATGATCAATTCTGTTGTTAACCTCAGAAAGCAAATCTAAGAGACACTGGCCTTAAAGAGGGAACTGAGAAAGAGCAAGGGCTAGAAATCTTATTAAAAAAAATAAGCACAGAAAACTCTCCAAACCTAGATAAAGATATAAATATCCAGGTATAGGAAGGCCAACATCACCAAACAGATTCAACGCAAATAAAACTGTACCAAGGTATATAATAAACTCTCAAAGGTAAAGGACAAAGAGAGGGTCCTAAAAGCAGCAAGAGAAAAGAAGCAAATAATGGGCCAGGCACAGTGGCTCATGCCTGTAATCCCAGCACTTTGGGAGGCCAAGGTGGGAGGATCACTTGAGGTCAGGGGTTAGAAACCAGCCTGGGCAACATGGTGAAACCCTGTCTCTACTAAAAATATAACAGTTATCCAGGTGTGGTGGTGCACACCTGTAATCCTGGACATTTGGGAGGCTGAGGCAGGAGAATTGCTTGAACGGGGAGGTGGAGGTTGCAGTGAGCCGAGATCATGCCACTGCACTTCAGCCTGGGCCACAGAGCAAAACTCCATCTCAAAAAAAAAAAGAAGAAGAAGAAGCAAATAATGTATAAAGGGGCTCCCATTTGTCTGGCGACAGAATTCTCAGCAGAAACCATATAGATCAGGAGGCAGTGGGGTGACATATTCAAAGTGCTAAAGGAAGAAACTGCCAAATGAGAATACTGTACCCAGCAAAGCTTTATCTCCTTCAAACATGAAGGAGAGAGAAAAAATTTCCCAAACAAAAACCAAGGGAATTCATCACAACAAGACCCGTCTTACAAAAAATGCTAAAGGCATTTCTTCTATCTGAAAGAAAAGGATGCTAACATGCCATAAGAAAATATTGGAAGGCATAAAATTCACTGGTAAAAGTAAGTAGACAGACAAACTCAGCATACTTTAATACTGTAATTGTGATGTGTAAACCACTCAGATCTCTAGTATGAAAACTAAAAGACAAGGCTATCAAAAATAATAATAACCATAACAAGTTTATAGTAGATGGGCAACGTAAAACCATGTAAATTGGCTGGGTATGGTGGCTCATGCCTGTAACCCCAGCACTTTGGGAGGCTGAGGCGGGCAGATCACTTGAGGCCAGGAGTTCGAGACCAGCCTGGCCAACATGGCGAAACCCTGTATCTACTAAAAACATAAAAATTAGCCATGCTGGTGGAACATGCCTGTAATCCCAGCTACTTGGGAGGCTGAGGCACGAGAATCACTTGAACCTGGGAGGCAGAGGTTGCAGTGAATCAAGATCCTGCCACTGCATTCCAGCCTGGGCAACAGAGTGAGACTCTGTCTCAAAAAAAATAAATACATAAAATAAAAATAATAAGATGTAAATCAAGACAATAAAACACCAACAAGGAAAAGCCCAGAACCCGATGGCTTCATTGCTGAATTCTACTGAACTTTAAAAGAGGAACTAGGTCAGGCACGGTGGCTCACATCTGTAATCCCAGCACTTTGGGAGACCAAGGTGGGCAGATCACGAGGTCAGGAGATCGAGACCATCCTGGCTAACACAGTGAAATCCTGTCTCTAATAAAAATACAAAAAATTAGCCAGGCGTGGCGGCGGGTGCCTGTAGTCCCAGCTACCCGGGAGGCTGAGGCAGGAGAATGGCATGAACCCGGAAGGTGGAGCTTGCAATGAGCCAAGATCACCCCACTGCACTCCAGCCTGGGTGACAGTGTGAGACTCCGTCAAAAAAAAAAACTGAAAAACAAAAAACTAATATCAGTTCTTCTCAAACCCTTCCAGGAAACTGAAGAAAAGAAAATTCTTCCAAACTCATTTGGAAGAATCTATTAGGCCAGCATTACCCTGCTACCAAAACCAGACAAGGACACAACAGAAAAGAAAGCTGTAGACCAATATCCATGATGAGCATAGATGCAATAATCCCTAACAAAATACTAGTAAACCAATCCCAGGAGCACATTTAAAATATCATTCACCATGATTGGGATTTATCCCAAGGATGCAAGGATGTTTCAGTGTATGCAAATCAATAAATGTGATATAACACATCAACAGAATGAAGAACAAAAATCATTTTATCACCTCAATAAACTCAGTAAAACACATTTGATAAAATTCAACATCCCTTCATGATAAAAAGTCTCAACAAGTTAGGTACAGAAGGAATGTACAGCAGCACAACAAAGGCCAAACCTACAGCCAGCATCAGACTAGCAATCCCACTTACAATAAATCCCATTTACAATAAATACAAAAAGAGGGAACAGTTGGAAGCTTTTACTTTCAGATCTAGGACAAGACAGGCATACCCACTTTCACCAGTTTTATTTAATGTAATGCTGGAAGTCTAAGCCAGAGTAATTCAGCAAACGAAAGAAATAAAGAGAATCCAAATTGGAAATTAAGGAAGACAAATTGTCCTGTTTGCAGACAACACGATCTTATATGGAGAAAACCCTAAAAGCTCCAGCAAAAAAACTGCTAGAACTGATGAACAAATTCAGTAAAGTTGCAGAATACAAAATCAACATATAAAAATCAGTAGTGCCGGCCACGGTGGCTCACGCCTGTAATCCCAGCACTTTGGGAGGCCAAGGCTGGCGGATCATGAGGTCAGGAGATTGAGACCATCCTGGCTAACATGGTGAAACCCCGTCTCTACTAAAAATACAAAAAATTAGCTGGGCGTGGTGGCGGGTGCCTGTAGTCCCAGCTACTGGGGAGGCTGAGGCAGGAGAATCACTTGAACCCAGGAGGCGGAGCTTGCAGTGAGCCACGATCATGCCACTGCACTCCAGCCTGGGCAACAAAGCAAGACTCCATCAAAAAAAAAAAAAATCAGTAGTGACTCCATACACCCCAACAATGAACTAGTGGAAAAAGAAAGCAAAAGAAGCAATCCTGTTTACAATAAATAGAAAAAATACCTAGGAATGGCCAGGCGCAGTGGCTCACACCTGTAATCCCAGCATTTTGGGAGGCTGAGGCAGGCAGATCATGAGGTCAGGAGTTCGAGACCAGCCTAGCTAATATGTTGAAACCCTGTCTGTACTAAAAATACAAAAATTAGCCGGACATGGTGGTGGGCACCTGTAATCCCAGCTACTCGGGAGGCTGAGGCAGCAAATTGCTTGAACCTGGGAGGTGGAGGTTGCAGTGACCCAAGGTCATGCCACCGCACTCCAGCCTGGGTGATGGAGCAAAACTTGGTCAAAAAAAAAAAAACATAGGAATATATTTAAATGAGGTAAAAGATCAAGATGAAAAAGTTATAAAACACTAATGAAAGAAATTGAAGAGGACAAAAAACAATAGAAAGACTTTCATGTTCATGGATTGGAAGAATCAACATTTTGAAAAAGTAATCTATTACCAAAAGTTCTCTATGCGTTCAGTGCAATCACAATCAAAACACTAATGACATTATTCATAGAAATATTTTTTAAATCTTAAAATTTGTATGGAGTCACAAAAGATTCTGAGTAGTCAAAGTAATTCTGAGCAAAAAGAACAAAGCTGAAGGCACCACACTACCTGACTTCAAAATATACTACAAAGCTATAGTGACCAAAACAACGTGGTACTGGCATAAAAACAGACACATAGACCAATGGAAGAGAATAGAGAATGCAGATATAAACCCATGTATTTACAGCCAACTAATTTTTGACAAAGGTGCCAAGAACATTCATTGGGGGAAGTGACAGTCTACTAAATAAATGGTGCTGGGAAAACTGGATATCCATATGCAGAAAAATGAAACTATACCCCTATATCTCACCATATATAAAAATCAACTCAAAATGGATTAAAGACTTACGTGTAAGACCTGAAACTATGAAACGACTAAAGGAAAACAGAGGAAATACTTGAAGACATTGGTCTGGGCAAAGATTTTACGGCTAACGCCTCCCAAGCACACACAACAAAAGCAAAAATAGAGTAGTGGGATTACATAAAAAAGAAAGAAAATTAACTCAAAATGGATTAAAGACCTAAATGTAAGACCTTAAACTATAAAACTCTTAGAAGAAAACATAGGGGAAAAGCTTCATGACATTGGATTTGACAATGATTTCTTGGATATAACAACAAAGGCACAGGCAACAAAAGAAATAGTAGATAAATTGGACTTCACCAAAACTAAAAACTTTTGTGTACCAAAGGATGCTATCTAGCTGGGATTACAGGTGCCCATGACCACGCCTGGCTAATTTTTTTTTTTTTTTGTATTTTCAGTAGAGATGGGGTTTCAGCAGGTTGCCCAGGCTGGTCTCAAACTCCTGACCTCAAGTGATCAGCCTGCCTTGGCCTTCCAAAGTGCAGGGATTACACCACGCCCAGCCAGAATATATGAAGAACTCTTACAACTCAAGAACAACACAAAGTAGAACCCAACTAACCTAATTAATAAGTGGGCAATAAAGTTGCAGAATACAAAATCAACACACAAAAATCAGTAGTAACTATACACTCCAATAATGAACTAGTGGATAAAGAAAGTAAAAAAGCAAACCCATCTACAGTAACTAAAAAAATACCTAGGAGTATATTGAAATTGAATAGATGTTTCTATTCAATATTTCATATGCTAATTGGCCATTTGTATCTCTTCCTTGGAGTAATAAAATAGGCATTTCTCCAAGGAAGAGATACAAATGGCCAATTCGCACATGAAAAAGATGCTCAATATCATTAGCCATCAGGGACATGGAAAGCAAAACCACAATGAGATACTACTACATACCCATTAAGATGGCTATTACTTTTTAAAAGTGGAAATTAACAAGTGTTGGCAGGGACATGGAGAAATTGAAGCCTTTGTGCACTGTTGGTGAGAATGTAAAATCGTACAGCCACTGTACAAAACAGTTTGGTAGTTCTTCAAATAGCTAAACATGGAACTATGGTGTGATCTAACAATTCCACTTCTAGGTGTCTTCTTAAAAGAATTGCAAGCAGGGACTCCAACAGATATTTTTGCACCAATATTCATAGAAGCATTCATCGCAATAGTTAAAAGTTACAAACAACCCAATGTCCATGGGCAGATGAATGGATAAACAAAATGTGATATATCCATACAATGGAATATTATTTAGTCTTTAAAAGGAATGAAATTATAATACATGCTACAATATGGATGAACCTTGAGAACATTATGCTAAGCAAATGAAGCCAGATACAAAAGGGCTGATACAGTCATCCCTCGATATCCGTGGGGGATTGGTTCTAGGCCTCTCAGGCAGGTACCAAAATCAGATGCTCAAGTCCCTTATATAAAATGGTATAGTATTTGCATATAACCTGAACACATCCTCCTATATAAGTTAAATCATTTCTAGATTACTTATAATACCTAATTACAATGTAAATACTATGTAAATAGATATTGTATTGTTTAGGGAATAATGACAAAAAAGTCTGTACATATTCAATGCAGATGCAACCATCCATTTTTTTTTCAAATATTTTCAAGCCACAATTGGTTGAAACTATGGACACAGAATCCAAGGATACAGAGGGCCACTGTACTGCATGAGTCCACTTATATGAGGTACCTATAATAGGCAAATTCATAGAGACAGAAAGTAGAAGTTAGCAGGGGCTCAGGAGGGGAGGGTAGAAAGGAGACTAACTGTAAATCTAATTATGTGGGAGAGATCTGAATATGTAGACATAGGTAGTATTGAGAATCAAATGAAACTGGGCTTAAATAAATTATTGGCTCTGCCCTTTATTAGGTGTGCGACATGGGTCGAGTTAATTAACTTTTTAATTTTAATTACATATTTTTATTTATTTATTTACAAAATTTTATTGCAAATTCTTCAGGGCTTCATAAATTTTATATCAATAAATGTAGAATATCTAACTGTTAAGAGATAATACAGGGTCACTAATTTAATACTTTTTTTTGGGGGGGGGACAAGATCTCACACTATCACCCAGGCTGGAGTGTAGTGGCACTATCTCAGGCCACTGAAACCTCGACCTCCCAGGCTCAAGCGATCCTCTTACCTCAGCCTCCCGATTATCTCGGCAGGCACATGCCACCATGCCTAGCTAATTTTTGTAGTTTTTTCAGAGATGGAATTTCACCATGTTGCCCAGGCTGGTCTCGAATTCCTGAGCTCAAGCGATCCATCCACCTCAGGCTCCAGAAGGGTTGGGACTATAGGGATAAGCCACCTAGCCCAGCTAATTTGGTAAATTTACCAGGAATCGGGATCCAGTATTCAGACTCACAACTTTAAAACTCGATCTTGTCAGTTCCCCTTGTTAGCAAACTCACAAGGTATACCAATAGATAAACTAGAATGACAATTTTAGATACTCAAGTATCTAGAAAGAATACTTAAACACCTTATTTCAGGCACATCCTTTTATAGTTTTGAAGTATCAAGGAGGCTGATGTTACTTGTAAAGTTAGTAATTAGCAAAGAAATGTGGATTGTCTTAAGCAAAATCTAATCCAGACTTTTGTGAGACACAGCAGACAGTACCTGTCTTTCTAGAAAAAGTTGTTCACATCTCCCAGTTTCAGACTCTCTCTCCTAGAGAGTGCAGGATATAAAAAGTCAATTCTTTTTGACTCCTCCTTTGCCCATGCTCCAAGGAAACTAGATATACAACGGCTTTCAATCCTGGCTACACATTGGAATAATGTGAAATCTGAAATTTAAAAACATACCTAGAGCAATACCCATGCCTCACCCCAAGACAACTGAATCAGAGTCTCTGAAAAGCTAGGAACTTTACATCTGCATTTTTAAAAAAGCTTCCCAAAAGATTCTGATGCATAGTAAGCATCAAAAATAAAATGGACTTCTTATTACATATCCATTTTTTGTTGATTTTATGTTGAGTTCTTGTCTCTCCTATATTATGTACATAATACACTTAAATAAAATATAGTTTAGGCATATACATAGATCTGAGAAGAAAAATCACACTCTAGGCTTAACTGCTAATATATAATATTAAGAAAAATTGTAGGTTATTTTATATTTAAAAGTATATTGAAATAATTAGAAGTTTAGAGTCTGTGTATAAAACCAAAATCTAATACCTAGAAAACAGAATTTTGATTATTATAAATAACTGATCAAATTTATCCACAATTTACATATTTCTTTTTAATTCATATATAATCGTAGTACATATTTTGGGGGATACGTGTGATATTTGATACCTGTCTACAATGTGTAATGATCAAATCAGGGTAATTCGGATATCCATCACCTGAAACATTTTTACCTTTTCTTTGTATTGGGTATATTACAATTCTTCTATTCTAGCTATTTAGAAATATACAATGAGTTATTGTTTAGTATAATTTCCCTAATGTGCTACTGAATACTAGAACTTATTACTTTTACTGAACTGTATTTTTATACCCCTTAATCAACTTCTCTTCATTCTCCCCTCCTAGCCTCTGGTAATCACCATTTTATTCTCTACCTCCATGAGATCTACTTTTTTAGCTCCCACAGATGAGTGAGAACATGAAGTATTTGTCTATGTCTGGCTTATTTCACTTAACATAATGACCTCCAGTTCCATCCATGTTGCAGCAAATGACGGGATTTCACCCTTTTTATGGCTGAACAATAGTCCATTGTGTATATATACCGCATTTCACATTTTCTTTTTCTTTTTCTTTTTTTTGAGACGGAGTCTCGCTCTGTCACCCAGGCTGGAGTGCAGTGGTGTGATCTCGGCTAACTGCAACCTCCGCTTCCCAGGTTCAAGCAATTCTCCTGCCTCAGCCTCCTGAGTAGCTGGGACTACAGGCATGCACCACCACGCCCAGCTAATTTTTGTATTTTTAGTAGAGATGGGGTTTCGCTATGTTGGCCAGGATGGTCTTGATCTCTTGGCCTCGTGACCTGCCCGCCTCGGCCTCGTGACCTGCCCGCCTCAGCCTCATGATCCACCGGCCTCAGCTTCCCGAAGTGCTGGGATTACAGGCGTGAGCTACCGCGCCTGGCCTATATACCGCATTTTCTTTCTCTATTCATTCGTTGATGAACACTTAGGTTGATTCCATATCTTGGTTATTGTGAATAGTGCTGCAATAAACTTGGGAGTGTAGATCTCCTTGATATACTGATTTCCTCTCTTTTGGATATATACCTATACCTAGTGATGGGATTGCTGGGCCAAATGACAGTTCTAGTTTTAGTTTCTTATTTATTTATTTATTTATTTATTTATTTATTTATTTATGTAGAGATGGTGTCTCAGTATGTTGCCCAGGCTGGTCTTGAATTCCTGGGCTCAGGTGATCCTCCCGCTTGGCCTCCCAAAGTGCTGGGATTACCGGTGTGAGCCACCATCCTGGCCTATTTTTAGTTTCTTGAGGAACCTCCATACTGTTTTCCATAATGACTGTACTACTTTATATTCCTACCAACAGTATACAAGGGTTCCCCTTTATCTGCATCCCTGTCAGCATTTGTTATTTTTTTGTCTTTTTGATAATAGCTATTCTAACAGGGATGAGATGATATCTCATTGTGGTTTTGATTTGCACTTCCCTAATGATTAGTAATGTTGAGCATTTTTTCATGTATCTGTTGGTCATTTGTATCTATTCTTTTGAGACCTATTTAGGTCTTTGCCCATTTAAAAATCGGATTAACTGTTTATTTTTATTTAATTATTTTTTGTGCTATAGAGTTGTTTGAGTTCCTTATATAGTCTGGTTATTAATCCCTTGTTACATAGATAGTTTGCAAATATTTTCTCCCATTCTGTGGGTTGTCTCTTCACTTTGTTGTTTGTTTCCTTTGCTGTACGGAAGCTTTTTACCTTGATGTGATCCCATTTGTCTATCTTTGCTTTTGTCACCCATGCTTTTGAGGTCTTAAAAAAAAATTTGCCCAGTCCAACGTCCTGGAGAGTTTCCCTAATATTGTCTTTTAGTAGTTTCATAGTGCGAGGTCTTACATTTAAGTCTTGGATCCATTTTGAGTTGATTTTTGTATATGATGAAAGATAGGGCTAATTAACCTTTTAAAATCTGTTTGCTAATCTGAAAACAAAAATCAATAAACAGAATCATAATCATACCAAACTCAGAGGGCAATTGTGAGGGTTAAATGAATAACATACGAAGCACTAGCAAAGAGTCTAGCACATAAACACTCAGTGAATGTTAGCTATTAATGACCTTAGGACAATTCCCGATACCTAATAAACTTCTATTGAAGGAACACATGCAACTGCATATTTGCTATAATGATGAAACTGAAGCATAGTTAGGGAGGGGGAAGAGTGCTTTATAGGGAAAGGCATGCAAAAGAACTTATTAAAAAGAAACTGCAGCATGACAGACTAGAACCCGGAAACACACTCTCTGTGTACCTGATAATATGATAGTATGTATAGGACAGTTTTTTCTGTATTTGTACATCATGTTGCTTCTTGGATCAACTCTCCTCTACCAAAGAGAAACCATAATTCATATCCTTTCCTTTCTTCCACTTTATATTTCCCCGTTTCCTTAAGAAGGGGCTGGAACTCTGGCAATAATGAAAAAGTTACATATGTGTATGCTCTAACTAGATTGTAAATTTCTGAAGGATAATTTTTGCCTCCTTCCCATGAAACACTTAACCATATTTTAAGCATTTAATAAATGTTTCAAATCCGATCTGGCACACTAAATTCTCAATTAACATTTGTTGGATGATTGAATTTATAAGTGAGCAGTTATTGTGCTCCCCTCCTCTACCCACAGAGATGCTCCCTGAGACACTTTTGTCAGGAGTACTATTTCCTCTCCCTCTCCCTCTCCCTCTCCCTCTCCTCCCTCTCCTCCCTCTCCTCCCTCTCCTCCCTCTCCTCCCTCTCCTCCCTCTCCTCCCTCTCCCTCTCCCTCTCCCTCGTTCTTCTTTTTTTTGACGGAGTCTCGCTCTGTCACCCAG
Organism: Homo sapiens; assembly: GCF_000001405.40. Classification (NCBI taxonomy): domain Eukaryota; kingdom Metazoa; phylum Chordata; class Mammalia; order Primates; family Hominidae; genus Homo; species Homo sapiens. The sequence goes on along the minus strand of NC_000023.11, from coordinate 101,294,072 downwards.
GCTGGAATGCAGTGGCGCGATCTTGGCTCATGGCAACGTCCGCCTCCCGGATTCAAGCGATTCTCGTGCGTCAACCTCCCTAGTAGCTGGGATTACAGGCACGCGCCACCACGCCCGGCTAATTTTTGTATTTTTAGTAGAGACGGGGGATTCTCACCGTGTTGGTCAGGCTGCTCTGGAACTCCTGACCTGAGGTGATCCACCTGCCTCAGCCTCCCAAAGTGCTGGGATTACAGGCGTGAGCTACTGTGCCCAGCCAGGAGTACTATTTTCATTTACCTAACATGTATATATCTGATTCTTTATGAAAAGGCTTTGAGCAGCTTTTAGTGTTATTTACTGCATGAGACAAAAAATAATTAGGGAAATGGGAGAGAACATAGTTACTTAAGATAAAACTCAACATATGTCAGTAAGGCTTAGTTATTACAGGTTGGTTGCAAATTTGGTTCTGAGCTTCCTAGCAGCCATCATAAACTTAATTATATAATTCACACTGTCCTTACAAGTCAAAACAATTACTCAGCTATTTCAGTTACCAAAAACAGAATTTTCATTTCCGTTTTCATGAAAGGATTTTTTTGTATAATTAATGCCTTCAAGAATATTGTATAGTAAATGTAAAACTGGTCTCGTTGGCCTGTTTTCTTGCATAACCCCTGATGTAGCCCCATGGCACAATGCCAAAATGAAGGTTAGCAGATAGATTCTAAAAGGGATCAAAACAATTTTGTCTTGGTCTGAAGCTCTGATAATCTAGTTTAATTGAATGAAAAAATATCATGTCCCAAAAGAAAATGATTGTAGAATAGTCTTCCGAAAATATTTATTCCCTGCGATTAAGTTTGGGTGAGTGTTAGGCAGTGGAGACGTGGCTGCTACAATCTTGAACCGGCACCGGCAATGTCGTTAACAGTATTACGTCTTAAAGACATAAAAGAAACCTTTTACATTTACGAAGGTTCTGGAACCCTCCAGGTCACATGACTACACAGGAAGCCATTTTACAACCCCAACGAGGTGGGCCATGGAGTGCCCCGAGGGACAGCTCCCCATTTCTTCAGAAAATGATTCAACACCAACAGTTTCAACATCGGAAGTAACTAGCCAACAAGAACCCCAAATTCTTGTCGACCGTGGGTCTGAAACCACCTATGAAAGCAGCGCCGACATTGCTGGCGACGAAGGCACCCAGATTCCTGCCGACGAGGACACTCAAACGGATGCGGACAGCAGCGCCCAGGCTGCTGCCCAGGCCCCAGAAAACTTCCAGGAAGGGAAAGGTAGGTGGTTTTTTAAGCTTGTTCCCCCAGCCGAGGACCTTCTTTCGGAGAAACAAACTGCTTTTAGTTCGATTCAAAATTTGTTTGAATTGCGGCCCCCTTGAGGAGCAATGGGCGACGTAACCTGTGTCCCTCTCCAGAGGATGTAAAATGTTGACTCTGTTGAGGAGAGGGGAGCAACCGATCGTGTTAGAGGGCTTTGGGCACAGATTCTAGTTGTTCAGTGGGTTTGCACGGTGGCGTGTTTGTCACTAGGCGAGGTCACCGTGCCTAGGGACAAACCGTCCGACCTAATGGAGTCGAGGAGCAACCAAAAGCGAGCAACTCGCTTTTTTTTTTTTTTTTTTTTTTTGACGGAGTTTCGCTCTTGTTGCCCAGGCTGGAGTGCAGTGGCACGATCTCGGCTCACTATAACCTCCACCTCCTGGGTTCAAGAGATTCTCCTGCCTCAGCTGCCCAAGTAGCTGAGATTACAGGCGCCTGCCATCATGCCTGGCTAATTATTATTATTATTATTTTTATTTATTTTTTTTATTTATTTTTTTTTTTTTGAGACGGAGTCTCGCTCTGTCGCCCAGGCTGGAGTGCAGTGGCGGGATCTCGGCTCACTGCAAGCTCCGCCTCCCGGGTTCACGCCATTCTCCTGCCTCAGCCTCCCGAGTAGCTGGGACTACAGGCGCCCGCCACTACGCCCGGCTAATTTTTTGTATTTTTAGTAGAGACGGGGTTTCAACATGTTGGCCAGGCTGATCTCGAACTCCTGACCTCAGGTGATCCACCCGACTCGGCCTCCCAAAGTGCTGGGATTACAGGCGTGAGCCACCGCGCCCGGCCCAACTCGCCTCTTAGGAGTATCACTGTCCCCTGGTAAAAATCTTCTGGCGCCCTGAAGGTTGCCCCTGTGTAAAGGTAATTTTTTTTTTTTCGGACAGAGTCTCACTCTGTCGCCAGGCTGGAGTGCAGTGGCGCAATCTCGGCTCACTGCAATCTCCACCTCCCGGGTTCAAGCGATTCTCCTGCCTCAGCCTACTGAGCAGCTGGGACTACAGGCGCGCGCAACCACGCCCAGCTAATTTTTGTATTTTTAGTAGAGACGGGGGTTTCATCATGTTGGCCAGGATGGTCTCGATCTTTTGACCTTGAGATCTGCCCGCCTTGGCCTCCCAAAGTACTGGGATTACAGTCGTGAGCCACCGCGCCTGGCCAAGGTAACTTGTTTTGAAGCCTCGGTCTTGCTTCGCGAGGTCCCTGAGCAGTCGCGTCCCCCTCAGCCCTCCCCTCGGCGCTCCCCTCGGCGCTCCGCGCCTTTCGAGCCTTCCCGCCCAGCACGCGGTGAGCGGGCCACTGCCTCGAAGTCGTGCTCCAGTCCGCTGGGCAGCGCGGCCGCGGAGGCGTGGCGAGGCGGGGAGGGGCCGGCGCGCGCCGCTTTTACTGTCCAGGCGCCGGCAGCCCAGCGTTCGCCTCTACGTTCCGCGCGGGAGCCCACGCGCGGTTCGTCCGGAACCCACAGACCAGAGACGCAGGTCCCAGCCTTTTCGGTGTCGGCGCCAGTTCCCGGAGGAGCGGGTGAGTCGGGCGGCCGACCGGGCGGCCGGGACCGGGTCAGCGCCCCGCCAGTGTGCACCCCGCCGCGGTGCACCCCGCAGCCCTCCCCAGCCAGCCTGCACAGCGAGGCGCGAAGGCTGGGACCCGTTGCGACCTGTTGGGCCTCGCGAGAAGTTTTCAAGGGAAAGTGGATCAAAGCCTAGGGGTCAAACTTTCTCTTTGAAAGCTTAGTGCCCCGGGGATAAGGATGGAGGTCAGTCTCTTAAACTGCAGCCGGAGACTGCGAACTTGAAAAAACACCCATTTAGGCGTGTACTGACTTGCATGGCCTGGAGCATGCTGCCAGGCGCCCTCCAGCCAATTATAATTCCAATTGTAATTCTGCTAAAGCGAGATGGAACTAGAGGTGAATGGTAGTAAGGGGTCCTGTTAATTTAATCAGGCATCAAAGAGTGCTTGCTGGAAAAAAGTGGATGCTTTTTCTTAAAGTGAATACCGTACAACTAGTCTTTTAGGTAAATGCAAGTAAATTTAAAAAATAATTAAAACCCAGTTCAACCAGGATTGTCTAACTTTTCTCCCACCAGACTTTTTATTAGGTCTGTTTATCAAACAAATACATTGAAATAGTTTCAGTTCTTACATTCTTTCTTCCATAAAAGAGGAATTACCAAAAAGGCTTGGAAATGAACAAAATGCCCCAGTTTTAGTTCTGCTGAGAAATCTAAAAGTTACTACTGATCTGATAAAATCTTGCTTAGCAGCTAGTTCTTCAAATAATCTGTTCCTGCTCCCAGCCTTAATTGTTACTATGTTCTGTTAGGGAATGTGCTCAGCCCCCAGATTTTTTATTTATTTCGATCAACTCTCTTCTTGCATTTACATTTCTCTTTTGTATTTATATATGCATATATATACATATATATCTGTATGAAACAAGAAGAGAAGAAATTACAATCACAAATAATGCATCTTTCCCTCTCCCATCCTGGGTGTCTGCTTTTCTACTGCTGACTTTTTTTGTTTTGTTTTGTTTTGTTTTGTTTTTGAGAAGGAGTCTCACTCTGTCACCCAAGCTGGAGTGCAGTGGCGCCATCTCGGCTCATTGCAGCCTCCATCTCCTGGGTTCAAGCAATTCTCCTGCCTCAGCCTCCCAACTAGCTGTAAAGATACAGCTAATTTTTGTATCTTTAGTAGAGATGGGGTTTCACTATGTTGGCCAGGCTGGTCTGGAACTCCTGACCTCAGGTGATCCACCTGCCTCAGCCTCCCAAAGTGCTGAGATTACAGGTGTGAGCCACAGCGCCCAGCTGTCTTTCCACCTTTGAGAAAAATCTTCCTCAGAAGTGTGGGCCTGGCTGGGCACAGTGGCTCATGCCCACAATCCCAACACTTTGGGAGGCCAAGGCGGGTGGATCACCTGAGGTCAGGAGCTCGAGACCAGCCTGGCCAACATGGTGAAACCCTGTCTCTACTAAATATACAAAAAAAAAATTTAGCCGGGTGTGGTGGCAGGTACCTGTAATGCCAGCTACTCAGGAGGCTGAGATGGGAGAATCACTTGAACCCGGGCAGCAGAGGTTGCAGTGAGCTGAGATGCGTGCCATTGCACTCCAGCCTGGGGTCAACAAGAGCAAAACTCTGTCTCAAAACAAAACAAAACAAAAGTGTGGGCCCTAATACCCAAAATGCAGGGCTCTACAAATACATCCCAAATACATGGAAAATAAGATTAGAAATAAAGTCTTGGTTCATTGTAAGAACATAAAATTGAAAAACAAATAATGAAAACAATAAAAAATAATAAAATAAAAACTTGGGATCCAGCAATCCCACGTCTAGATGTATATCCTAAAAACTTGAGATCAGTGTGTCAAAGAAATATCCGCACACACATGTTCACTGCAGCATTACAATAGCTAAGTTATGAAATCAATCTAGGTATCCAACAAGTGAATGGATAAATATGTGGTATGTGTACCCAGCTGAATACTATTCAGCCTTTAAAAAGAAGGAAATTCTGTCATTTGCAACAACGTGGATGAATCTGGAGGATATTATATTAAGTGAAATAAGCCAGGCAGAAAAAGACAAAAATCACATATTCTCACTTATATGTGGAATCTAAAATAATTGAACTCATAGAAGCAGAGAGTAGTGTTGGTTATTACAGGCTGGAGTAGCGGGAGGGGCATTGAGGAGATGTTGATCAAAGAACAGAAAATTTCAGTTAGGCTGGTCCAATAGTAGTGGGATATTATCACAACTTATTAACATTAATGCCACTAAAGTTGGTATACAATCTCCCACTTCCAAATTTGGCTTTTAAAATTAAAAAAAATGAAAGTTGCAGTTAGGGGGAATAACTGATAAGTATTTAAGGTGATGGATGTGCTCATTAGATTGATTCAGTCATTTCACACTATATCATAACATCATTGTGTACCCCATAATTATATATGATTATAATTTGTCAAAAAAAGATTAACTTGGAAGAAAGTATTCACTTCACCAAAGGTATATATATATATTTTAAATAAAAAGATCCATCTTAGGAGTTCTTTTAAATAGCTTTTGGGGGCATTCGAAGTAAGTGGTGATTGTGAGGATTATATGAAATGATAGACCTAATGCACTCAATGTAGTACTGGGCATACAGAATGCACACAATAAAGGGTAGTAATGAATGAAAGGGTAGTAACGAATAAATCAAATCAGATTTTATGTTCTCCATAAAACTCCATCTCAAAAAGAAAAAAAAAAGAGACTCCGTCTCAAAAAAAAAAAAAGAACTGGATTCCATGCTGGGCGCGGTGGCTCAGGCCTGTAATCCCAGCACTTTGGGAGGCTGAGGTGGGCGGATCACTTGGGGTCAGGAGCTTAAGACCAGCCTAGCCGACATGGTGAAATCCTGTCTCTACTAAAAAATACAAAAATTAGCCAGGTGTGGTGGTGCATGCCTGTAGTCCCAACTACTTGGGAGACTGAGGCAGGAGAATGGCTTGAACCTGGGAGGCGGAGGTTGCAGTGAGCCGAGATCGCACCACTGCACTCCAGCCTGGGCGACAGAGCGAGACTCTGTCTTGAAAAAAAAAAAAAAGAACTGGACTCCTAACTTTTCCCCAGGGTAGCTCAAAGCTGTTGTTGCTGGCTCTAGAGTCATAAAAAACTGCCTGGTCTCCCATGGACTGCTTAATTTCTACTAATCCATTAATGTAGGTGAAATATTGAAAATCAAGCCCTTGTTTACTTCAAATCATCACAGAACATTTATGCAAGTGGTTTCTAGGCGAATTTCAGCTTTTGGTTTGCATTCTTCCCTACAGAGGTTAGTTTGCTTAGGTAGCCACCAACGTGTTGTTGAATTGTAGTCTTTTACCTGAGAGTCTAAGAATATGATTAAGAAGACGAAATCATGTTTCATAACAGCTCTTATTTCATTTGTTCATCAAATTACATCATGTAATTTGGATTGACTTTGGAAAATCTACACATATTGGAGAGGAGCTAAGGTAACGTCTAGAAATAATTAAGTTATGTCAAATAAGGTATTGTCTAACTGTACACACATCATTCTAGTGAGGATTATGGGCAAGATCTTGTATAATTTAGCCAGTACTACCAGAAGTGGTCAGGAGAGGGAGCAAGAGGAGTTTTTAGTGATGGTTTTCTTTTTGCTTTCATGAACTCAAAATCAAGACATGAGTGAAAGCCAGGATGAAGTTCCTGATGAAGTTGAGAACCAGTTTATATTGCGTCTGCCTCTGGTAAGAACTTGTATCTCAGAACAAATATCTTCATAATTATAGTTTAATTATAATTATAGTTCTACTTGGATTCTGACATTTCTATTTCAGGTAGGCTATAAAAACTCAGAACATTTGTTTCCCAGGAATCATGTTCTGTTAAGCAGTCCTATCATAGCGTGTACTTTTTTGGCAGCATTTTTTCCTCCTGTACAATACCACCTATCATGCAGGTTGATTTCCTGGCAAAACAGCTGTGACAATGATGGACCCATTCACTTACCACCAATACTAACAGCCTGTTCCCTGGACAGCCAAGATACGGCTCCTCTGAAATCCTTTCTGTCACCTCAAAAGGGGCAGTGAGAAGGGCCAGCATTATTCACCACCATGCAAGACTTTTAAAGCTCATCTCAACAAGTATTTGGCTCTCTTCCCCCACACTGATACCTGTATTCAAGCAATTACTTAGTCTAGGCAGCTATATTAAGGATGGGGTTCAGAAACCTATTTCCCTAATTAGGGTTACTTAATATACCAAGCAAACTGCAACTAGGTAAGCCTTTCTTTAGCAACTACAACAGAAGGGTAGCAGTGAGAGGCAGGATTGTAGAGCTAGGAGAAAGCATTAACTGTAGCTACTAAGAGACAATTATGAGTTTAGAGTCAGCTTCATCCTAACTTGACTTATACAGTGCACAGTATCTCATGGTACATGGTCTTGTTAGTAACATTTGGGAGGTGTAAAGTTTTATTTAAGGGAGGGCTTTCTTTGATATATCTATTCTGTTAGCTGCCAAGTAGATGTTTAGTTCTTCTGATTTTTCAATTTACCTCCTTTTTAGGAACATGCTTGTACTGTCAGGAACCTAGCACGTTCTCAAAGTGTCAAGATGAAGGATAAACTAAAAATTGACTTATTGCGTAAGTAGTTAATATCCATTCACTATACATTGAACAATAATTTATTAAGGGATTGCTATGTGCCATACACTGTACTTGGTACTAAGGATGTGAAAAATGATAGAATATGGTCTCTGACTTGATGGACTCATGCTTTAGAGAGGCTTAAGTCCTCTTCTTTTAAGAGGAAAGGAAGTAGGAATATTGCACCTTGAGTTGAGTGATTATCATAGTGTGTTTAAGGAAACTTGGGGGTCAACTGTGGGGTTTTTATACTGCTGGTAGCCTCCCATATATAAACTTTATGATTTCTGAACATCCAAGGGAATGACAAATGGATATGCCATTCTTTGTTTATAAAGGTGACATGTATTTCTTTCTTTCTTTCTTTCTTTCTTTCTTTTTTTTTTTTTTTGAGATGGAGTCTCGCTCTGTCGCCCAGGCTGGAGTGCAGTGGCGCAATCTTGGTTCACTGCAACCTCTACCTCCTGGGTTCAAGTGATTCTTCTGCCTCAGCCTCCCAAGTAGCTGGGATTACAGGCACATGCCACCATGCCCGGCTAAGTTTTGTATTTTTAGTAGAGACGTGGTTTCACCATGTTGGTCAGGCTAGTCTCAAACTCCTGACCTTGTGATCCGCCTGCCTTGGCCTCCCAAAGTGCTGGGATTACAGGCGTGAGCCACCGTGCCTGGCCAGTGACATATATTTTTCTTTTAAATAATATTTGTTATATTGGCAAATTGTACATCCAATAAAGTGGTTAATATCCAAATATATAAGGAACTCAAACAACTCAATAGCAAGAAAACAAATAACCTGATTTTAAAATGGGCAAAGGATCTGAACAGATATTTCTCAAAAGAAGACATACAAGTAGCCAAAAGGTTCATGAAAAAATGCTCAGCATCACTAATCATTAGGGGAATGCAAATTAAAACAACAGCGAGATATCACCTCATACCTGTTAGAATGGCTTTTATTAAAAAAAAAAAAAGAACAATAACAACTGTTAATGAGGATGAGGAGAAAAGGGAAACTTTGTACCCTATTGGTGGTAATGTAAATTAATACAGCCTTTTTTTTTTTTTTTTTTTTTTGAGATGGAGTCTTGCTGTGTCACCCAGGCTGGAGTGCAGTGGCGCGATCTTGGCTCACTGGAACCTCCACCTCCTGGGTTCAAGCAATTCTCCTGCCTCAGCCTTCCGAGTAGCTGGGACTACAGGCATGCGCCACCACACCTGGCTAATTTTTTTGTATTTTTGGTAGAGATGGGGTTTCACCATGTTGACCAGGCTGGTCTTGAACTCCTGACCTCGAGTGATCCACCCACCTCAGCCTCCCAAAGTGCTGGGATTACAGGCGTGAGCTACTGTGCCTGGCCTACAGCCATTATTTTTTTTAAATGGTATGGAGGTTCCTCAGAAAACTAAAAATAGAACAACCATGTGATCCAGCAACCCCACTTCTGTGAATATATTCACAGAAGGAATTGATATCAACATGTTGAAGGCATATCTCTCTGCACTCCCATATTCATTGTAGCATTATTCACAATAGCCAAGATATGGAATCAACCTAAGTGTAAATGTGATACGTATACACAATGCTATACTACTCAGCCTTTTAAAAAGAACAAAATTCTGTCATTTGGGACACCATGGATGAATCTAGAGGCCATTTGCACCAAGAGCATGTGTAAATAAATAAGTAAATAAGTAAATAAATAAATAAATGTTTCCACACAAGTTTATCTGCCTAAAAAACACACAACCAAAAATAAATAAATTTTGCTAGTTTTTTTTTTTAATACAGAGAAGCATATAAAGGAGAAAACAAAAAGTGGCTCATAATCTCACCAGTTAGTTAACACTTACTGACATTTTTTAAAAAAGATAATATAAGTTCATAGTTAGAAAATTCAAATAAAACAGGCTGGGTGTGATGGCTCATGCCTGTAATCCCAGCTCTTTGGGAGGCTGAGGCGGGCGGATCACTTGAGGTCAGGAGTTCCAGACCAGCCTGGCCAACATGGCGAAACCCCGTCTCTACTAAAAATGCAAAAATTAGCCGGGCATGGTGGTGCACACCTGTAATCCTAGCTATTTGGGAGGCTGAGGCATGATAATTGCTTGAACCCAGGGGGCGGAGATTGCAGTGAGCAGAGATTATGCCACTGCACTCCAGCCTGGGTGACAGAGTGAGACTCCTTCTCAAAGAAAAATAAAAAAATCAAATGAAAAAGAAAAGTTCGAAAGGAGAAATAAAACTCTTCTTCCTTATGGTGCCCCAACCTCAATACCACAGATAACTGATACTGTTTCTTGTTACTTCCTTATTGACAAAACTCTTATGCATAATACTAGAATTGAAGCAATCTCTCTATTTTTAGAGTTAATTCACACAAAATGATAAACATTGTTTTGTATCTTTCTTTTTTCACATAATACTAGAAGATTATACCTGAATCCTCTTGTGTCAAAAGACATTTATGTTTGGGACATCTGAGCAGCAATATTCAGAGTTTAGTATATGGCTGTTGTATAGAATTTTATCTTTATGAAGCTAATTAGAGATTTAACTTGAGATTTATTAGCACCATTCTAGGGTCAGTCAACCCTTCCCTCACCCAGCCCTTTGAAAACACACATGTACAATGACACGATTGAATGCTTCTAAAAAAAAAAAAAAAGGAATTGGTTTTAATGAATGGAATTTGCTTTTCAGGATGAGAATGAAACATTTATTACTTCACCTATATTTAGTTCACATCCATTAACAAGAAACTTAGCTACTTTTGCACAAGTGACGTAAACTAGGAAAAAAGAGCTCCATATACTTTCCATTTCTTTTCTTTAGGAAGCTATTAATTGTGTACACAATTCTAGCATTATGAGAGATAGTAGGTTTCTTGGAAAGACTAATCTGTCCCACATAAGTCTTCATTATTCAAACCTTAGGAAGTTTAAGAGTTCACTGGGAAGATATCAACTTTAATCTTTACTTCTCTTCAGCTGATGGGCGCCATGCAGTTGTTGAAGTAGAAGATGTCCCACTAGCTGCTAAGCTGGTTGACTTGCCTTGTGTTATTGAAAGCCTGAGAACGCTTGATAAAAAAACCTTTTATAAAACAGCAGACATTTCTCAGGTATGGACTAGTTTTCTTTACTAGCCTCACATCCTTCAAGGAATTCTTTTCTCTTCCTATTTTTCTTTCTTTCAGTACTCCTTTCCACTTGGTGAATGGCTGCTTGGCATTTCTAATTTCCAGATTGACTGCACAGGAATGAAATGTCATGTTCTCGTTTGGTGTTTGATCCTTAGCTTTCAGTATTGTATTTTGACCAAATAGCCTATAGAGAGTCCCATTTGCCACTTATAGTGACTTTTCATTAATTGAAACATATGAGCTGCTGGGATCTTCTGAACTTTGTATTAAAACAGTATGTTGTTAACTCTGGAGGTTTAAATTGGTTCTTATTCATCATCTCTGCTGTTGATTTCTTATTTCCTCTCTAAATCAAAATGCTGAGATAGGCCAGACACAATGGCTCATGCCTATAATCCCTACACTTTGGGAGGCTGAGGTGGGAGGATCACCTGAGCCCAGGAGTTTGAGACCAACCTGGGCAACATAGTGAGACCTCATCTCTACAAAAACAAGATTAGCCAGGTGTGGTGGCACACACCTGTAGTCCCAGCTATTCTAGAGATTGAGGTGGGAGGATCACTTGAGCCCAGGAGGTCGAGGGTGCAGTGAGCCATGATCACGTACCACTGCACTCCAGCCTGTATGACAGAGCAAGACTTTGTCTAAAAACAAAACAAAAAACCTAAGCTAAGTTCCAAGATCTGTTTCCAATATATTCCCTCTGTAGTGGTAAACACTCTCGTGGAAAAAAAAAAACAAAACAAAGCACCTTCAGAGTTCATATGTAGTGCTGCTGGTGGCTGGTGGTGGGGAGGAGAGGGAGAGAGAGAGACTGCAAAAATGAGAGAATATAAATGTACATTACAAAATACTTGGTTTTCTGGAAATGGCAAGTATCAGTCTCTTCTGTGCATTTCTAGTGGTAAGAATGATTATGATTGCTAACCCAAAATTCGTGGTCATAGTCAACTTCTTTGTCTTTGTTAAATGTAGATGCTTGTGTGCACTGCTGATGGTGATATCCACCTTTCTCCAGAAGAACCAGCTGCCTCTACTGATCCTAATATAGTCAGGAAAAAAGAAAGGGGGAGAGAAGAAAAATGTGTCTGGAAGCATGGCAGTAAGTCACCAGCCCCTTGCTCATTCCTGCTGACTAAAATTTATTTGCTGAATCCTAATTCCTTGTGAAACAGGGACGTCTTACCACACTTAGGTGTTTGGTTCATTAGGTTCTCAGATACTCTTTAAGAGGAGTCACGTCAGCTGGGCGCGGTGGCTCACGCTTGTAATCCCAGCACTTTGGGAGGCCGAGGCGGGTGGATCACCTGAGGTCAGGAGTTCGAGACCAGCTTGGCCAACATGGTGAAACTCTGTCTTTACTAAAAATACAAAAATTAGTTGGGTGTGGTGGCGGGCACCTGTAATCCCAGCTACTCGGGAGGCTGAGGCAGGAGAATCGCTTGAACCTAGGAGGAGGTGGTTGCAGTAAGCTGAGCTCGCACCACTGCACTCCAGCCTGGGCAACAGAGTGGGACTCGATCTCAAAAAAAAAAAAAAAAAAGGAGTGATGTCATGACCCTTTGGTTTATAGCATGATCTTTGTCTTTATCAAATTCAGCTATGTGACTACCATCAGTCATATAACGTTTCACTGTGTTGTATTTATTTTAGTTACGCCACCACTTAAGAATGTCAGAAAGAAAAGGTTCCGGAAAACACAAAAAAAGGTTAGTTACATGCTATTTGTGTGTCTGCCGGGCCGATTAGAAGAGGATCATGGGCCAGAAGAAAAGAGAAAAAGTCAGTTGGGAATTAATTTTTAATTCATTTATATGTTCAATAAACATTTATTGAATGTGAACTAAATGCCAGGCACTGTATGCTAGCAGTAGGGAATATAGCAGTGAATAAAAAGACCTGATCCTTGAGGTTATAGGCTAGTCATTTGGGGTCTGGAAGAATCATACATTTGAAACTTCTGTTAATGCTTTCAGTTTTCTATTGCAAGATCTAGTTTTAAAGTGAACCCATCCAGAACCTGAAAATTGGGAATTGTGGTTATATTCCTAATGTTATTTCAGGCTTGTAGAATCTTGGGCAAACTACAGGAGTATTGTGGCTTGGCTTCTTCTTTTGTTTAAAATTAAACATGTTATTTTGAAATAATTGTAAATTCATATACAGTTGTAAGAAATAAAAGAGAGATATCGTGTACCCTTTCGCCATTTTCCCCATTTTGCAAAACTATAGTACAATACCACAAACAGGTAATTGACATGATTAGAATTCTGCAATCTTATTCCAATTTCTCCAGTTTTACTTGTACTCGTGTATTTTTGTGCATGTGTTTAGTTCTATGCAGTTTTATCCCATGTGTAAGTTCATGTATCTGTCTACACAGTCAAAATACAAAACAGTTTCATCACAAGGATCCCTCATTTTGCTTTTATATAACCATGCCCACTTCCCTTCCACCTCACACCCCAGTCTCTGACACTTGGTAATCACTAATCTGATCTCTATCTCTGTAATTTTGTCATTTCAAAAATTTAATATTAATGGAATTATATAGTATATAACATCAGAGACTAGCTTATTTTTTCATTCAGCATAATTCACTTAAGATCCATATAAGTTTTTGTAGCATCAATAGTTTATTTTTTATTGCTGAGTAGTATTCCATGGTATGAATGTACCACATTACATAACTGTTCTCCCTTTGAAGGACATCTGGGTTGTTTACAGGTTTTGACTATTATAAATAAAGCTGTGAACAGGTTTTTGTGTGAATATAAGTATTCATTTCTTTGGAATAAATGTCCAGGAGTATAATTGCTGGGTCATATGGTAGTCACATGTTTAGTTTTGTAAGAAATGACCTGTTTTCCAGAGTGACTGTACCATTTTATATTCCTGCCAATAATGTATGAATGATCCAGTTTCTCCACCTCCTCACCAGCATTAGGTGTTGTCACTATTTTTCATTTTAGCCATTCTGATAGGTGCATAGTGATCCCATTGTAGTATTAATTTACATTTCCCTGATGGTTAACGGGGTTGAGCATCTCATGTGCCATCTATTCCACTTCAGCGAAATGTCTGCTCATGCCTTTTGCCTATTTTCTAAATTGATTTTTTATTATTGAATTTTGAGAGTTCTTTTTATATTTTAAATACTACCAGTGTTTTATCAGATATGTAGTTTGCAAATATATTCTCCCAGTCTGTAGCTTGTCTTTCCATCCTCTTCGTAGGGTCTTTCAGAGAGCAAAAGTTTTTAGTTTTGATGAAGTACAATATATTGATTTTTTTGAAAACGATCTTGCTTTTTATAGTAAATCTAAGAACTCTTTGCCTAGCCCAGATCCTGAAGATTTTCTCCTGCTTTTTTTTTTTTTTTACATCTTTTTAAGCCTGATGCCCATTTTCGACTTAATTTTTGTAAAAGCTATGAGGTTTAGTTCAAGGTTTTTTTTTTGTTGTTGTTGTTGTTTTGTTTTTGTTTGTTTGTTTGTTTTTGCTTTTCTTGCCAAAGGATGTCTAATTGCTCTCGCACTATTTGTTGAAAAGGCTATTCTTCCTCTGTTGTATTGCTTTTGCACCTTTGTGAAATATCAGTTGGGCTTGGTTTTATGGGTCTGTTTCTGGGTTCTCCATTCTCCTCCACTGATCCATCTGTCAATCCCTCCACCAATATCACAGTGTCGCTATATAATTGGTCCTGAAATTAGAAGGCTGATTGCTCTGACTTTACTTTTCTTTGTCAATATTGTTTAGCCATTCTAGAGTCCATATCTTTATTTATTTATTTATTTATTTATTTTTTGAGATGGAGTCTCGCTCTGTTGCCCAGGCTGGAGTGCAATGGCACGATCTCTGCTCACTGCAGTCTCTGCCTCCCGGGTTCAAGCGACTCTCATGCCTCAGCCTCCCAAGTAGCCAGGATTACAGGCATGGGCCACCATGCCCGGCTAATTTTTGTATTTTTAGTAGAGACGGGTTTCACCATGTTGGCCAGGCTGGTCTCGAACTCCTGACCTCACGTGATCCGCCCGCCTTGGCCTCCCAAAGTGCTGAGATTACAGGCATGAGCCACCACGCCTGGCCAAAAGCCTGTATCTTTTAATATAAATTTTAGAATAAGCTTGTCTATAGCTATAGAAAACCTTGCTAGAATTTTGGCAGGAATTACATTAAACTTGTAGATCAATTTGGGGAGAACTGACATTTTTACTATATTGAGTCTTCCAATCCATGAACACAGTTGCCTTGGCTTTTATACTCTGTAAATCAACATTTATTGAGTGCCTACTAAATGTAAAACTAAGTTAAGGATAGTTGTAGAGCTCTTTAAGCTTTACTGAAATATAGGTATCATAATATAACTTGTTTATTGTGTTTTATTTCATAGGTCCCTGATGTCAAAGAAATGGAAAAAAGCAGCTTTACTGAGGTAGAGCAATCATAATATAACTTCATTTTTACCCTTAATGTGTTTTATTTAATAGCTCATTAGTTTCAAATGAATCAAATAAACCACAGAAGCTACTTTTGAGCCTTCCTTCTCACCTCTAACCCTCATCCTAAACACATACACTGGGTTTGATTCACTAAAAAATGAATTCATTGTTTGATGTTTGATAACTGCTAGAGGAAAAGATACAATTTGGCCAGTGACCCCGTGTATTCTAATCTGCTCTTTTTATTCTGATATTTATTTCAAAAGCCATTCCTTGGGAGCCAGAGCTCACTTTTAACAGCAGTTGTTTGCAATTGCTTATTCCCCATCAAAATCCTAATTTCTATTTGTGGCACAACAAATTGGTTGCTGTGGAGATAATTATGTAAAACTGGATTCAAGGGAGAACATGCAGCTAAGATCCAGTTTTTATAGGAACGTCTCTAATAATAAAGATGTGGGGAAGTGAAATCTGGGAATTTGGATCTTTAAACCAAATTATTTCTAAATAACTAATAAGGAATTATAGTTCTTTGCCAATATAAATCAGGAGAAATAATTTATAACTGAGACCTAAGGGTTGCACCTCTGAGAGAGGGCTTTACCATAGAGCTGCAGATTGAAAAGATTAAATGTCTCAAGTAATTTGTTTAATTAGGAAAAAAGTAAGTTTACTGTACAAAATTCTAGACCCTGGCTAAAGATTCCTTTATAAATAGCACTACTTAAAGTAGAAATTTGGTTGGATCAGAATTTAAAGAGGCCTAACATTTGAATTCGTTGGTACGTAGGAGGGCACTCCTGCAACACACAGGGTGTTAAATGACAGTATTGGTATCCCCCTCTAATCCCCAACTTTGCTTCAGTACATTGAATCTCCAGACGTGGAAAATGAAGTAAAGAGACTGCTGCGTTCGGATGCTGAAGCCGTAAGTACCCGTATCCTTTATACAAATATTTTCTGCATAGTCTGTTCTGCCCCATTTGTACATGCTGACGAAGCCTCACCTCTGGTGTTTGTGTGCCAGTCTTGATGTGTGGAACTTAAGATTCTTTGAAATGTTCTAGCTAGGAACAGTAAATTCATGTAATAGAAAATTATTTATTGTGTAATTCAATATGAGGCACTTCTCCAAACTAGGAATTCCAATACAAATGGCCTAAAGTTGGACTAAATTAAATAGCACTGTTAGCCAAAGAGCCCCTTCCCTTTCAGCTGTGCCTTTTTGTTTCCTTCTGTGTTTTCCTTGACTACCCACTCCTTTCAGGTTGGGAAGTCATTGCTGAAGATGGAACCAAGGAAATAGAAAGTCAAGGCTCCATCCCAGGATTTTTGATATCCTCGGGAATGAGCAGCCACAAGCAGGGTCATACCTCGTCAGGTACTTTAGTAAAGGCAAAGCAGGAGTTTCAGATAGGGCAGGTATTGACTGGGTATCAGATCATTTTCCATAAATTCATAGGCCAATCCAAAAAAAAAAAAACCCAGAAAAAAAGGATGGTTTCGTCCTTCCCTCTTTTTTTTTTTTTTTTTTTGAGATGGAGTCTTGCTCTGTCGCCCAGGCTGGAGTGCAGTGGCGTGATCTCGGCTCACTACAACCTCTGCCTCATGAGTTCAAGTGATTCTCCTGCCTCGGCCTCCCAGGTAGCTGGGATTACAGGTGTTCACCACCATGCCCAGCTAATTTTTTACTAGCGTCGGGGTTTCACCATGTTGGCCAGGCTGGTCTTGAATTCCAGACCTCAAGTGATCTGCCTGCCTCGGCCTCCCAAAGTGCTTGAATTACAGGCATGAGCCACTGTGCCTGGCCTTTTTTTTTTTTTTTTTTTTTTTTTGAGACAGAGTCTCGCTCTGTCGCCCAAACTGGAGTGTAGTGGTGCGATCTCGGCTCACTGCAACCTCTGCCTCCCAGGTTCAAGTAGTTCTTGTGCCTCAGCCTCCCAAGTAGCTGGGATTACAGGCATGTACCACCACACCAAGCTAATTTTTCTTTTTTCTTTTCTTTTTTTTTTTTTTGTAAGTAGAGATGGGGTTTTGCCATGTTGGCCAGGCTGGTCTCCAACTCCTGGCTTCAAGTGTTCTGCCCGCGTTGGCCTCCCAAAGTGCTGGGATTACAGGCATGAGCCACCACACCCAGCCCTTCTTCCCTCTTATTGGTCTCTTGGCAGTTTAGGGGTTTTAGATTAGTGTTCTAATCTCCCATCCACCCCTGGTATTTTAACTTCCTATGACCCTTAGAGTCTCTAAATATCTTGATCATTCACTACATGAATGAATGTTACAGTGTTTTGCATTTGCTGTCCTTGTTTTATAAAGGGAATAATCTTCCTGCATGAAAAAATGATTTATAAAATTCACTGGTTGCCTGGGGAATGTGAAAGGAGTATAATTATATCTGGAGTATGAGTCATTTGCAGAGTTTTAGATAGTTCACCTTCTTCTTGCTTAAAACTAGTAGAATATGATATGCTTCGGGAGATGTTCAGTGATTCTAGAAGTAACAATGATGATGATGAGGATGAGGATGATGAAGATGAGGATGAGGATGAGGATGAGGATGAAGATGAAGACAAAGAAGAGGAGGAGGAAGATTGTTCTGAAGAGTATCTGGAAAGGCAGCTGCAGGCCGAGTTTATTGAATCTGGCCAGTATAGGGCAAATGAAGGTACCAGTTCAATAGGTAAGTCAGAAAAAACAAAGGGATGGGACCAGGGTGGGTGGCAGTGCTAACAGTTGACTCTAAGCATACATTAGACTCAAAGCTAAGCTCAAGAAGTTATCGCTTCGATGTGTAGTAGAGTTTTACTTGATTTGGATCTTGGTCCATTCATTTAGGCTATATTTAATATATAAAGTTCTATGTTTCTCTATTAGTCATGGAAATTCAGAAGCAGATTGAGAAAAAGGAGAAAAAGCTCCATAAGATTCAGAATAAAGCACAAAGACAGAAGGATCTCATCATGAAAGTGGAAAACCTGACACTCAAGGTAAATTCTTGGCTGGCATAAAGAAATCCTGATATCTTACTTTCAGTATCTTGCCTTTGTGTTTCCACTTATGTTATCTCTGTGCAGGGTTCTTGTTCATTCATGAACCTAAACAGCCTCTTAGAAACTCCTAATAAAAGATAACCCTGTTTCCTTTTACCTGAGTAATTTTGATCATCTAATATAAGCATTTTGGGGAAGGGACTAGGTGATATGAGATAAAAATTGCCAATATTGAGCATTTGCTATGTAAAAGGCACATAAAGGGCTAAGAATTGTGTACACATATTATCACATTTTATCCTCACATCCTTGAAACGTAAATACTGTCACCACTCCCATTTTATAGATAAAGAATGGAAACTCAAAGAGGTTAAGTAACTTGCCAGGGATCACAGTAAATGATCCCTGAGTAAGGGATCTTTTAGTAGAGATGAAACCTCATCTCTACTAAAAATACAAAAATTAGCCAGGCCTGGTGGCATGCTCCTGTAATCCCAGCTACCCAGGAGGCTGAGACATGAGAATCACTTGAGCCTGGGAGGCGGAGGTTGCATGAGCCAAGATTGCGCCACTGCACTCCAGCCTGGGTGACAGAGGAAGATTCCGCCTCAAAAACAAAAACAAAAACAATTATTTGCCAAACTCCTTGCCTCCCTTGGTTTTTTTTTTTTTCTTTGAGACTCAGTGTTCATCATTTATACAATTTATTTTTCAGAATCATTTTCAGTCTGTGCTGGAGCAGCTTGAGTTACAGGAAAAACAAAAAAATGAGAAGGTAAGAAGTATGTTTTCAAATTAACCAGAAAACATTTGATACAGAGAATCCCCCACTTCAATTCCAATATCATTGCTGGCTGTTCCTCTCATAGGAATAGTGGTAGCCAAATCTTCTAAATGAAGGTAGCAGGGTGGAACAAGGTCTTTGTGAAAATTCACTCATTCAACAGATATTGAATGCCTATGAAGTGAAAAGCACTGGATGTACGGTGTTGAATAAGACAAATGCAATACAGTAAATCCTCAGTGTCATTGATAGGTTCTTGGAAACTGTAACTTTAAGCAAAATAATGTATATATAATGAAACCAATTTTACTATAGGCTAATTGATATAAAGAAGAATTAAGTTCCTATAGCATATTTCTGGTCACAAAAACATCACCAAACTTCTAAATAAAAACCAAAACGCTTCTAATAATTAAACGTTGAAATAAATGTGAGCTATACATACATTTGAGAAAGACTGATAAAAACAAGTAAGACAATTATGTACCCAGTGATTCCAGTTCAGGGTCTCAGATGGCCAGAGCCTATCCCAGCAGCTCAGGGCACAAGGTAGGAACCAGCCTTGGATAGGATGGCATCCCATTGCAGGGCACACTCACACCCACACTCACACCCACACTCACTCAGACTGGGACAATTCAGACAAACCAATTCACCTAATGTGTACAGGGAAGTGATTTTATTTTTCTCATCAACATTATAATGAGGCCAGGAGTGGTGGCTCATGCATGTAACCCCAGTATTTTGGGAGGCCGACGCGAGAGGATTGCTTTAGCTCAGGAGTTTGAGACCAATCTGAGCAACATGGTGAAACGCTGACTGTACAAAAAATTAGCCGGTTGTGGTGGCATAAGCCTGTAGTCTCAGCTACTCAGGACGCTAAGGTGGGAGGATTGCTTGAGCCCAGGAGGTTGAGGCTGCAGTGAGCCATGATCACACCACTGCACTCCAGCTTGGGCAACAAAGTGAGCCCCTGTCTCAAAAAAAAAAAAAATTATAATGAAATGACATTGAACTAACAATGTTATTTGGAGACCTTTTGCATGTCATTTTGCTTAAAGTTGCAGTTTCTAAGAACCTATTGATGACATTAAGTGAGGACTTACTGTAACAAAACGACATTGGACAAAACGATGTTATTCAAGGACCTGCTGTACTTATCCTCGTGGAGCTGTCTAGCAGGGGAGATTGACAATAAACAAATTATACAAATATAAAGTTACAAATTGTGAAGAAGTGCTATGAAGGAAAAAAGTCAGTGGTGCTATTAGAATAAAGGGTCTTGAATTAATTGGGGGATCATGATAGACCTCTCCTAGGAGGTGCTATTGAAGCTGAGACCGGAAGGATTAAGTCCAGGCAAAGAGTGGGATGAGGAGCCTCTTAGGTGGAGCGTATGCAAGGTCTCATGCTCAGAAAGAACTTGGCTTCTTTGAGGACCTTTGGAGTATTTAAAGCCAGGAAGAGAATGGCTTAAGATAAGGTTGGAGAAGTAGGCAGAGACCATAGTGTATGGTTCCTTGAAGGCCATGATAAGGAGGATGGGTTTGGCCTTAAGTGTAATGTGAAGTCCTTGAAGAATTGTAGATAGGAAAATCACATCTAATTTAAACTTTTTTTTTTTTAAATGGAGTCTTGCTCTGTCGCCCAGGCTGGAGTGCAGTGGCACAATCTAGGCTCACTGCAACATCCGCCTCTCGGGTTCAAGAGATTGTCCTCCCTCAGCCTCCCAAGTAACTGGGACTACAGGCACGTGCCACCATGCCCGGCTAATTTTTTGTATTTTTAGTAGAGACAGGGTTTCACCGTGTTAGCGAGGATGGTCTTGATCTCCTGACCTCGTGATCCACCTGCCTTGGCCTCCCAAAGTGCTGGGATTACAGGCGTGAGCCACCACGTCTGGCCTAATTTAAACTTTTAAAAGGTTACTCTGATTATTATCTGGAGAATGGGTTGGAAGAAGGTGAGAGTAGAAGCAAAGAGGCTGGTTGGGGGGCTTTGTGGTACTCTAATAACAGAGGATGGTAACTTGGACTAAGTTAGTAGCAATGGAGATTGAAAGAATATAGATTTTTAAACTGCAATAAAAATGTTTTTATAACAGATGTAATTCATAAACCATACAATATCACCCATTTAGGCTGGGTGCGGTGGTGCGTGCCTGTAATCCTAGCGCTTTGGGAGGCCAAAGTGGGCAGATGGCTTCAGCCCAGGAGTTCGAGACCAGCCTGGGCAACATGGTGAAACCCCGTCTCTCCAAAAATTAGCCAGGCATGGTGGTGTATGCCTGTAGTCCCAGCTGCTCGGGAGGCTGAGGTGGGAGGATTGCTTGAGCCTGGGAGGCAGAGGTTGCAGTGAGCAGAGATCCCACCACTGCACTCCAGCCTGGGTGACAGAGTGAGACTGCCTCAAACCCCGTCCTCCCCACCCCCGACAAGTCACCCATTTAAACTATACAATTCAGTGGCTTTTAGCATATTCAGAGTTGTACAACCACCACTGCAGTCAATTTTAGAATAGTTTCATCACTCCAAAAAGAAACCCTGTATCCATTAGTAGTCACTCCCCACTTCTCCAGAACCTCTCCCCTGCCCAGCACTAGGCAACCACTCATCTAGTTTCTACTAATCTACTGCCTATTCTAGTTATTTCATACAAGTGAAATCATATAATACATGGTGTTTTGAGTCGGGCTCCTCTCATTTAGCATATTTTCAGGGTTCATCCATGTTATGGCATGTATCAGTACTTTTTTCCATTTAAAACTGACTAATACTCCATTGGATCAATATACCACATTTTGTTTATTCATTCATCTGCTGATGGACATTTGGGTTGCTTTCACTTTTGGCTATTATGAATAATGCTGCAATGAATATTGATATATTAGAGAATATACTTTAAAGGTAGAATTGACAGGAGTTGGGTCAATTACTGGGTGTTGAAGGAGAAGGAATCATTAAGGATGTATGTATTTCTAACTTGAACGACAACTGTATTTTTCAAAGCCACAAGAGAGTGTACAGGGCGAAGAGAGAAGAAGGCAATATAGGCTAAATGAGGGTCAAGCAGCTGTATAGAAAATGTGTGCTGACTCTAACCTTATACTGTTGAGGGTTACAATTTTAAAGAGACTGGAGTTGGTATTATGAGGATGGGCTTAGCATGGTGCTCTTGAAGTACAGGCACTACTCCCCACCCCCATCCCCACAAGGCTAGCGGAATTTTTATGTTCTATATATTCCCTTCCTCTCAGCAAATCACTTATCCAAGTACTGCTTAATACTGCTTTAAAACAATCAGATGAACAGTTAATGCCAGGATTGTTTTAGTACCCACCAAACATCTTTGTTTTCATCAATGTAAGTACAGTTGTATGCTGCATAACAACATTTTGGCCAATGACAGACTGCATATATGATGGTAGTCCCATAAGATTATAATGGAGCTAAGAAATTCCTGTCACCTGGTGACACTGTGGCCATCATAACATAGCAGCAGAATTACTTAATTTTTAAATTATTTTACTATAGCCTAAGTATATAGTGTTTATATAGTCTTCAGTAGTGCATAGTAATGTCCTAGGCCTTCACATTCACTCACCACTCACTCACTGACTCACCCACAGCAACTTCTAGTCCTGCAAGCTCTATTCATAGTAAGTGCCCTATATAAGTGTACCATTTTTAATTTTTTATATTGTATTTTTAGTTTACCTTTTCTATGTTTAGATACACAAATACTTAACATTGTGCTACAATTGCCTACAGTATTCAGTACAGTAATATGCTGTACAGGTTTGTAACCTAGGAACGATAGACTATACTATGTAGCCTAGGTGTGTAGTAAGCTATACTATCTAGGTTGGTGTAAGTATGTTCTATCATGTTCGCGTCATGACAAAATTGCCTAAGGATGCATTTCTTAGAACATATCCCCATTGTTAAGTAACACATGACTATATTTAGTATTGAGGAGCAGCATAGAAATGTAGCTGTAAACTTTATTTACTCAGAGTCCCTTATGTTAGTTCATTTATCCAAATTAGATTTAGTAGGTGTCTACTTTAAGCTAGGCTCTACAGGGAGCTATGATATGCTTATGATGTAGTCTCTGTCTTCATTTGGGGAGAAATTGGCAAGAGGGGTAGGGACTTAAAGGAATGACAGATTGTCCATGGATATTAAAGAAGACTTCATGGAGAAGATGGTGTTTGACTGGGGCCTTAAAATATAGGTAGGGTTTTAATAAGGAGATAGGGAAAGGAGTGCATTCCATGAGAAAGCAGCATGCACACTGGCTCAGAGGTGGTGATGCCAGGGTGAACAGTTTAGATTTTTGGTGTAGGTCATAATGAACCTTCAAAGCCTTTTTACCTGGGGAATAACTCAGGAAGATTTTTCTGCCAGAAGTATATAGGAGAAATTGGAGTGGGGACAGCCTGGAGCTTCAAAGGTGCAAGTGGTAGAAGCAAACAGAGCTTAACAATTGATTGGATTTACAGGGCAAAAAGGGGAACAAAGATGAGTCCAAAGCCTGGGAAACTGGGAAATGATGTGCCATTAACTGAAAATAGGATAACAAAAAGTGGATTTGGAGGGGTATGTGGAGAAGTGCTTTTGAAAATGGGAAATTGGAGAGAGGCCCATACACAGAAATGATCATTGAAGCTGTGGGGCTAGTTGAGTTAGCCTGGTTGATTGTTCAGCAAGAAGTCTGAACCTAAGGAAAAACCTATCTATAGGGGGTGGTGGGAAGAGAAAGAGCCTGCAAAGGAGAAAGAACTGGATCAGTCAGTGGTTGTAATCATGGTCAATCAGGGGTCACTCAGCAACTGAGTGAGAAGAGCCTCTAAGTTACTGCGGACAGCAATTATTGTGGCTTGGTAGGTGATGTGCAGCATAGGATTGTTTTATAATGTTCCTTTCATTTCACAGACTAAAAATTCATTCTGGTATGGAGTGTCCTGAAATGAATAATATTCAAAAACAACCTTTGTTGTAAAGATGGCATACATCTCTGAATGTTATTGGTCACTTTACCATTTCAAGTTAAAAAAAAGTAAATCCTATACCACAAAATGTTCAGGGCTTCTAACTTAGAAAGCATTAAGTAGAACATCATCAGGCTCCTGATTGGTCAGGGCTCTGGCTCAGTTTCTAAGTATCTCCTAATGTGGTAAGAAGCAGCTGGTAAGACTCAGTCTAAGACCCATTGTGTTCATTGGGACAAGAGAGTGTCCCAACTGTTTTATCATCTGACTCTTAGAATATGGCTACAGAGATCCCATCTCCTTTGCCCCTACAGTGAGCTGTGACCTCTGTATATTCTTCACAGAAGCACAAATTCTTAACAGCAAAAATATTGTTTTTTTTTAAAGCCTATTCAATTTTAAAGCTTGATATGGTTTGTCTGTGTCCCCACCCAAATCTCATCTTTAATTCCCACGTGTTGTGGGAGGCACCTGGTGGGAGGTAATTGAATCATGGGGGCAGGTCTTTCCCATGCTGTTCTCGTGATAGTGAATAAGTCTCACGAGATCTGATGGTTTTAAAAAGGGGAGTTTCCCTGCATAAGTTCTCCTCTCTTTGCCTGCTGCCATCCATGTAAGATATGACTTGCTCCTCCTTGCCTTCCACCATGATTGTGAGGCCTCCAGCTATGTGGAACTGTAAGTCCATTAAACCTCTTTTTCTTCCCAAACTCAGGTATATCTTTATCAGCAGTGTGAAAACTGACTAATACAAAGCTTCTCTTCATAAATTGGGCATAATAAAGGACATCATCATGGCCACAGCAGTATGCATGCATTCTTGACTGTGGCCAGTATTCTCTGGAACATTGCAAGACTAAGATAACCTTATAAATGCCAAATAACAGTAGTTCTTTTTGGTTCATTTAAGTAAATTCTAGATCAAGTAATGGGACCTCAAATTTCAAATGAATTTTTCATGTCTTTCTACCTCTCCCTACAGCTCATTTCCCTACAGGAACAGTTGCAGCGTTTTCTGAAGAAGTGAGGAGAGCCATTGGCGTGGCCCACAAACCTT
Source organism: Homo sapiens (assembly GCF_000001405.40). Classification (NCBI taxonomy): domain Eukaryota; kingdom Metazoa; phylum Chordata; class Mammalia; order Primates; family Hominidae; genus Homo; species Homo sapiens. Next base: position 101,269,162 of record NC_000023.11, on the reverse strand, counting down.
GGATTCACCATCCAGACTGCAGATTGGATGAAACTGTGCACGTTTTTGTCCCTTCAGTTGCCTTATGTTGAATCAGTTATATTTATCTGTACCTTCTTTGCTACTTAAAATATGCTCACAGTTTGTAGTCATGTAGAAAAGGCCAGTATAAAAATGTAGTAGACTTAAAGACCCCACTCGACCATGAGACTTTCTCTTTGTCAATTTGGGAATTATTATTATTAATTTAGAAATGGGGTCTTGTTATGTTGCCCAGGCTGAATTCAGACTCCTGGGCTTAAGGGATCCTTCCGCCTCAGCCTCCTGAGTAGCTGGGACTACAGTTGTGCACCACCACACCAAACAAGAATTGATTATATTGCTTCTGTGCTATGGTACCAGCAGATTATTCAGCCATGCTTCTAAAGGCAGTCTAGCCTAGAGGCCGTACAGCTGTTTGGTTTGCATATGTTTTAGCTTTTCTTTTGGTTTTTAGTATTTCCTAAAACATAGGGGAAAAAACGAGGTCATTTCTACTAAGCACTAGGACCTGCCATAGTGAGTTTAAGTGCCTACCTTGCAGCAGTTAATACTAGATTGTGTTCTGTCTCTGTTCAGGTAACAGGACTGCATTCCTGCTCAAGGATGATTCCTTGCTGCTGCTTATGTTCTGTTGTTTTTAGGATGGAGCTGGTTGTTATTCACCAACTAAGGGAACAGTTAGAGCAGAGATGAAGAAATTATGAACTGTTATCCTTATTCTGAGCCTTCTCCTCCTAACCCTCATCAGTTAAGGTTAGGAAGAACAAGATGCCATAATGCCTATGAAGACTTCTTTAACAATCTTGTTTGGGTTTTTTTCTAGGTATATTATTAGTGTTTTATGGTCTATGTTCTTTAAGCAATAAATAAATTGTTCATTTTAAATGGATTGTTGTCAATTTATTAAACCATCCCCCATGATGAGTGTACTCATATCCAAACAGAAACAAGAAGAAAAGCAATAAGCTCTATATCTTAGTTCATTTGGGCTGCTGTAACAAAAATACCATAGACTGGGTAAATATAAACAACAGAAATTTATTGCTTATAGCTCTGGAGGCTTGGAAGTCTAAGATCAAGGTGCCAGCAGCTTTGGCATCTGGTGAGGGGTTTGTCTGCTTCCTAGCGTCTTCGGGGTGCATCCTCACATGACCGCAGGGCAAACAAACTCCCTCGGGCCTCTTTTAAAAGGGCGCTAATTCCATTCATAAGGGTGGAGCCCTCATTACCTAATCACCTCCCAAAAGCCCTACCTCTTAATACTAACACATTACTGATTATATCTTAACATATGAATTTTGGGGGACACATTCGGACCATAGCACTCTGATTAGAAAATGGCAGAAGATGCTATCAGCCTTGGGGCATCCTTCCAGAGTTCTTAGGGTAACTCCTAATAAACTAAGCAAATAAAATCCCAATGCTGTATTGTTAAGGTGAGAAGATTTGCTCCAAATCCCAATGCTATATGGTTAATATGAGATGGAGCGGGTGGTGGGGGGTGGTTAGAGAAGTGATACAAATGGCGGCTCCAATATTTGGGTTGAATTACCATGCTGTAGTGGAACTCACACAAGGATGGAACTTGCCTTGGGCAAGCCCCTATGGTTCTTTTTTTGTTTTGAGATGGAGTCTTGCTCTGTCGCCCAGGCTGGAGTGCAGTGGTGCGATTTTGGCTCACTGTAACCTCCGCCTCCCGGGTTCAGGTGATTCTCCTGCCTCAGCCTCCCAAGTAGCAAGGATTACAGGCAGCTGCCACCATGCCTGGCTAATTTTTGTATTTTTAGGAGAGACGGGGTTTCACTATGTTGGCCAGGCTGGTCTCGAACTCCTGACCTCAGGTGATCCACCTGCCTTGGCCTCCCAAAGTGCCGGGATTACAGGCGTGAGCCATCATGCCTGCCCACCCCTACGCTTCTTAGAGCCTCTATTTTCTCATTGTAAATCATGGGTGATAATGCTTACCACCAAGAGGCATCTGGGGGTTTTCTGGAAGTAGCCCAGCTAGCCCCGGGTCTGATCCCAATTGACAAAGTCAGTGCTGCTTTAAGAAATATAATCCTCAGTTCTCCGTGCCACTTTTAGTGCTCCTACTCCAAGTCAAAGTTAAGCCATGGGCAAAGGAGAGGTCATGTATGAGCAGGGCCTGTGAAGTTGGGATGGAGACGGCAGGAATGCTGAGGGAAATGCAAGGGAAAAAGTAGGACTAAGGGAGATAGGCATGTTAAAGGCAAACAAAATGGAGCCCAGATTAGGAGAGAAGTTCGAGGATTGCTTGAAAACCAAGATGATATTTTAAAAAGATTGTTTTTTTCAGAAACCCGTAACTTAAAAGATGAGAATAAGGAGAAAGAATGAGGGAAAGAAGTTGAGTGTCAGAGGTAGAAGGTGGGGAAAGAAGCAGAGTTTGAAAAGAAGATAGGCCTTTCCAGATAAAGGCAGGCAGGGGACTGATAGAAAGTACCCTGGGGTCATGCTGGAGAGACAGGCCAGTGAGTGTGGCACATGTGCCACAGCGGGCATCCAGGAGTGGAAGAGGTAGAAGAGCCCTCATACAGCCTCTGTCTGATACTGCAGCCTGAGAACAGTCAGAGCTCTGCTGAGAGGCGGGGTGGTAGGGAAGACAACACAACAGGAAGGGGCAAGGGCAAGCTAGTGTGTTTGCGATGCCCCTCCATCTCCTCTGCTACCACTTCTCAATGTAACCCAGGGGGGCTACTTCACCACTGCCCTCCAGTCACCCAAAGCTATTGCCGTTCTGACTTTCCACCCCACCCCAACATACACATGCACACATTCACTCTGACACCTCAGAAAGTTTTCCTTTGCTATAGCTCAGTGATTTTGACTTCTGTATGCTACAGACTTGTGCTGTCCAATATGGTATCCACTAGGCACATGTGGTTTTTGAGCACCACATGACTAGCCTGAGTTGAGATGTGCAGTAAGTGTAAAATAAACACTGGATTTCTATAAAGGAACTGCTCTGTGCCCGCATCCTGATGACCTTACACTATCCACATAGGCCACACAGGCCAGGCTCAACTGCAGGCTGACTCAGGTCCTGGCATAACATCCTGTGATCCTCCCGGAACACAGGAAGACAGGCAGTCTTGTGAGAATTTGCTACAAGAGCGTTTCTCAGTCATCTCCCTATCTTGAGGGAGGTTGCCATGAGACAGCTTGTCACCTGCCTCCCTCGTTCCAGTTAAGTATAGGGCTTTCTGCCTGCTTCCCACTCCAGAGGGTACAGTTGCAGGCCATAAAACTGCTTAGCTGCAGTGTGTCATTGGCTACACAGTACCAGGGGGTCCTACCATTCATGTTGCCTGTCATCTAGCCCCTTTTGTTGCCCTGTTATATTGTTCTGTGGGACGAGGGATGCAGGGAGCTGATACGATTGCTGATCTTGCTTTTTCTGTCTCTATAAGGAATAAACTGTCTGGATCTCTCTGGATCTCGTGTGTGTGTGTGTGTGTGTGTGTGTGTGTGTTTCCCCCAGCTGAATGTGTCAGCTTGCTTGACATTTCCAAAGACTTGGTTAAAAATATATTTTAAAATCTCATTAATAATTGTTTTATACTATTACATGTTGAAAGGGTAATATTGTGGATATATTGGGTTATTAAAATTAATTCCATCTATTTTTATTTTTGTAATATGGCTGCTATAAAATTTAAAATTACATATGTGGCTTGCATTATTTTATACTGGACAGTGTTGCTATAGTTTGGTGAGAGGCTGAGGCAGGAGAATTGCTTGAATCCAGGAGGCAGAGGTTGCAGTAAGCTGAGATTGCACAACTGCACTGTAGCCTGGGTGACAGAGTGAGACTCCGTCTCAAAAAAAAAAAAAAAGAAAAGAAAAGACGGACTGACAGGGTTTTACTTATTGACAGGATATATATATACACACAGGAGATATATATATATATATATAGATGGATATATATATATAGATGGATTATATATATACAGACATACACATGCTATATATATATTACGGATATATATATATATCCTTAATATAAAAAGAAAAGAAAAGAAAAGAAAAAGAAAAAGAGGGACTGACAGGGTTTTACTTATTGACAGGATATATATACACACACAGGATATATATATATAGATGGATATATATATATACATACACATACTATATATATATTACGGATATATACACACACACACTATATATATATATATATATATAGTGTGTGTGTGTGTGTCTGTGTGTGTGTGTATCCGTAATCTCAGAATAAAAGGTAGACCTTTAAACTTAATATAATTTTATGAAAACTCAATGCATTGTCCTGACTTTTCTTACAATGCTTCAGGCTGGTGAAAAACCCTCAGATTGAGGAGGATGAAATTTAGAAACGATTGCTACATACAGCTCATCTCATAAGGCGCTAACTAGCTAATTTGGGGAGGGCTGGGAGGATGTTGAGAGGTGATTAATCCGGGTAACAGTGGCAGATGAGCCCAATGGGGAGGTCTTTTTGTGTCCCACAGGTGTTGGACTCATCTGGTAGCCTTATGTTTTACAGTACTTCTGTGGCTTCTTGGTCTACCCTCTCTTCCCACCCCCAAATAAGGGAAAGATATGAAATATCAGACTCAGAGAGTATAACCAGAGGAACCAAAGTAAACAAGTACAAATTTATTCTTTTCAAAGCAGAATTCAAGGGAAAGGGGGAAAGCACCACAGTGAGTGGCAATCAAAGTTAACCAATTTGTTCCCAACCCTGTCCCTTTGTCCCCTAGACTTCCATGCCACCCTTGTCACCTCCCCCAAATCCTTTCCCCAATTTTCATCCTGTGACCAGTTCTTGTAGCCAGCAAGCAGCATACCAGACTTCGGTCAGGCCTCAATACTGCCATAGGGGACAGCAAGGGCATTCAGCAGGCCCCCTCTCAAATGTGGCAACTGTGGGAGAAGATGGACTCTGCGAGCTGAGCCCTGGCCTTGAGCCTTTCCTTCTCCCACAGCCATTGGTGTTAAAAGAGTAAGAAGTAGCTAAAGTGTTCCTTGTTCCTACGGGAACCACCCAGCTGAAGAATTAAGTCTCCACAGCCTCAGGACAAGGCCCCCAGTTTTTTTCCCAGAACTGTTCGAGTTAAGGCAGCTACTTTCTTGCTTTTCTGTCATCTATGTGAAGGGAAATTGGATGGGATTTTTGGCCTTGAAATGGTGCCACAGACCATGACTCTGCCACTGAGAATGTGAGTTCAAATGCTGGATATAGAGCCCAAATCTCAAGCACACACATCAGGAAGCACAGATATTCCTTAAAATGAATCTGGAGGGAAAACATCTCCTAGGATTGGCCTCTTCCTGGCCTCAGGGTTTCTCATTTCTGTGTCCTGCCAACCCATTTCCTGGAGCACCAGAAACTCAAACAGATTTCTCTGTAGGGAAATAGTTCCCAACCTTGGACCTTGAAGAAAATGAGCACTTGAAACTCTTGATTCTAGCCTTTCTAATCTGGAGGGAAGGGCACATGTCCTCCCTAGGGAAGCATAGCACAGCCTGATGTCCTCCAGCTAGTCAGCCTTCCGTGACAATGCCCAATCAATGTGAATCCACTCTGCTGTCACTGGAAGCAGAGGTATCCTCGTAATGGCTTTTTGGCCTCTATCAAATTCTGTCAAGAAGAAATCACCTCTCAGTCCTAACTGTTCTCTGATACTATTTGACAACAACCCCAGCAAATGCTCACATTCCTTATCATTGATGCTAATCCCACAGTCAGAAGGTTTTCTTTAGGCTATCAATCTAGCAACTCCCTTCACCATCCTTCCAGTGTAGGGCTATAAACTACACAGTGCCATGCACAATATCCTTAGAAGACTAATACACAACAAGATGTCTAACAACATACAACACATTTTGGTAAATCCAACCCCAAGTTGGATTCATAGTACCCAAGGATCCATTTACCTTACTGTGGGAAAATTCCCCACACATACTGCAGTGACTGTCCCTGGACCCTTGAACAATACACTCACCTTAGGCATTAAGGTAAACACAGGACCACAAAATGTCAGTGACCCCTTAGTGAGAATTCAACTCTTGACCTGCTGCTTCAGTCCACCTACAACGCAAATCCTACATAACAAGATCTACATCTTTTCTACCATGCCTGGCCCACTGCAGTTGCCACAGGCCCTCAGCAGCCCAAGAGCTCTCAGGTGGGGTGGGGATAACAGAAAAGATTTTCCAGGACTTTCCTGGTAAAAAATTGCTCCATAACATGTACCCGCCTAAGGCTTAGGCAGGCATATGCCTCCAAAGTCCTTGAGCCCTCCGTCCCACATTCCCGCCCACAATCTAGGCTTCTACAAATATGCTCCCACTCTGACTGATGCCCAGGTTCTATGATTGATGCCCGCCTACCACCTGCTCAACCATCTATCCAGATACCCAGTTCTCCTGCCCAGAGACCTCATGAACACTAAGGCAGATGTTATGCTGTGAAGTCTGACACCCTGGACCTGTGACTTAGTGGTGGAGGAGGCAACCCTAAGCTTCTGGACCCAAGCCACTGCCCTGCCTCCCCTGCAGCAGATCAAACTAGGTTCCTAGCAGTTCTACCCACTGGCCCACTGCTGGATTATAATACAACACCCCAACCGTCACTCCCTCCTGATTGTGGTGGCAACTGTTGCTTTCTTTAGCCCTGAGTGAGACCATAAGAGCTGGAAGGGACCAGAGAATGTTCTCTGTGTCTTAGCTGGCAAAGGCTAATAAAGGCCTGTTTGTCCTTTTCTGCATGGGGTGGGCAGAGCTTGGGTTTGCTCTATTTTGGCACCTGAACCATTTAGGGGAGCCCAGGAAAATTCACCCAAGGCCCAGGTCTCAAGGGAACAAGATTTGGAATGAGTGAAGAGAACAGTGACTCTTCCTGTTAGATTCTCTGTGACCACAGGTTTCTGTTGCTTTGGTCTTGAGGACAGCCCACCCCAAACATCAATGGAGAGAGATATCCTAGGGGAACAGCCAGGATACATCTATCTTTCCAACCAGAGGCTGGGGCTAACAAAGAGCAAGGCAGAACATTAATACTTCAAGAGGTATTAGAATTTAATGTGTGAGTGAGGCCAGGAGAGCACTGATGTACAGTAGATATGTAGAATAGATATGTATGTATATAAACTTAGGCAAATGAAGTCAACTGCAGGGCTCTAGGTTATAAAGCTCCTCTTGGGAGAAAGCTGCCTAAGTGGGCTCTGAATCTATTCAACATTCCCAAGCCCACTCCCCCACCCCTACTATCTATTCTGAACAGTTTCTGGATAAAGAGATCATGGTATATGTCGCCTAGGAAGAGCTAGTTCAGTTTGAGGATTGGATTCACCTTCCAGAGTTAGAAATAACAATTTTAGGCACAGGAAGGCCTTGCTGTTGTTGTCTGGGTGGAAAGTGGCCAGCTTCCTGATTTGTGGCCTGTGGCTCCTATGGAGGGGCCACTACACACGGTAGCCAGTTGCAAATGCCTTATGATTAGCTGGGGACAATCAGCCACCTCACCTGATTCAGCCTGAGAGCTAGAAGGGTCACAGCCTGGAAGGGTGTTGGATGGCAGTCATACTACTCCAGACTTGAGGTGGGCTTCCTCTTCCTTACCCAAGGAAAGCAACACTCCCTTGCTCAGCAAGCTGCCACTGTGTCCTCAGGTCTGTGAGGACAGACTCAGAGGAGCAAAGGGTGGCTTCAGCCAGGTTTCCAGAGCAACTCGCAACTCAGTGGGTCTCTCAAAATGCTGAGGACTTTAAGAAATAGGAAGATGTGGGGCAAAAAAAAAATCTAAACCCATAAGTATGGATTTAATGCTTCCAAATATAACGTAGAAGAACCAGAATGAACTGTTCTCCCCTTAAGGAAGGTCTGTCAGGGACTGAGGCTAAAGAAAATGAAGATATTTGAGGAGAAACCAATACCTAGGTAGCATTAGGATGGCTAGCAATCTGTCCTGGAGCTGAAGTAATAGAACACACACTGCCCAGACTTTTTCAGGGGCACTTGGGGTGGGGAAGGTGTCTCGGGGATACCCTTTTGCCTCCCTGAGTTGCGCCAGAGAGTAGGGGTAAACCCTGTGGATTCATAATGCTGGATGGAACCTTGGGGTAATTAGGCTTCTCTCTTTCCATAATTCCACGGAGAAGGAAGAGGGGCCAACATGTACCGCTTAGCTCTGCAAGGCAGCTTCTCTGCTCCCCATCTGAATGGCCAAGTGATATTTGCCTGGGCTGCAACAGAAAGGTACTTAAAGGGCTGATCTCGAACTTGAAGATTAAAGGGAACATTTCTAGGGTCAGAAGAATCATGCCTCCCCTTCTCCCATCACTGCCCGCATGCACCTCACATACCACCAGATCCCTGCTGCTGCCCAGAGCCCAAATAATACTAGTTGAGGAATGTGGGGCCAGTGGAAACTGGAAAGGTTGGGTGAAGGCTGAGGAAAGGCTTTGACCGGAACCAGGAGAGGACTATGAACTATAGGATGGGGATCTGGCTCCATCAAGAGGCCAGCAGGGTGTTGGCAGTCACATCAGAACTTCGCACACTGGGGAAGGCATGACGGAGTTTCTCCATGATGTCCTCCAAGCACAGGCTGACATCCTGGCTCTTTGACCCCACATCATCTGGGTTAAAAAACAGAGATTTGAGAAGAGAACTAGAGACTCCTTTATGAGGCCAAGGGGTCAGATAGAATTCTGCCAGCTGAAGGGCAGACCTGCCCGCAGCATTTGCATCTTCCCAGCACAATGCCTAATACATAGGTTGTGCTCAATGTATATTTATTTGTGGAATAAGCATATGAATTAATCAATCAGTAAACCAATCATCCCTGACCCTAAGCACAAAGCCAAGAGGAGAAACCAGTCCCAGCCCCGCAAAGCCTTGGGCAGGAAATCGAGGGCAGGACAAAGCCATGGAGAAAGGGGCTGGGAAAGGCCAGGGGAACTCACCTGCAGCCTCGGTATCTGGAGTAGTCTGTCCCTTCTCCCGGGGGTGACTGCCTTCTGACTGCTGTGGAGAGGAAGCTAGGGACGAGCCTGCAGAGCCACTGCCATCTGATTCGGTGGGTGGCTAGCAAGAGGTAAGGCATGACTTAAGTGGATTTGCCTTCCTGACCTTACTCTGACAGACTCCTGAGCTTAGAAGGGACCTGAGAGACTTCATACCATCCCTTTACCCTTAGACTTTAAGAAGCTTTTGGTATTACCTAAAACAGTGGCTTCCACTTTTAGGAAACTTCTTAGAATATTGAATTACCCATTACCTTCTTCCTTTAACAACATGTGTCAAAGGCTCCCAGTTCTTATAAGAATGGCATTGTAGGCTGGGCGCGGTGGCTCACGCCTGTAATCCCAGCACTTTGGGAGGCTGACGCAGGCGGATCACCTGAGGTCAGGAGTTCAAGACCAGCCTAACCAACATGGAGAAACCCCGTCTCCACTAAAAATACAAAATTAGCCGGGCATGGTGGCCCATGCCTATAATCCCAGCTACTTGGGAGGCTGAGGCAGGAGAATCGCTTGAACCTGGGAGGCGGAGGTTGCAGTGAGCTGAGATCGAGCCATTACACTCCAGCCTGGGCAACAAGAGCCAAACTCTGTCTTGAAAATTAATTAATTAATTAATTAATTAAATAAAGAATGGCATTGTACCTAAAGGTCTCTTGCTGTCATTTCAGCTATAATTAAGCTATTTAGAACACAATTCTCTCTGGAAATGTAGAGTTTCACACCTGATCCTTGGTTCATGACATAGCATATGTTAGAAACCTCCAGGAATCCATAGAGGCCATTCCTTGGAGGATCTGGGGAAGAGGCAGAAGAGTGGTATTTTCCATTACATATAATGACAATAATAGGTAACATTTATGAAGTGTGTACTAAATTCCTGGCATCATGCTAAATTCCATAAATGCATTATCTCCTTTTATGTTCACCACAATTCTATGAAGTTGGTACTGTTACCATCTCTGTTGTACAGATGAGGAAACTGGGGCTTAGAGAGGTTAACTAACTGTCCAAACACCCCACAGTCAATTGGCAGAGCCACATGCAAACCCAGAGCTGCCTGACTCCAGAGCTTTACCACAGCATACACATTGCCTCTCAGAGATGAAAGGTGCAAAAAGTAACAAGAAACACCTTTAGATAGCACTAATCTTTCTCTTGCCAAACTTGTCCCAACCCACTTCTTTCTAGCAAATACCATACTAGCAAAATCAATGTTTTAGATGATTTTTGAAGTTTGTTCTTTTAGTATGGGATTCCAATGGGTTGTGAAGAAATAAGCCCTCAGAAGTCTTCTCTCTGCCCCAGGCCCCACAGTGGCTGGAGAGTGACACACAGGGTGGCATGGAAGGTAGGTGGAAGAGAGTTGGCTGAAGATGTGACCATACCAGTCTCTTCTTTCCCCCGCCCCCCCACCAACCGCAGGCCCAGTTCTCTTCAGGAAGTTACCTGACAGCCACTGCCAAGGAGCTCTCTCTTGTGTCTTCTTTGCCACAGCCCTCAGCTCCCCAGCCCTTCCCCTGGGCTCAGAGGCCACCCTGGCTCTTTTCCTGTCTCCATCCTCACCTGCAGGAGAAGCTCCCTCAGACGCTGCAGCTGGGACTCTAGCTGCTTGTTGTGATCTTCGAGGATCTGCATGCGCGTCTCCAGGCGGCTCTTATGTTGCCGAAGGATACGGGCCTCGGCCAGAAGCTCCTCATTGCGGTGGTCTGTTGCTGCCTCAGTGGAGCCGTCAGCCAGACTGGGTGCCTCAGCTGCCTCCTCATGCTGCCACTTCAGGCGCCTCAGCTCTCCCTGGAGAATCCTGCCATGGAGAGAGACACCAAGACCTATGGCTCTAACAGGGCTCTGACTGTCCAGGTTTCAGATGTCCCCTCAGGCCTAGGTGTGAACAATCCCTGTGCTCTTCCACCCTACCTCACCCCCACCCCCATCCCCACCCCCAGCTGTGCTCTTGCTTGAATGGCCACATCCACTTCCTCTCCAGCACATATGTCATTTACTCTGCCATCCTGAGACCTCAGAGCAGAGAAAGTTGACATTTTGCGTAAGAAATGTCTCAGGGCTTTGATGTGCTGCTTTAGGGATTAATTCTGACCTTAAAATCAGGCAGAAACACAGTCTGCAAATAAAGGAGGCATTAGGGCCACTGACTCACCTACTCCATTTTTAGATGTTTAGATTCCAAGGGAAAACATAACATAAACAAGAGACCACCTGTCTTGCCTCTTCTCTCCACAATCCTCCTCTTTGGCCCACTTTGAACACCCATGCTGGGTCATCAAAAAAACAAATTCCAAACAGGTGGCCTACTTTTGGGGATATCACTTTTGGCTTTGTTCGTTTTTTCTTTATTTGCAACAGAACAGTCACTCTCAGCCCAGTGTTTCCCAGGGCCTGCAGACTGCTGCTCAAAGGCAGTGTTTCTCAAATGATTCATGGCAAAAATCCAGGTTTTTTTTTTTTTCACTCTGTTGTGGACCAGTATGTGGTCCCAATGCACATGACTAGTACATAGCTCACACCACGTAATTCATCACACAAGTTCAACAACACTCAAACTGGTCTCTACCCTATTCAACGAGATGAGCCTACTAATTTGGTGCTTGAATATCATAGCAATGTCAAATTGCTGTAAAAGTTTCTAAAAGCTTACTCTCTCTTTTTTTTTTTTTTTTTTTTTATCTTGCCTTGGACTGGTCACAAACTGGTCACAAACTGGCCCTGGTCTGCTCTCCAAACTCTGAGTAGCACTGTTCTAAAGACTTGCTACTCCAAGTGTGGCCTGTGGAACAGCAGTATGGGCATCCACTGGGAGCTAGTGAGAAACGCAGAAACTCAGGCCCCACCCAGACCTGTGACTTAGAATTTGTATTTTACCAAGCTTCCCAAGTGACTATCTTATGCACTACTGTTTGCAAAGCACTGCTCTAAGGGGTACTACGAATTCTACTTCATGCCCCATAAGAGGCTTGGACCCTCCTTAGGTACCTGCTGCCACCTTTACTTTATGGAAAGTCATGTCTTCCCTGTATTCTTCTTCACCATCCCTATTCCAGACCTCCAACGCTCTATGTAGTGTCATTGTCCTCTGGAATACTTTTACTAGGTGATACACATTTCTTTCCACTTCCAACATTGAAAGGTCTCTGAGGGCAGGAACATGTCATACCCTCTCCTGTTTTCTCTATGCATTCTCTCTGCTTGCATCTTGTGTGTTCTTGGAAAAATTTGGGTTACATTAAAAGGATTCAGGCCAGGCACAGTGGCTCATGCCTGTAATCCCAGCACTTTGGGAAGCCGGGGTGAGCAGATCACTTGAGGTCAGGAGTTCAAGACCAGCCTGGCCAACATGGTGAAACCCCGTCTCTACTAAAAATACCAAAAAAAAAAAAAATTAGCCAGGCATGGTGGTGCATGCCTGTAGTCCCAGCTACTCGGGACGCTAAGGCATGAGAATCGTTTGAACTCAGGAGCCAGAGGTTGCAGTGAGCCGAGATCACGACACTGCACTCCAGCCTGGGCAACAGAGTGAGACTCTGTCTCAAAAAAAAAAAAAATTTAAAAGTTTTCAAATAATTATTATAATAGCTAGCATTTATTGAACCCTTACTATAAGCCAGGCACTGAGCCAAACACATTATATGCCTGATCTCATTTGGTCTTCACAAGTGACCCTAGGAGGCAGGTTTGATGATCATCATCCCCGTTTTACAGATAAGGAAATAGAGGATTACAGAATATAAGTAACTTGCTCAAGGTCAGACAGCTAGGATGTAGAAGTGCCTGGACTTAAATTCAATCTGTCTGCCTCAAGAACCCACACAGATTTCTGCTATCATCACACCCACCGGTTCTCATCTTCCAAGTGGGCCAGGATCTTCTGTAGCTCCCCTTTGCTTTCTGTGGCCACACTGCATGGAGCCTGCTGTCCAAAGGCTGGCTCCCGGTCTGTGATGGGGCTGGAGTGCCGCAGCAGGTACTGGTCCTCGTCTCTGCATGGGTGTGGGGAAAGCAGAGTAGGTGACCAGTTGTTGAACAGAGAAACAACTCAGCTCTCAGCTCAGGCCCCAGGAAATGCATGCTGGAGGATTCACTTCTAAGTCACATCGAGAGGGAAAGGACATATACTGAGGCTTGAGAGGGATGAAAGTGTTCAAAGGAGGCAGAGGCTGTGGTTGGGGGTATTGAGAGAGTGTTTTCAGGATGCAGGTATCTGGGTTCTACTTACAGCCCACCCCCCTCCCCGGGAAACAATGAGCAAATCATTTCCCTTTCTGTGCTGTTCCCCTACTCTACCCTCCTTTGTTTCCTCTTCCTCTAGAGGGATCTGGGTCCCAGTCAGGGCAGATTGATCCATGTAGCCAGAAGCTCCTAGGACCTCTGAGCAGGGTGGGGACCTCCCTAGAGACACAAGGCCCCTTCTCTGGGCTGTCATACCAGGGAGTTCCCTTGGCTATAGTTCAGCCAAGTCCCTGATGTCTCCCAGGGTTAGTGTAGCACTAGATAGGGCTTTGGCATCTTGAGCACAAGATAATGGCTCCTTTCTGCAACTTCAGATGAGGGAGGGCATATTCTTCGTTCCTCAAAGTTGTGTATAGAAGGATGGGATCTTGCAACAGGAAGGGACTTGGAAAGATGGCAGAGAGCTAGTACATCACTCATTTCCTAGGTTGATTGATAGAGGGAAGACTGCCTTTCTTACTGAACACCGTGCCCAGAAAGCAGCCTTCCTTCCTTAGGGAGCTAAGGATCCTAACCACCACACACCCCCATTCCCTGGAGGATATACCCTTCCCAAACAGTGGCACAAAGATCTCAAGGAGAACTATTTCTGGCAAATAAGCAGCTGTGGAAACTCACATGCTGTCATCTGGGGACAAGCTGTCATTAAAGAAGGAGCAATTTTGACTTTCCATCTCAGCAAGCCTAGGAATAAAGAGCAGAGGCAGGAGAGAAAACAGGATGTGGGGCCTGCTTCCATCTCAAGGACTTTAATCTCACAGCAGGATCATTGGCTTTGAGAGCTGCCCCAACTACTCCTAAGTGTTGGGTCTTGCTGGCTGCTGCACACCCCACTGTGCACATCCCCTGGCCCTGACTCCATTCTCCTTGCCCCGACTGAAGATCCTTTCCCCTCGGACTTCCTACAACAGCTCCTACCCACCTCCCGCAAACCTGGTGGTACCTGCTGGCAAAATGCTCAATTCGGGAGTGTGTGTCGGCGTGTGGCCACATCGGGGAAGAAGCCGGCCTAGAAGAAAGCAGCAAAGACTCGGAGGACCAAAGACTGGGCAGCCTGTTTCCTCCTCCCTCTCCTGCTCCCTACATTATGGACATGGGCAAGAGCTGATGGGAACAAAATACAAAGACTGGATTCCAGTCTACTTCTCAGGCCAGAGTGCAGGTCAGGCCCAAGCTGAACGGCCCTATCACTAGTGGGATTTACCTTGGAACATTCTCCTAGCCCACTCGGGACTCAGCCCCTTCACAGCATACGATCGGGCTCAGTGAGGCTGCCCACAGCCCCTGCTCAGCCACCAGTACTCACGTCTCACTGTAGTCAGCCTCCAGCACTGATTGCACAGGCAGATAACCTCGCTGAGGGTGTTTGCTGAAATAATGCTTGGAGCGGAATTTGTTCTTTAAGGTTGTGGCAAAGTCCCTCATGTTCTCACTGGATGTGGTCTGAGGAGGAGACAGGGCAGAGGAACTTACCCTAATGGCTTCCAGATATACTGGGCAGGTGTGGCTGCTCTGCTAGAGCAGACAGCCTGCTGGGTAATCCACTCTTGCTCATGCCCACCATACCCTGCTCCTAGAAGAAGGTCTGGGAGGATATATGCCAAACTCAACACTGGTTGCCTCTGGGAAGTTGAACTGGAGGGGTGGGGGCCAGGGTGAGGAGACAGGAGGACTTTCATTTTATACTTAAAAATTTAATTGTCTCAGTTCCTCTAAAAGCAAAACTAATAATAATAATAATTAATTTTGTAGAGACAGGGGTCTCACTGTGTTACCAAGGCCGGTCTTGAACTCCTGGGCTCAAGAAATCCTCCTACCTCGGCCTCTCAAAGTGTTGGGATTACAGGTGTGAGCCATGGCACCCAGCCTTTTTTTTATACTTTAAACGCTTTTATATGATTCCAATATTTTATAATGAGCATATGTTTGTTAATTTTTAAAATAGCTTTTCTATGAATTCTAAGGATGTAGAGGACGAGCAGGTGGTAGAGGATTATCAGTCTACCAGATCCAGCCAGTTTTCCATGTATGACTTTTCTAATGTTTTCTTTAAAATGATAATAAATGAAAAGTAAAGGGCATGGTCCCTGTTCCCACCAGGCCACACGTTTCTGTGTCAACAGGATTTGAAGAGATGAAAGCTTGGACAGATGGATTGTGGGGAAACAGGTTGAAAAATAGGAGACACTAGCTACTTGGGAGGCTGAGGCAGGAGAATCGCTTGAACCTCAGAGGCAGAGGTTGCAGTGAGCCAAGATCGCACCATTGCACTCCAGCCTGGGTAAGAGTGAGACTCTGTCTCAAAAAAAAAAAAAAAAAAAAAAAAAGGTGAAAGTAAAATTAAAAAAAAATTCTAAAAAAAAAAAAGAAAAATAGACAGAATAGGGGAGAGAGAGCAGTGGTGGGAGCTGGGGATATGATCAGGGCTTTGGGAGCATCTGCGGGGACAGAAAAGGATAAAGATGAGTAGGGAGCAGAGTCAGTGCTGGAAGCTAAGCATGGAGCTGTGGGTTTTAGACACAGCACAGGAGCAACTCTGTGGCTGGAGTTCAGGGATGCTGACTGAACTGGGCTAAGGCAAGTATGGAGGACATGGTTACCAGGGAAAACCAAGTGGAGTTTGGGGGTCCAGGTAAAGGACATACCTTTCTTTTTTCCCTCCAAGGGATGAATAATTAATTTGAGCATAAGCTTTGGTACTGACTAGAAGGGGTAGAAATAATGACAAAGCATCAGGGAAAGACTGAGTGACCCAGTACAGAAGCAATATAGGAAGCTAGCCAGGAAAAACTCAAGTGAGCAATGGAAGGCGAATCACCTGGAACTGCCTTGCTCTCTCTGTTTTAGTTTGTTTGTTTGTTTGTTTTGCTTTGTTTTGTTTTTCCTGAGACTTTTCTCTGCAGTAAAACAGTGAGTGCCCTTTAAATGGCTGAGAGTGTCCTGGGCCAGCTGTGGCCAGGCCTGGTGAGGGAGAAGCTCTGCTGGAAGAATAGAGAGGCCTGAATTTCCCAAACCAGTGAATCACCAGAGCTCCTTGGAGAATGCTCCCCACGGGAGAGCAGAAAACAATGAGCCAATGCTGGGCAAAGTGGATCAAGGCCTAGTACCTGAGAGCTGCCTAACCCTCCCACCCAGCCTGGAGGCTTCATACCGGTGTGTAATACTCCATGATGGGGTAGTGCAGCTTATTGCCTTTGCTGGCCCTGCCTGTCAAGAAGCAGGTCTGGCAGATGTCAACGTTGAATTGCTTCAGACTCCGGTACCTTGGGGGAGAGGAGATGTAGTAGGAAAGAGAGTCCAACGTGCCACAGTGACCTCCCCGCTGTTCCCCTAACATTAAAATATACACACACAGTAGAAGGGGATGAATGAGGCATGGAGCCATAACATGCCCAACCTCGTATACATAGCAGTGGCTGAATTCTCAATAGATGAATAACTTTATTCTAGAGACCATAAATCTCTATGAAATCACAAGGCCAGATTCCCATGAAGTGTGGGAAATAGCATTGTCTCACCACCTTTGTTTAAGGGAGACAGGAGGGAAGCAGGGGTAAATATCTCATCATATCAAATGGCCTTCTAAACAAGGATGGCCCAAACAGGTCCAGGCTCCCAGGGACCACCACCTACCCTGGAGAAATTACACTTCCAATATGAAGGCAGTTCTTTCTACCAGCCTTGGCTAAGTTGGCTAAAAGTTATTTCCAAAGGTTGTTCATAATAATATACCTATTATTGCAGAACAAAGAATAGCCCTTCAGATCTACTTCCAAAGCCTGGCTGAACTGCCCAACCTTGTAGCATAGGACAGTGAAATGCCTAGACTTAGAGGAGTCATATGATCCAATATCTAGTCTAGATCTACCACTAACTAGCTGTGTGCCTCATTTGCTCATCTTACGAAAAGCAGGGTGATGACAGGGAGAGTTGTGGGTTAGTGTTTTACAAAGGTAAAAAGTTGAGTGTTTTATGATGAAAGTCCAATCCAGGATAGTGGTTACCTTTGTTGGGGAAGGAGAGGAATATAATCAAGGAGACCTCAGATGTATTGCAGTAATGTTTTATTCCTTAAGTTGGTCACAGGTATATACTGTGGTGTGCTGATGCCAGCTCATACCAGCTCACGACAGTTGGCTGTTAAAATTTCAGGGGTTTTCTAAGCCAGTTGTTAAATCTAGCCATTATTAAATTATATAAACTCACAATTAAATAAATTATATTACAAACAAAGGTAATAAATACTCAAAACTCATTACTTCCTAATTACTTTGCTACTCTCTATGTTCTTGAGGTTACTTAACATCTATTGTATCTGCATGGTTGACATACTATATAAATGGTGTGCAACTGAGGATCTGTTTCTGACTCTGCTCAGAGACCTCTTGTAAATAGCCTGATGTCATTCACAGTGGGAGTATATACATCACAGAAATTAGCAAATGCTACAGATCAGCTTTCCTTTTTTCTTTCTAGAGAGTAGGTTGTGAACCATTTGCTGGCATACCATTTAGTACATAGGTGCTCTTACACCTATGTTCTTCTATACATTTTTGTAGGTCTGTAATACTTTATAATACAACTAAAACAAAATATTTCCTCACTTCCCATTTAAAAACAATTAAACATTCTGCAATATAAAGGATTATAACAGTATATAATAATGTACAATAGACTAGCTGTAATTATATAATAATTAGGTGACACTTTATTTTTTAATATCTGAGTTATATGTCACATGACATATTTATTATTATCATCCCAGCAGGTATTGTTTTCCCTACCTGAACCCCTTGATGGGGCACTGCCTACAGATAGAGCACTTGGTCTGATGCTTCACTTGCTCAGCAATGGTGACCCGATGCAGAACAGCCAGCCACACCATGGACTGGGGCTCCAGGTTGACCCACTCCAGGAACTGGGATGCTTCAATGACTGGCTTCCCGGTGCTCTACGGAAACAAGAAGACCAATGGGAATGACTGAGGCCCAAAGTGTCTTATCCCTAGAATGGCAGCCCTCAGAGGGGCAGGAGAACCAGCAGGGGCTGGGTTGGCCTGTTCTCCAGAGATGTTCACGTTCTGCCCTGTGCTAGTTGAGCTGACACCCTCCCTAACAGGACTATGATTCTAGAGCCCAGAGAACCCTCTGCCCTGTTGTTCCATCCCAATAAACTCCCTTGCATCTGCGTACTTCAGATCAAAAGCCTAGCTCGTAGTCCTCCTTCCCTTCTTCCCACCCTTCCTGCAACCTCCCTTCCCTCCCCCACTCCCCAGTTCCATACTCACAAAACGGAAGCAACTACGGACACTGGGCTCCACATTGCTGCCCCCAAAGGCTGCCACTTCACCCAGCTGACGGGGCACCTGAATGGCCTCATGAAGCAGGACACCAAGGTGGCGCTGGTCACACTGGCTGCCTGAGTTGGCCACTTGGCTGAAGAGGTCTGCTGGCCCCACCGTCAAGAATGGCCAACCCCGACACAGGAATGGCCGGAGAATGGTGAGGAGAAAGGGCAGAAAAGGAAAATAGGGAAAGAGCACAGACTGAGCTAATGACTTTTCAAACTGGACTACATAGAGGTCTATCCCTGACCTTCTAGTAGCCGAGTTCTAAAAAGAGCATTCTCTGAGTTCAGAGAGAAAAATCAGGCCAACACAAAGAGAGAATATCAGGGGGAGGGGGAGACAGAGAGAGAAAGAGTGAGAGAGAGTGAAAGCAAGAGAGAGAGAGGTCGAGTGCACTGTGTGTAAGAGCAGTGCCAGACACAGATATGATACTGTTGGGAAAACAGATTCTTCCAGAAGCAGGATGATGGGGTACGGGCTCAGGGGCACCTGAACATGAGTCACAGTCAGGCTGCCATACCATCTCTCCTGTTTATGTAGTCTGACACTGCAGTAATCTCTCAATTGTCCACACAAATGGAAGGAAACACTGGCATGCATAATCCAAAAAGAGAAGCTAATTCAAAACATCTGATCATCTAAAAATTATCTCTAAGTCTCTGTGGAATCTACTATGATACTTATCTTTGTATATGGGTTATTTAAGCCCTTCTAGGACTGTTCCCTTCCACATCCCAATTCAGCCTTAGCAAACCTCCTCCAGAGGTTATTCTCTGTCTGCTTCATACCTTGATTAAGGCTTAGAAAATACACAGAAATAGAAGGCAGAGAGCCTAGGTTCGAGTTTTGGGTCCATTACTGCCTAGTTGTAGAATCATAGGTAAGTCATGAACCTCTCTATGCTGCCATTTCCTTACTTTTTAAAATTAGAAATGGAGTCTCACTATATTGTCTAGGCTGGACTTGAACTTCTGGGCTCAAGTGATCCTCCCACCTCGGCCTCCCAAAGTGCTGGGATTACATGCATGAGCCACCATGCCCAGCCCAGTTTCCTTACTTTTAAATTGATGATAAATAATCACTGTTCATCCCATTGCAAGGAAATGTTGAGAGAAATACATAATATCATAGCCACGAACATGTTTGGAAACGTTCTCTTCCCTGTAAAGTTTTTCCAGACTGCTGTCATCTGTCTCTTTTCTGTCATATGATATAGGATATATTTTTGGCCATTTGGATTATTCTCATCAGTACTTTCTAAAAAATGCTTTCTGTGTACTTCCATCTCCTCCTCTGGACTGTAAATCATTGGAAGCAGGGACCACGTCTAATTTAACTTAGCACTCACCCCATTTAGCAGTCACATATTAGGACTCAACAACTAATCATGCTGCTACTGAGAAGTTCAAAATGCTGAACACAAGATGGAGGACAGAGGGGAACACAAAGGTACTATAAGCCAAAGATGTGAAAAACTACAGAAGAACATAGTGTCCGCCTCCCAGATATTGGGTATTATTGTGCCCTGCCTGTGTATATAAGAAGTCTCTAGTGACATGGCTTGAGCTTCAGACTGGAAGAGGGCTAAGCCTGATAGGCCACAGGGGAATGCAACTAGAACATCAGGGCCCTGGGTACCTCAAAATGCCAACATAGATCCTGACTAAGTACTTCCATCAATTCAGAAGGAATGAAGCCCGTTGGAGTGACACTGGGAATAGTAATAGGCCTTAGGCCCATCTTGTCCTTTGGCTGTCATGTGTTCTTTGCAACAGTGTGAACCAAGAAGCATCATAAGGTAGCCCAAGTAGCCCTCTGCTGAGTCACAAGATGTACTTTCTGCTTATCTTACACCCTTCCTCCTCCCTGCAACACCTTTCCCTCTACCCAACACCACTCCACACTTTGGAGTTCTACTCACACTGAAGTTTTTCCTTCACTTCCGTGCCACACAAGCATGCAATGCCAGTCTTAAAAGACAATGCCCGCATCTTTCCGCTGCGACCACTAGGTTTAAAAAGAAGAGACTGAGAATATGAATGTATGTAA
Source organism: Homo sapiens (assembly GCF_000001405.40). NCBI lineage: Eukaryota > Metazoa > Chordata > Mammalia > Primates > Hominidae > Homo > Homo sapiens. Next base: position 101,248,471 of record NC_000023.11, on the reverse strand, counting down.
AGGGTTAACATCTTGGCAATCATTTCCCTCACAAAGTTGATCCCAGCAGGGCCCTGTTCCAACCATGCCCCAAGCTGAGCTGGGTCCAAGTCTACTATGGGAGCAACACCTTCCCACCAGGCCCACTTGAGATATCCCATTGAATTTTATCCTGGAGGCTTCCAGAGCTGAAAGCCCTTACCTATCAAAAACATTGAGGAGCCAATTGAGGCTCATGTCCACACAGAGTGGCACGTTGACCAGGATGCCTCTTTCCTCCTCCAAACGTTCATATAAGGCAGTCAGGCAGTGAATGACCTCTACCACATCCATCACGTGCTCACTGGCCTGCAGATCATGCTCATTGAAGATTTCCAGGGCTGTGGTTAAAGTTACCAGGTCCACTGGTAAGGAAAGAAGAGAAGAGAAAAAAAATATAGCCAAAAGTAGAACCCCAGGGATTAAATAAGGAGATAAAGCCACCAGCATCACCAAATTTGACTCAATCTCCAGATCAACCATTTGCAAATATGATACAAGCTTGTCCTTTACTAAGACCCTCATCCAAGGAGGCAGAAGGCAGCAAAATGTTCCTCAAATTAACCCAACATGTTTTTATATCCAATGTTCTTTGACATCAGTTTCAAAAAGATGATGGGACATGAGTAAACTCAACTCCTATGTTATACTAACTCTCAAGGGATCAAATCCCATTTTAAGTTTCTGTCTTTGCATGAGTTTCAATTGCAAATAGGTTCGTCTGTAAGTTTTGTTCTGAGAACCTAGACACCAGCAATGAAGGCTCAGGTATGGTTGGGGAAATGTGACATACATCAAGAGGACATCTTAATTACCCCCAAATGCTGGCTCAGCCTAGCCAGACATGCCTGAGCCAGGAAGTCTGAATGAACAGTGTCTCCGAGAAAGGCCAGAAGGCATATTATATCCTCAGCCACACTGTTCCCTAACCACTGGTATTTGCTTCAACAGTTTTGCTGCTACATCCAATAACCCCAAGATGGCAAATCATGGGTTGCAGTACTTCCTGTCACAAAGCAGTTGCTTGATTATACATACTGAGCATGGGAAAAGGGTCAAGGAGGAGCATAACAGTGGGGTTAATTTGGAAACACGTCTGGGGCCTAGCGAGAGTGGAAGGGAACTGGGAAGAGCAGAAGTTGACAGCTAGCATATTGCAGGCTTTGGAGAGTTTCCACCAAGCCAATCAACAACCTTTGCCAAGGTGGGAGGAAAATGAGAAACAGCAGACAGATGAGGAACAGGAGAGGGGTGGTGAACGTCATAGGGAAGTACAACAGGAGACGTACAGCGCAGGGCTTTCTGGACTCTGCGGAGTTTCATGGCAGTGCGATAAGCTGAGAACTTAATGTTGTTCAGATCAGCTGCAAAGAATGGAGAGAGACCCACTCAGATCAGAAAAATTCAAGTTAAAGCCGCAACAAGATACCATTTTACACCCACCAGACTGGCAACCAATAGATGTCTGACAATAGCAAGTGTCAACAAGAGTGGGGATGAATGAGAACTGCCAGTGAAAGTGTGAACTGACACAATCATCTTTGAAAACAACTTGGTATCACCTAGTAAAATGGAACAGTCACATATCCCACCACCCAGCCAGCTATATATCCCAGAGCAGTGACTTGCAAATGCTTTTTGATCAAGACTTACAGTATGAAATTCATTTTATAGTATACATGTATATATGTAAAAATAACTAAATCAAACATTTCAGGAAGCAATTCCTTACTAGATTGCATAGAGTGAAAACAACAAAATTAATATCAACTATGACTCTTGCTAAGGATCTGTTGCATATTAATATTTCCTGGTCTATTTCAACTTTTTAAATGTTTGTCACAACACACTGAAATGATGTTATGACCTGCAGACTGAAAAACATGCCCCAGAGAAATCTTTGCACACATGTACTGGAAGACACATATAAGAAACTCCTCAGCAGCACTGTCCTCATTAGCTTAAAACAAGAAATGACCCACGTGTCTGTCAACAGCAGAAACTGTGCTATATACAATGGAACATTCTATAGTGGTAAAAAAGAATGAACTGTAGTCACATGCATCAGCATGGATAAAATGTGCAACAAACATAATGATGAGTCTCTCACAGTAGGCAAAGATAAGGCACACAAGAGTTACGCTCATCACAGCCTGGACAGTCTTTTAAAGCAAATCAGACTTCACATCTGTAAGAATAATGCACTAATCCGGTGATAAAATGGTCCAGAGGGGAATGTAGAGCCTCCAGTTGAGAAAGGTGCGAGGATAAAGGAAGGCAGGCTGTTGGAGAAACGATGAGGCACTCATTCCCTCTCCCACCTGCTTATTGACTGCGATTCTCTTCTATTCTTTTTAAAACCACTTTATTGAGTTATAGCTGACATATAAAAAGCTTTACAGATTCAATGTCTACAAGTTGATGAGTTTGGAGACAAGTATGCATCTATGAATCCATCACCCCAATCTATGCCATTAGTACATCCATCACTTCCAAAAAGTTCCAACTACCCTCTTTATTGTTTTTTTCTGTAAGAACACTTAACATAAGATCTACCTTTTTAGCAAATTTTTAACGATACAATCCAGTATTGTTCACTATAGGTAATATGCTGCACCGTAGATCTCTCTAGGACTTATCCATCTTGTATAATTGAAACTTCTTTGTACTCTTGACCAGTATCTCCCCATTTTCCCCTCCCCTCAGCCACTGGCAGCCACCATTCTACTCTCTGCTTCTATGAGTCTGTCTATTTTAGATTCCTTACATACATGAGATCATGTAGTATTTGCCTTTTGTTTCTGGCTTATTATTTCACTTAGCACAATGTCCTCCAGGTTCATCCACATTGTTTCAAATGGCAGTATTTCCTTCTTTCTAAAGGCTGAATATTCCATTACATGGATATACCACATTTTCTTTATCCATTCATCTGTAGATGGACATTATAGGACAAAGGCAGCTGTGTATATGCCCACCCTATACAGGAAGCCCACATTCTTACCTAGGGTTTGGTATAACTCTGTCATCTTGGGATGGTCCCAGCATGTGGTCTGAGCCTGGTGGCTACAAACAATAGCATCAATAGTACCAGCATCTATACCACCCACCCACCCCCACACTCAGATGTGCACACCACTCAAGTGACAGGTTGGATGCAAGAAGCTGCAGGGTTCGAGGGTAAACCCAAGATGCCAAAGCCCAAGGGTTCACCTTTACCCAAGTAGAATCTTGAGATCTTGAGATGAGTAGGAGAAAAACCGAACTGGATGGAGGAATCCCAACAGACAGAGTGACAAGGACAGGTAGCAAAAAGGCAGGAGAGGGAGGGGGTGGGCAGGTGACTGACCCGCTTCTGATTCAGATGGTCACTCACTTGATGTAGTAGGGAACTTTATTGGGTGAAATTGCTCTTTCCCAGGGAACCTGGACAGAGGCTGGTAAAGGAGAAGAGAAAGAGAAAAAAAGCTGGCCACTAATGCTCTTAAGGCCCCCAGCTACTCCCTTGCTCTATTCTCCCAAAGAGGTTGTCAAGCCCAAAAGGGGATGTCTGAATTTCATTGCCAGCTCTTAACAGCCTCTGAGGGTGGGACAAAGAGTTCTAATGAACACGCTTCTCTCCCTGATGTTAGGGCAAGGCAAGGAGAAGAGGTTGTCACCGATATCCTAACATACCAGAGATGTGGCAAGGGCATGAACAGGAATACTTGGCCTTGGCCACCCTGACAATCTTCTCCCTGAGCAGACTGCCATTTCTACCCATCAGCTGCAGGCAGCTGGATTACTCTTGCGGATATGAAGTAGACTCCACTTTCCCCTTAGGGCTCAAAGCTCTTCCCCTAGAAGGTCAAGCTTCTCAGTCCTGTGGGACTGTGGGTAATGGTACTGCCCATTTCTCTCTCTCTCATGAGGAACTCTGGAAACTCATGCCTCTCTCTGCCTGTGTCTATCTTTTGGACCTTCCACGAATGGCTCAGTTTACATGGCCAGCTTGCTCACTGCAGTTTTCCTCGGTACAAGAGTCCTCCGCCTGCAGGTATAGCTGTATGCCAATGATTATAATAGCAACAATTTTAACCACAGTTAACATTTACTGAGCTCCTACTATGTGCCAGATATTATGCTCATTGCTTTGTGTGCATATCTCATTTTTCTGTCTGTATATTCTCACCATCTCCACTGCTACCAGCCCCCTAGTCTGGGCCACCATAATCCCTCACCTGGATTATTGCAATGTACCTCCAAATAGGCCTCCCTGTTCCCACTCTTGCTCCCCAGTAGTCTCTTCTCAACACCCTGACTCTGTTGAAACATAAGGCAGATCATGCCATCCCTTGGCTCAAACCCTGCCGATGGTTCTCCACTGTACTGAGAATAAAATCTGAAGTTCCTCCCATTGCCTACAAGGCCTTACATGCTCCAGCCTCCCCTACTCCCCCACACTTTGCTCTCCTTACTGTTTCTTGGACACATCCTTACCTTAAAGGTATGGAATATGCTGTTCCCTCTGCCTGGTATGCTCTTCCCTCAGCTATCATCCACACGGTTCATCTCTTCATCTACTTTAGACCTCTGCTCAATTGCCACCTTCTCAGTGAGGCCTCTGCTAACCACCCTGTTCAAAATTGCAACACCTCCATGCTTAAGTCCAGCACTCCCTATCCACGCCTTCCCTGCTTTTTGTCCATAGCCCTTGTCACCAAGTAACCTTATATATATTTTACTTATTTGTTTGTGGTCTGGTTTCCCCAGCTAGAATATAAGCTGTCTAAGGATTTCTGTGTGTTTTGTTTACTGATGCAGCCCCAGTGCCTAGAGCAGTATCTGGCCCACAGAAGGCCCTCAATAAATATTGTTGAAAAAATAAAGTCATTTAATTCCCATAACCTGATGAGCTAGGTAATATTTTTCCTTCCTTTTACAGATGGGAAAATTGAGGTTCAGAAAGAGTAAGCTATTTTTTTTTTTGAGCCTGCACAGTTATTAGGTTGAGGTGCTGTGCCTCAGACCCAGATCTCTCCGATTTGAGAGATTGTGTTTTTTTTTTTTTTTTTTTGAGACGGAGTTTCATCCTTATCGCCCAGGCTGCAACCTCCACCTCCTGGGTTCAAGCAATTCTCCTGCCTCAGCCTTCCGAGTAGCTGGGATTACAGGCACCCGCCACCATGCCCAGCTAATTTTTGTATTTTTAGTAGAGACGGAGTTTTGCATGTTGGCCAGGCTGGTCTCGAACTCCTGACCTCAGGTGATCCGCCCACCTCAGCCTCCCAAAGTGTTGGGATTACAGGTGTGAGCCACCACGCCCAGCCGAGAGACTGTTCTTTTAACCACTATACCACACTGTTTTATCCTTACTGCTTCTCGGATGTCAAGGTATACTGGGCTCCCACCAGGGCCCCAGGGGATAACAATAGACTCTCCAGGAAGATGGCTGAGGTTCTGCTAAGTGGAGTCCAGTTTGGTTCACGTACAGGAGAGAAAGTGCTGTGACCCAGGCCCAAAGTCCCGGTGGGCATCCTGGAGCTGCTTAAGCCTCTCACTAACTGACGCCTATGGAAAGAACAGGGTGAGGTCAGTAGATTCATTCCAGCTATTTAGAGTGGGATCCCCAGGTGCCTCTGGGAATCTTTATGAGCTTCCTCAGGGACTGGCTTTTCTCTGGTTCCAGCCTCTCCCACCGTCACCCAACTCCTAGCCATCCCCCAGAACTCCCAAAGGTCACAGCAGAGCATCCCTAATTCCAGGCCACAGTCACTCTTCCCCTGCCCCTGTCTACCCTGAGTGCCCAAATCCAGAAAGACCCCTCTTATTCATTTTAATCATTCCCTGCAGCTTAGAGGTTGAAAAGCCCATTCCCTAGCTCCACATTCTCCACTCCTCTTTTCCCATGCAGATCCTATTTCCATACCCCTGAAGAAGTTTCCCCCAAGCCTAGTTATATGGAGGCACCTCCCCATGGTTCACTCCAGGCTGCTCTTCTACCTGTAGTTGTTTCCATCGGACGTTGATCTGTTCCAGGGCCTGGGAATTCTCCATTGACAAGTGCACATCAGAAATGGCAAGTTGGTGGGCCAGATCATTCACCAACTTTACTCCATCTTTCATGGGGGAGAATTCTTCTTTGAACAGCTGGAGAACCAGGACCCAAGTGCCACAGCAGACAGAGTGGGAAAGAAGAAACATTAGTCATTCACCTCTACTCTTCCCTCTTCACCCAGAGGTTTTGTTTCAATAACACAGCCTAGTGCTTGCCTATTAGGGCAACCAGACTAAGGTGTGGGCGGCCACTGTCCTTATCCTCTTCCTCTCATCCTCAGAAAACACCAGGAAAAGAGAAGAAAGTAGGAAAACAGAAGAGACTCCAGCCAAACCAGCCCCAAATCTAGCACATAAACTGACAGCAACTCAGTTGTAGTCCAGGCCAACAATGGAGTCTCAGCAGCAGAAACATTGTCAGTGTCTGGGGAGAGTGTCAGGTCTCAGGGTAGACTGTAGTCAGGGGAGGGGGCTTGCATACCTTAATAGCCTGGATGTGCTCTGGGAGTGAATCAATGAAGAGATCCCCAATGGGCTCCCAAGTGGCTCGGACTCCCTCAGCTTGGCTCAGAGTAGTGCTTAGTTCCTCCATTGCCCCTTGAATCTCCAAGAGCTGCTCCAGAGTCCGCTCAATGTGACGGTGCTGGTCCACACAGCGGGCTGTCAACTTCTCCCACAGTTCACTGGCCACCGTCGCCTGCTTCCATACAAAGCGGCTGAGATTCTGGATCCGCTGTTTCGGGGAGGTATCTGCAAGAGGAGGCAGGAAGCCAGGTTAGGCCAACCAGGCAGGGTCAGCTCAAAGAAAGAGACAGAAACAGCCCTTTATAAAATGTGTGTGTATGTGTGTGTGCACATGTGGGCATGTTTGTGTATATATTCATACACACACAAATACATATTTTTCCATGGTTGAGCCCTTTAATACAGTCACGTTTTTTTTAAAAAAAAACTGTTTATTTTTAAATCATTGTAGAGTCATAGGCAGTTATAAGTAATAACACAGAGATTTCATGTACCCTTTACCCAGTTTCCCCAAATGACAACATCTTGCAAAACTACAGTATAATATCACAATCAGGATATTGACATTGACATAATCTGCCAATTTTGTCCAAGTTTCCCCAGTTTTACTTGTATTCGTGTGTGTATGTGTGTGTGTGTACACGTGTGTTTAGTTCTATGTGATTTTATCACATGCGTTGGTTTATATATCCGCCACCACAGTCAAGAGACCATATTGTGTTTTTCCACTTACTATATCATGAGGATTTCCTCATATTTTAAAACAGTAGGAAATGAAAAAGTAAGACATTATAAAAGGTATAGTGAGGCAAGTCATCTAGAGCCCTATTCATACGACCCTGGAATGTGATTTTGCATTAGTTTCTGTTGCCCACTTCCAGCCAAAGGGAGGCATTTTATGAAGGCTCAGCCCAGGAGAAGTTGGTATAATGTGTCTGGCTTTTCCACCTAGGCTCCTAATCTGTAGATTTCTTCTTCCTCCCTCAGATCTCTCCTCAGAAGATCCAGAGCCCCATAGCCCCAGGCTAACTAGAATTGTGCTGCTCTTTCTAGAGCTTGTCCTATCTGAGGCCCATCGGGCATCAAATTAAGTACTAGCCCTCCCATTGAAGGGCCAGAAATAAACTGAGATGGGCATATGGCATTGACAAAGGGCTCAATTCATGAAGGGTCCTTTCAGGCTATTCACAATCCATCTCAGAGGGTTGAGGATTCTTTTTGGAGAAGAGGGCTTGCTGGACCACCACTCAGATCTAGTCACCATGAGTCCCATCCCACTGCCTTATAGACCAGAGTGGCCCTCTCTATCAAGGGAAGGGGCTAGAAGTTATTGGAGTCAGTATCAAAGAGTCACAGTCGGCTGGGGGCAGTGGCTTACACCTGTAATCCCAACACTTCAGGAGGCCAAGCAGGCCGATCACTTGAGCCCAAGAGTTCAAGACCAGCCTGGCCAACATGGCGAGACCTGGTCTCTTCAAAAAACACAAAAATTAGCTGGGTGTGGTAGCATGCGCCTGTAGTCCCAGCTACTCAGGATGCTGAGGCTGAGGCTGAGGCTGGAGGATAGCTTGGGCCTGGGAGGTCAAGGCTGCAATAAGCTGTGATCACACCACTGCACTCCAGCCTGGGTTATGAAGTGAGAGGCTGTCTCAAAAACAAAGACTAAACACAAAAAAATTCCAAAGAGTCATAGTCAATTTGCCTTTCAAAGGCAATCATCACCTAACTTTTTAGATTTTATAAAGGTTTATTATTTGCTGGTTTGCATGTCCCTCGATGTTGGAATAAAGCAGTATTTTTAAATTATGATTATTTTAGTTTGTTATTTTATTGTATATTATTTATTTTTAGAGTCAGGGTCTTGCTCTGTTGCCCAGGCTGGAATGCAGTGGAGCAATCATAGCTCACTGCAGCCTCGAACTTCTGGGCTCAAGTGATCCTCCCATTTCAGCCTCTCAAGTAGCTGGGACTACAGGCACACACCACAAAACCTAGCTAATTTAAAAAAAAATTTTGGGCCAGGCGTGGTGGCTCACGCCTGTAATCCCAGCACTTTGGGAGGCCGAGGTGGGTGGATCACGAGGTCAGGAGATTGAGACCATCCTGGCTAACACAGTGAAACCCCGTCTCTATTAAAAATACAAAAAATTAGCCAGGCGTGGTGGCAGGTGCCTATAGTCCCAGCTACTCGGGAGGCTGAGGCAGGAGAATGGCATGAACCCAGGAGGCGGAGCTTGCAGTGGGCCAAGATCACACCACTGCACTTCAGCCTGGGCGACAGAGCGAGACTCCGTCCCCCACAAAAAAAAATTGTAGAGATGGGGGTCTCACTATGTTGCCCAGGCTAGTCTTGAATTTCTGGGCACAAGTGATCTTCTTGCCTCAGCCTCCCAAAGTGCTGGAATTACAGACATGAGCCACTGTGCCCAGCCAGCACTATGTTTTTAAAGGACATACTGGTACTTTTATTCATTGAGTCAGTTCAATTCATTTGAGTGGTTTTTTGTTTTTCTTTTCCACATCTCATTAAATGGCCACACATGCTGCTCCAAAGAGCCACATACAGCTTTGGGTCACACAACTGTTGACCCCTGCTCCAGGCTATATTCTCTTTGCTTTTTTTCCTGCAGTAGGAATCTTGCTTCCCCCCAACTTTGGATGGACTCCTGGGGGAAACTATCCTCCTAGATAACAGGTAAGAAAATGAGTTTGGGGAAGGCAGGAGGGTGTTTGTTCAGCATTCAGCAGTACATGGCTCAAGAAGAAGTGGGAAAAACAGAAGACCACCTACCTTTGCTCTCAGAATGAGGCTCCTCTAACTCCTCAAATGGGTGCTGGGACAGGAAGGCCTGAGCTGACTCCAGCACAGAATAGATGTAGGGGCCCCGAGACTTGACTTCTTCCATAAAGGCCTATAAAGTTTAGCAATATGGTCAACAGGAAAGGAAAGTTTTTCAATCACTTTACATTCCATCCTGCAATTGACAACCTTTCTTCTTCTCAGTGTGTCTTGATTCTTTGGCATTATCAGGTATCTTTGAACTACCTAGACAAAAAGGCGTGCAATCCTCCTGATAGACAGAAAAATAACTCTGACACTGGAAGGTCTGTTTAGTATGAAATTTGTCTGTCTATGCCACAGGATAGAGAAAAATGTGGGGATCTTGGTTCTCCAGAAGACTCAGAAAGCTTCCTGTAAGGGTCTTATGGAAATCAAAACCAAGATAGGCAGGATTTATATTAAAATTATAATTAAATTTTTGGTTGAAATATATACGGGATACACAAACTAAAACTGTACATCTTGATGTAACCAGTACTGAGATCAAGAAACAGAACTCTATCAGCATCCCAGGTGGGCCCTCCTAGTCACTATCTCACCTTCATGCCCCACCCCTCCCTCCCCTCCCACAAAGGTGACCACAATTTTTACTTGTAAAATCACTGATTAGTTTTGCCTATTTTTAAACTTTGTATAAGTGGAATCATACAGTATATACTCTTTTTGTATCCGGCTTTTTTTCACTCAACATATTGTCTGTCTGTAAGATTCACCCATGCTGTGGCACGTGGTTATAGTTTATTTTATTGCTGTATTATATTTCATTCTGTAGTCATTTTAAGAAGTATTTTAACTACAGCAGTAATATATATCACAGAAATATTAGAAATTTCAGAAAGATATGAAGAAAATTAAGAACTCCAATTTTATTACCTAGAGTTAACCATTGTTAACATTTTGATATAGTTCCTTCCTATGCTGTTATATGTATGTAAACATCACACTCATCTATATACATTTTTATACAATTGAGATCCACTTGCACTTAGTTTTGTATCCTGTGTTTTTTCACTTAGCATTATGTTATGTTCATTTCCCCATGTTCCCATTAAAAATCATGGCAGTATTTTAAGGGAGGCTAGAATTTGATGGGAGGGGTAGAAAGAAAATATTTGACTTAGGCTGTGGCATGCTAGCCACAGACTAATAGGACTGCATACAGCCTCCTATTCATTTAGGTGTCTCAGCAGAGCTGGGTGTCTGTCAGGGTACTGAAGAAGGGATTCCTCCCCAGCTGAGAGGCTACACACCACGGCTTCTCTGATTCTAACCTACCGCATGTGTCTCCTTCTCCTGTTGCACCAGGGCCACATCCCCCTGTAGGGGCAGCTGAGCTGACAACTCCTCATCCTTTTGGCTGAGCCAGTCAATAATCTCTTGAAGAGGGAGCTGAAGCTTTCCACTGTGGTCTGAGAAGGCCTCTAGGCGAGCGCTGCACACAATGAGTAAAACCAGTGATGTTCAGTCTTCTTTTTAAGTGGCAAAACATTTTTTTTTCCAAACTAAGTTATATGGAACTTTAATATAGAAAACAAATTCAGGAGGAGCTTTTCTGGTTCAAGTGGGAGGAGGCCTGGAGTCCTCCCTCTTACCCACCCAAAGAGGGTCCCAAGGCACCTCCACATAGAGCACAGTACTAAAACCAGTAGGTAGAACCATGGGTGTGGAGGCATCCCAAACTTCAATGGCTTAAAATGTCACTTTGTGGATCTCAGTTACTTCAGTTGCATGCCAAACATCAGGCTGGGAAGGGTAGGAAACTGAACAAGGGCATTAGAGGTGACAGCTGTCTGGTTCCCCTCTTGCCCTGGTAGAATTCAAGTCATGCCAAACTGCTCAACCATAGAGGCTGTTCCGAACTGCCCTCTGAGCAGGAGAGGATTCAGTAAGTGGAAAGGGCAAGTTGGGTGGTTGAGTATAGGCATGCACATGTGCAAGGATGCATACGAATATAACAGTCCTTGGGACCCAAAGGAACATTGGCTAGAGGTCTGAGATATGGAAACAGAAAAATCTGTACTGTATAATTATCTCTGTCTGCCCTCCTACCCCGCTGCCCTCCAAATGAACCATGGTAGGAAGCTGGAGGCTGGCCAAGGATATGTGCAGCCATCAAGCCATTCCCCTTGGCTGACAATAATAACTATCTTTATTCATTGCCCCCCCCTCACCACCACCTAGGCCAAGATCTTTACCTAAATTATTGCTTCAACTAATTCTTACAAAAACCTTATTAAGTAGGCATTCCTATTGCCCAGAAAGGGTAAGTAGGTTCCCAAAGGTCACACAGTTAAGTCATTGATAGAGCGATGATTTGAACTCAGGTTTACCTGACTCCAAAGCCTGCATTCTTTCAACTTATCCACAATGCCTCACCCCTAACAAAGCCCATCAGAAGCCAGAAGCTTGGACTTTGATGATAGAGGGTGGAGAAAAAAAGTGGCAGGCATGCACAGACAGCTAGGGAAAGCCGATCAACTGAGAAAAAAATTGACTTCAGGCTCTTACAGAGCTACCCTTAGTTTGGGGAGAAATAGGTGGGCTGAAAACTTATGGATAGAACGTAAAAGGATGGGGAAGTGAACAGATGAGACCTACCAAGATATAGGACAGCTATGAGAGGAAGAGGAGAAGGGAGCAATCATCCCCTTCATTTATACCTCGGCATTTTTAAGTTTAGAAAGCATTTCCACATCTGATTTGAATTCCTATGACCACACTGTGAGGTAGTTAGAACAGGTATTATTCCTCCACTCATTTTTTGTCCTTATAAAAAACAAATGGAAGCTAACATTTCGAGAACTCAAACAAAGTATTCAGGGTGACACAACTACTTAAAACTGAGGCTCAGATCCAAGTCTCCTGACTTCTAAAGCAAGGCTGTTTCCCCAGTGCCAGTGTAGGAAAGGGAGAAGTGGGTGGGCTAAGGAAAGGGGGATGCACAGGCTGAGAGGAGAAGGACAGGGTGCAGCAGCAAAAGGAGCCCAACACCATCTAAGCCAATTCCCTAAGGCACCTGTTTCTTACCGGAGGTTGTGAGACTTCTTTTTTATTTCATTCCAACACAGATTCATGGCTGGTGGTTCCAGGGGTCCAGAGGCACCAACAGACCCGTTCAACAGCTTTAGGCTTAGGCAGGGAACCCCAGCACCATCTTGAGGAGGTGCAGGGCTGGTGACAGCAGCTCTAACCTGGACAGAAACACAAACATCCTGTGATCCTTGGATTGTGCCACACCCTGGTCTGCACCAAGCCAAGGGTGAGACAAGTGTGAACAAGGGGAGAGAAGGGTTGCTGCCAGGGTTCAGAAATGCTATTCTCTGTGTGTTCAGGGACTGAGATGAAGAAAGACCCTGTGGTCCTGTTCATTGCCAAGTCTTCTCTTGGTACAGGTCAGTTACATAGAACTGCTGCCTACTATTATTGTTACTCATGATTATAAATTTTGGACCTAGGGAAAGGTTAACATTCCCAAGCTGGGCCCCCACTCCTCAGGACCACTGCCCAGATGGGGTCTTGGAAGTACCTGCATTAGGTAAGAAGCTGCACAGAATTGCCCAAATTATGGGCAACCATACCATTGCAGGTAAGCTGTTGGCTCATACTTCAGGGTCCTACAGTTTACCCAACCTTCTAGAAAAGCAAGCTGAGGAGTTTCTCCATAAAGATTTATAGAGGGAGTAGACTGGCAAGAGAGAACTATCAGTGGTCCACGTCTTACTTCCCATATGAAACTTGGCTTTGATGTGTCCACCACAGTCAGGAAGCCTGGACACAGTCTTCAAGAGAACTGCTCATAAAGATGAGCAGAGGACTCTGACCAGAGTTGATGGCCAAGAGGACAAGCCATGGAGCCTGCCAAAGTCTAGTCTTGAGCCCTCAGGCACACAGTCTATTGCTTGCTCTCCTGGGCACTGGTAAGGCCCTATGGGGGTAATTGTGGGGTTTGGGGGAATGGTGGTTATCCCGGATAGCCCTAAGGAAGGTAGCTACCTATAGAACAGTGTCAGAACTGCCCAGCCAGGGGGCAGGAGCAGGCAGAGGGAAGGGGAATTGGAGGAGGAAATCAGCCTGGGCTGCTCTACCCCAGACTAGGGAGACCCACACCTGCCTACCTGCTTGTCTACATGCTTGCCTTCATTTGCAAAGAAAATGGCCCTGCTAGTCAGTGGCCAAGACTCTTGTAGTCTCCCCTTGCCCCCAACCATACTTCTTTCCCACACAAGACTCTCCAGGCAATTTAGGAAACCAATCATCCCATTAAAACCATAGCTCACAGCCACACCGAGAAAGGGAAGTGAGGAAGCAGTCAAGCTATGGGAAAAGCTCAGCACTCAGCCAGCCTGCAGCCCCAGGAGCTGATCCTACCTGTGCTGCCTGGGGAGTCCATAGCAGGATCCGGCAGCTCCATGATCATCCCTCACCAGGAATCCAGACCTAGTGTCTGGTGAGCCACAAACAGGCAGAATCCTGACAGGCTCTGAGCAAGCCCTCTCAGGGAGGCAGGAGGGGCTGAGCCAGGCCAGGAGGCAGGGGTCACCCTGTTTGTTTACTGACCCCCCAGGAATCTGGAGGGGGCGGCTATGTCAGGGCCTGGCTGGTGAATCAGAGCTTTGTCTCTGGAGAATTCCGGTTCACTCCCAACTGGGCCTGCCACACCAGGGCCAGGATGGCCCTCTCAGGCTGGCAAGGATGGCGGGAGTGGGACTGGGCATTCCATGGTGCTGAGGAGGGGCATGCAGAGGGCAGCTTCTGTTGATTTATTTTCCCTTTCCATGGAAGACACAAAGGGCTCACTCTGCCTCTAGGCCCACCCCTCCCCTGAGGTGGAGGATAAGATCAGACCACTTTGGTGACAAGCTTCTGGTAAGCAATTTCCCTAAGACATAAGAGGATGGGCTTGGAAAATAAGCCTTGTCTTCAACTAAGTAAGCCTCCTCAGAGACAGTGAGGAAGGTTTGTGGCACATCTGGGGACAGAGCCATGGGATGGCAGCATCGGCAAGCAGGCGCAGCAGAATCCCTCTAAATGTGATTATCCTTGGGTGAGTGCAGAGGCCAGGAGATTCGTCAGAGTCTACTGTGAAAATGGAGGGGTGCTCTGCCCTGCCTTTGAGAGGCAGAGAGGAGTGGAGGGAGAGCCATAGCCCTCAGACCTCTCGCTGTACCCTGAGGCCAAAGGGAAATGGATAGTTAGTGGGCATCCCGTTGAATTTTCACAGGGGAGGGAAAGGGGTCACTGGGACCCAGCAGTTCCATGTAGGCAGCCATTGCCAGGGAGGCTCCTGTGTCCTGCCTGTGCTACCCTGGGTGGGGGCAGGGGAAGGCCCTTTCCTGTAAGCCACTGGCCTGAGGGGTAGGGCCCCTCCTGGAAGTGGCCACTCTTCTCCTTTTCCAGCAGACTTGTCTGGGGAAAGGTTAACATTCCCAAGCTGGTCCCCCATCCCTCAGCACTGAGGGAAAACACATCGTTTTTACCAAAAAGGGTTCTGTTCCCATCCTTATTTATCTCCCACAGAGTCTTCTGGGCTTTCCAACAGTTCCACATTGTTTCCATGCTGAGGTCCACCTACAGGAATAGTTGGAACAGCTGCCTGACTCTTTCTGGGGTTCTGGGGTGGAGCCACCCAGGGTGGCTGGGGGATGGCAGGGGATGGCAGGCCAAGAGCAGGGAGTCGTTCTAGCTCTGGGCCATATCTTCACTCATGCTGGGTCCTCTGCACTGGGAATGTCCAGAGTTAGAAAAAGCCCCTTGTGACCCAGCCACAACCAAGCTGTCCTGGCTCTGAGGGGAGCACCCACGATGAGCTGGGCTCTACCCATGTTAGCTTTGCATTCCCTGCAGACTTCTTGGTTTCCCAAATCCCCACCCAGCTGCCATACTATTCTCCATCACCCTGCTCTCCCTCTCCTACTTCCCGGTATACTCTCAAGTCACACCTAGCAGAGCCAGGCACACAATAGGCACATTTCTTTCTCCTTCCCTATCAATTACCTTCTACTTCTGGCTTTTGTAGCCAGGATATTTGCTTCTTGCACCCCACTCCCCTCAAGGCTCTCTATCCATCCCCTGAATCTTTGAGAAAAAGGTTGCAGGAAAGGAAGAGAAACTGGATCGTGGCAGAAGAGAGAAGTTGCCCATGCTATTGGCAATCACAAAATGAAGCCCTCAGGTTTCCCTGCCTACATGGTGGTGTTTGGAGGGGGTAGACAATGAACAGGGTAAGCCTTTGGAAGGGCTCAGTTTTCTTAATCCCTCGACCCTGTGAAAGTCCCACTCCGGGGAAGGGGTAGGTTAATGGGGGAGTCTATGTTGACTCTCGCTTTGAGAATATGTTCGAGGCAGTAATTTCTTTCTAGCTGGATGTGGGGAAAATAGCTCAGGGGGACCTGACTCTAATGTCTCTCTGGACCTTGACTTTCCTTCATTACTGCCCCCAAAACAGGCTCCCCAGCATCCACATTCTCCATCCCCACTTCCTTTCTTCCTCCCTTCCTCCTTCCTGTATATTCGGCCGCTGCCTGCCTCCCAGCAGTGACTCAGCACTGCAGCCCATCTGTGAGGCTCCAGGAGACATAGCACTTTCTCACACCCCCATAGTCTCTGGACCCCAAAGCATTGTAGGGCAACCAAAGTATGCTTATGCGTCTCCCTTCTCCAGTCAACTTTCCCTAGACCTCCCTCATTGTCGGGAAAGGGGGCTGCCCTCTCTACTGTCTCACACACATCCTCTACCTGCCTACCAACATACACAGGCGGACACATACACCACCACCATCGCACTACTACAGGAGCAGAGAGGACAGGCAGATATGGAGCTCATGGAATTCTAAGTGGGGATGAGCCAGGAGCTATGAAAAAGGCTAGGAACTTGAGAGGAAAAGCCGATGGCAGGAGAGAGACACCTGTGGAAAATGGAAGGCATGCCACAGAGAAGCCAAGCCAAAGGAAGGACCTGCCTAGTCCTAGACCATGCCCTGAAGGATCATACTCTTCTAGGACATTCCTGGACCTGTAACTCTTAGAAGGTTAACATGGAACCAGCCCCGCTCAGCTGCAGTGGGCCCTCTGAGCTGCCCAGCCCAACACCCTTCCTTTCCTTATGCCCCCCAATAAAAGACATAATGAGTAATAAAGGATGGGCCCAATATATTCCCCATGCTATCCAAGGGGTTGCATGTATACAGAGAGTGCCCCTGAGCCTTAGGAAGCGTGGGTACCCCAAGGACACACAGATCCTGTGTCCACTTTCTCCACAGGTCTTTCTTTCACTATCAGACTCTTACCTGAGGGTGGGGGCAGGTGCTTCGGAGGCTGCTGCTATGATGGAACTGGTCAGCTGCCTGCCAGTCATGACATCGTGGGAGGGTGTAAGGGCATCCCTGCATGACCATAGGTTGCATAAAAACCAAGGCTCATGGGGGGGATGAGGATAGGCAGTGCACCAACTATTGATCATTAAGCACCTGGAAAAGCAATACAGAGAGATTTCGAGTCAAGACCTAGAAAAGCCTATGAATCAAGCATCTACCCAGAGGTGCCTTGACCAGATATACAAATAAGTATTCAAAACTTACTGACCTACCCAGGCCACCATGTACCATAAAATACTTTATTTAATTATTGACCAAGGAAGCATTTATTGTTTACCTATAGTGCTTTGTGCTAGAGACATAAAGATAACTGCTGAGATCTCAAAGCCTAAGGGTGGAGGTGGGCAAGATGGGTAGGGGAGGCAGTCATGTATGCTGATAATTATAATAAAATGCTTACATAGCAAATGCTAAAATCAAGAGTTTACCAAAAGGCTAAGGGAGCACAGAGTGGGGAACAGCTAACTCTGAGAATATGCACGTATTTCAGAAAGAGCACACTTGAGATGAGTCTCAAAAGATAAGTAGATATTTGCTTGTGCAGAGGAGAAAGGGAGAATGGCATTCCCAGCAGACAGATCCACCTGTGCAAAGGTGGATGTCATAAAAAGGCCTAGCATGTTCAGAGGACAATGGGATCGGTATGGTTAGAGTTTAAGAGGCACAGAGATGAAAAAGACATGGGGGCTTCCCCTGAGGAGTATCACATACAGAGAGAACAAATGTGGAGAAAATAATGGCCATAAAGTGTTATTTGAGGTCATAATGGAATTGTTTATGGGATGAAGTGAAGAGACAGATGAGGGAATCGTGAGTTCTATCTGGTCATGTCAAGAAAAGTCTCCCTAGAGGAAATGTGCTTGAGGTGAGTCATGAAAGAGAAACAGATTTGTCATTAGGCAGTGAAGGTTAAAAAAAATACAAACATGAAAATTAAATATATGGTGTGTTCCGTGTGACCAGAGTACAAGGTAGGTGCCTTGTTGTGTGTAGCAGGAGGTGAGGCTGTGGCCACATTGGGCCATGCCTTGAATGACAAGCAGAGGATTGTAGGCTTTATCTTGTAGACAATGGGGAGGCACTGAAGATTTTAAGCAGGGAGTGACATAATGAGATTTGCATTTTATTTTATTTATTTATTTATTTATTTTAGACGGGAGTCTCGCTCTTGTTGCCCAGGCCGGAGTGCAGTGGCGCGATCTCAGCTCACTGCAACCTCTGCCTCCCAGGTTCAAGCGATTCTCCTGCCTCAGCCTCCTGAGTAGCTGGGATTACAGGTGCCTGCCACCATGCCCCACTAATTTTTCGTATTTTTAGTAGAGATGGGGTTTCGTCATGTTGGCCAGGCTGGTCTTGAACTCCTGACCTCAGGTGATCCACCCGCCTCGGCCTCCCAAAGTGCTGGGATTACAGGCATGAGCCACTGTGCCTGGCCGAGATTTGCATTTTAGAAAGAGCCCCCTGCCTTCCTTATAGAGTGATTCTCCAAAAGGAAGAACCTGTTGAGAAGCTGTTAGAATAGGCAGGCAGTTGCCGTGAGGATGAAGCAGACAGCATGACTCTGAGGTACATTGGAGAGGTAAAATACACTGGGCTTGATGATCAATTGGATGTGAACAGTAAGGGAGGAGAAGGAGTCAAAGGTTTCTAATTTGGGAGCTGAGTGGATAATGTTGCCAACAGCAAGAGAAGGAAGACAGGAGAAAGAGTAAATTTGCTGTGTAGGGAATAGGGGCAGTGTTGCATAATAAGCTATGCTTGAGACATATTCAGCTTTAGATGTAAAGAGCTAAGCTTAGTAAAGGAGAAATATGGGGACAAAGTTTAGATGTACAAACCAATTGATGGTTTAGAGAATGTAAACAAATGTGATGAGAATGGGTGGCAAAGATGATGCTTGCAAATAATAAGGTGATCTCTTTTAGTGTGGGGCAAAGACACACAAACCCTGATTCAAAGGGCCGGAACTGAGCATCTTTTATTCATGATGCAGATAATTAAATAACCACCATTTTTAGACTCTATTCCAGTGGTTCACAATGTTTTAGATATAAGAGGCCCTTCTTAAGACTAAAAAAAAAAAATCTCACTTCACCCACTCTCACCCACAATAGTAGCTGTACTTTTAGAACTTACCGAGTGAGAAAAACATTTATGCATTTAAAGATATGTGGACTCCTTGCATTAAGTACCCACCCCTCCTCCTCAGGAGACCATAGTCCAAAGAATGGAGATTATTACAAATCACAAGGGCACAAGAGGTTGTGGTCTAAAGGGTACTTTGTTGTAGTCAAAGTCCCTATAGATTATACAGCTATGTAGCTACTCATCCCCAAAGAATGACTGAAAATATGGCTCCTCTGTGATCAGACACCACAAAAGCATTAGTCACTTAGATTAAAAAATGAAGTACTGCTATGGATGTGTTATAAGCATAAAGGCTACAAGAGGCTTGCTTTCAGACCTCTTTTTATGTTAACATTTTTATTTTTGCTGATTATAGAAGTAATACATGTTCTTGATAGAAAAACTGGGAAATACAAAAAATAATAAGGATGAAAATAAAAATAATCTGTAATATTACCACCCAGAGATAATCATTACTAACAGCTATGAACTTTAGTTTTTCTCTGAAAAATATATACATACACTTTTAAAATAAAATCGCCATCACATGCTATCATTTCGTAGCCTGCTTTTTTCACTTGCCATTATATCATGGTCATTTTAGAATGTCATTAACTATTCCCTTAAAACATGATTTTTTTTTTTGAGACAGGGTCTCTCACTTTGTCACCCAGGCTGGAGTGCACTGGCGTGATCTTGGCTCACTGCAACCTCCCAGGCTCAAGAGATCTTCCTGCCTCAGTACCCCCAGGTAGCTGGGACTACAGGTGTGCACCACAATGCCTGGATAATTTTTTGTATTTTTGGTAGAGACGGGGTTTTGTCATGTTGCCAGGCTGGTCTCAAACTCCTGAGCTCAAGTGATCAGCCTGCCTCAGCCTCGCAAAGTGTTTATATTACAGGTGTGAGCCACCACGCCCAGCCTAAAACATGATTTTTAACAGCTGCATAGGAAGTACAGCACTGTGACTGAGGCCATGGGCACTGGCATCAGACAGACCTAGAGTCAAATCCACACTATTCAACCTATTAGCAGTGTGGTCCAGGACAAGTTAACCTCTCTGAGCCTCAGTGTCCTCATCTGCAAAATGGGGATAAATAATGATAGCATCCTCACAGAATTATTCTAATGATTAAAGTTAATAATTTAAATAACTTAGCACAGTGTCTGGCAACAATACACAACTCAATAAGTGTTAGCTATCGTCATTGTATAGTATCCCACTGAATGGATACACCATAGTTTAACAATTAGACATATGTTTATAGTTCTTCTTTTTTATAAATCAAAGTGCAGTGAACAACCTTGTGCATATTTGTGATTCTTTCCATAGGATAATTGCCTATAAGGGAGAATTCCTGGATCAAAGCGTTTATGATACATATGTCTAAATTGCCCTAGAAAAAGTTATATCATTTTACACTACTACTAGCAATGTATGAGAGTGCCAGTTTCCCAGCACACTTGTCCACAGTATGTATTCTTACTTTATTTGCCAACTTTGTAAGTGAAAATGGCATTTTGAGGATTACTTTGCGTTTCCTTAATTGCTAAAGATATTTAGCTTTTCCTCCACACTTTTAGTGGTCGTTTGTATCTCTTCTTTCATCAACTATCTCTTTTCTTCTCTTTTGAGATTCATTTCTCTCCAGATTATAAGATTCTTTCTTATTCCTCTACTGACCTGATGCTAGGTTAAGGCTTCACAAAACAAAACTAAGATAAACCAAGGAGTCAGAGAATTCAGACCTTCTAATCCTAACACAGGCAGAAAAGGAATAGATTTCTTCTGGTCCTAAAATGACTATCCTCTGCTCTTTTTAGACTTTGCCCCTGACTGTGACCTCAAGTCATATTGCCTCTCTAGGCCTTAGTTTGCTAATGTATCAAGTGTTAATGTTTAAGGGTTGCTAAGCACCAAACACTATCATTCTCTGTATTCATATAGCATGCCTTTGTAGTCGGCTGTGCTGTCTTTCATGATCCTCAGTACAACCTAGTAAAGTTGTCCCAGTCAGAATTAAGATCCCACTTTACAGATGAAGATGCTGAGACACAAGTGAACCAGGGCCTCCTGATTCCTGGGCGAGTACTCTTTGTTATACACAAAGATTCTTCTGCCTCTATCTAGCTCCATCCTATCTCAAATCACCATCTGCACATACTGATTTTTTTCCTATTCCTCTTTTTAATTTGCAAAGGCTATGAGAGATTGAAGATGAATCAGACTTGGTCCCCAACTGGTCAAATGTAGGAAACAAGACATATAAACAAACAAAAAAAAGGATAATTTTAGCGGGGAAAATTATTCATACCATACGTGGGTGCTGTGGTTTGAATATCTGTCCCCAATGTGACAGTATTGAGAGCTGGAGCCTTTAAGAGGTGATGAGGGCTTTGCCCTCATGAATGGATTAATCCACTCATGGATTAATGAATTAATAAGTTATCACGGGAGGAGAATTCATGGCTTTATAAAAAGAGGAAGAGATATCTGAACTAGCACACTAAGCCCTCTAGCCATGTGATACTCCGTGCCATCTTGGGATGCTTCAGAGAGTTTATGACAGCAAGAAGACTCTCACCAGATGCAGCCCCTCAAACTTGGACTTCTCAGCTTCCATAACTGTAAGAAATAAATTCCTTTTCTTATAAATTACTCAGTTTCAGGTATTCTGTTATAAGCAACAGAAAATGGACTGAGACAGCAAGACACAGAAATTATGGTATAAGAGGTCACAGAGGAGGAAGTGTTCACTTCTAGTTGGAGGGATTTGGGATGTATTTATGGAAAAGAAGCTTTCGAGCTAAGGTGAAAGAGAAGATTTTGACATATGCAGGTGTGGAGGATGCTTTTTGGGTGGCAATAAGCCTTCCCTGCCCTCCCCTAGGGACCCTGCTGGATACCAAACTGTGGCTTTTTGCTACTACAAATACTCTTCCTGGTTCTAAAAGCCATACACAGGCTGTTTGAGGAGGATTCAGTGGGAAGGCATTGTTTCTCTTGAGCAGAGATAAAAAGCTTTAAAAACACAGGGGAGATATTAGGATTTCAGCATGAAAGCAAGATTGTTGGCTCATGGGGGACAAAACCCACACCTGATATTTATTTATATCCCACATATTTTTAACACAGTGCTAGGCACCCATAAACTGGAGATGTATAGGAACATATGCTACTTAAATTTGTGTGGAATAATGTACAATGTTAGCATTTGAAACAAGTACAATAATAAGTACAATGTCAGCATTTGAAACAAGGCTTGAAATGGCAAAAAAAATTGCAAAAACTTAAACGTCTATCACTAGGGGACTAATTAAATAATGGTGTATCCATACAATGGAATTCTATACAGCTACTTAAAAAATAATTAAGAACTCTTTATATGCCAATACAAAATGATCTCTTATGATATACCTTAAGTAAAAAGAAAACAAGAGAAAAATCAAGGTGGTGGTTAGTCTACATTTGTATACTAAAAATATGTGCTTATAGATGCAAAAAAATATCTTTGGAAGTATACAAAAGAGCCTGTTACCATTGGAGAAGGGAACTGAGCAGTAAAAATTCTCCCCATGTCTTTGGGATTTCTACTATTTCTGCCCTTTTCAAAATGAGAAATATACCTATAAAAGTACATAAAGCATATATGTAAAGTATATTAAATTATTATAAAGTAAATTCATATAATCACTTCTCAGGTTGAGAAACAGAATTATTCCCCACACCACATAAGCCCCATGTTGCCAATAGGAGATAAAATTTTTTACTAAATATCATTTTGTACTTTTTGAATTTTGACCCATGTGAACACATTACCTATTTAATAACAGCTAATTCTTCGCCCCCTCTCCGCTCCCCACCAAAATACAAGGAGGTCAACAACTATTTTATGGAAAGATTGGTGTGCCAGCTTTTCCATAATCAAATAAATAATAACTGTATTCTGTGTTTTATATATATTAACTAAGCAGTCTACATACATTAACTCATTTAATCCTTACAACAACCCTATAAAGTAGTTACTATTGCTATCCTCATTGTGTGGATGAGAAAATGGGGGCACAGAGATGGTAAGTAACTTGTTCAGAGTCATATTGTGAATACATCGTGAAGAGCTGGGATTTGTACCCAGGCAGTTGTGTCTCAGAATACAAGTTATTTATCATTATGCTATTCTGCCTCTGTAAATTCTAGAACCCAGGCTCTGAGGCATTGTAATCACTGATACCTGGAAAGTGTATCCATACAATGGATACAATGGAGACAATTTTTGGCTATAGACCACCAGGTGCGAGCCCAAGCATTGACTCAGTTATGCCACTACCCAGGCAAAGACACAAGCAATTAAAAACAGATAAGATGCAGTGAGTCTAATGGGGCAGCACCAGGCTGGCAAATCATGAAAAGCACTTAAGTGACCTTTATAGGACATCTGAGAAGTGAAATTCTGGTCAAGTCTCCTATTTTAAGCTCAGAGCCTCCCCAATGCCTAGAGCTCAATAAATTTTTTTTTCAATAAATAAGCTCTTTCCACCTAGAAACCAGAGAAATCTAAGAGCCTATGTTACAAAAAGACCTCCAGAAGTGGACAAAGATGTTTGCTGCAGTATTGTTTGCAATAGCAAAAATCTGCATTCACTCAAATGTCCACCAGCGGGGGACTGGTGAGTAGACTATGTCTGAGACATATCACAGCATTATTGTCTGGGACATAGGCTCTGAACCAGGATGCTCTGGCTTGCACCTTGGCCACTTATCGGCACATATATGGACAAGCTCCCCAACCTTACTGTGCTCCAGTCCCCACATCTGTGAAACAGGGATAACAAAAAGACCTACCTCTTAGCTTTGTTGAGAGGAGTTAATTCATAGTTTCTGGCATTTAGTAGATATTCAAATGTTATCTATTACGATAGCCACTCACACGGCGAATATTATGTAGCTGTTAAAAAGAAAGAGGTAGATCTATATGCACTGATTTGGACAGATTTCAAAGTTATATATTTTAGGCCAAAGAAAACAAATGCCAGAATAGCATGCTTAGTGGAACTCCAATTTTGTAAAAACATTTTTAAAAAATCTACTGTGCGCATGCGCAGAAAGGAAGCCTGGACATCCGGGTTTTTTGGGCTTTTTTTTGTTTTTTTTTTTGAGACGGAGTCTCGCTCTGTCGCCCAGGCTGGAGTGCAGCTGGAGTGCAGTGGCATGATCTCGGCTCACTGCAACCTCCGCCTCCTGGGTTCAAGTGATTATCTTGCCTCAGCCTCCCAGCCGAGATTGTGCCACTGCACTCTAGCCTGGGTGACATAGCGAGACTCCATCTCAAAAAAAAAAAAAAAAAAAAAAAAAAAAAACAAAAAAAACCCAGCAAACATTTATTATTCTTGGGAGAAAAAATTCAAGAGATAGGGAAGACTTCTAAGATGTAGAGGTTCTGTAAAGAACAGGGCAATGGGAAGGCGACCCCCTTCCCATGGGCTACAGAATCCTCTCCCCAATCCAAGGTAACACTGTGTAACTGCCTTTTCTCTCATACCACTGGCTTTCTACCTGACAGCATGGCAGTAAGAGAGAAGATACACATTTCACTGGTAACAAACTTTGTTATAGTTCCTAAAATAATTCCTGCAATGCACCCAAAAAACCAAGGTTCTGCTTCAGATGTACCTGATTTAATGAATAAATCATAGAAACTCAGATTTTCAAGCTAGAAAGGACCTTTGAGATCATCTAGGCCAATCCCCTCATTTACAAATGAAAACAAGGAAACGTATTCCTGAGAAGTTTAGCTGTCAAGCAATTTTGAGAAATAAAATTTATTATCCAATTAAAAAATCAGAGATGCATCCCCATGGGAGAAAACTCTAAGAGCCAATTAATGCAATAAACCTGAAACCTTTATACACTGATGGTGGGAGTGTAAGTTAGTAAACTATTTTGCACAGTGATTTGACAATATCTCCCAAAGGTGACAATGCACATACCCTGTAAGGGGACAATTCCACCCAGATATTTACCCAGTAGAAATTGTCACCTAAGAATAGCTACACAAGAATGATCACAGTACCTCTGTGATTGCTCAAAACTAGAAATAGCCTAAATGTCCATCAACAGCAGAATAGATAAAGTGTGGTATAGTCATTACAGGAGTATACAATAGTGAAAAAAATGAGTAAACTAGAGACCCGTGTTACAACATGGATGCTTTTCACAAATATAACATTGAATAGAAAAAATAAGTTTCAAGGCAGGTGCAGTGGCTCATGGCTGTAATCCCAACACTTTGGGAGGCTGAGGCAGGAGGACTACATGAGGCCAGGAGTTTGAGATCAGCCTGGACAACATAGCAGGACCCTGTCTCTATGAAGGAAAAAAAATTAGCTGGGCATGGTGGTGCCACCTGGGGGGTGGTGAGGCTGGAGGATTGCTCCAGCCCAGGAGCTCGAGACTGCAGTGAGCTATGATCACACCACTTCACTTCAGCCTGGATAACAGTGCAAGATCTCGTCTCTTGGCGGGGAGAAAAAAGAAAAGAGAAATCACGTTGCAGAAGAATACGTATGATACACCACTGATACAAACTTTTAAAACATATAAAGCAGTAGTATATGTTGTTTAAAAATATATACATGTGTAGTAAAAGTATATAAATCAATGCATGGGAATAATAAACACCAAATCCAGGATAGTGGTTACTTTGGAAGGAAAGAGAGAACTTTAATCATGGAGAATAGACAGAAGGTTTCAACTCTACTGGTAATGTTTCTTTATTAAGCTGGGCAGTGAATAACCTGATTTTCACCATATTATTTTTATACCTTTTTGAATGAACAAAGATATTTCATAACACATTGTTTAAAAGAATGCAACAAAGCCCATGCTGAAAAGAAAGTTGACAATTTTTGCATATAGCAAAATACTAGAAGAAATGTATTAAATGTAAATATTGCACTCAAAATTTAAGGATTATTCCTTAAATCTGCTTCATTTTCCTGGAACTAGTTTCACAGGAGGGGACCTGCTAGAGAAGCAGCAGTTGGGTACAGTGGGCTGGGGAATCAGGAGATAATCCCAGATTCTCATCAGCTATGGGAAGGAAAACAATATGATTAACCTCTTGGGTTTTTCATGTTTAGAAATGCATTGTTGGACTAGATTATTTTACAAGTGTTATCCATGTGACGATTTCTTCCAGTTTTTTATTTTTTTATTTTTTATTTTATTATTTTTTTTTAGCAGCAGTTCCCCAAACTGTATCTGCAAGAGGCAAAAAGTGTTTTCCATACAGAAAAGTGTTCCCTGGTCAAACCAGTCTGGGATGTACTGGGTTAAACAAAATTAAACATTCATTTACAGCAGTACTTCTCAGAGTCTTTAATATGCGTTACATACACTGTGACTCTCCAAAATGAGAATTCGGTTAAGAAGCATTTCCAAAAAAGTATTGAACTGCAGAATACACACACATGCATGCACACACACACACACCCCCAACACTTATTTTAAAACAGAATCTATTAACATTCTCTCAGGATGGGGCTCTATAGAACATTGGTTTGGTAAATGCTATCCTAGAAGGATTTATCTCACTTGCTATTTTTGTTGCTGATGCATGTTTAGAATCCTTCATAAGGGAGGAATGTCATTTCATAGTATAATTTCCACTGAATGGGTTTCCTCTGAGTGTGTATCCCTGAGAAGTTTAGAAGACTATCTTCTTGGCCTTCATTAGTGAGACCCCATCCTAGCTGGCATGGTGGCAGATCCAACATCAGAAACTTCTGAGCATCCATAGTTAGAAGGGCTGAATCGCAGATGTGCTCTCCGCATCTGGCTCAGGGCCTTTGCTAAATTCATTGCTTCAAGCTATGCTCCCCTCCTTTATGGTGGACTTGAAGGGTAATCTGACCTGGAGCACAGAGCTACTTAGCTGAGGCTGAATGCCTAGAAGTACAAATCTCACAGGAAGAGGAGTTCTTTCCATGTGCCTTCATCCCCCAGCAATGGTTTACAGAAAGCAAGACTACAGGACAGAGGCCTGCCAACCCAGAGACAGAGGGGCTTGGTCTTCTTTCAGAAACAGGACACAACACTGCCACTTCCAACACTGCCTTTTCACGGAGGTTTCCTTAGAAGGCCCTGAGATTCTCTGGGATCATCTCCCCACGCAAACCTTAGAAGGAAAATCACCTGAGGCTTGTGGTTCCCACAGGCCTTTTAAAAGGTGATTTACCTGAGGGCCTTTCATCTAGAAACAAGGATTCTTTGGAAAAGTCAGGAATTAAGATGAACTAGACATAGAGCTTTTTTAAGGCTTTTGTTCTTTTGACAATCAAAAAGAAAACATTTTTAAAAAGTATGTTCTTTTCCAGACAGCATGCACCATGCTTTCAACGGAAGCAGGCAGCAGCTGCTGCTGACGTTCTCCTCTACCCCACTCCACCCCACCCCAGCCCAGCCTTGCCACCTGCTTAGACCCAACACCTGTGAGGCCTGGCTCGACCTGCCTACCAAAGGAAGGATAAACATTAACTACCCATATAGTCTCAGGCCCACTTACTAGGCTGGGGCACTTGGTCCGATGCTGGGAAAGGTGGTGAGAGCAGAAGGTGATAGGGTGTTGGACTCCAAGAGAAGCAAGCCCTATTTGAAACCACTCCAAGCTATGCTTTCAAGAGTGGAAAGATGCCTCCTGATTACAGGGTGTAGAAAGGAAACCAGGGGAGAAGATAAGGGGGAAAAATGTCACAGGAAAAACAACAGAGCCAGGAAGTAAATACAGAGATGAGATGAGCCCTTCAGCTCCAGGCTCTTAGGTCAGAGCCTGGTTTACTTCAGCAAAGAACTCCTGTGTCCTGTCTGCTGGCCAGAATACTCATTTGTTCAGGGAACCTGCTCCAAGGTCCCATGTTTCCTCTCTCCTCCCTTGTTAGCCAAGGCTTTCCACACACCTTTGCTTCCCTCCTGCCAAGAAGTATACCCTTGGACAAAAAGCATGCTATTGAGAACCTAAAATAAATAAATGCCCCTCTTTTCTCAAAGAAGCAAACTGTGTACCTCCTTCTTATTCATTTTTAGACCTTAGTTGCTCAAATCGGCTTGAGTTTCTATTCTTGGGCATCTTTTTTTTTTTCTTTATGAATCTAAATGGTGACTACTTTATTGTGGGCATTTTTAAATGCAAGTTTTCCACTAAAGGCACATGCAAGCAGACCGCAGGCAGGCACGCGTACACACACACACACACACACACACACACGCACACACACACTCATTTTCCCTCTCTCCCCCCACCCCTCGCCCGCCACACAGTACCTCTGGAGCTTCCCCTCCCTCAGTCATTTCCCCTCAGCCAGCTGAACAAGGCCAAGGCTTGGAAATAATTTTTCTGTGGCCTACCTTCTGATTCCGTCAGGTCTGAGAAGCAGGCGGCAGCTGTAAGCTGGGAGGCCGGGGCTGGGCTGCCTCTGTGAATCAGCAAAGAAGTCCCTGAGACAGGGATGCCGACAGCTGCTGTATGCACACTCTCCCTCTGTCTCTCCCACTTCCCTGTCTTCCTTCTTCTCCTCCTCCTCCCCTCTCAGAGCTGCTCTGTGTTGCTATGCAATCATATCACCAGGACTAACAGCATCATTCCGACCTCAGGCAAAAATACCCTTGACTGGGCAAACGCAGGAAGAGCAAGGACAGTTTTGTAAAACTACCAGAGATGTGGCGGCTCTTGGAGATGTCAATTCATTAGAAGCAGAGGAGGAAAGCGGAAGAGCCTGAGAAGCAGAGGGGGAGAGAAGGAGACAAGGAGAGGGGGAAGAGGGAGAGAGGGGGAGAGGGGGAGAGGGGAAGAGGGGGAGAGGCTTCCACTGGGGAGGAGGAGACAAAAGAGCCCTGGAGATCAATCAGGCTGCTGAGCGAGCAGCCTGGACCCCAACTTACACCGATCTAGCCCACAGACAAAACCAACTTTGGAGCCAGCAGCTGGCAGGGGCCCCTCGGTAGCCAGTCCAGGATTCTGCTTCTGTGTTGAGGGTTGAAACACTGTGGTCTGGAATCATCACTGGTACTCAAGGTACAGTTTTGGGCTCAGGACAGTCTGCCAGTCACCCCTAAGTCTCATCCTCACACCCTCTTAGATCTCACGTGTAGAAAAAGCCTCAACAAATTGGGGAAACAAAATGGATCTTGAATAATTCAGGAAAATACAGCTCCTCCATGACTCACCTCAATGACTACTACCCCAGGCACCTTCCTGCTTTTGTCCATACCAGCCCTTACTCTTTTAACTGTCACGCTTGTTAAAGAGAAGAGGGTATGAGCTCCAAACACCCTCAGAGACCTGGGAGAAGCCACTGGCAGGATAGATAAGATTATATCCCTTTACCAAGTGCCCAGCACACAGTAGGTTACTTAATAAATATATGTTGAATGAGTAAATTGAATGAATAGGTGGATGAATAGCAGTCAGAAAGTCCCCATCCTCACCCTCCTACACAAACATACAAAGATTTAAAGCCCCAGCAGTCCCAGGCCACAGCAAAGGATAAAAGCAGCTTTCTTCTTTCCTCCCTCCATCTCTGGGAACAGGGTGTATATGGAGAGAGACAAAGACTGGTTGGGAGTGGGTTGCTTAAGTTCACTGATTTGCCTCTAAAAATTTTATAAGCTCTGATGGCACTGGAACTTAGAAAATACTTCCTAGGGTCGGGCGTGGTGGCTCACGCCTATATAATCCCACACTTTGGGAGGCCGAGGCAGGCGGATCACAAGGTCAGGAGTTCGAGACAAGCCTGACCAACATGGTAAAACCCCCGTCTCTACCAAAAAAATACAAAAATTAGCTGGGCGTGGTGGTGTGCGCCTGTAATCCCATCTACTCAGGAGGCTGAGGCAGGAGAATCACTTGAACCTGGGAGGTGGAGGTTGCAGTGAGCCAAGATCGCACCACTGCACCCAACCTGGGTAACAGAGCAAGACTCTGTCTCAAAAAAAAGAAAAAAAGAAAGAAAGAAAGAAAGAAAATACTTCCTAGGACTAGTATTTACATAGGATCTAGGACTAGTATTTACATAGGATCTAGGACTAGTGTTTACAAAGTGTCTAAAGGACCCAGAATTACTGTTTTTTTTCAGTTCCATTTTAAAATTATTATGTGATTTTTTTATGAAGTATTTTTATTATTTATTTTTAATTGACAAATAATAATTGTATATATTTATGGGCTCCAGCGTGATGTTTTGATCTATGTATACTATGCAGAAAAATTCAGCCCAGCCAATTAACATATTCATCATCCCACCAACTTATCATTTTTTTTGTAGCAAGAACATTAGAAATCTATTATTTTAGCAATTTTGATACATATAATACATCATTAATAACTGTGGTCATCATGATGATCATTACTATTATTGAAAACCTTCAGCTAGAAAATAGTGTGTATATATATCTTTTCTTTTGAGGTGAAATTTTAAAAACTTAAGTTGCTAGCTTCAGCAAAAGGCTAGAAATATGGCCTGATCTCCTCTTCAAAATAAGCGACATAGGAACCAATTGCCCCTGTCATCAAGCTTTCAGAGCTGTGTAAGTAGCCCTTCCTATCTGGTCCAAATAGCAATAGGCAGGCCCCCATGCAGGTGCAGAAAAGGCCTTTGATTTCTGAAGGGGCTTTTGAAAACACATCCGGCTTCTCAACCTACATATCCGCAACAGAACATTTCTCAGCTACCTAGCCTAGCCCAGGCCTGACCCTGTCTCGCCCTCCATCCTAGCCGTGGAAGCTTACAGGGTTTGTCAATACCATCCATCCAGAACCAGGGACCTCAGAGTCCTTTACAACTGACTTGGAATGAGTTGGAGCGGAGAGCTGGCTAGAAGAAAGACCAGAGGGAACATTGTGAGAAATAGTTTGGGAAGGCACACACAGAACAACTGTGACGGACATATACAAAACACATGGGAACCTGACTCACTACTCACCCTCGGCACCAGACTACCACATGCCCAACAAGAACATAGGCTAGGCTCAACTATTTTCGGAGGAGGCCAAAGAAAGATAAAAGTAGGTCGGGCCACAAGCTTTGACTTTAGTTTCACCTTGGTAACTGGCAGAAGGATGTTCAAGGCTCACCCTGGTATCACTGCACAGGACTTTGCTAGGGTATTTCAGATAGGGAGAAAGCATGTATAAAAGCACAAAGGTTAGAGCACACAGCCTGCTGAGGAACTGCATGTCCTAGTTAAGTATGGTTAACTTAAGACGGGGATATGGGTGGGAAAGGGGAGAAGGTGGCAGGAGATGAAGCTATGGAAGCACATGGGATCAGCCCATGGGGGCACTGGAGTACCATGCTAAGGATCATTTAAAATGTTGAAGCAGGCAAGTGGCATGATCAGGTTTATGTTTTAGAAATATCGCTCCAGTGGTTTTCGTTCAAAGAACCATTACTGAGTGTCTACTACATTCCACATTCTGTGCTAGACCCCAGGGGCACAGAGAAGACTGGAAGACTGCCTTCAAGTTGCTCATAGCCTAATGGGTGAGACAGTTAATTAAAAACAAATACAATAGAGTGATAAGTGAAACGAAGGATGAATCTGAGGGGGGAAAGGCTGGAAGCCTGGGTGCCTGGTAGGAAGCAGTTGCAGTACTCATCTGATAAGGGCCTGAGGTAGAGCAGTTGGTAGTGAGGGTGGAAAAAACGGACAACTCGGTTTTATATTGGAAGAGTGGGCCTCGTCCCCAAATGGATCTTCTTCATACTGGCCTTTCCTTGTATTGATTCTTCCTAGTCTGCCTACTTGCTGCATTGCTAAAGGAGAAATAAACTGTATTTTTGTCCTTTGTGGGTGAGAGAGGTGGTATAGCTTATTCTCTCATTGCTGTTTTGCCATTCCGCAGCCTTATTTGCTGGTCCCTGACCATGTTTACCAAAACAACTACTTCTGTTCATGTCTACCAGCCACTCAACCCCGGCCACCTACCTCAGCAAATAACTTCCATTCTCTTGCTTTACTGAAAAGGTGGATGTTATCCCTGCAAACTTCTCTATCTCAGAATGTCTTCCAGTCTTTCCCTCCTACCGTCTCCAGACAAAATGAAATCACTTATTACCTCCCTAAGGTCAACGCCTCTTCCCATGACCTCAGGCCATTTTCTCTGTATCTCCTCCGGGAACTTCTTATACATTGTTCCTTCTCTTGCTTTCCTCTGCAATCTTTTGGTTGCCTCCCTTTCCCTGCTGTCGAAAAACATGCGAGGAGCAGGAAGTATGTTGACTCCGATGAGCTGGGAAGTGGGAAGAATGTTTCCCCACTATAGAAAGCCCCACCCCCTTGGGCCGGGCACAGTGGCTTACATCTGTAATCCCAGCACTTTGGTGGGCTGAGGCAGGAGGATTTCTTGAGCTCAGGAGTTTGAGACCAGCCTGGGCAATATAGTGAGACCTCGTCTCCAAATAAATAAAGTTTTTTAAAAAAGAAAGTCCCATCTCACGTACACACACACAACCAGTTTAAGACTATGTTATGGACAAACCGGAGAAAGTTTAGAGGGAAGCAGCATCATCAGGGCAAAGAATACCCATGTTTCAGTAAGGTTGCAAAGTAAAAAATATCCCTCAGAAAATGCAGAATAATAATAAATCTTTGCCAGCTATTATTTGCAGAATATCTTCTGCCATATTATTTGATTTACATAGCAGAGATTGCTTCCAACGAATTGAGGTTCCATGCAGAAAAACCAAAAGGGTTAGAAGAACAGATAGAGGCAAATGTCTCAGGACGAACAAGATTAATATGAATTCAGATGAGAGAATGAGTCAGAGAGTAGGAGGGAGGGATTTTCACCATGTATGATATAGATGCAGGAGGCTGGGAGATAAGTTGAAGGAACAGGTTAAGTTGGAGGAACAGGTTAAAAATGTAGGGGGCACAATGTCAAAAAGGCTGGAATTCGTCATTGGAGTTGATAAGGAATAATGCAAAGCCATAACAGACTAAGGGTTAAAGAATCAGTATTGTCCCAGTCAATGGTCTGAGCACTCTCTGTTGCTTTTGTTGAACATCTGAAAATGTGGAACTCATTTTACACACTTGGTTACCTCCCACCCTCTTCTGCTGTTCTTCAAGCTTCTGCTAAACCAGACCCAGCAGCTGGGATGTTATATAACATAACTTCTATTTATGTTTTCAAATATATTCCACTTAGGCCAAAACCATTCAAGCTACGGTTAAAGTGGTATAGTGGAAAGAATGTTGAATTAGGAGTCAAAAGACAAAGGTTCTAATCCCAATTTTGCTACGAAATTGTCACTGACATTTTTGAGCTTTGATTTTTCCTTCACCAGATAGGAGATAATAGCTGTCTGCCCTGTTTACTTCACTCATTTGGATTGAGACTCAAATGGGATAATGGATGTGAATATATATTGAAACTATAAAGTGTTATTCAAATGTAAGAGATTATTATTTCTATTGCTTCAAGGTCCTGGTGGTTTTCCTATATGCAAAGGACATACATCCTAGAGTAGACTATAACAGCTAAGGACGTCGTGCCAGGAATGTAATTAGCTCCCTGTTTCCATGCTAGATCAGATACTATATTTCTTTAAGTAGACACACCAACCACACAATTCAGGTTTATTCACTATCTTTCACATTATCAACCTTCCTATCCTCCTTTCAGCCCAGACTGCTAGACATATGCACATTCACTAGCAACCTTTCACATATGAGCTTCCAAGAAAACACACACAATTCAATAAGAACTACTGATTTTCGGCTGGGCACAGTGGCTCACGCCTGTAATCCCAGCACTTTGGGAGGCTGAGGTGGATCACCTGAGGTTGGGAGTTCAAGACCAGCCTGGCCAACATGGTGAAACTCCATCTCTATTGAAAACACAAAAATTAGCCAGGCATGGTGGCAGTTGCCTATAATCCCAGCTACTTGGGAGGCTGAGGCAGGAGAATCACTTAAACCCGGGAGGTGGAGGCTGCAGTGAGCCAAGACCACGCCATTTCACCCCAGCCTGGGCAAAAAGAGCAAAACTCCATCTCAAAAAAAAAAAAAAAAAAAGAAAAAGAAAAAGAAAACAACTACTGATTTTCTAGGCTAAAGAGAACTGCTATTGATTTGTACTTTCATTGTGTTTAGGATACTGAGGCAAGATGGTCACTCACTTCTTGCTTGTAACTTGGATTGAGAGGGGAAGGGAACTAACATTTTTGAGACTGTATTCTGTGCCAAGTAGTGTACCTATGTGCCAGTGTTACCTCCTGCAATGCTCACAATGATTCAGTGAGGTAAGGGTTATTATTTCCAACTTTACAGACAAGGAGACTACAGCTCAGAGATGTTAAAAGTAACTTGTCCAAATTCATAAAGCTAATAAAAAAATGCAAGCTGGGATTCAATCCCAAATCCACCTGACTCCAAAGCTGATACTCTTCCCACATCTCTCCTACTTTTAGGCAGGGCCACAGTATTACAAATAGGACACATCCTAGAACTTACCACTTCATAATTCTAGGTGCACTTGAAAGCACATATTGGCATATATGGGTGGCAAGCACCTTGACCACCAACTGGTAGAGACCCATTTCAGGGATGCCTTTAAACCCTGAAGTTGCTTCAGAATCTAAAGCAACCCTGGGCCTAAACAACAAGAGCTGTCTGTTTTATATCTAGTAGCAAGCTCTATCTGTCTCACAAAAGAAAGGCAGGTATTTATTTGCTTGGTAGAGGCAAAGTGACAATTTCAAGGTGAGACTCTGTCAGCGATAAAAGGATGCCTCATACAGGACAATAACCAGTCAAACTTGGAGCTACCATATTGCCCCCTCCTTAGATCCAGTCTTAAATTCGATCTCACAGGAGTCAGTGGAGTTAGTAGGTACCTACTTGGTATAATTTGAGGAGGACTGAAATGCTATCACTAATAAAAATGACTTCCCCTGCTGGCCCCACCATGGTGCCTGCAATTCCCTATTAATCATTTCCTTCAAGTTAAAGCATCTGTCAAAATGAAAGTGCTATCTTCAGTTACTATACATTATACTCATTAGTTTGTCTCTTTCGTTCTAATCACCAGACAGGCATGGGATAGAGGGCAAATGATTTTGAAGGGGAAGGCAAAGAAGGAAAGATTCAATATGATGTATGATGCACAGCTAGAGTACAACAGGGCTAGGGTAAGACATTTTAAAACCCCAAGAACGATGGCTGGGTATGGTGGCTCACACCTGTAATCCCAGCACTTTGGGAGGCCAAGGCAGGCAGATCACGAGGTTA
This sequence comes from Homo sapiens, assembly GCF_000001405.40. Taxonomy (NCBI): domain Eukaryota; kingdom Metazoa; phylum Chordata; class Mammalia; order Primates; family Hominidae; genus Homo; species Homo sapiens. The sequence continues at coordinate 101,213,258 of NC_000023.11, read as the reverse complement.
GGAGTTCGAGACCAGCCTGGCCAACATAGTGAAACCCCGTCTCAATTGAAAATACAAAAAATAGCTGGGCATGGTGGTGCACACCTGTAGTCCCAGCTATTCAAGAGGCTGAGGCAGGAGAATCACTTGAACCCGGGAGGTGGAGGTTGTGGTGAGCCAAGGTCACACCACTGCACTCCAGCCTGGGCAACAGAGCGAGACTCCATCTAAAAAAAAAAAAAAAAAAAAAAGGAAAAACAAACAAACAACCCCAAGAATGAAAGAGATAGATAATGGTACAAACCCTAAGTGCCTATAAATAATTTAAGATATAAATAATACTAACCTATAAAATAAGCATGAGAGAATTCAACAAAATCTGAACTTTTTCATAATTACAACTGCAATTCTTTCTTATTGTCATGCGGTTCACTTTTTAAAAGTGCACAATTCAGCCAGGTGTGATATAATCTGAGCACCTTGGGAAGCTAAGGCAGGAGGATTGCTTGAGCCTGGGAGTTCAAGACCAGCCTGGGTAACACAGTGAGACTGTGTCTCTACTGAAAAATATTTAAAAATTAGCCAGGTATGGTGGCTCGTGCCTTTAGTCCCAGCTACTCGGGAGGCTGCGTGAGGAGGACCATTTGGGTTCAGGAGTTCCAGGTTGCAGTGAGCTATGATTGCACCACTGCACTTCAGCCTGGGTGATAGAGTGAAACTCTGTCTCAAACTAAAAA